>NC_000021.9:26745342-27375265 GCF_000001405.40 Homo sapiens | reverse complement strand
CTAACCTTGTATGACTTCAAGTCAACCTTGAAATTTTGTGGTGGGAGAAATACAAAGAAACAGAATTTTGTTTGCCTCCTTCAAAATTTGAAATGTTTATTGCATTTGTTAGAAATTAACATTGAGGCAAAAGAGACCTCCCTTGAGTTTCTGTCTGGCCTTTGCACAATAAATTATGACCTGAAACATGGCCATTAGCAGCATTGGCATAGTGTAGAGACTTTTCCAAAGGCTGTAAATGCCGAGCCACATTGTCCCCCCTACAAAATCACACTGTCTCACAGCCTGTATGGAGCTGAATTTACAGAGTTCTTTTTCGTCAGAACGTGGGGAAAGCTTAAGAATTAGATGTGTGGGTAAGAAAAGGTGAAAAAAGACGTCCTTGATAGGACAGAGCTATAAAACAATCACTTCAACTTAAAATACAGTATATATTACTTTAGTATTAAGTATGCTACTTATGGGGCTTATATGGGTCCCAAAGTTTCTGAATTCAGATCCCAGGCTAATGTTAAAGCAGTTGCAATTACTTTGATAATTTTTGACTTCTACTTCCTCACTCTTTTGCCATATTATATGCCTCTTGGTCTTCAAAGAGAACTGTAATTGAATCCGTTTAACCCAAATATGTCCCACATGCAGCTCAAAAGGCTTCTTAGTTTAGAAATTAGCAAAGTCTTACAAGGATTTTGTACAGTGCTACATTTCCCATTTAAAGACGTTTTCTAGGTCTAACCTAATCCGCTGACTGATGGTTTTCACATACTAATTAACGAGAATAATTTCAGTCATTTGCAGTATGTGACCTCTCAAGCCCCTTTGGTCAAAAGCTTAGTTACCTCTTTTTCATTTTATCATTATTATTATTTTTAATAGAGACAGAGTCTCACTGTGTTGCCCAGACTGGTCTTGAACACCTGGGCTCACTCAATCCTCCCACATTGCCTCCCCAATGTGCTGGAATTACAGGCATGAGCCACCACGACTGTCCCTTAGTTACTTCTTTTTTCGTTGTTGTTTTTTTTTTGTGAAATGTTTGTGCCGTGTGCACGTGGTGTTGTTGGTATTGTTGTTGTTCTGGGTGCGTGTGAGCCTGCTCTTTTTTAAAGAACGGAACCTTCTAAACCTGCAATAAAAAGTTTCAATTACTTTACACAGTGGAAACATTTGAAATATATTTACAAAATTATTTATCCTAGTAACTGTAATTGTCCTAATGGGCTTCACATAAAGGTTATTTCATTTTATCAAACAATTATTTCTTGCTGGATCATAAGAGAAAGAATATTTTTACATATTTTGAAGCCGTATTTGGTTTTTGGGTATTTTCTCTATCAGGAAAAAATGTAGTCACTGAATTATGTCATGAGTAAAAGAAAGTTTGGTGCCAAGCACCATCTTATTATAATTTCCAATATTTTTCATTCTGCCTTGCCATTCATGGCCAAGAAGAAATTCCTTTGCCATGAAAAGCAAATAAATATAGATGAAAACTGAAGGATAAGAACGAGGCATCTAATACAAGTATTAAAAAGTTAATAATTTGGATTTTATACATATGGAGTATGAAATAACTGTACTATGAGTTGTTAGGATTACAGCCATTAATAAAAGTTGAAAAAATTGAAGCAGTAGTAATTTTATCTCTAAAAGCATTCCAGTAGGAACCCTAAATTCTGAGGGGCTCAGTGTCCCAGTGTCTTTTCTCTGTCTGTACTCTCTTTCTCCGGCTAATCTCATTTATCTCATGTCCCATGTCTTAAATGCAGTCCACCAATGAGACCCTCATTAATAACAACCTCTTGCCTGAACTTCAGAAATGTACATCACCTACCTATGTGGCACTTTGACTTAATTGTAACAAGCATTTCAACTTGACCTTGTAACCTACTCACCCATTTCCCCCTGCCTTGATAAATGTTATTATCATCATCTGCCCAGTTATTTATCCAAATGCTTAGATGTCATTAATCCTCATTCCTTTTTTCTCTTCATTCTCACTTTTAATCTGTAGGCAAATCTGCAGGCACTTTTACTACAATGTATATGCTAACTGTTCACTACTCCCCACTATCATTGCTGTAGCACAAGCCTGGGTCTCTGTTTTGTTTACGCATAGATCCTTACTGGACTTCCTGCTCCAAAATCCAAATAGCATGATTTTTCCAAAAATTCAAAATAGATAATGATGTCTCCTTGCTTAGAACCTTCAACAGCTTTCCATTTCGCTTATAATATACACCTCTTACAATGACCAGTCTCTACAGGATCTGGCCCTACCTGCCTGTCTGATTACACATTATACCACTTTTACTTTGCTCACTGCAGCCACATTGACCTTTTTCCAGGTTATTGAGTGTATCAGGGTGGCTTTGCAATGCTTGATTTCTCTTGTCATCTCCACACGGGTAATTCCATGATACAATTAAAATCTCAGTTTCAACTTAAATCCCTCTTACAGCCAGCTTTATTTACATAGTTTGGAGGTGCCCAATGATTACTTTTTGGTTAAATTACCCTCTTTCATTTTTATCATAATATGTACCACTACTTAAAAGTATCTTATTTATGCATTTATTTCTTTATTTTCTGTCTCCCCTCGTATGGAATAACACATTGCCCTTTTTTGGGCCAATCTAATTGTGGTAGAATCTTACCAATTCAAGAATGTCAGGTATGTAGAATATTTTGAACTTTCTTCATCTATAAAAGATGAGGAAATTCCCTTTAACTATCTCACTGGGTTGTTGTGTGTAACAAAACAGATAAGAAAGATGAAAATAGTGTTGAATAACGAAATTTCTATACAATGAAAAATATTATTATTCTCATTAGGTATGGGCCTGGGTAACATCACGGATAATGGGAAGACTTTTCCTATTAGAATATTTTATCATAAACTCAGAACTGTAGAACTCTGTGTCCATCATCACTTAATAATTTATCTAAACTATTACATGTATTGCTACATGAAACTTTTTTTACCCCTATAGCCAGTTGACCTCAAGTCAGTGCTTAGAATCACCACTCAAATGATAACCCTTAAAGATGTTGAAATGACTCAACATATTCTATGAGGCATGATCTCACTGAAAGATAAGGCAGTCAAGAGCTTGTTTTCCTGTGCTTTCTCCCTCAAACATGTCTTCACAATCAACCTCACACTGATAAGAAATTCCCAGCACCAACAAAGAGCACATGGAGACAGCTACTGTCCTTAAACATCATTTCCTTCTACATAAATGAATAAAAACCCCACAAACACAAATAATAATGAAGCTATCATGTCAGCAATAGGACTTTTGTAGACTGATTTCTACCTTGAAATCTAGACAATTAACCTGTCAACTTTTTTTCAGATCTCTCTTATTCTAACATAGATTGAATAATTTCAGATAGTAGGAATGGGTTCTTAACACTGACCTTCGTAAGTTGAAATTCCAAGAATGTGAAACAGCTGCCATTTACAGAGATAAGCCTATAAAGCTTTATAAAGCTATAAAGCTGAGAGATTTCAATGTCAAAAAATTGGGCTGCTATTAGCAACAATTTAAAAGTTCTGAGCTTTATTAAGTAAACTGAAGAATAAGACATAAATAGAGAATACAAACAGATACTAATCACCACACTCAGCCTAGCCTTGTGGCCATCGATGATCTTGGATATATTCTACATAATGATATCTGTGTATAAGGAAAAAGTAGTAATATCTATATTCCTGCCACATGCATTATTTCATAAGCACATTAGATATATTTTTTGTTTAGATTATCTTATCTCCCATATTTAGAAGTCAAGTACCAATTTTTTTCTTGCTCTATTCTTCATATTAGTTTCCAAAATTACACTAAGATTACTTAGAATTTTTGACTTCCTGCAATGCATTTTTTTAATCCACCACACAAATCACTTTAAAATAAAGATAATAATGAAAGAAAGTTGGCGCCACAACTGAGCCCTCAGTATGTGACAAGTATAAATCAGTGGGGACAGTAGTCAGAGCAGCTTTATAAGCACACATCACGTGCTGACCTTGCATTCCCTCGATTCTATTTCTGCTACTTCCAGTTCCTATTTGAAAAAATTGAAAATCCTGCAGTTGTGCCAGTGTTTATTTTGGTGGTTGGCAATCAAGTAAAATACATTTAACAAGGAAAATGAAAAGTGAGTTTTGCATTATTGGCTCAACTATTCAATCTTGCAAAGATGCATTATATTTTTCTTTGAACAGCCTTGAATGCTTTGGTTTGGTTTGGAAAAGTGGGAGAAAAAATAGGAAGCCCCAACTATTAGTAAGGAGTTTTATTTCAAAATCCTAAAATTTAGAGATTGAACAAGCTATGAAACATATAGGAAGAAAAAATAATAATTAGTTGAAATCTTAGTTCTATACGTAGTGGATTAATTGTAAAAGTGTCTCCAATTATTTCGTTTCTGGTACACATACCCTTTGAATGTGAGTTTTCATAAGGCAGCCTCTCACACCTGCAAGTGTGTGGTGGAGTCTTGATCCAGTTCTCAGAAATGTACTGGCCTTGTGACTTGCTCTGTCCTATAGAATGCAGCAGATGTGATGCTAGCCCAGTTTCAAGTTAAGAACTGAAAAGGTCTCATCTAATTCTGCCCATTCTTTTAGAACCTTACCAGTGCCAATTTCATGTGCAAAAGTTCATACTAGCATGACAGAGAATAAGAAACCTAGTAGCAGGCGAGCTTATTGTCCTCAGCCAACCAAAGCCACCTTGCTTCCCCTAATGCTGGAGAAAGCAGATACTCATTGACTGCTCAATTCAGAAGTACAAAAGGACATATCTGAAGGGTCATGGCAAGGTTCAGAATTCCTCATGGAGTGGCCAAGGCTTCTGTTGCGGAAGCATCACGCACAGTTCAACTCTGACTAATCCTACTCCTTCCACTTCCTTCCAGGTGTTGTTCTTGAGAGCACTCCTTTATATATACCAAGTAAATGCAAATCTCTATTTTTGCATATGATTTCTAGAACACAGGAAGACAAACTTAGATGCCAAGAGTAGACTTAAAAAATAGACTATAAAGAGAAATTTGCATCTGTATAGTTGGCCAGATGGCTGATAGGTGGAGCACAGATAGCTCCCAGTAGGAAGTACTAGTGCAGTTGTTAAACTTTCATTGATGGAAGGAAGTACATGAATGACTGCAGCATGATTTCAGAGTTCATGGAAGATAATAACTATAAGGCTCATAAAATGGATTGATTTTTGCTAGGCACTCAATATTTTAGAAAATGAAAACAAAAGCTGAATGTGATTAATTCATTAATTTACAGCTAAGTGTGAGAGTCAGAAGGCATTTTAGCAGCACATAAAGAGATCCTCATTTCCTATAGCCACAAGGCAGAAATAGTTGAGGATCAAGCCCACAATTTTATTATAAAAATAGCAGATCTAAAAAGAAGGTTGTATCCAGGTGCAGTGGTGTGTGCCTGTCATTTCAGCTACTCGGAAGGCTGAGGCACAAGAATTGCTTGAACCTGGGAGGCGGGGGTTGAAGTGAACTGATATCATGCCACTGCACTCCAGCCTGGGTGATCGAGTGAGAATCTTTCTCAAATATAAAATAAAATAAAATAAAATAAATAAAATAAAATAAAATAAAATAAAAATAAAAGAAAGGTTGAATTCTCAAAATCAGCAAGTCCGTGAAGTCATGCCAGTGTCCTTATTCAAGAGGACGAAGACCTTACAAGTTGATATAGGGATATGAGAGCCAATGCCTTGAAAATTGTGTGTCCCCAGATTATTCTGAACATTCTGGGCCTGCAGAAATGCTACACTCCTCCCATGTGAAGGCCAGCTAATGCCCTTGCACTGGGAGCACAGCCATATCCACTTGCTTACACATTATCTATGGCTGCTGTCACACTACAACAGTAGAGCTGAATATTTGAGATGCAAAAACTCTATGTCTCTCAAATCCTAATATATTTGCTGTCTGGCCCATTTTAAGGAAATCTCTGCTAATCACTGATATAGAGGACTTTGACCTTGATTCTAGGGACCTGAAATTTCATCACACTCTCCCATTCTAGGAGAAAAGATAAAGTACTGGCCCATTTGTGAATCACAGTAGATTCATTGGGTAAATGGACCCCCTTGATGGTTATTTCTTTAGGTCCAAGAATGTTTAATTGAAATGATCATATTGGCCTTTGGCATGATCCTCAATGTTACTTCTCCTGTAAGGTAAGACCTAGCACAGTGAGGACACTCAAGTGGAAGCCTTTGAAACTGCCCAACTATTCCTGCCTCACCAAGAGAGTGAGTAAAAAGCAATAATATGTCTTAGGGAGAACAACAGATATTAGTGTTAATCTTAAAGAAAGACTCTTAAAGAACTTAAATGATGTAGGTATATTTTTTCTCAATGTATCCATGCCACCAATTTGTCTTCTATAAAATCTAGAGGAATCCTGGAAAAAGTCTTCTATGCAAACTTGAGGGATCCTGGAAAACATGAATAGACTGTAATTTCAAGGTCATGAGGCATGGTGCATGCGTTCTTTTGATTCCTGTGCATGACTGGTAGGCCTCTCTGGTCTCTGGAGGCAACATATTCCACATTTAAGAAAATAATTCCAACCCATTTCCTAAGTAGCATGCAAGTTTCCCAGCTTTAAATAGGGCCTGGAGAAGGAAACGGATCCATATCAGGTTCAGGTTACCATGAAAGCAGCCATGCCACCTGACCCATAATACCTATAGGCTCATGCATTTGAAGTATCTTTAGTGATGTGGGAGATCAGAATATGCCCCTCCAAAATATGAAGGATTGTTGAGCTAAAGGCAATGAAGAAGTAGTTGCAGGAAAGATTTCTGCCCTTTTCTACATGCATAAAAGTAGTACATAGATTCACAAAGACAAAACATATAATGTCACTCTTCTACCAGGGAGAACAAAGGTAAAGATCACCAAAGACAACTTTAGACCTTTATTGGCTTGTACATGGTACCAGAAGAATCTACATTAACATGGTTTGCTAATTAGCATTTTTTTTTTTTTTTTTTTTTTTAAAGACAGAGTCTCTGTCACCCAGGCTGGAGTGCAGTGGTAAGATCTTGGCTCACTGCTACCTCCGCCTCCCAGGTTTAAATGTTCAAGCGATTCTCCTGCCTCAGCCTCCTGAGTAGCTGAGATTACACGCATGCACCACCACGTTCAGCTAATTTTTGTATTTTTGGTAGAGACAGGGTTTCAGCATGTTGGCCAGGCTGGTCTTGAGCTCCTGACCTCAAGTGATCCACCTGCCTACGCCTCCCAAAGTGCTGGGATTGTAGGTGTGAGTCAGGATTCCCCATCCTGAGACAATGACCCTGATGGCATGGAGCCCAAAGGCATCATCGAGAGTAACTAGAATGAGATGGTTGACAGCTTTGATGACATGAAACTGTAGGAGTTTCTTCTCCGTGGCATCTATGCCTATGGTTTTGAGAAACCCTCTGCCATCCAGCAGCGAGCCATTCTACCTGTGTCAAGGGTTATGATGTGATCACTCAAGCCCAACCTGGGACTGGGGAAATGGCCACACTTGTCATATCGATTCTGCCACAGATTGAGTTAGATCTAACAGCCACCCAGGCCTTGGTCTTAGCACCCACTAGAGAACTGGCTCAGCAGATACAGAAGGTGGTCATAACACCTGGAGACTACATGAGTACCTCTTGTAATGCCTGTATTGGGGGCACCAATGTGTGTACTGAGGTGCAGAAATTGCAGATGGAAGCTCCCCATGTCATCATGCATACCCCTGGATGCATGTTTGATATGGTTCACTGGAGATACCTGTCTCCCAAATACATCAAAATGCTTGTACTGGACAAAGCTGATGAAATGTTAAGCCATGGATTCAAGGACCAGATCTATGTCATATTCCAAAGTTTAACAGCAACACCCAGGTAGTTTGCTGTCAGCTACAATGCTTTCTTATGTGCTTGAGGTGACCAAGAAGTTCATGAGGGACCCCATTTGGATTCTGGTCAAGAAGGAAGAGTTGATCCTGGAGAGTATCCACCAATTCTGCATCAATGTGGAACAAGAGAAGTGGAAGCTGGACACACTGCGTGACTTGTATGAAACTCTGACCATCACCCAGGCAAGTCATCTTCACCAACACTCGAAGGAAGGTGGGCTGACTCACTGAGAAGATGCATGCTTGGGTTTTCACTGTCTCTGCTGTGCATGGAGATACGGACCAACAGAAATGAGATGTGGTAATTAGCTTTTATCTGCTGTTTATTTGCCTTCCCACAAGTTGCTGCTTCTAGAGTCTCAAAGTCCTTTTCCTGTGTCTTAGTACTTATCTAAAAATTTACTGTTTTTTTTTAAGATGCTAGGTATGCAAATAGAAATTCAAAGCCAACTTTTTGAAAATTACTCATTCCCTGGGTGTCTCACACATCTGTATGAAATATACATGTTAATGAACTTCTGTTTGTTTTCCTCTTGTTAATCTGTTCTTTGTTACAGTGGTCCTTTTTAACTAAGAATTTATGAGGGTTGAAGAAAAATTATTTTTCTTCTTTTGCATTTGTGACAAGCTCTGGTCTCAGAACCACAAGAGAGAATCCTGGGATTCTGTATTTAAGTCATACATCCGTGTCTGCATTCAGAACGCATCTCCCAGCAAGTAAAAGGGCTCTGGTAGAGACTGAGCAGCTGAACCCAGCACATCAAGTGACCATGTGACCACAACTGCCCATCTTGCACTGTATATATGTTATTTTCACAAGCTCCAAAGTCAAGAAGGCCTAGCAACAATGCATTTTAAGAAGAAAGCAATATATATGGGATCAGGCACAAAGAATCTTGGAGGGTGAGATTAATCTACACAGCGGGTCGCCCAGACCATTTCATTCTTCCTTGTTGCACCCAGCATCTCTCTTTTGGTATGGGGGAAATTTTTTACAGCCATCTGACAGAGGAGGAAAAAGGTTGAGTTTGTTTCCCAAGGGCCTCACCTTTGTAAGCGGGTTCAAACTGAAAATCAGTTATTGTTATACAATAGTCCCACTCATAGATGTTGCAAAACGACTGGTGATTATACATTTATCCCAATAGGCAGATCTTAGGGTGGTATAAGTTGTCATCCACTTTACATGGAAATAGAAAGTCCATGGTAGGAGTATGTACAGACACATTTACAGAAGCTAATGGTTTGATTGGTTTGATAGAGCTTGAAGGAAAAAGATTGGAAGAACTGGGACACGCAGATGAACTTACAGTAATGGGAACAAAGTATAAAGATCTATGTATGACATTTTAATACCCACCACAGAACATTCACAAAGAAGAGGCACTAACAGTGCAGATTTAACAGCAGCTTGTTGATATCAGCCAGCATCGCATCTATGCTCAGACACCCTTTTGCTGCAGCAGAGACTCAAGCACAGGGTAGCCACGGTAGTGGAGATGGAGCCATGCAGGGCCTGACAGCACAGAATCCCACTCAATAAGGTTGATCTGGCTACTTCTCTAGTAAAATTCCCAATAACTTAGCAACTGAGATCAACTGTCAGTCTCTAATATGGCACCTTAAGATAACCAACCAGGCATTTGGTAGCAAGTTGCTACCCTTGGACTTCTGCTCTAAAAGGGACATGATTCACCTTGATTATATTTTAGGTATTGGCTTCCTGTTCCTAACCTCAAGACCTAAGCCAGTTACACTACCACAAAGTTTACTAAATATTTGAGCCATCACACAGGATTCTGCTTATAATCTCTTCAGATAAAGGGAATCATTTTACACAAATGATTAACATAAAAGAAGGAGAATACAACCACAAAGTATATTGGTCTTATATACTGTATTCCACAACATGCCAACAACTGTCAGCTGATGGAGCAAATAAATTGCCTTTTCTCTTTTTCAGCTATATCAAGGTAGAATTGACAAATAAAAAATTGTATATATTTGGCTGGGCGTGGTGGCTCACGCCTGTAATCCAAGAACTTTGAGAGGCAGAGGCGGGCAGGTCATGAGGTCAGGAGATTGAGAACATCCTGGCCAACATGGTAAAACCTGTCTTGACTAAAACTACAAAAATTAGCTGGGCATGGTGGTGCATGCCTGTAGTCCCAGCTACTTGGGAGGCTGAGGCAGGAGGATTGCTTGAACCTGGGAGGCGGAGGTTGCAGTAAGCTGAGATCTTGCCACTGCACTCCAGCCTGGTGACAGAGGGAGACCCTGTGTCAAAAAAAAAAAAAAAAAAAAAATTGTATATATTCAAGGTGTACAATGTGTACCTCTGGGTTATTTAATTAATCTCATGTTTTAGGATTATAAAATCTAGAATTATGTAGATGAAATAATTCAACGTGGTTTTTCAGATGATGTGGCAAAAATTGTACGTCTATATGCAAAAATAAATGTGAATCACACCTTGCACCACATGCAGAAATTATAAAACATCTCCAAGGAGATGTCCAAAAAAAAAAAACCCAAGAGACAACCTTGGGTTAAGTTTAGACTCAACATCCAGCAACATGAATCATAAAAGGAAAATGAAATATATTGGCATTCAACAAAATTAAAAAAAAAAGAACGATTTGCTCTTTGAATGACACTGTTAAAAAAATCAAAGAAAAAGTCACAGTCTGGTAGAAAACATTTCAAAACATATATATATATAAAATGAAAGTCTGTTACTAAAAATATATTTAAAATTTTCACAACTGAATAATGATAAAAAATTAAAAATGGGCAAAATATAAAACTTTATTCAAGGAAATATGTGGATGCACATTAACATATGAAATGATTCTATACATCATTTTATTTAGGGAAATGCAAATTAAGACCACGATGTGGTAGCGTACATCTGTTAGAATGGCTTTAAAGCAAAACTGGTAGTATCAAGTTGTGGTGAGCATGCAGATCAATTGGAAATCTCATGCAATGCTAGTGGTAATGCAAAATGACACAGCTATTTTTGAAAATGATGCAGCTACTTTTGAAAATACTTTGATGCTTTCTCATAAAGTTAAACATCTATTCAGCATACAACACAGCAATACCACTCCTAGGTGGATATAAAAGAGAATTGAAAGCATATGTTTGTATAAATATCTATACACCCATGCTTATATCAGTCTTGCTCCTAATTACCCAAATTAAAGCCAAATGTCCATCAATAAGGAAAATATTTATACAAATTATGGTACATCTAAACAATGGAATAAAAAACAGCAATGCAACAACATTAATGATTCACAAATGTATTAGACTAATTGAAATAAACCAGAAGCAAATGGTAGTGCATATAGTATGATTTCACTCGTATGACATTTTGGAAAAGGCAAAACTATATGGACAGAAAAGAGACCATTGTTTGTTAAGGGCTGAATATGGGAGAAAGAATTGACCACAAACTTGCATAAGGGAATTTTTTTAGATGATGGAAATGCTCTATGTCTTAAATGTAATGATGATTTCTTGACTACATGCATTTATCAGAATGCATAGAACTGTACAACCAAAAGGAATTAATTTGTCTATGAGTAAATTATATCCCAATACATGTAAATTAATTTAGTAGCACAAGAAGAACTTAGGACAATTTCTGGTACAAGTAAGTGTCCAAGAAACACTAGCTGCTATTGTTATCATCATCACCATTATTGAAATGACCAGAATAGTTTTAATAAGTGAATAATAAGCCACAAAAATAATAAGTTACAGTTTTTATAATATAGGATGAGACAGTAATACAAATTTATTCAATTTCATAGTCAAATATTTAGATGGTCAAATGAATAAGACTATAAAAGCACATATAAGCTAAATCTCAAATCTGCATTTAGAATTAACAGTGAATATTACATAGTTTTTTTTTACAGTATTCTAACTAAATTTTCAAAACAGATTAAAAGTGTCTGTGCATGCATTTATTCATGCAATATTTATTGACCATTTACCATGTGTAAGTCCTATGCTATGCACTGGGACTATTAGTGCTATGACCCTGAACTAAATCTATTAGTTTAGAAATTATCAATAATAATTTTACTCTTACATAATCTAGTGTATTGTATAATCAAACATGTAACAGCAGTTAAGTCAAAAATATTCAGAAAGAAAACCAGGGTCAACCTGAAGACTGAATGTATGTTTATAATTTTTAAAGGAGAATTTTTCTGTGCTATATAGTTGGTGGAAGTCAAGTCAACTGGAACAATTGAAGATAAAGTATGTATGTAAATACTGTTAAAGTTAGGAAAAACACTAATGAAAAAGTTTAATGGAAAGTTGGGATCTAGTTATGTTTGAATAAAGAATGTTTCAGTTACCATGGCTACATAACAAATTATCTCAAATCTAGTATTTACAAAAAATACTATTTTACTAATATTGGATTCTAGTAAATTACTGTCACGGATTCTGAGGTTCAGCATGGCTTGCCTCTTCTCCACAATACCTAGGGTTATACTTGGAAAGGCTTGCTGGCTGGAGGCTGGAATCTTCAGAAGACATCTTTCCTCACATGTGTGGTTGTTGACGCAGGTTGTTGGCTGAAACCTAAACCGAGCTGTGCATTAGAACTCCTAAAGTGGCCTCTTCTTGTCTAATTCATATCTTAATAATAGTTGTAAACTCAGTAATAGCTTTTCTAAAACCCCAATTTAAAAATGGGCAAAACATGTTAGTTTATTTAGAAATATTTTTACCTAGAAGTTTATTTAGAGGAACCTGGACCCCTGGCTCATGATTGGGAACAGCACCTCTGAAGGCTGAATGTCTGCATTGAACTTGATGGAGTAAGGATAAATTTTACTCTCCACTGACATCTAGAGGGGGTGTTTTTGGAGAGGAAGATTTGGACTTCTTTCTAGCATGGTGGCTGACAGCAAACATCCTCAGAGAACAAAGTGAATATGCCTAGCATTTTTACAACCAGACCTTGGAATTGTCATGGCGTCATTTTAGCTTATTCTATTGGTTGAAATAGTCACAAAAATCTACTCTGCTGAAACACTTGGGGTTAGGGGTGGCAGCACATTACCATGGGCAATGGGAGGAAAATCAAGATCACATTAACAAGAGCATGAAAGACGGGCCATTTTGGAAGATGCAATCGTCCACAAAATGTGAGTATTTGTCATCGGATTATATGAATATTGATATAATTAGCAATTGGTAGGTCTCCTTTTGGAAATATAGTAATTGACATGAGAGCTAAGTGAACATTACAAAATTGGCCTTAAATAATTAGGTCCCCAGCTTAGTCAGGAGTCTCATTAATCATTTTCATTCTATAGGAAAGTTTGCCATTAATATTCAGGTCATACAAGCAAAAGCAGATATTTATAGATAGCCAGAATCGCACTGTTTAGCAGACATGTATTCATAACATTATGTGCTAAGCACTAACTACACCTAGTAAAGACATCATGTTTTCCACATAAAACTACTATATTAAGTACTCTGCTAGTATGAGTATTTTCTTTTACCACACAGTGACCTGTATTTTACTTTCGGAGAAAAATTTTTTCAGCTTACAAAATGTTAGCTGGATATTTA
Organism: Homo sapiens; assembly: GCF_000001405.40. Classification (NCBI taxonomy): domain Eukaryota; kingdom Metazoa; phylum Chordata; class Mammalia; order Primates; family Hominidae; genus Homo; species Homo sapiens. The sequence goes on along the minus strand of NC_000021.9, from coordinate 27,361,710 downwards.
CCACTTTTATTACCTTCATGGAAGTCCAGCTAGACTAATACGCCTTTTGAAGAATGAGCTAAGATGAGGCATTTGATAAATTTCTTACAGCTATTGTTTTCCCTGATATTATTTTTATGGCATGGAATTAAACGTTACAAAATATCAGTTTACAATGACTGGAAAATCCAATTCCCTTAATAGTGAAGAAGGTAAAATCTTCCAAAGAGTATTACATATCTCCAAGCACAATATACCTTGATAGATATACAGCATACCTTTTCCTTAATATAGACAAAATTCAGCATATTGTGGCAATAAAATAGGAATACCAAATGTGTCTTTTGCCAGTATCATTTCTTGAGGTGGCTACAGTCCCATTCCCGTTTCTCTTTGAAAGAACTAAATTCAAAGTGCACCTAACAGAGTGGTGGTTACTCATAAATCTGTTTTATATTCCAGAGTGTTGGAGGAGTGGGGAGAGAGAGTAGTTTCGGCTGATGGGATATTGGTAGAAAAAATGTAAGTTATTTCATTAAAGGTCCTTCTTCTCTTGTTTGATGTCCAAATGGAAGGGATTTGTAGAAGACTTCAGGACTCCAGATGACTCTGAAATACTTAGCAACAGTAGAAGATAACTACATAAGAGGAGCTTGGAACTTTGGCTCACCATGGGGAAGAGCACCACTGAAGGCTGACTATATCTGCACTGAACTTGATGGAGCAAGAATAAATTTTACTCTCCACTAACATCTAGGGGGTTGTATTTTACAGCAATTGCCACCATCATCAATATAGCTGATACTGTGAGACAGAAGGTAAAGTCTGAACAAGTTTATAGCCTCAGTGCAAGTAGCTGAAGAACAAAACCACTAACTCTGTGTGAAGAAGGATATCAAGGTTTTTTAAAAACAATAAAAAATGATAGTGTTGTAGACCTAGTTACGCATCATATAAAATCCTCCCATACCTACCAGCTTATGTATTCATCCTGTCTTTGATCCTGGCCCTTGCCTATTTTCTAAGGGACAGACGTAACGATAACTCAGGGACTTCCCAGGTCCAGACTACTCCCCCTGCTCTACCACCAACAGAAGTTTGGCACCCTCATGCGATGCATTGGCTGACAAGGAAAGACTTACCTTCACATGGTCATGCTGGACCCACGGGTATCTGCTTCTCTCTACCCAGAGGGGCCAAATTACACATCCTCTATGTGAAATGTGAATGAGTCAATGCTCCATGGGGCACACTTATACCAATGAGAAACCAACGAGAAACAGAATATGAGATTTTCTCTTTCTACAAAATTTTAGAAATAAAATAAGAAAAAAATAGTTCACCTAAATTAAGCAAATATTTTCCTATAAAGCACCCACATTTTCTTGCAATAAATACATTAACCTGGAGAAATGTCACTAACATGTCAAATTAACTTCTCAATTAATAAAGGCCAATTTTGATGTATTTCTAGCACTTTCAAGCTAGAAATAATGTGAATAGTTTTAAACTGAAGTGTTTTACACTTTAGTTTTACAGTTTTACAGTTCTGGTAAATATTTGGCTTCTGTGCTTTTAAGTTACTGTTGTAACTCTGAAGCCATATTTTGATTTAATCCTGAAAGGTTTCAGAAAGAAATCATGGACTACAAAACTTGTATAGAGTAACTCTTTTGTTTTAAGCAAATAAATACAACGTTAAAAAATTCTGCATTGGACAAAAGTAAAGCAGTTTAGCTTACTCAAATAAAACACAGCTGAATGATGATCAGTGTATTCTTCTATATGTTATTGTATCTTCAACCTCACCAGACTTTTGGCTGGTAGTCCCAACAATGTGTCCTAAACTTCATATTACCTGTTTTGATGTTGATTTTCACTGCAACTGACCATAAACACTTCAAGTTAGAGACTGTTATTGATATTATTTCTCTTTTTAATTATTAATGTTATGTGAAGTAACAAGCATATAGTAGGGAATCAATAAGGATTAGAGAAATTAACTTAAGAGGAAAAATACACATCTGAAGCTGAAATAAAATACTCAGAAGGGAAGTATTACGGGAGATATTTTAAGGACTTGACATTTCATTGATTAAGATTTCTTTTTTTCCTCATTGTGTAGTATCAAAGATCTTTCAAAAATTACAGGGATATCAACATAGAAGAACATATTTAGAAACATCACATAATGATTCCAAAATATTGTCTTTACTTTTAAGATTTTTTAGAAATCTCTCTAACATAAACTTCCTTGGGAATGGGATCACTTAAGGATAAGGAACTTTGGATTGCTGCAGAGCCATAAATTACAAATTCCAACCAGCTGACAGATTGAACTTTGAAAATAAAGAAAAATGCAAACCCACAAGTTTAAAATGTAAACATGTTGCCCAAAACCATTAAAAAGTCAGTTTGCATGATACTCTCAAGGTTGTTTTTTAAAAAGCCTGTCTGTTAAGTAAAGACAGTATTGTTCACCCTTTGAAGCTGATTCTCAAGAAGGGGTGCCCTTCTGCTACTCTCTATGAAAATAAAAATGAAAATAAAATATAAGGTTTTATTTCCTGCTTAGAGTTGTCCTAGGCCTGTGCTAATGCTTTCTACTGCTTTATTTCTAAAATTTTGTATATGAAGCTATTGCTACAGGAAATCTTTTTTTTCTTAAGACTTTAATACCTGGTAATCACACTACTGTAGAATTACTTCTCTATAAGGACCTTATCAGTAGGATTTAGTAGGCAATTCAAGAAGATAACAAGCCATGAAAAGATTTGGAATTTTTCTGGCTATGAGATAATCAATGATGTTCTATAAAATTCTGGGAATTATATCATTTTGGAACTACTTGCTCTGTGGTTGTTATTGAGTAATTTTATAATCTGACTTTTAGACAAATCACCACATTCATTTATTGATACAAGATTTAGTTATGGAGTCCTTGTTTTACACATGACAGCATGCTAGTGGGCTCGTCTGTTGATTGAAGGGAGAGTAAGTTACAGACCTGGACATTAAGCGACCTGCAGTTTCATAGAGGAGATGACACATGAGTCCAATTACAAAGACATTTGTAGGAAGTTCTAAGAGTCTCACTCAAGGCTCTCATGTCTGCTCTTCTTCCTCTACACATTTGTCTTTTCCTCTCTCATCATTCAAAATTTCATCATCCATCCAGGATAGCGTCAGAAGTTCCAGACAAATACATTCAATTTTTAACTACAATTTTCCTTTTTTCAAGTTACTCTGTTAATCTTCTTCCACTGGAACTCTTTCTCCACTTCCCTGAAACTTATATCTCATTGGCTCTCTCTACTTTTTCTACACCCACTATTCTTTTCTCCTTATTTTTCAACCCATCAAGCTTAGATTTCATGACCCAATCTTTAATTACTTGGAGAATATTTGATCTCTCTGAATTCTGCTCTTCCAAGAACTCTGGCAAAACCCCAAACCAGTTCATACCCACTTTCTTTTTGCCAGCACCTGTAAAGCTAAGCATTGAGCATAGGTATCAATATGAAGCTACCTATTTCAAACTCAACAGAGTTCAAGTAAGTTGATTATATTACATAATTTTTCTACTAGGTAGCCTAGAGCCCATTCAAATTCATCTTGTTCAAAAATAACACTCTCCCTGGGAGAACATTTCCCCCTGTAAGTTTCTCGTTTTATGTCAACCCCATCTACCTAATTACCTAAGCCAGAAATCTATGTGTCACTCTTGATTGCATTGTCTCCCTTACTTGGCAATTTCAATCAATCATAAGATTGAGTCAATTCTGGTAGACATATCCATCTCCTTTTCTAAAACTGCCCTGTTACCTCTTGGTCAAGCCATCATCGTCTTTTGTGTAGGTCATCGGAACAAAGTCTTAATTCACCTCCTTGCTTACAGTCTGCTTTCTTGCCGATACTTTCTATACGTCAAGTCCTCAGTAACATTTGGAAAATGCAAATCTGATAATTACTTCCATGTGCTAAAAAGAATTTAATACTTTCCCATCCCATTTAGGAAAATATCGCATCTCATGAACACTTACAAGCACTGTATCCTTTGGCCACACATACTTATTCAGTATAATTTCTTATTGCTGTCTCCCCCTTTTGCAGTCTATACCTGGCAATGCTGATTTTTTTTTTTTTTTAATTTAACTTCTTGGATTATACTTCATCATTTCTTGCTTCTGAAATTTTTCTTTAGCTTTCTATTTGACCAGACAGTGCTTTCTTCTTCTCTTTGTTTAACTAAATTCTATTTACCCTTTAGACTCATTAAAGTTTTCTTGAAACATATGGTCTTCATATCATTATACCAAACACACTTCCAAATTCTTACTTAATAGCCACATAATCCACTAGACCATTGGCTCTGTGAAGGCAGAAAGTACATCTAATCTGTCCCGGCCTCTGTTTTCTGGGATTTACAGGATGTTTAGTGAATATACTGAAAGAATGAATGATGAAGAAATTCTTACGAGGAAGTTCTATTCATTATAATAGCGTGGTTGGAAAAGTGGGTTAATACCTTTTAATGATAGCAGTGTAATCAAAGGCATTAAATACTACAAACATTAAAGAATAGTATAGAATGTTATTAAGAATGATATACCAACAAACTTGACAAAATAAAACAAATAGACAACTTTCTTAAAAAATACAATTTATCAAAATTACCAATAAGAAAGAAAATCTGAGTAATCCTAATCTCCATTAAGGCAATTAAATTTGTCTCCATAAAGAAAGTTCCACGCTGAGATAGTTGTACTGGTAAATTCTGTCTAAAACTAAATAAATAAAATCAAGGTTATACACACTTTTTCAGCAAAAAAAGAGGAAGAGGGACTATTATTATATAAGATCAGGCTAATACTACATGAAAAGGTGAAAAATACCTTAAAGAAAAAGAAAATTACAGACCAATGTCAGCCATAATTGTATTGTTATGAGTTGAATTGTGTTCTACTAAAATGCATGTTAGAATTCTAACTTCCAGTACTTAAATAGATCTCAAGGGATTTATTCTGAGTAAAAAAAAATCTAAAAATATTACATACTTCAATATTCTATTAATACAACATTCGTTTCTTTTTTAATAGCTTTAATTATTTTTGAATTATAATTATATATAATTATAGGAGACACAGTCATGTATATATCTATCATATACAGTGTGAGATGATTGAATCAAATAAGTTTATATATCTAGCACCTTAAATACTCATTATTTACTCCTCCTATTTAACTTCAAATTGATCTTTTGACTGACATATCATCATTCTTCCTTTCACTCTCATCCCTGCCTCACCTCCAGGCTCTGGTAACCTCTTTTCTATTATCTGCTTCTTAGATTGTTTTAGTTTTGCATATAAGTGAGAACATGCAGTTTTTCTCTTCTGTACTTGGTTTATTTCACTTTGCATGATGTCTTCCAGATTCAACTATGTTGTTGCAAATGACAGAATTTTCTTCATCGAGGCTGAGTAGTATTCCATTGTTTATAAATACCATGTTTTCTTTATCAATTCATCTGTTGATGGACATAGATTGATCCCATGTCTATTATAGACAATACTGTGATGAACATGGGGAATGCAGATGTCTTTTAGATATACGGAATTTTTTAGAAATCTCAGAAATGGGATTTCTGGATCAAATGGTAAAATTTGTTCTCCATTTTTTATAATTTTGTCATTTTAAGAACGCCATATTTTTAGTTTTTTTGAAGAATTTCTATTATGGAAAACTGTATAGAGGTTCCTCAAAAGCCTAAAAATACAACATTATTGAAATGAAAAAACTATGGACATGGAAGAACAAATTTTTGTTTTCCAGGGTTTATGGACATTGGAGGTGGAAGGGGATGGATGAGACTCTAAAGAGGTCGCGCTGTAAGATCTTTGTGTTATCTTGATTGGAGTGGTCGTCATACCAATCTAACAGTGATAAAATGAAAATATACATACATGGTATTAATGTCAACATTCTGTTTTTTATTGTATAGAGTTCTGTAAGATGTAACCTTTGGAAGAAACTTGATGTAAGTTACATGGGACTTCTCTGTACTATCTTCCCAACTTCTAATGAATCTGTAATTATTTCAAAACTAAAAAGGTAAAAGTAGTATTTATTGCAAAGAGCCAGTATTTTAATTTATTGTGAATGAATACTATGGAAAAATATGATGAAAATAAATTACTAGAAAACTAAAATTAAACAAAGATACATAAACTGCAAAACCTTTTTGTAGAATCAGGAATATCTCTCCATTTTTATACATATAATCAGAACAAATATGGTATATGAAGAAAATAATTTCCAAAAGACTATATATTTTTATTAAGAGTATACACATAGCCATTAATATTGAGAATTGCTAATATACTATTTGTCTTTCTACAATCTCAGCTAAACAAAATGTATAAGTGAAATGTGATTTCATTCAATGAAAACTTATATGCACACTTTGAGAATACTTTGTATAAACACATTTAAAGATTTTGATATGAATAAATGCAAACAGTTCATTTCTTCCGTTAACATGTCTAGGCTACATTTTATTCACAACGTTCATTTACTCATAATTATCTGCACTATTTCTAGGTTCCTGTTTTAGTGACACTCATTGTGCCCAAAACAATCTGTGGAGCTGTATTGTTAGAAACAGAGCAAGAGCCTTTAAAGTAATTTCATCTAGCTCACCATGTATGTTTTTAACTGATATCCAAAAATGAAGTAAGTGATGATGTGCTTTCAAAACACAACTTCAGTGATTCCACCAGTAGCTAGTTCTATAAATTTATCCTTATTATTAAATTTGAATTATCTTTCAATGAGAATGATTTTCAGATCCATGCATTTCTTATGTGTGACACATTTTTGGTAAAAAAAATAAAATTCCAAACCCTTGATTAAATGTTTGGTGATAACCTTTTGCAGGTGTTCAATAACAACATTAACACCTACCTCACTGGTAATTGTTATTAGCTTGCCATAAAACCAGATTCCATAAATTCTCAAAGTTTCATTTTCTGTCATTGAAAAACTTGTTTTATTTCTACAATGCCTAAAAATATTAATATCATTAAATACATACTATATTCCATATATAAACTGTAAAACTAGATTCCATAAATTCTCAAAGTTTCATTTTCTGTCATTGAAAAACTTGTTCTATTTCTACAATACCTAAAAATATTAATATCATTAAATACATAAAAAATATCAGATAAACAAGTAACCCTGGCTATCACTGAACAGCTTTAAATTGGTAGACCAAACTGGTTTCTTAAGAAGTGAAACATTAAAAGTTTATTCAGTAATTGAAGTGCTTTCCACAGAACTATTGCTCTCCATGAACTGCATGGCTCTTTATGAAATAATTTGAGTTCGTAATCAGCTTCCATATTATTACTTGATATGTAAAATAATCTTGAATTTAATGTATTGACATTTACTTAACTCACAAAATTTTACCATGCCATCAGTGACTTTTTAAAGCTGACATTTAATGCCATGCAAGATGTTTTTGATAAAGAAAACTGTGTTGATTTGCATTTTAACAAAAGCACCATATCTGGGTAACCATTCAAGAATGTTTTCTGTAATAGATATTATGCCACAGAAACATGCATGTGAAACGTAATCTCTAAACTACACCAGTTGACAGTTCATATCATAGGGTTCAGATCTAGTCAGTTTACATGAGCGATGAAGAAAAAAGTTCCATAATATCAATATAATGTTGAAAATGGACTACACTAAAAGAGTTGCCATGTTAGCAGTATCAGTGCATTAGTCTAATCACAATGAAAAACACTTTACTAGTTTTACTTGTTCAGTGAGTTGGTCTTCTAGATCATCACTCAGCTCCTGAGTATACAGTGTTACTGCAAAGTGGTATTTGATTGACTTTGTAATACAGATTCACATTGCATTTCCAAACAAGTATCTTTGATACCATACTTCACTGTCTCAGCAATTGTATACATTTTCTTTAGTTAGCAACCCAAAGTGCTGTTTTACAATAAGACACATAGCATCAATATTCATATGTGAAATGTTGAGCATCTGCTTCTGTAGGCTTTTCAATTAAATACTCTTATACAGAGAATGTGGTTTTGAACACTTTTATTTATATCTTTTATGTAAATACCACATAGGTGTTCATTGTTTCATCCCTTCACTATGCAATGCAACTCCACAAATGAGGCACCATAGTTTTAGCATAGTATCATCAATTATGGTTAGAAAACTGATCTCAATGTACTAGGATACGTACTTCTAAGTAAAACAAGTATGAACTCTTTTTGGTCTTTAGCTTTTCCCTACTGTTTTTCTTCACCATTATTTAACCTAAAATGTCTGTAGCTGAGAATCTATGCCTTCTCGTAACAAGCCCAGAGAAACTTATTTCTCTCCGTGTTAATTGGCATTAAACTTAAATAATGTAAATTGTATTTTCTTAGTATAACTAATAATGTTACATTATAATTTGAAAAACAGGCATCATTAAAAAGTAAAGTGCACCTAGAAATTTTTTTAAGCATACAAAGGCTTACATTTTCTCAAAATTTGACACACACTTGGGTTATAGTGCACAAACTAACCTTAAAGTGTCATTTGTTGCTATGTGATTCTGCTACATATGACTAGCATACAGCTTAGATCATATGTGATCCACAACAATTAACTGTACTATACCCTGGTCAGAAATAATCCCATTGATCAAAAACCTTTATGGCCTGGCAATGTGAAATTGCTGCAGATATTTTGAAATGCTTACTCTGAATGCTTATATTTATCTTGCCTTAGAGCTCTCCACCAATGCCAGTGCAGGAGATCATGCTCTGAGCATCCAAGGTCTAGAGGGCGGAGCAAACATTTAAAAAATGCTGCAAACATGTCTAGCTACATATTATGATATCAGTATAAAGGAAACATACAGGGTGATGGGAGCAAATATTATAGGGATCCTGTTTACATTAAAGGGTCAGGAAAAGTCCTAAGGAAAGATGAATGGGTGAGGGCAGCCTTCTAGGCAGAAAATGAGGAGACATCAAAATGCATGTGCTCTAGGAAGGGAAAGAAGCCTAGAGTTGCTCTAGGTTGTGAGACAGAGGAAAGGCCCAGGAAATGAACAAGAAGAAAAAGAAGAGCCCAGGCACTGTGTACCATAATAATGAGGCTAGATTTTTCCTAAAGGTTGAGAAATGACATTAAACAAAACATAGCAGGTTGTGGTTGTGAGGGAAGATAATCAGATTTGACCCACGTGGGACTGATTGACGAGAACTCTGTTAGAAGGAGCCTGGGGCCCAGTGTTCCACTGATTGTAGAGCGTAGTGGGTGGGAAAGAGACCAAACAGGAAGCCCTGTTTTTGACTTTTATTTTAAGTTCAGGGGTATACGTGCAGGTGTGTTACATAGGTAAACTTGTGTCATGGGGATTGTTTTACCAACTATTTCATCACCCAGATATTAAGCCTAGTACCCATTAGTAATTTTTCCTGATCTTCTCCCTCATCCCACCCTCTACCTTGAAGTAGGCCCCTCAGTGTGTGTAGCTCCCCTGTGTGGGTCCATGTGTTCTCATCATTTAGCTCCCACTTATAAGGTAACATGTGGTATCTGGTTTTCTCTTTCTGCATTAGTTTGCTAAGGATAATGACCTCCAGCTCCATCCATGTCCCTGCGAAGGAAATGATCTTTTTCTGCTTTATGGCTTTATAGTATTCCATGGTGTATATGTACCACATTTTCTTTGTCCAGTCTATCATTGATGGACATCTAGGTTGATTCCATGTCTTTGTTATTATTAATAGTGCTGCAATGAACATACACATCCATGTGTCTTTATAATAGAACAACTTACAGTCCTTTGGGTATATACCCAGTCATAAGATTGTTGAGTCTAACGGTAGTTCTGTCTTTAGGTCTTTCAAGAATCACTGCACTGTCTTCCACAATGTGTGAATTTATACTTCCAGCAACAGTGTATAAGCAAACGTTCCTTTTTTATTCCACACCCTTGCTAGCATCTGTTTTTTTGTTTGTTTGTTTCTGAGACCGAGTGTTGCTCTGTCACTCAGGCTGGAGTGCAGTGGCGTGGTCTTGGCTCACTGCAGCCTCTGCCTCCTGGGTTTCAGCAATTCTCCTGCCTCAGCCTCCCAAGTAGCTGGGATTACAGGTGCATGCCACCACGCCCAGCTAATTTTTGTATTTTTAGTAGAGACAGGGTTTCACCATGTTGGCCAGGCTGGTCTCGAATTCCTGACCTCAGGTGATCCACCCGCCTTGGTCTACCCAAATGCTAGGATTATAGGCATGAGCCACCGCGCTCCGCCTTGACTTTTTAATAATAGCCATCTGACTGGTGTGAAAAGGTATCTCATTGTAGTTCTGATTTGCATTTCTCTAATGATCAGTGATGTTGAGATTTCTTTTTCATGTGATTGTTGGTTGCATGTATACCTTCTTTGGTTCTTTTGGTTTTATATGAATTTTGAAATAAATTTTGGACAATTTGTTTATACTGTGTGTGTGTCCAGTTGTGATTGGAATATATTGTAGAAACTCAAGTAAATATCTTCTAATGACTCAATGAATTGATTTATTTGGGATGCTTTATAAAAAGTATAACTTTTTCCTAATGCAGAATGTCCTAGTAGAAATAAAAAAATACAGTATATCAATAATTCCTAGCATTCCCAAGGAAGGAAACAAGTAATCGTATTAAGTAAAATGATAAAATAATACAAGTCTTAATGTTGATGCCCAACATCAAGCCATTTTTAAGAATCACAAGCAGTGCAGCAGTATTATTGCTGATGCTTTAAAGCTGAGCCATATTTTCTTAGATATTTATAGGATGGCTTTGTAGGTAAAATACAGGAGTAAATACCTGTGCTAGGTTGTTTTATCGTGCAGTTATTCATTCTTCCTTTCCTGTAAGAAAATTATACATTGTTGCTCATTGACATCAGGCTTAAGGGGCCCCTTATGGACAGAATATATATTCTCTGCTCCATTGATGTTTGACCTGACTATGTGATGTGCTTTAGTCAATGGAATAAATGTAGGCACGATGTATACTGTTTTTGAGAAGAAACTTTAAAAGGTACTAATGAAATTTCTTTGCCTGTTTGTTTCTGCCTTCTGTATGGGTCCTGGAATAAAAATATATGGATGAGGATTGCAGCTGACTTCAGCCTACATGCAGTTTGAATATGAAGTAAGTGTTGATTTATTATTGTAAGCCTCTGAGATTACATGGATGGTTGTTTCCCCAGCAAACCTGGCTAAACCATCCCGACTGCTACAATTTGACTAAATAAATGTAGTATGTATGGCAGAGACTTCATCATCATTTGTTTGTTGCTGAGTTTTCAGTTCCCAGATGGTAGTAACACATAGTTATAACTCAATGAATATTTTTGGATGAATTAATAGAATGGTGAAATGAGAGAATAAAATAAGAGGATAAGTACCTTCATTACGGGGCACATTTTGAAAGTCAATTTAGCAATAGAAAATGAAGCTAGATATAGAATGAGGTCACATCAGTTGAGTCATATTTTATGCAGTACAAAATAATTCAGAATTGTATATTTTTAGCAGATTTTTCATTATTCTTCAACTCACTTTAATCCGTTGCCTCCCTCTGCTAGGCCCCTATATGTCTTCTCATTGTATATATTTAAGGTTTAATCTTTCTTGACATTTCATCCGCTTTCAAAAATGTTCACCACTACCTTTTTCAAAGTAACTTGTTTCTTCTAAAAGACCACGCATCCGCTGATTTTTCTATTTACTCCCCTGTTCTCTTCAGGCATTGAGCGTTGACATTTCATTCTAACTCCTCTTCCTTAGCAGTCCATACTCGCTTTCTGGTTGACTTAATATATAATCACAGCTTCAATCCTACCTATTCAGGGATAGCTGATACAACAGCACTTCTAATATTTACCTCCAGCCTGAGCTATAGGTGAATGATGTCTATCTTTGGCAACTGAAACTAGTTTTGCTTTTTTTTAAGACACGGGCAAAGTCACAGGTATTGTACATTTTTTAGAGATTGCATAAAATGAGTTGTTCCAATAAAATGATGATAGAGGTAGAATCCAAATAAGAATAATTTGAAGAATTAACCAGTGATGAGGAAACAGAAAATAAACACAGATATCCTGGATGAAGTTTGTGATAGGATACAGAGACAGGTTGGCAGCAGTAAGGGAAAGTGAATATTTTTCAATTCAAGTACATTCCACATTTGCATGATTGGTAGCAAAAGAAAATAAAAGCTATCAATAGCTTTTATAAGAGTTAATTATTATGTTAGAGGGCTAAGCACTACAAAATTGGCATGCATTTTGGATTTTCCCCCAATTTGATACTCAAAACAAATTCTTGCCAAGTTGTAAAAGTAAACATTGTATTTATGGGTTTGTTATTATTCATAGATTCAATATACTGACTGCCATTCATTAAGCCAACTGAACATGTAACTAAGGCCTCCCCAAGTTTAAAAAGCATAATTATGAGGTATAGAGTAACATATAATAGTATATTCCATATATCTCTTTTCACCTGGATATGAACATCTAAATTTACATGCTTGAGATACTTCCTGGGTGTGATTGTCAATTTTATGTCGACTTGGTGCCTAGACATTGATGTGAAAGCATTTTTTAGATGTAATTAACATTTAAATTAGTAGCACTGGGGGTAAAGCTGATTACCCTCCATAATGCAATGGGCCTCATTCAGTCAGGTGAAGGCCTTAAGAGAAAAGACTCAGCCTTCAGACTCAAGACTGCAACATCAATCCTTCCTTAGGTCTCCAGTCTATTGGTTCTGTTTCTGTGGAGAACACTGACTAACACACTGGGATTCTCTTGCTTTGCAAACAGAAATGGGAGGCAATTTGGAAGGGACTTATAAAGCTTTTAAGACACAGGCAATGTGGTAGTTCTATTCACTTAACAAATATTCTTTAAAATATACTTTCTAATATACATTCTCTGCAGCATTAATGATATCTTCCACAATACGATTAAATTAAAAAATAAAAATTATTTTAAAAATAATTTCAAAATAAAATTAAAATTAAATTTGATGTTCAATTTCAAGATGAATATATAATATACAATATATAAACCAACATCTATTTATTTCATTTATGAAATCATACCAATTCTAGTTGTCCCTCTGTATAAAACAGAGAAGGTCTTATAGAATCTCAGGTATGACATTTTGGCCATGTGTGCCTAATTTTCCTCCCTCCCTCCCTCCCTCCCTCCCTCCCTCCCTCCCTTCCTTCCTTCCTTCCTTCCTTCCTTCCTTCCTTCCTTCCTTCTTTCCTTCCTTCTTTCCTTCCTTTCCTTCCTTTCTTCCATTTCTGCTTCTGCTTCTGCTTCTTCCTCTTCTTCTCTTTCTTTTTTTTTTTTTTTGAGAGGGTGTCTCACTCTGTCACCCAGGCTGGAGTGCAGTGGCACCATCTCGGCTCACTGCAAGCTCCGCCTCCCGGGTTCACACCATTCTCCTGCCTCAGCCTCCTGAGTAGCTGGGACTACAGGCGCCCGCCACCACGGCCGGCTCATTTTTTTTTTTTTTTCTTTTTTTAGTAGAGACGGGGTTTCATCGTGTTAGCCAGGGTGGTCTCGATATCCTGACCTCATGATCCGCCTGCCTCAGCCTCCCAAAGTGCTGGGATTACAGGCGTAAGCCACCACGCCCGGCCTCTCTCTCTTTCTTTCTTTCTTTTCTTTTTCTTTCTTTCTTTCTTTCTCTTTCTTTCTTTCTTCTCTTTCTTTCTTTCTCTCTCTCCTTTTTCTTTCTTTTCTTCTTCTTTCTTTTTTCTTTCAAATTTTTTCTATTTTTTTGGTTACTTTAGTAAGCTTTTTAGAGATAATCTTTAGAATACAATGAAACATGAAATAAATATAACAATATTCTTCAATGAAGGTAAGTAATAGTTGAATAGTCCCTTACTATATTTTCTTTACCCGTTTTCTACAAAACTCTATGTAATTCTGTTTATCGATCCGTCAATTCTTGCTTTGAGCTAGATGGTAAGATATTTACTTCTCTATAGAGTAAACCTTAATATTTAGCTTCTAAATATCAATTTTTAAGCCAGCTTGAGGACAGCCCTTTAGGTATATCTAAAGCAAATAATTCCAGTAACATTGCAGTTCACTGGGAAAAGGCCATCAGTGTGCCTGTCATTCTTGTAATCATACCATGTCATATGGTTTGGCTCTATGTCCCCACCCAAATAGCATCTCAAATTGTCAGGGGAGGGACCTGTGGGGAGGGGAATGGATCATGGGGGCTGTTTCCCCCATTCTGTTCTTGTGATAATGAGAGACTTCTCATGAGATCTGATAGTTTTAATAGTGGCAGTTTTTCCTGCGCTCTCACTTCTCTTCTGCTGTCATGTAAGACCTGCCTTGCTTCCCCTTCACCTGCCACCATGATTGTAAGTTTCCTGAGGCCTCCCCAGCCATGCAGAACTTTGAGTCAATTAAACCTCTTTCCTTTATAAATTACCCAGTCTCAGGTATTTTTTATAGCAGTTTGAGAATGGACTAATATATAATATAAGTAGATCCTCCCCAGAAAGGGCTGGCAAAGGACCTTTTACATAAACAAACGGTTAGACGGGAGAGTTTCCCCCATAAGTCTCTTCATCTTAGCCATCAATAGCCCAAGACTATTAAAGAAAAGGCGAAAACTGGTACCAGAAATGATTCAGTTTCATTCTTATTCTTTGTTAAACTCATTCCCAAAGTGAATGAGAAAGCCAATGAATGAAAGCCCGAATCATAGGGTTTCCACCAAAGATGCCAGTTTTGACAGTTCCTCTTGTCTCTTGGAAGTATCTAATTTAGACTGCTCCATTAGTAGGTCAAGTGATGTTTAAATAACACTGTTCCAGCTGCAAATTGATTCAGTTTACTTTTTAAATCTCCAAATGTTCTTGTTGCAAAAAAAGTTTGGAGACCAGGCGTTTGCATCTGTAATCCCAGCAGTTTGGGAGGTTAATGTGAATGGATCTCTTGAGCACAGGGAGTTCAAGACCAGCCTGAGCAACATGGTGAAACCCCATCTCTACAGCCTAGGCAACAGAGTGAGACACTGTCTAAAAAATGTAAAAAGAGAAAGTTTGTAATTTCTAACTCTAATTTTTAAAATTATGTCAAGAACTGATTTTAAAAAGAACAGATTAAAATGGAAATAAAAAAATTACTATTACAAGTGTACACATATATCTGTAACAATTATACTCTAGTAATGAGAGGCAAGCTCTTAGTAGAAATAAAATATATTTCTACTATGTAGTCACTTGCTTTTGTTGCTTCCTGTGGAATTCAAAATGAGTCAAACAAATGAAATTGCTGAATCATTGGCTTGCTTTTTCTATGCAAAATTTAAGAACTAAAGCTTCGTGATGATCAAATATAACATTCTGGACTTTATTACATTAAACAGTCTAATACACATTTGGTTTTATGTTTATTAAAATGAATTTCCTTTAGACACTTTGAATTTGCCTTCTCTGAGATCCATTTATGAATTAGGCTGTTTGGCCAATGACTAGACATCAAGGAATGAATGAGAGAACTGTTTTCATTTGCTTCGGTGAAAATTCAGCCACATTCTTTGTATGGGGTTGATTTGTTTGCCATTTCTAATTCCCTGTTACTCCTCATTGGTCTTTCAAAGAGAGATATTTGTGTAAATGACAATATGCAATTATTTCATAAAAAGTAATATATCCTTCCAAATTTTTATTAATGACTTTGAATTGTCTTTTGTAAATTTTTTGGATTTGTCATATTTTTTCCAAAAACCTGTAATGAAGAAAATAGATATCTATATTCTAAGTCAATTCCCAATAGAAACGATATAACTTTTTAGTACAGGAACACAACAGGTTTAACTACTTTCACATCAGTTTCAAGTTGCATTTCTATATTTAAGGCTTCATTACAAACATACATGTGTCCAGGCAATACTCATATTCTCCTGTACCATTGAAATGAGATCAAAAAAGTAAAAATTTTCATTCTATTTCAGCTTTCATCTTAGTAAAAAAGAGTAGCAGAATGGAGTAATGTCCAAAATCTAGTTCCAGGTGCGATTATTATATATTTCTAAAATTTGCAGAAATGAAAAGAATATTTTCAGCCTTTTAGAACAGATCATTATGATTCTAAATGGCTAGCACCGACTATGCTAAAGACATTATAGCCTGTGATATCATGTGAAAAACAAAATAATTCCAGCCTTCACGCAAAATGCTTCTGATGTCATTGACCTAGCACTGTTGTTTATTGTCTATAAATGATCATTTGCTGTAAATGTATTTAGGCTAAAATGAATTATTTAATGTTAAAAATATTCTACCTGAATATATTTTTAACACATTAAATATATTATTTATAAGTAATATAGATGCTTATTTACTTACAATAGGATTCTGTCCAATAAAGTCATCTTAAATTGAAAATATAGTAAGTCAAAATGCATTTAATACATCTAACCTACCAAATATCATAGCTTATCTACACTAGCCTACCTTAAACATACCCAGAACATCTACATTAGCTTATGATTGGGCAAAATCATCTAACAGTAAGCCTATTTTATAATTAAGTGTGCAATAGCTCATATAACATATTGAATACTTTACTGAAAGTGATAAACAGAATGATTGTATGGAATCTAATGAATGCTTATCACTTTTGCACCATCATAAAGTTGAAAAATTCTAAGCCAATATTATAAGTTGGGGACTGTTTGTATTATATATTAAATATTATAAATATTTAATGGAATAAATGCTTTGTGAACATTTTAGAGTAAGTTTGAATTACTGTTTCTCTGAATGACTTGTTTTGAGTAGATATAATTATAAACTGCCATAAAAACAGATCTTTTATATGCTAACTAGTTGCATATTTTTTCAAGTAAAATTATGGTAACCAATAATGTGGTTAAAATACTCTTGTGTAATTGAAAGAAATGCGCAAAGACCCAGGTAAGTTGGGGCTATGTGTAATCTGTACTGCTGCTGCTGGTTAGATAATTTTTTAATAACTTTAAAACAAAGCAAATTAAACAACAACAACAACTAAATTTGACATTCAAGATTTAGACCTGCTATCTCTGACTTTAACTTCTTTTTTTTGTGGGGGGACGGAGTCTCACTCTGTCGCCCAGAGTGGAGTGCAGTGGTGTGATCTTGGCTCACTGCAACTTCAGCCTCCCTGGTTCAAGCACTTCTCCCGCCTCGGCCTCCTGAGAAGCTGGGACTGCAGGTGTGAACCACCATGCCCGGCTAATTTTTGTCTTTTAAGTAGAGACGGGGTTTCACCATATTGGCCAGGCTGGTCTGGAACTCCTGACCTTGTGATCCGCCCACCTCAGCCTCCCAAAGTGCTGGGATTACAGGTGTGAGCCACCACACCTGGCTTGACTTCTAAAAAAATAAAAACTAAAATATAATTTAGTATAGTTTAAAATCAATTATCTGCCCTGATGGTGACATAGTTCTTCAATGAAAATCAATTAATAAATTATTCATTCTAAATTTTGTCTTTTAGCTAATTTATTTTGTTAAAAGTATTTTTGTATTAAGCTACAGATTGCCTGTTTTTCTCACTGTTCTCTTGATTTTATAAATGTATTCTCTTGATTTTATGAATATATATTTCCTAGATTTTCTAAGAGATTGACAAATTATGAACTCTTTACCCACATAGAATTCATGCTGTTTAAGTAATTTCTTCTACATGGATATTTGTTTAGCGTGTACACAGGAGTTGATATAAGCCTTTGTGTGTAAAGAAATGCATTAGAAAGAGACTTAAGTGAAGATTTTCAGTGCACGAACTTGTATGGGTTCACAACAAGCCTAGTAATCTCTTAAGAAAGAATCTACTAAGTCTTTCAAAAGTTTTGATTATAAGGCTAAATTAATGACTGAAATTTAATTCTACACATGGCTAAATAAATAAAACTGTTAGCCAGACAATAATGGGGCTGTTTTTCCCTGTAAATCCTTCATATCTTTCTAATAATATACTGTGTGAAAAGTTTTTAAAAATGTGTTAGAGAAATTACAGTAGTATTTCAGTTGGGCTACATGTATGTATAATTAAGGAAATCCAGCTTTTAATTTTATTTTAGTAATTTAACCTTCATGCGTAATGCATTTGATGCATTTCTATAAACTTTCTCATTATGTATTATTAAAAATATATCCTCAGCTTCCTTTATAAAATTGTCCATAAAAGAGTATAGATAAGTAACAGTTTAGTATAACAGCTAAACACACAGTATTTGAAGCTAGCCCTCCAAGATTTCAGTCACGCCCAGATTTTGCTAGCTCTGTGATTTTGGATTAGGCCTTCCCCAACCTGGCCTCAGGTTCCTCATCTGTGCGGGGGTGAGTAATAACAGTACCCACCTCAGAGCCATTATGAAGATTGCAGTAGTTAATGTAGCTGCCATACATGAGGCAGCCATAGTCATACCTCACCAAAAAAAATAGCAGTGTTTTCCAAATCTCACTGGCTGGGGAAAGTTGCTTAATGTGGAAGAGAGGAATAAATAAGGAGAATAATTTTAAAAATAATAAAAAGCAGCTGCCGGGCGCGGTGGCTCAAGCCTGTAATCCCAGCACTTTGGGAGGCCGAGGCGGGCGGATCACGAGGTCAGGATATTTGAGACCACCCTGGCTAACACCGTGAAACCCCGTCTCTACTAAAAAATACAAAAAATTAGCCGGGCGTGGTGGCGGGCGCCTGTAGTCCCAGCTACTCGGGAGGCTGAGGCAGGAGAATGGCGTGAACCCGGGAAGCGGAGCTTGCAGTGAGCCGAGATCACGCCACTGCACTCCAGCCTGGGCGATAGAGCGAGACTCCGTCTCAAAAATAAATAAATAAATAAATAAACAAAAAATAAAAATAAATAAAAAAATAAATAATAAAAAGCAGTAAAAGACAAAAGTGAAAATGTTGTTTCTAGAGGGAGATAGTATGAAGATTTTAGCACTCAAAACAAGCATGACAAAAATAGTATTTGTGAGTGCTTTCAGCAAAGGTTGAAATTGGCAGCAGCACAAAGGGTAAAAATGTGTTTAAGTTGGAGTTCCCTCAGATTTGATGAGTATAGAAGATAGGAAACATGCTCCAGTGAAAGGCAGGAGCATAAGTATCCTAATTATACCAGCATAATCTGACTTGCAAACTGGCATTATTCTTTTTTTCTTAAGAAATTAATGAAATTACAAATAAGTTGATTCTTCAGTGTATTTTTTTTTATGTTTCATATTCAGGTTTGGTTGTGTGTTTGGAGGGGGCATTAAATATCAGCTGCCCCATTCTGACAACAACCCTACAAAGTAATTAGTAGTATTCTCCTCACAAAGGAAAAAACCAAGTCTCAGAGAAGGAAAGTAACTTTCATCTTAAAAGCAATGGGGAAGAGCTGGTTTATATAATGGTCAATTTCAAATATTTGAACAGTTTAAAAGATCGGGATGCAAAAATATCGTATAGGCTATTTATTTAGGAGATAAATGTGTATTGTTCCTTGCTGCAGCATAACTGTTGAAGGGCATATGACAAAAAATGAAAAACATATTGACACTGAGGTAGATTTACTCCGTTTTTATAATCCAATTCCTAAAACATACTCACATGTGTAATGTTGATGATGTGATCTCAAGAAGATTATTTAATTTCTTGGAGCCTCCATTCTGTTACCAATAAAATGACAAGAATATTTACTTAAAATTAATATTACTATGAAGATGAAGTTACATGTATCAACCAGCTAGCGCGTATCAATAGTTGTCGCTTAATAAGTCAATGGTATGCTCCTTCAGTCTATTATTTTTTTTCTTATTACCTGCAATGTTACATGCTTATCTGGAGTGCTGGCTTACACTTCTGTTACACGTGGGACATTGTGAGATTTATGTGCTTGTTGCAACATCTCTGTTCATCCATTTTTACTCCGTAAGCTCAATTTGATATTGAACCATATGGCTATAAAATGTATATGCATGAATGCATGTATATCTTCTTGACTCTTTGCATGACATAATACATATTTTCTCTTAGATATTTAATGTAATGACTATTGTTTCTATGTATTTTCAGCTAAAATATAGGTCTTCATCATTTTTTTAAAAAAATTATGTTAATTTTATGTACACAACAAATAACTGAATATATTGTCCCTGTAAAAATACTAAATTTTTAAATTAATGTTCATCACCTGCACTTTTAATAGACATTATTTTTAGGGTAGTTTTTGTTTCACTGGCAAGTTGAGAGGAAGGTACAGAGACTCCCCACATAACCCTGCCACCATGCAGGCACAGCCTGCCTCATTATCAACATCCTGACCAGAGTGGTACATTTGTCACAGCTGATGAACCTACACAGACACATCATCACTCAAAGTCTACAGCTTACATTAACTCTCACTCTTAGAGCTGTGTGTTTTATGGGCTTGGACAAATGTATAGTGGCATGTACCCACCGTTACAGTATCATGCAGAATAGTTTCACTGCTTTAAAAATCCTCTGTATTCCACCTATTCCTCCCTTCCTCCCCTTAAATACCTGGCAACCACTTTTCCTTTTAAGGTCTTCATAGTGGTGTCTTCTTTGCCGGAATATCATAGAGTTGGAATTATACAGTAGGTAGCCTTTTCAGATTGGCTTTTATGTAGCCTTTTCAGATTTAGCAATGTGCATTTAAGTTGTCTTCCTCCATGTATTTTTGTGGCTTGATAGTGCCTTTATCGCTGAATAATATTTAATCATCTGAATGTACTTCAGTTTATTTATCCATTCTTCTACTGAAGGACATCTTGGTTGCTTCCAAGTTTGGGGAATTATCAATAAAGCTACAGTAAACCTCCATGTGCAGGTTTTTGTGTTGACATAAGTTTTCAACTCATTTGGATAAATGTCACAGAATGTACTGGGTCATCATCTACATTTTATTATCAGTTCACTAAAGGATAATAATCTTAATTTTCTTATATACAGAATTTAAGTTTAGCTAAAATACTCATTGGTAAATATTTGAATCTGCTAGTAAATAGTAGTTTCTTATCAAGTTTTTAAATAAGGAATGTAACATGTTTCATGATATTGCCTATAACCTTTACTTTGATTTTAATTAACCTTTTGTGAAAAAGCATAGTGACATAAAGTGACATTTTAGATATGGTGGCATGATTGGAAGAAAAAGAAAAACATTCACAACCAGTTATTGCATGTCTACTATTTTCCTAGCATTTTCAAACAGATGTATAGAAAAGTTGAATAATCTGATTTCTCTTTTAGAATGAAGCAGCTTAGGGTCAGGGAGGCGGAATAATTTGTCATAGGTAATGCTACAGTTCCATCTGTCTAATCCCAGGTTCATTTTCTTTCCAAGACATAATATTCACCACTTTGAAGGGAGGAGATTTCTGCTTCGTTTGTTTATGTCAGCTTTTTTCCACAAAGAGTTTTGAAACCACAATGCCCATGTGTGTATCTCATGTGTGTGATTTTTCTCTGTGGAAGTTCAGGGTAGGGCTACAAATGATTTCATAATATGCAAGTCCGGAATATAAACCATATGGCCATATTTTATGCTTGCATAAATAGATCATGTTATCTCTACACAACAGTAGCAGTACGTGTGTAATTACATATTCACACAGTAGTCATTACGGTAATAGTCTTTGGCCTAAAACACAGAAAATCGTAACAGTGCAGCTACTCAGAAGTAATATGTGACATTCTTTTACATTTTTGCTTATAATAGAAATAGAATCGTAAAAATACAGGATTTTTGGAAATTAAAAACTGTGTTTCAAATGCAAAGCATATTTATAATAAGAAAGACTACACCAATGTTTTCTATAAATGAAACGTACTATGTTTAAGAATGTTTTCTTAGCTATGCCCTATAATTTATATTTTCTCAAGTGTTTATCCAAAGTTTGTCTGCTACTGCAGTAAACATGCTTTGTTAGGAATAACAAATGCTGCTACTCTTTCACTGTTTATAATTTCCTGCAGCATTCAAATTTAGAGTTGCTTGAATAAATAATCGCTAATGTCAGAAATATTTGTTAAAATTCCTTCAATTTTAGCTAAGAAAAGGAAAAGCTCTCCAAAGATAAAGGACAGTTCCAATACCGATAGGTAGGTAGGTGAGGAAGAGATGTCTTGGAAAAGCCTCACCCTTGAATTATTCTCAGTGAATGGAACTTAACTGACCTCACCTGTGAAAGTGAAACGATATATCAGATCCAGCAGTGGCCGTGATTACTGCAAATTGCAAAGTAGGAAATTCTTCCAACAACATGAGATTTTGTTTATCTAAATACCCTGTTCAATGCCAGAGACAAGTGGTAGATATTAGATATGGAAATAGATAATCTTTTTCGGGGGTGGGGGCGGGACAGAGTCTTGCTCGGTCGCCCAGGCTGGAGTGCAATTGTGGGACCTCGGCTCACTGTAGCCTCTGCCTCCCAGGTTCAAGTGATTCTCCTGCCTCAGCCTCCCAAGTGGCTGGGATTACAGGCGCCCGCCACCACGCCCAGCTGTTTTTTTGTATTTTTAGTAGAGTCGGGAGTTTCACCATGTTAGCCAGGATGGTCTTGGTGGCTCGCGCCTGTAATCCCAGCACTTTGGGAGGCCGAGGCGGGCGGATCACGAGGTCAGGAAATAGATAATCTTACTCAGTAAATAAATTAAAAAATTTTGAGACCAGCCTGGCTAACATGGAGAAACTCCGTCTCTACTAAAAATACAAAAAATTAGCTGGGCGTGGCAGGCGGCTGTAATCCCAGCGACTCCAGAGGCTGAAGCAGGAGAATCGCTTGAACCCGGGAGGCAAATGTTGCAGGGAGCGGAGACTGCGCCACTGCACTCCAGCCTGGGTAAGAAGAGCAAAACTCTGTCTGAAATAAAATAGAAAATAATAAATTAAATTAAAAAATAGAAAAACAATTTTTTACTAAAATAGTTTTGTGAGATTATAAAAATACTGTATTTTAAAGTTAAATGTGACAAAATGAATAATTTATCCAGTAGATATGTTAATAAAGACACCAAACATCAAATTCTCATATTGTTTACCTAAAAAGGTTGCCTTTTTTTCTGAAGGACATCAGTAAAGGGTAATAGATTTGAATGCATTTGAGAGTCCTTTGTCCATGTTTGGATTTGTTTACAGCAAATGCTGACATGTTTGGATAACGAATTGGTGATAGATAAGTGAGCACTGAGAAAAAGTTTTTGCCTATTTAGTAGTAAATGATGCTTGATCTCTTTTTTTTTTTTTTTTTTTTTTTTTTTGAGAGGGAGTTTCACTCATGTAGGCCAGGCTGGAGTGCAGTGGCACCATCTCAGCTTACTGCAACCTCCGCCTCCCAGGTTCAAGCAATTCTACTGCCTGAGCCTCCTCAGTAGCTGGAATTACTTGCACCTGCCAACACGCCTGGCTCAGTTTTTGTATTTTTAGTAGAGACGAGGTTTCACCATGTTGGGCAGGCTGGTCTTGAACTCCTCACCTCAGGTGATCCGCCCACCTTGGCCTCCCAAAGTGCTGGGATTACAGGCATAAGCCACCGTGCCCAGCCACTTGATCATTTTATAATCATATATTATTGGTAATATCATGGAATGATTTATTTGATATGCCATTCAACACTAAAAATAAAATAAATATTTGATAAAATATTTAAGCAACACAATCCTATGAATTGTACATTATTTTCTTGTGTAGGTGTATATGTTTGAAAAAGAGCTCTTATTTTAATTTTTGTTTTTTTAAATTTTTATTTATCATTATTATTACTGTTTCAGTTTTTGGGGGAACAGGTGGTGTTTGGTTAAACTGATCAGTTTTTTAGTGGTGATTTCTGAGATTTTGATGCACCCATCACCCAAGCAGTTTACATTGAACCCAGTGTGTAGTGTTTTATCCTTCATCCCACTCCCACCCTTCCCCCAAAGTCCCCAGAGTCCATTATATTATTCTTATACCTTTGCGTCCTCATAGCTAAGCTTCCACTTATTAGTGAGAACATATGATGTTTAGTTTTCCATTCCTGAGTTATTTTACTTAGAATAATGGTCTCCGACTTCATCCAGGTTTCTGTGAATGCCATTATTTTGTTTCTTTTTATGGCTGAGTAGTATTCAAGGTGTATATATATATATATATATATATACACATACCATATTTTCTTATCCACTCATTGGCTGATGGGCATTTATGCAGGTCCTAATTTTTGCCATTGTGAATTATACTGCTATAAACATGCATGTGCAAGTGTCTTTTTTATATAATGACTTCTTTTCCTCTGGGTGGATACTCAGAAGTGGAATTGCTAGGTGAAACGGTACTCCTATTTTTACTTCTTTAAGGATTCTCCATACTGTTACCTATAGTGATGGTGCTAATTTACATTCCCAAGAGCAGTGTAAAAGTGTTCCCTTTTCAGCACATTCACGGCAACATATACTATGTTTTGATTCTTTAATTATGGCCATTCTTGCAGGAGTAAGTTGGTATCATATTGTGGTTTTGATTTGCATTTTGTGATGTTGAGCATTTTTTCATATGTTTGTTGGCCATTTGTATATCTTCTTTTGAGAATTTTCTATTTATGTCCTTAGACTACTTTTTGATGAGGAGTATGATGATAATGATTATTATTATTATTTATCACTGACTTGTTTTAGTTCCTATAAGATCCTGGATTTTAGTCCTTTCTTGGATGCATAGCTTGCAAAAGTTTTCTCCCACTCTATGGTTTGTCTGTTTACTCCACTGATTATTTCTTTTGCTGTGCAGAAGCTTTTTAGTTTAATTAAGTCCCATCTATTTATTTTTGTTTTTGTTGCTTTTGCTTTTGGGTTCTTGGTCATGAACTCTTCACCTAAGCCAATGCCTAGAAGAATTTTTCAATGTTATCTTCTAGAATTCTTATGGTTTCACATTGTAGATTAAAGTCTTTAATCCATCCTGGGTTGATTTTTATATAAAGTGAGAAACGAGAATCCAGTTTCATTCTTCTACATGTGGCTTGTCAATTATCCCAGCACCATGTGTTGAATACGGTGTCCTTTCCCCACTTTATGCTTTTGCTTGCTTTGTTGAAGTTCGGTTGGCTGTAAGTATTTGGCTTTATTTCTGGGCTCTCTATTCTGTTCCATTAGTCTACGTGTCTGTTTTTATACCAGTAGCATGCTATTTGGGTGATTATGGCCTTAGAGTATAGTTTGAATTTCGGTAATGTGATGCCTCCAGACTTGTTCTTTTGGTTCATTTTTGTTTTGGCTATATGGGCTCTTTTTTGTCTCATAAATTTTAGAATTTTGTTTTCTTGTTCTGTGAAGAATGATGATGGTGTTTTCATGTGAATTGCATTGAACTTGTAAATTACTTTTGGAAGTATGGTCATTTTCACAATATTGATTCTACCCATCCATAAGCATGGAATCTATTTCCATTTGTTTGTGTCATCTATTATTTCTTTCAGCAGTGTTTTGTGTTTTTTCTTGTAGAGATATTTTGCCTCCTTGGTTAGGTATATTCTTAAGCATTTTATTTTATTTTTTGCAGCTGTTGTAAAAGGGGTTGAGTTTTTCATTTGATTCTCAGCTTGGTCGCCGTTAAGTGTATAGCAGCGCTACTGACATGTGTACATTTATTTTGTACTCAGAAACTTTACTGAATTCATTGATCAGATCTAGGAGCTTTTTCAATGAGTCTTTAGGGTTTTCTAGGTATACAATCACATCATCAGCTAACAGCAACAGTTTGACTTCTTTTTTTTTTTTTTTTTGAGATGGAGTCTGGCTCTGTCTCCCAGGCTGGAGTCCAGTGGCTCGATCTCAGCTCACTGCAAGCTCTGCCTCCCAGTTTGACTTCTTTACCTATTTGGATGCCCTTTATTTCTTTCTCTTGTCTGATTGCTCTGGCTAAGACTTTCAGTACTATGTTGAGTAGAAGTTGGTGAAAGTGGGCATCCTTGTCTTCCTCCAGTTCTTGGGGAGTGATTTTAACTTTTCCCCATTTGGTATAATGTTGGCTGTGGGTTTGTCATAGATGGCTTTTATTACGTTAAGATATGTCCCTTCTAACCCAATTTTGCTGAAGGTTTTAATTATAAAAAGATGCTGGATTTTGCCAAATGCTTTTTCTGCATCCATTGAGAGGATCACATGATTTTTGTTTTTAATTCTGTTTACTTGGTGTGTCACATTTATTGACTTGTGGATGTTAAACCATCCCTGCATCCCTAGTAGGAAACTGACTTGATCATGGTGGATTACCTTTCTGATACACTGTTGAATTCAGTTAGCTAGTTTTTTGTTGAGGATTTTTTCATCTACGTTCATCAGGGATATCTGTCTGTAGTTTTCTTTTTTTGTTGTGCCCTTCCTTGGTTTTTGTATTAGGGTAATACTGGCTTCATAGAACGATTTAGGGAGGATTCCCTCTTTCTCTATCTTTTGGAATAGTGTCAATAGGATTGGTACCAATCCTCCTTTGAATGCCTGCTGTAATTCAATTGTGAATCCATCCGGTCTTGGGGGCATTTTTTTTTTGTTGGTAATTTTTAAATCACAATTCCAATCTTGCTGCTTGTTTTTGTTCTGTTCAGAGTTTCCATTTCTTCTTAGTTTAATCTAGGAGGGCTGTATATTTCCAGGGATTTATTCAGCTCCTCCAGGTTTTCTAGTTTATGCACATAAAGGTGTTCATAGTAGCCTTGAATGATATTTTGTATGTCTGTGGCATCTTCTGTACTATTTCCCATTTTGTTTCTAATTGAACTTATTTGGATATTCTCTCTTTGTTTCTTGGTTAATCTCACTAATGTTGATATAGTTTGGCTGTGACCTCACCCAAATATCATCTTAAATTGTATTAGTTTGGTGCAAAATTAATCACGGTTTTTGCCATTAAAAGTAATAGCAAAAAGAGCAATAACTTTTGCACCAACCTAATGGCTCCCCAAATCCCCATATGTCATGTGAGGGACCCTGTTGGAGGTAATTGAATCATGTGGGTAGGTTCCTCCCTTGCTGTTCTCATGATAGTGAATAACTCTCACGAGAGCTGATGGTTTTGTAAAGGGCAATTCCCCTGCACATGCTCTCTTGCCTGCCACCATGTAAGATGTGCCTTTGCTCCTCCTTCACTTTCCACCATGATTGTGAGGCCTCCCCAGCCATGTGGAACTGAGTGCTCTAATCTTCATTATTTCTTTTTTTTTTTTTCTGTAGGGTTTTGGTTGGTTTGTTCTTATTTCTCTAGTTCCTTGAGGTATGAGCTTAGATTGTTTATTAATGCTCTTTCAGACTTTTTGACATAGGTATTTAATGCTATGAAGTTTCCTCTTGGCACCACTTTTGCAATATCACAGAGATTTTGATAGGTTGTGTTGCTATTACCATTTAATTAAAAAAATTTTTAAATTTCCATCTGGATTTCATTGTTGACCCAGTGATTATTCAGGAGCAGATTATTTAATTTCCATATATTTGTATAGTTTTGAGGATTCTTTTTGGAGTTAATTTCTAGTTTTATTCCACTGTGGAGTGACAGAGTACTTAATATAATTTTGATTTTCTTAAATTTATTGAGACTTGTTTTGTGGCCTATCATATGGTATATCTTGGAGAATGTTCCATGTGCTGATGAAGAGAATGTATATTCTGCATTTGTTGGGTAGAATGTTCTGTAAGTATCTGTTAAGTCCATTTTCTAAGGTTTAGTTTTAGTTCATTGTATCTTTGTTGGCTTTCTGTCTTGATGACCTGTCTAGTGATATCAGTGGAGTATTGACATCCCCCACTATTATTGGGTTGCCATTTATCTTATTTCTTAGTTCTAGTAGTAATTGTTTTATAAATTTGGGAGCTGCAGTGTTCGGTGCATACATATTTAAGATTGTGATATTTTCCTGTTGGGCTAATCCTTTTATCATTATATAATGTCCCTTTTTGTCTTTTTTAACTATAGTTTTTTTAAGTATGTTTTGATGGATATAAGAATAACTGTTCCTGCTTTTAGTTTCCGTTTGCATGGAATATCTTTTTTTAACCCCTTTACCTTAAGTTTATGTGAGTCCTTATGTGTTAGGTGAGTCTCTTCAAGACAGCAGGTAATTGGTTGGTGGATTTTAATCCATTCTGCCACTCTGTGTCTTTTAAGTGGAGCATTTAGGCCATTTATATTCAATGTTCAAAATATTTTGAATGGTAATTTGATGATTTAATTGTAAAAGATTCCAAAACATATGGATCACATTTTCCCAGTTTTATTACAGTTCCATTGGGTTTTCAAATAATGAGAAAAAAAAAAACTTAAAAAAAAGAAACAGACCCAAAACATGTGAAAAATAGCTTCAGCATTTCAACACACTCAAAATCAGCAGGATTTGCTCCTCCCAAGTATGTAAGTGACCTAAATCACAGTATTTCTGTATGAGTACATATTTTCTTTTTGTCAATGTGTTAAACATCATCTATTAGGCATAATAACATCAAGTGATTATTTACGCATTCTTAAAAAATAATTGAATAGTAAGTTGTAGAAAACACATACACACACACCAGCCTTCTAAACTTCTAAAAGCACTTGAGAAACCAATGACACTAACAACTACAACTTAGGAGACTTGGCCAATCAAGTTTTGTTTGGTTGTGGTTGTTTGCTTTTTAAAATACCTGTCAAAGAGAGGAA
Organism: Homo sapiens; assembly: GCF_000001405.40. NCBI lineage: Eukaryota > Metazoa > Chordata > Mammalia > Primates > Hominidae > Homo > Homo sapiens. The sequence goes on along the minus strand of NC_000021.9, from coordinate 27,332,937 downwards.
TGGGCTAGATAAGAAAATGTTACTAATTCCCCACCCCTTTTATTTTGAGACGAAATCTCACTGTCACCCAGGCTAGACTGCAATGGCAGGATCAGAGCTCACTGTAACTTTAACTTACTGGGCTCAAGAGATCCTTTTACCTCAGCCTCCCGAGTGGCTGGGACTATAAGCAGACACCACCATGCCTGGCTAATGTTTTAGTTTTTGACGAGATGAGGTCTCACTATGTTTCCAAGCTAGTCTTGAAATCCTGGGCTGTAGTGATCCTACTGTCTTAGCCTCCCAAATTGCTAGGATTATAGGTGTGAGCCACCTGGCCTGGACTGTATTTTTCCCCTTAAATCCTCTTAAATGAGAATACAGTTGTGTAAAATTAAAATTTTAGATTCAGGCTATTTGAAAATATAATATTAAAAGCTTGTCTACTTTTACTTGATTTGCAAGGGTAATTATTTTGATCCTAATCATACTTACCATATAATTTTTCTACAGTTATAAAGACTGACGAATGCACTTGTTTCAAAAATGTTCCAGACTCCATGAATAACATGTGAAAATAGTGGTTTTTTTTTATAATTTTGAAGAAAATGTGCATATTTTATCTTGAATTTGAGAGACGAGCAATTTTTTTTATCTCCACCATGTTTTCTCAGAAACTATAATTAGCTAGACCCAGAATGTCCAACATGCTGTGGTTTCCTTTCTTAAAGCTTAAGCTAATATCTTTTTACAGTCTCTATAATCTTTGGGATACTTTTAATCTTCCCTGTCCAAATTATGTTTTTGTTGTCTTTGATTCTTCATTTCTCTTTAATTCCCTACTTCCAGAAATGCTCCAAGCTCTGTCAGTGTTCTAGATATGAGTATCTGTTATTTCCTTTGCAATCCCTCTATTGTCATTTTAGTCTTGCTTCTCATCCCTTTATACCTAGATTTTCTCACTATAGCAAATCCAAATGCCATGATTCACCCCCATTTCAAAGCCTTTGTTCAAGATGTTTTTCATTACTCAAAATCTCATGCCCTGCCTCTCAAATGATTCCGCATATCATAATCCTAGCGATTAAGAGAAGTGGTGGTGAAACACTGGCTTTTCACTTATTTTGGAACACATGAAATTATTTTATTCATTTTGTGATGCTGCTTTAAAATTTAACATCATGCTGAGTAAATACAATACATATGCATATAGGATTTAACTTTCAACTTTGGACAGTTTTAGAATCTCTGCTGTACAATTGAACATAGATATTGCCATGTATATTTTTTAAGCAAACAAATTGGAATCTATAAAATAGTTTCCATCTAAAGAATTTCAAAGTAAATTTAACTGACCACAACATTTGTTGTCACAACCAGACAGGGTAAGAGCTTTGACTAGTTTAGTTCAATTATAAATAATATAGCTGTTACAACAATTTGAGAAACACTTTGTTTTTGCTCTGCCCATATTATTATTTCTTTAAATCAAACGTTTATCAAAGACATCAGTGGAAAGCATTTCAAATAACTAAATATTTTATATACGTACATCATCTTAAACTAAAGTGATGATTAAATGCTAGATTGTTTTTTAGAAAACTTGAAATGCTTTAAAAATTGTTTTAGAAAGCTTTAACAGTTATGTAAATATATTTTCTACCACCTTCTAAACTTACCCATATTTCTGAGATGTGGGTGTACGTATTTTGAGGAATACTAACTGCTACCTACATATGCCCTCTGCCAATAATCTCATCTTTGAGTATACAAATTTATAGGACTCTGAACACGGCTTCAAAGCTCCTTTATTTTCTGTATTTCAAATTAAAAAGTGACTACACTATTCTAAACCATTCATAACAACTATGGCAGCTTTTATTATTATTATTTTTATTATTATTTTTAAGCAGAAACATGAGTCAGTCTGACAATAACCATAGACGAATGAGGTAAGCCTGACATTTATTTAGTAACATTACTGAAGAAAGACTAGCAATGGCACTTTTCATCTGACAAAGATGTTTCATTTTTTGTTTTTGTTTTTATTTTTTACAACATCTGTGCAAGAACCTCCAACAGTGAGAGGTTTAATTATGTGAACTGTAATATGTCTTCTAAGATTGTTATTCTCTGATTGTACTGAAATTCTTTTAAAACAAATCACAGCACAAAAGAACCAAACACACACACAACACACACATACACAACACATAAGATTAACAAGCATATATATTCTTCATCTGTATGTTATTTTAACTACTGTGGAAGTAAAGTTCTTTCCAGAAAACACACAATCAAAAGAACAATGCTAGAATTTCTTCCAATGAATTCAGTATTCTAATAACAAATCTAAAGAGGCTCTATTAAGTTTTTCTTAATATTAAGGGTCTATTAAGAAGTCTGTTAAGGCCGGGCTCGGTGGCTCACGCCTGTAATCTCAGCACTTTGGGAGGCCACGGCGGGTGGATCATGAGGTCAGGAGATCAAGACCATCCTGGCTAACACGGTGAAACCCCGTCTCTACTAAAAATACAAAAAAATAAGCTGGGCGAGGTGGTGTGCGCCTGTAGTCCCAGCTGCTGGGGAGGCTGAGGCAGGAGAATGGCGTGAACCCGGGAGGCAGAGCTTGCAGTGAGCCCAGATCGCGCCACTGCACTCCAGTCTTGACAAAGCAAGACTCCGTCTCAAAAAAAAAAAAAAAAAAAAAAAAAAAAGAAGTCTATTAAGATAGTTTTTCAGAACACAATACATAAAAATAGAGTGCACATTATTGCATGCACACACATGCACATATTCACTCTCATACCAAAAGTCTTCAGCGATCACATCATGGTGTGTGTGTGTAGTTTTCTCTGCCTTGCAGTTTCAGTTTCATTATTTTACAATACATTCTGTTACGGAAGGAAGAACGTAATCTGGGTCATTGATGGAATGGAATAATCGTCATGTCAAACTAAAATGCATCATGCAATGTAAAGAAAGATGGCTTACTAACAGAAGGAAAGTGATGCAGCTTCCTTCCAATTAGATCCTAATGAAAAATGTAACATATGCAGTATTTTGGAGGATTTATTATGAGTTAATTAGAACATGTTGTGTAGGAACTAATAATGAATAACTCGAAAGGGTTTATAGTCACAGCTCTGTGAGTAGCTGTGAATACTAAAGTTCAGCAGCACTAATCTCAAAGGAAATAGTAGGAGAAGGAATCTAAGTTGTCATTGTGATGAAATAAAATAGTCGCAACTGCAGCTGGACCATTAACTAATATTGACTCTTGCTCTAGAAGCTGTCAGAGCTCTGCATTGAAACAGCTGGGAATGTTCTGTCAGGGAGCCACGGGAGAAACATTTTACTTGGGTTGAAATTCAAAACTTGATATTTGCTAAAAACATAAGAGCCATATGTTTACTCGTGAGTCAGACAAAACTAAACATAACTTTTTCAGTGTATTCTAGAATGTTTTCTTTTTTCTTTCATCACACATCTATTAAGCATTTACAAAGTGACAAGCACTGTACGTTCCCAAAAGTGCACAAATTACACACCAACCCTGCTGTTTTGGAAATTGCAATCTAGAAAACATCGAATTCATCATTTAAAGGTTTTTATAAGAATGGTGATTAAAAAAAAAAACAAAGCCTCATTGGTTGAGTAGGCTAACTGCTTTAAAAACAGATCCAAAGAGATAGAGGTGGAAGCAATGGAAGTTTTGATCCCATTAATATTTTAATCTTGGGCAAAGTCTTCCAGTTGAGGGATTTGCTTTCAGGCATGCTGCCATTCATGTACCTAGGCTCCTTTCACTCTCTTGTTCCACCATCCCATTGGGCCTCACTGTCTTCAACAATCAGACAGCAGAAGTTGAAGCACCCAGTTCAGAAAGGAGCACACCCACTTATTGAAAGCTTTGGTCCTAAACTGGCACATACCACTTGTACTTGCATTCAGTCAGGTCCAGTAGCTTCTACATATAGCAATAAAGGGGGCTGTTAGGGGTGGGGAAGACAGACAATATAATGACTAGTTTGGCACCTACTTTCCAGCTACAACTTTATAATATGAATGAGGAGACCAGAGAACAGTAAGACATCCCTACAATATGAGTAAAACAGGTAACAGCATTCATAAGCAACTCCAAGCTTAAAAATACCTTAATATACAAAATATTACTAGTGTTTCACATAGAAAATTTATCCTCTGACAATGTTTAGACTCATCACAAGGAATATTTTCTTTAGTAAATATCTGTTTAAAGACTTTGGATAATAGTGTCTTCTTCAATCAAGGATAATACCAGCACTGAAATGACTATTCAATAAGTGAATTTTGAAGCATTAGATTATTTCATTAATATTAGCAGGAATCAAGCAATTACAAAAATTTACAGTGCCAAACTCAATCCCTATTGTCATTTTATCATTTATTTTATTAAAGACAAGAATACGTTTATAATCAAAAATACTTGGTATTGGATGTTTCCAGATTATCAGTGGCATACTATTTAGTAAATAGATTAGTTTTTTAAAAACCTGTGAGATGAAGTGTGGAGAATGGTTGGAAAGAAAAAGTTATAAAATGTAAATAATACATCTAGAATTATATCATAGTTGCCTTGCTTCAAACTCCCCGAAATCTATACTAAATGTATCCTTTTCCCAGTCTATCTTCTCTTTTAATCTTATCTATCTGTTTAAATAATATTCATCTTCATAAATATAGCTGGGTCTCATAGAACAATCATAGAATCTCTCATAGAACAATCAGATGTCTACATGAAGTGAAAATGTGTACAAGTGGTGAAATAAATGAAGTCTCTGTTACGGTGGGCACTGCTATCATTCCATTTTGTATGGGTCAACAAAAAAGTTTATTTTTTCAAGGAAGAAATGTCCCAGTACTGAAATTTTAAAAGGCAAAAATAAGAATGGGCTATCTTTTCTTGTCTCCCATCACCACCACACCTTTATTAGCATCTTGGGGTGATTATACAAACTTATTCCGGACAAAGAGACCTGAGCAGAAATCATCAGAGAGATTGGCTTGAATTGGCTTGAAGAGTATAATTTTACTGTCTCACAGTTCTGGAGGCCTCTAAGTCCAGCATCAAGGTGTCCACAGACTTGTTTCCTTCTGAAGGCTGTGAGGGAAGGATATGGTGCAGACTTGTAGATGGCAATTTTCTCCCTGTGCCTCTTCACATCGTGTTGCCTCTATGTGTTCTGTCTCTGTGTCCAAATTGTCCCTTTTTAATAAGGACATCAGTCATATTGGGTTAGTCCTTAATTTGTAAAACCCTATCTCCAAATGGTGACATTCTGAAGCACTGAGAGTACTGTGGTCTCAATGTTTGTGTTCCCCCAAAATTCATATGTCAAAATCCTAAATCCAAGGTGATGGTATTAGGAGGTGGGGCCTTTGGGGTAATGATTAGATCATCCCCAGCCTCCAGAAGTGTGAGAAATAAATTTTATTGTTTATAAGCTATCTAGTTTATGACATTTTGTTATAACGGTCCAAAAGAACTAAAACAGGAAACTCCAATATCTTTTTGGGGGGCGACACAATTCAAACCATGACAGAGCTCAAACATGATGTTGAGGCAAGGTAATTATCTTATAATGAGGCAACCAGTATAAGAATGAAATCCAACAACAGAACAGGATATGGCTGTGGGCAGAAAACTAGAATGAGGATCACTAGTGGCACTAGAAAGTAGTAGACTACCTATGCTTACTTCAAAATAAGTTTTACTAAAATATATTTCCAAAATGAGAAATATACAAATGTCTTGTTAATAGAGTAAAAGTTTAATATTTATTTTAGAAATTGTTGAAATATTTAGAAAAACCAAGATTGGTACTTTTACAGGCATATTTTACTTTATTTTTTATAGGTGTGTGTGTGTGCTAATCTGAAAATGAACGTATCTTCTCATATTTGTTTTAAAAATTGATTTATATTTTCACATTTACTTAATTACAATATTGCTTTATAAAAGAAGCCATTATTTTTAGGTATTTGCAAATTTTACTTTGATTGCTGAAAAACGTGATTGAGCAAACAAAAACAACAAAAGACACACTAACTTCTTCACGTACAAATGGAACAAAAACACTACAGAAATATTGTCTCCCAGTGGTTTGTAAAGGATTTGATTTGTGACACCGTATATTAGATTATAACCCTCTAAATGCTTTTGTTCCCGTTCTTATTATTTCAGTGTCATGTGAATATTTAGCTCAGTCCACATAACTATAATAGACAAGACAACACCATTGCTCAATGATGTTTCTTTAAAGATTTTCAGTTTCATAGCATGCTTAATGTTTGTTGTTTATGATTTTTATGTCTCTTGTATTGAAATAACTGACGTTACTGCTTTGCAATGAACACCTCTGCATTGTACACATTCAATTCACTCCATCAGTTCTAAGACAGAACTGAGTCTTCATGTTTGCATTTCCTGCTGTGTGCAGGCAGTTAACCACGTTCTTTTCCTATTTACATAAGCAAATGATTACTATTATGTAAACAGTTTAACTTTTAAATGCTCAGTATCTTCCATTAGATCTATTACTAGACTCATTTTATATATTCTTAAAAACACCGAAATTTGAAAGAAGAGATATTCGATTAGGGAATCATTTTAAGGCTAACCAGCAAAATACAAAGTTTTATATAACAAAAAGGAAACGCAAATCACTTTTCAATAAGAAAAACCTGAAGAATAGTAGCAATGGAAGTTTCCATCTATACATTAGCCATTTTAATGGGATTCATGTTCTCATAGAACAAATAGAAATTGATGTAAATTTGTGTAAATGTTTACAGACACACGGCTGAATAGACAGTAAAGTATCAAATGTCTCATTGTTTGAGTTTAAACAATATCTTAAACAAAGCAGTAAAAAGACATTTAGAATTTTTACTTTGCAAATAATTTAAAAATTCCTCTTTTTTGTCATATTGCCCTTTGGTTTAAAAGCAATGGCATTTTCTTATTCCTCTCATTCTCTTGACTTAACTTGGGATTGATATAAAAATAATAAGATGTTGATTTGGAGGAGAAACAGTCATTCCAAAGGATGGAATCACGGTGAAAAGTGCTTTAAAGAAAGCAAAAGGTTTTCTAAACTTTCTATTAACAAGCATTATTAATGTGTTGTTAAATTCTTGATGTCAAAATAATACCTGAGGGTATTTGATAAATCAAATGATTCGTGAGTTCTATGTATATTTAATTTCATTCAAATAATTTGAAATAATCATCACAGTATAAAAATAATTCAAATAAGATATTTCTCACAATAATTATATAATCATACTACTATATGGCTGGAAAGAATTTTAGGTATCATGCAAAACGCCTTCCAACACAACTCAGGAATCTCTTTGATGTCCTTTTCTATATGCGGTTACACAGGGTCCCTTAATAGTCCAACCAAAGAGGATTTTTATATAATGTCAGGGCTACTGAGTTGTTTTCTGAACAATTCTGTTTGTGATACAGATGTGCTTAACAAACTTTGCTCTTCTTAATTTCCACTAGATTTGCCTTGCTAGGTCTTCCATTTGTTTACCAAATAAGTTTAATCTGTCACAAAAATGGAAAATGCCATCACTCCCTATTTGACTTTATGTCCCCGAAGGGAAGAACCACTGCTTATTCACCATCATATTGTCATGACCAAGCCTATAATAGATGTTCAGTTATTATTTGTGGAAATAAAATGAAGAACAGCTCTTTACATATTATTCTAAAGTTGTCATCATCATAACCACATAGCTATATAGTGTCATAATTTATGAGAACAATTTGTTGTCATTAGCTGCAATTCTCCAAAATTCTGCTTTGCAGTTAAGTTAAACCTCTCTTCCTTTCTCCCCTTTTCATTTGACCCCTTAATCTTATTTGCACTAATTTGGCTTTCCTATCCAAGCTATTCTAAATATTTTCAGAAGTTCTTACTTTATTTTTTATTAGTTCAAATTAAATTATCTTTGAAAAACATTGTATTCAATGTCCATCGCCATGCTGACTGATATAGTAACTTCTAGGCAGTGGCTATCAAACACTTGGAATGCTACTGTTTCAGATCGAGATGGGTTGCAAGCATAATGCATAACATATTATGCAGACATATAATCAAAAAGGAATGTGTAATATATCATTAATAATTTATTGATTACAAATTGAAATGAAAATTTTTGGACATATTGAGTAAACAAAAATACATTTCTTAAAATTAATTTTACTTGTTTCTTTTTTACATTTTTAATGTGGCATTTAGAAAAATTTAAATTATACACTTCATTTTCATGGATAACACCTGTCTGAAGGAATTACTGACAAAACATTACATTGAGAAATAGCCATGATTGGCATTCATGATTTTTGTTGATCTGCTATGAAGCTGTAAAGAAGCATCAGTGTCTCTCATTATATATTATTTCAAAGAATTGTCTTTCCTCTGATAATCTAAATTGCTTACAAATAGTGCCAAGGCCTGTTTTAATCTTTTTGCCAAAGACTGGGCTTTTCAATTTTCTCACTGATGTTAAGTTCTTATCAAAGAACTAGACAGGAAAGCTTTCATAAGTCTCTTTTTCTCTGCATGCCTTCATTTGCCTTCTTGCTGCTGCTTTCTGCATTTGCTTTCTGCATTTGTTAATCCTGTCAATTTGTTTTTCTGAATGATATTCATGGCTGTGTTATATGAAAACATTAGTTTTTAAATATAAAATAAATTTTCATTAGCATGTCTGAATAGCATCCTCTGAGTATAATAAGTACAATGGAGGCTGGGCATGGTGGCTTACGCCTGTAATCCCATCACTTTGGGAGGCTAAGGCAGATGGATCACGAGATCAGGAGATCGAGACCATCCTGGCCAACATGGTGAAACCCCGTCCCTACCAAAAATACAAAAATTAGCTGGGCATGGTAGCACACGCTTGTAATCCCAGCTACTTGGGAGACTGAGGCAGGAGAATTGCTTGAACCTGGGAGGTGGAGGTTGCAGTGAGCCAAGATGGCGCCACTGCACTCCAGCCTGAAGACAGAGCAAGACTCTGTCTCAAAAAAAAATATTATTAGGACATGATTATTAAGAAGTAAAAGATTGCCACTCTGGAATAAAATACACATCCTTCCTATTTTAATATTTCCATTTCAAGAGCTATGTTTAAGGTCAATGTTATATCAGTTACTAATGCAAGGGCAGTCAGTGTTGAGTCAAGATAGTACTAATTTCCCAATATTCTGTGAAGATTCTATTAAATTGGATTTCAAATGACCTCACTATGTCAAACACTTAGAGAAAATAAGCAGAAATTGTTTAATGTATTTACTATTAAACTTCCAGCTATGCTTTTAAAAGAATCATCCCCTCAGTTCTAAGGTTTTTGGCTCCCAAGTTAAACAACAGTAATATAGTATTGCTGCCAAACGGAATTCTAGAAATGCAACTTTAGAACAAACTTTCTCTTTTAGGGAATTATGATCTGCAAGAATAACTGTATCCCTAAGACTTCAGTCAGTCATGCAATTATTGCCCATGACATAATTATACTTTTGGCTAATTCGTGGAGTTACAACTCAACACAAAGTACTAGATAAATATCTTCAAAAAAATCTAAATGAGATTCATGGCGAAAACGTAGCAATGTCATATTTGTTGTTGCAGGTTGCTAGAATAGTTATTAATTGGTCCACCCTTGATAATGAGTGCTTGGTAAAGCGAGATAAAAGACAAATTCTTCTTATGATGACATTTTAGGTCATAGAATCAACCTTCAACAAGAATGAGAGTTGAAACATATCTGAAGCTTGAAGTAAAGGTTGTTTATACCTGGTGCTACCAACAGTAGCCCAGTTAAATAAAATTTCTTTAGATTTTATTTTCTGTCTTATATTTACTATTTCCACAATTTTTTTATTTCATTTTTTCATTATTGTGTGTCCTGATTATTTTTCATTCCCATTACTCTTACTTTTTTCATTTGAATATTCAAAAGATTTCACTTTCAGTAAGTTGAGGCTAACCTAGACTTCCCTTCACAACTGCTATTTTCAGAATATTTTATTCCTAGAAATCACTACACAATTTCACATAATTTGACATAACCAAATATTGCTATAGTACTAAAATTTATCAGCTAAAAAATTAGCCCTAAAATATTTGCCAGAACCCACATAATAAAAAATGTATGTACATATATATATATATATATATATATATATATATATACACACACACACACACACACATACATAAATCCACTGGGTTTCTTTTCAACTCATTATTCTACAAAGTGTGAAATGTACAGATTTGGGGTTGGATAAGGTTATGGAATGACTTTAATAAATAGGTAAATTTTCAACTTTAAAAACAACAGCAATAGTAGAGAAAAATATTTCATTCATTCCTAGAGGACATTTGTTTCTGTTCCTAATGAAAGGAAAGTTTTGAAAAATGGAGCTATTCTTATGTAAATAATCACAGAGAAATTAAACTTTAAATATGGGACCTCACATGATGGTATTGGCTTTAATATGGGAATCGAATCCTTAAAAAACTCCATGTGTAATTTCCTCAAGATCACCATTTTGTGCATCTTCTAGAACTGTTCAAATTTTCTAGCATTATATACAAAATATAACATTTATTTATTTTTTTCATTTTTTAGACAAGCTATTGCATTATCGTGATGCCACTTTTGAGACGTTGAAATATGTAAAATGTAACAAAACGTTTCTAAACTTTTCCTCGTTAATTTGGTGTTTGACTTTCTACCACACCATTGTTTTATAAATGCAGATTTGCAAACGAAAAAAATACCCATTGTCTGAAAAGAAAAAATATCCATTGTGTTCTCAGTTCTGTTTCTAACTATGAACAGAAGGGATAAATTATTTTATTCTGAAATCCAAATGACAATCATTTGGGAAAACTAGAGCCTTGCCCTAAGGAAAGTAGGTCAGCTGCTTGAAAGAATATTATTGGCAACTGAGGATTTGGCATCACTTATACACTTCCTCCATTGAAGACAACTTACTAGAATGGAATGTTATCCTCTAGTCTTTATAAGTTTTGGAAATGTATTTACAGCCCATAATGCATTATTAGATGTATTTAAACAAAGATGAATTTTCTAATTTCAAAAGCCTTTGGTTTATATTTCCCATGAATTTCAATTTCTCCAAGGATTTTTAGAACGTTTTCCTTTGTAGACTGTGCCCTTTTTCTAATATGTAAGGTATTCAGATCACTGGGCATGGCTTTTTTTTTTTTTGGTCTAGCCTTTGTATTAAATGAAGTTTCCAGTAGCTACTGTAGTTAATACAATTTTGCCCATTTTGAATCAACTATTATGTAAAATAGAAGACACCTACATGATTTCATTTTATTGACAGAATGCCTTCTCTTTGAGAGAAGGTCTATGAAACTCTAAATTGGGATGCATAATCAGGATAGATAGGTAGGTGGATAGATAGATGATAGATAGATAGATAGATAGATAGATAAGATAGATGATAGATAATTATATGTTTATAAAATATATGAGGAACAAATATAATATGCCATATTTTCATTTTTAATGAATTCTTTCAAGATACAATTTACATTTACCTTGAAGGTAAAAACCAATTAAATAATTACAATGAGCATATTTTACAAAGATTGGAATTTAGATGAGTCAATAGAGAAAAATAATATTACTTTAGATAAATCAGTGAGTGCCAAGCTTATAGGCAATACTCAACCAACATTTGCTAAGTGGAATTAATGTAAAACTGTGTCAGGTGAAATATTGAAAGAGGTCTTTTGTCTGAAATAATGTTGACATAGTACTTTCGAAGGGTCTTATTGTTAATTGCAAACCCTCAAACAAAAGTTAATTGTTTGGCTTGTTCAATGAAGTCTGACTAAGAGAAGATTTTAGCAACACAAACATTTCAACTTCGGCTGTATCTCGCTTTAGTTTCCTCCTTCTGGAATATGTGGTTTTATAAAAGAAATGCATTTTCTACAATGAATATGTATTACTTTTATAAAAAATATTTTTAAGATTAGGCTAAATGATTGATTACATTTAAAGTTAAACATTAGCAAGAAAGGCAGCAGTTAGAATGAAAGTACAATTATTTCAGGTCCTCTGAGAAATGAATAGGGAAAATAAATAAATAAAACCTACATTTACAAGTAAATATTTCCTAATGCGCTTCCATGAATTTAAAATGTTAAAATAATTAAACTTAAAAACGATTATACTGAAAATCTATGTTACTAAGCTTGAATACAAATTGACCCTATATTTTTTCAATTGTATTTTTTTGGAATGTAAAGTTTGTTGTTCGCATTGCACTTATGCATGCTGTGATGGTTAATACTGAGTGTCAACTTGATTGGATTGAAGGATATAAAGCATTGATCCTGGGTGTGTCTGTGAGGGTGTTGCTAAAAGAGATTAACATTTGAGACAGTGAGTTGGGGAAGTCAGACCCACTCTTAATCTGGTGGGCACAATCTAATCAGCTGCCAGCGAATAGAAAGCAGGCAGAAAAACGTGAAAAGGAGAGACTGGCCTAGCCTCCCAGCCTACATCTTTCTCACGTGCTGGATCAGCTTCCTGCCCTCAGGCATCAGACTCCAAGTTCTTCAGTTTTGGGCCTTGGACTGACTCTCTGCTCCTCAGCTTGCAGACAGCCTATTGTGGGACTTTGTGATCGTGTAAGTTAATAGATAAGAAACTCCCATTTATGTATCTCCTATTCTGTCCCTTTAGAGAACCCTGACTAATACAGATTTTGATACCAGGAGTGGTTCTAGATGAACAGAATATTAAGGATGGAGTTCTTTCATTGGTTTTTGGGTTTCTGGAGGTGGCTGCTTAATATGATTAGACAGAAAAATGCTAAGGACTCTACTAATAGTATGGAAAACACTGATAGTCTTTGGCATGAACTGTTTAGAGAGCTATGCAAAATAAATGCATTTGATACTCCTGATTCACTGCTCGTGAGAGGCAAGGAGTTTAGTGATTTTATGCATAATACCTTTGACCATATATGGAGAATCAAGGAACATAATGAAGCTGATGGTTTGCTCCTAAGTTCAGTGGACAAAGTGATGAAAGAAAATGATGAACTCAGAGCTTCTATCTCCTGTAGAGAAAGAGCTGAAATTGTGGGAAAACAGACACAAGTTCTTAGAATGAGAGTGGCTGAACTGCAATGAAAGACTCATGCACAACCTCGCCAGGTGTCTACTGTTAAAGTGTCTAGAGGGTATTGACTGAAAAAGAATGGGACCCCGAAACTTGGAATGGGGATGTGTGGGAGGACCCTGATGAAGCTGGGGCCACTGAGTTTGTAAATCCTGATGAACCTTTTTTGTGAAAAGAAACAGCTTCCCCATCTCTAGTAGTGGCAACATCCCCTCCCCAACCCACGCTGCCATCATCCTTTCCACCTTTGTCTGAGGAGATAAACCCTACGCTGCCCGAGGGAACAGTGATGGCCTCCCCTGAGGCAGTTGCCAGGCAAAATGTTGATTCTCTTCAGGAGCCACTCCCAACACCCCTGTTTTCTTCTAGACCTATAACTACAGTCCCAGCAGGCCCCTAGAGGTGAGGTTGAGAGTGTGACCCATGAGGAGGTGTGCTACACTCAAAAAGAACTGTTTGATTTCTTTAATTATATAAACAGAAATCTGGAGAACAGGCATGAGGGTAGATATTAAGGGTATGGGATAATGGTGGAAGGAACATAGAGTTGGATAAGGCTGAATTCATTTATTTGGGCCCACCAAGTAGGGACTCTGCTTTCAATGTTGCAGCTTGGGGAGTTAAAAAGGTTCTAATAGTTTATTGGCTTGGTTAGCTGAAATATGGATTAAAAGATGGCCCACTGTGAGCAAGCTGGAAATGCCTGATCTCCCTTGTTTTAATATAGAGGGAGGGGATCCAAAAGCTTAGGGAGATTGGGATGGTGGAGTAGATCAGTCAATTTAGACCTACTCATCCCAGCTCAGAGGGTCCAAAAGATATAACCTTGACCAATGCCTTGCAAAATAGAGTAGTGAGGGCAGCACCTGCATCTTTGAGGAGCCCTATAATTTCTCTTCTCTGTAGGTCAGATCTAATGGTGGGCACTGCAGTCACTCACTACAAAATTTAAATACAGTGTGAATAATTGGATCCCGAGGTGGCAGGGGCCAAGTGTCAGTACTCAACCATCAAAGGCAAGGTGGGTGTAGCTACTGTAATGGACAGCAGAGGCAAAGCAGCAATCAGAATAATCTGATTCATATAGAGCTCTGGCATTGACTAATTAATCACAGTGTTCCTAGAAGTGAAATTGATATGAAACCTACTGCATTCCTACCTAATTGATACAAGCAGAAAACTTCTAGATCGAGTGGACAAAACACTAATTTGAATTACAAAAAGAGAATCCCAGCCCTCAATCAATTTCCAGACTTGAGCCAGTTTACAGACCCAGAACGGCCTGAGTGAAGGGGAGGCTGGCCTCCTTATGGAAGGACCCCACTACATTACCAACAATTAATGCAGTGAGTCTTTCTCCCAAGGTGGCCTCCAGCCTTTTACCAGGATAACTGTGCACTGGGGAAAGGAAAATGATCAGACATTTTGGGGACTACTGGACACTGGCTCTGAGCTGACATTGATTCCAGGAGACCCAAAACATCATTGTGGTCCTCCAAACAAAGTAAGTGTTTATAGAGGTCAGGTAATTAATGGAGTTTTAGCTCAGGTCCAACTTACAGTGGGTGCAGTGGGTCCCTGGTCTCATCCTGTGGTCATTTTCCCAGTGGCCGAATGCATAATTGGCATAGACATACTTAGCAGCTGGCAGAACCCCCACATTGGCTCCATGACTGGTAGGATGAGGGCTATTGTGGTGGGAAAGGCCAAATTGAAGCCACTAGAGCCGCCTCTATCTAGAAAAATAGTAAGTCAAAAACAATGTCACATTCCTGAAGGAATTGTGAAGATTACTGCCACCATCAAGGACTTGGAAGATGCAGGGGTGGTGATTCCCACAACTCTCCTATTTGGCCTGTGCAGAAGACAGATGGATCTTGGAGAATGACAGTGGATTATCGTAAGCTTAACCAAGAGATGACTCCAATTACAGCTGCCCTACCAGATGTGGTTTCATTGCTTGAGCAAATTACCACATCTCCTGGTACTTGGTATGCAGCCATTGACTTGGCAAATGCCTTTTTCTCCGTTCCTGTCCATAAGGCCCAATAGAAGCAATTTGCCTTCAGCTGGCAAGGCCAGCAATATACCTTTACTGTCCCACCTCAGTGGTATATCAACTCTCCACCTTTGTGTCATAATCTTATTCAGAGAGACCTTGATTGCTTTTTGCTTTGATGAAGATATCACACTGATCCATTACATTGATGGCATTTTGCTGACTGGATCCAGTAAGCAAGAAGTAGTAGCAAACACACTGGACTTATTGGTGAGACATTTGCATGCCAGAGGATGGGAAATAAATCCGACTAAAACTGAAGGACTTTCAACCTCAGTAACATTTCTAGGGATCCAGTGGTGTGGGACCTGTTGAGATATTCCTTTTAAGGTGAAGGAGAAGTTGCTGCATTTGGCCCCTCCTACAACTAAGAAACAGGCACAACACCTAGTGTGCCTATCTGGATTTTGGAGGCAACACATTCTTCATTTGGGTGTGTTACTCCAGCCCATTGATGGTGTGACCCAAGAGGCTGCCAGTTTGAGTGGGGTCAGAAACAGGAGAATGCTCTGCAACAGGTCCAGGCTGCTGTGCAAGCTGCTCTGACACTTGGGTCATATGACCCAGCATATCCAATGGTGCTTGAGGTGTCAGTGGAAGATAGGGATGCTGTTTGGAGCCTTTGGCAGGCCCCTATAGGTGAAACACAGTGGAGGCCTCTAGGATTTTGGAGCAAGACCCTGCCATCTTCTGCAGATAACTACTCTCTTTTTTGAGAGACAGCTCTTGGCCTGTTACTGGGCTTTGGTGGAAACTGTATATTTGACTGTGGGTCATCAAGTCACCATGTGACCTGAACTGCCTGTCGTGAACTGGGTGCTTTCTGACCCATCTAGCCATAAAGTGGGTCATGCACAACAGCATTCCATCATCAAATGGAAGTGGTATATATATTATCGGGCTCAAACAAGTCCTGAAGGCACAAGTATGTTACATGAGGAAGTGGTTCAAATACCCATGGTCTCCACTCCTGCCACCCTGCCTTCTTTCCCCCAGCCCGCACCGATGGCCTCATGGAGAGTTCCACTCCTCGCCAGAGGACATATTTCCAAGCAATCAAAATACCCTTTGTCCCAGACTAGTGGCCTAAGCTGCCTCTTCCTTCCCCTGCAAAGAACTTGTACAATGACGACTTTTCCACTCCTCACCAGGACACAGTCCCAGGCATTTAGAACACTTGTACAGCTGGATAGGAGCCTGAGACATTCCTCCCTTCTCATGAAGAGATCTTGGTGCAGCAGCAAACTCTCTGCTCCATGCCCAGACATAGCTCCAGGGCTTTGGTGCATCTGCCCCCTGAGAATAAGAGCTTGAGCTGCCATCCCCTTTCTGCTAAAAGAACGTCGTAGAGCAGTACTCCCTCTGCTCCACACTCAGATAGAACTCCAGGCATTTGGCATGCCCACTCTCACAGATTAGGAGTACAATCTATCCCTCCCTTCTCATGCAGACCTTGCTGTGGCAGCAGTTTCTCTATTCCTTCTCTGGGTGTATTACCTGGCATGAGGCACACCTGCTCCCCTACAGTAGGCACTCAAGCCACCCCCTCCCCTTTTTTCCTGCAAAGACCTTCTTGCAACCACAGTTTATGTACTCTGCATTCCTGGGGCATGTTTCCAGGCATTTGGTACATCCACTTGCCCAAATTTGGAGCCTGAGCCACCTCTCCCTTCAGGTGCAGAGATCTTGGTGCAGTGGAGCTTTCTGTGCTGAAAGCCCAGATATATCTCCAGGAATTTGGAGTACCCACTCTTCTTGATGTTGTGTTTAGGCCATACTCCCCTACCTGTGCAGAAAACTTGGGGCAGTGGAGGTTTTCCAACTCCATGCCTAGGCACACTTCTGGGCATTTGGTGGCTGTGCACTAGAATCCCCCAACACAGCTGGTGCTTGTGCCTGCCATTATGAGACATGAGGCAGGCCTGTCCAGTCGGGCCCTGCCTACCTTGGTCCCCCACTCTGGAGATAAGTAGGGAGCTCAGAACCCTGTGAATTCCACAGTTCAACCCATTGTCTTGGGTAACACAGAGCTTCCCATAGTAAACAAGGATCAAGTATTAGTGTATACCCATCCCGATTGGCTGCAGCCAGTTCTAACACTACAGCACCACCCACTGGCATGGAGGTTGAACCCCACAAAACAAGAGGAAATCTGCTGACACAAATGCATAGCTCTGGAAAATGTGATAAGCTTCCTGAGCCTACTCACATGCCTAACACATTGCTACTACAACAAACATTTGAGAAAGCCACCATAGAAAGGCTTCAATAACTAAGGAGTTTTTCCAGACTCTTTACCACTGAAAACTCCCAGAAACAAAGTAAAAGGACCTTATACAACATCATACATTGTAGACACCTCCTCAAGAAGGGAAAAAGTCCTTTCCAAAGTAAAGCAAAATCAAAAAATATGAAGGAGAGACAGCTTATCCAGATGTAAAAGAACAAGAGAAAAAACTCCAAAAGTATAGGAAAAAACAGTGTTACAACACCCCCAAAGTGAAGCAGTAACTCTCTAGCAATGGATCTCAAACAAAATGAAATCTTTGAAATAACAGATAAAGAATTCAAAATACTGATTTTAAAGAAAATAATTGAGATCCAAGAGAAAACTAAAACCAACATAAAGAAATCAGAGAAAAAATTCAGGACATGGAAAAGGAGACAGGCATCGTTAAAAAATAAAAAGAATTTCTAGAAGTAAAAAAAATTTTGAAATAGTTACAAAATACAGCTGAAAATTTTAACAATAGGCTAGACCAAGTGGAAGAAGAATTATAGAGTTAGAAGACAGGTCTTTCAAATTAACAGTGAGAAACAATTTAAAAAAATTTTAAATAAACAAAGACTTCAGGATATATGAGATTATGTAAAACATCCAAACCTACAAGTTATACATAATTACATAATGACAGAGGAAGAAGAAAACAAAGAAGAAGAAGAATGTATGAAAAACCTATTTGAGGAAATAATTTAAGAAAACTTCCCTAGTCTTGGGACAGATTTAGACATTCAGATACCAGAAGCTCAGAGAATTCCTAGAGATACATTGCAAGAACTTCACCAATGTATATAGTCATCAGACTATCCAAAGTCAATGAGAGGGGAAAAAAAACACTCTAAGAGCATCAAGAGAGGGGTCTAATCATTTTGAAATCCTATTATACTAACAGCAGAAATCTCAGCAGAAACCCTATAATCCAGAAGACATTAAGAGCCTATTTTTAGCCCACTTAAAGAAACAAAAAAGCCAGCCAGGAATTTTGTGTTCTGCCAAACTAAGCTTCATAAATTAAGGAGAAATATAACCTTTCCCCGACAAAGAAACACCAAGGGAATTTGTCACCACTAGACCAGACCACCAACAAATGTGCAGTCTACACATGGAAATGAAAGAATGACCCACACCATCATAAAAGATGACAGAAATACAAAGCTCACAGATAACATAAAGCAACTACACAATGAAACCACAAGGCAACTAGCTAACAACACTATGATAAACATAAAATCTCACCTATCAACATTATCCTTGAATATAAATGACTTGAATGCTCTACTCTAAAAACATAGAGTGGAAACTGTAAAAAACAAAACAAAAGAAGACAAAACAAAGAAAACAAACAAAAATTCCAGAACTCAACCATCTGCTGCATGTAAGAGGCTCACTTACTGGCTAAAGGCAGCTGCAGACTCAAAGTAAATTAGAAGAAAAAAGATATATAAACAGAAAACAAAAGTGAGCAGGAGTAGCCACTCTTATTTCAGATTAAACAGGCTTTAAACCAACAACAGAAAAATAAGACAAAGAAGGGTATTATATAATGATAAAGGGTTCAATACAACAAGAAAATTTAAATATCTTAAATACATATGTACCCAACCCCAGAGCACCCAGGTTCATGAAGCAAATACTACTACATCTAAGAAAACACTATTGTATTGATAGGAATACAATAAGGGAGGACTTTAACATCCCAATGACATCACTAGACAGAACATTGAGGCAGAACATCAACAAAGAAACTATGGATTAAACTGTACTATAGACCAAATGGACCTAATAGACATTTAAATAACATTCTATCCAACAACCACAGAATATACATTCTTCCCACCTCCACAAGGAACATTCTCAAAAATCAACCATATATTTGGGCCATAAAGCAAGTACCAATAAATTTTCAAAAAATCTAAATCATATTAAGTATCTTCCTCAACCACAGTTTAATAAAATTAGAAATTAATACTAAGAGGAAGTTTCAAAACTACACAAGTGCAAGGAAGGTTGCTCCTGAATGACTTTTCTGCAAACAATGAAGTTAAGACAGAAATAAAAAAATTCCTTGAAGTGAATGAAAATAGAGACAACAACATACCAAAACTTCTGAGATACACCAAAAGAAGTACTAAGAGTAAAGTTTATGGCATTAAATGCCCACATCAAAAAGATAGAAAGATCCCAAATTAACAACCTAATGTTGATCCACATTATAAACTATAGAAACTATAAAAACAAGAATAATCCAAACCCAAAACTATCAGAAGAAATAATAAAGAGCAGAACTAAATGAGGTTGAGACTAATAAATTGATACAATGGATTAATAAAACAAAAAGGTGTTTTTATGAAAAGATAAGAAAAATTGACATATGGTTAGCTAGCATAGCCAAGAAAAAATGAGAGAAGATTCAAATAAGTAAAATCAGAAATAAGGAAGGGGACATTACAACTGATACCACAGAAATGCAAAGGATTTCCAGACTGTTATGAACACCTCTATGCACACAAAATAGAAAGCCTAGAGGAAATAGATAAATTCCTGGAAACATGACCCTCCACAATTGAACCAGGAAGAAACATAAATCCTGAACTGACCAATAATGTGTAATTAAATAGAATAAGAAATAAAAAATCTTTCAACAACAACAACAACAACAGCCCAGGACCAGACAGATTCACAGCTGCATTTTACCAGATGTTCAAAGAAGAGTTGGTACCAATCTTACTGAAATTATTCAAAAAAAAAAAAAAAAAAAAAGACTAAGGAGGAGCAATTACTCCCTAACTCATTCCACAAAATCAGTATCACCCTTATAACCAAAATCAGGCAAGGGCAAAAGAACAACAACAAAAATACCACAGGCCAATATTCTAGATGAATATCAATGCAAAAATCCTCAATAAAATTCTAGCAAACTGAATGCAACAGCATATCAAAAAGATAATTCTTCACAATCAAGTGAGTTTTATTCCAGCAATGCAAGAATGGTTCAACATCCAGAAATCAATCAATGTGATTCATCACATAAACAAAACTAAAAACAAAAACCATATGACCACCTCAATAGAAACAGAAAAAGCATTTAATAAAATTCAGCATTGCTTCATGATAAAAATCATCAACAAACTAGGCATTGAAGAAACATACCTCAAAATAGTAAGAGCCATCTATGACAAATCCACAGCCAACATTATATAGAATAGGGGAAAGCTGAAAGCATTCCCCTTAAGAACCAGAACAAGACAAGGATGTCTCCTCTCACCACTGCTATTCAACACAGTACTGCAGTTATTAGAGCAATCAGGTAAGAGACAAAAATAAAAAGCATCCAAATTGGACAGGAACAAGTCAAATTATCTCTGTTCACTGAAGACATAATCATACAAGCAAAAAACCCTAAAGATATATCCAAAGGACTCCTAGACTTAAATAAAATCAGTCAAGTTTCAGGACACAAAATCAACGTAAAATCAGTTGCATTTCTATACACCAATAACATTCAAGCTGAAAACCAAATCAAGAACTCAATTCCATTTACAACAGCCACAAAACAACAACAACCTAGAAATACATTTAACCAAGGAGGTGAAAAATCTCTAAGGAAGAACTATAAAACAATGATGAAATAAATCATAGATGACACAATAAAAAATATTCCATTCTCATGGATTTGAAGAATCAATGTCATTAAAATGGTCATACTACCCAAAGGATTCCACAGATTCAATGCAATCTCTATCAAATTACCAACATCATCCTTCATGAAATTGGGGGAAAAAATCTAAATTTCATATGTAACCAAAAAGACCCCCAATAGCCAAAACAATCCTAAGCAAAAAGAACAAATCTGAAGGCATCTAGATTTGCCTGACTTTACTGCTGGACTTCAAATTTTACCTCAAGGCTACAGTAACTAAAAGAGCATGATACTGGTATAAAATAGGTACACAGATCAATAGAACAGAATAGATAACCCAATATAAAGCCACATATCTACAACCCACTGATCTTTGACAAAATTGACAAAAATAAATGATAGAGAAAGAGCATCCTGTTCAATAAATGGTACTGGAATAGCTGGCTAGTCATATGCAGAAGAATGAAACTGGACCACCTATCTCTCATCACATACAAAAATTAATTCAATATGGACATATTAGTCTGTTTTCATGCTGCTAATACAGAAATACCCGAGACCGGGTAATTTATAAAGAAAAGAGATTTAACGGACTAATTTTTCCACATGGCTGAGGAGGCCTCACAATCATGATGGAAGACGAAGGAAGAGCAAAGAGACATCTCACATGGCAGCAGGCAAGAGAGAGCATGTGCAGGGAAACTCCCTCTATAAAACCATCAGATCCCGTGAGACTTACTATCATGAGAATGGCGCAGGAAAGACCTACCCTCATGATTCAATTACCTCCCACCGGGTCCTTCCCAAGACACGTGGGGATTATAGGAGATACAATTCAAGATGAGATTTGAGTGAGGACATAGCCAAACTATATCAATGGTTTAAAGACATAAATTTAATACCTGAACCTATAAAAATACTAGAAAAAAATTAGAAAATCTTTTCTGGACATTGGCTTAGGCAAAGAATTTATGATGAAGACCCCAAAAACAAATGCAACAAAAACAAAAATAGACAAATGAGACTTAATTAAACTAAAAAGCTTCTATATAGCAGAATAAATAATCAGCAGAGTAAACAGGCAACCTACAGAATGGGAGAAAATATTTGCAAATTATGCCTCTGACAGAGGACTAATAATCAGAATCTATGAGGAACTCAATTCAAAAAAAACAAGCAAACAGTCCCATTAAAAGCTGGGTAAAGGACATGAGCAACACCTCTCAAAGGAAGAAATACAAGTGGCCAACAAACACATGAAAAAATGCTCAATATCACTGATCATCAGAGAAATGAAATTAAAACCATATTGCAATATCATCTTACACCAGTCAGAATGGCTATTACTAAAAAGTCAAAAAACAGGTGTTGGTGTGTATGCAGAGAAAAGGGAACATTGATGTGTATGCAGAGAAAAGGGAACTTTTATGTATTGTTGGTAGAAATATAAATTAGTTCAACTTCTAGGGAAAACAGTTTCGACATTTCTCAAACAACTAAAAGTAGAACTACCATTTGGCCCAAAAATCCCACTACTGGGTAGTGAGATTTTCTTACCCAGAAGAAAAGAAATCATTATACTGAAAAGACACCTGTACTAATTTGTACATTGCAGCACTATTCACAATAACAAAGTCATGGAACCAAACTAAGTGTCCATTAATGTTTGACTGGAATTTTAAAAATGTGATATATGTACACTATGGAATGCTTTGCAGTCATAAAAAAGAATGTAATCATGTTTTTTGCAGCAACATAGTTGGAATAGAGGCCAATATCCTAAGTGAACTAACTTAGAAACTAACTTAGAAATGGAAAACCAAATATCATATGCTTTTACTTATAAGTGGGAGCTAAATAATGCATACACATGGACATAAAGATAGAACTAATAGACAATAGGGACTCCAAAAGACGGAAGGGTGGAAAAGAGGCGAGTGTTGAAAAATTACCTATCAGGTACAATGTTCAATATTTTCATTGTTGGTACACTTAGAAGCTCAAACACCACAAGTAAGCACTATATGTAACATACAAGCACATATAACCCCAATTCTAAATAAAATTTAAAAATAAAAATAATTTCATAATATTGGTCACTTGTACCTAAAAAATTAATATTATAACATAGCACTTAATTCCAGTATTAATTGCATAGGCTACTTAAATTTAAATGTGTGATATGTGATCGTTTCCATATTTTAACCTCTAAAATACACAATGTAAGAAGCTAAAATGTTCGTTCCAAATATATAGTCCAGAGAAATTTTATTTCTAGAGATATGCATTGCAATTATTCATTATTTTTATTAGAGATTATAAAGTGAGTTATTACAAATTGTTAAGAAACATTTCTAGCACTCTGCCTTACAAAACTAGAAATTCACAAACATGCATTATAATAATTTAAAGTATTTATTATGAAGTCAAAGATGCACACGACGAACATTTTAAGAATTACTCTTGGAATGTAACAGCAATGCAGACCAATATGTTCTTATGTAGACCATGAAGAAATGTATATAAACTGATGTATTAAATAAGTGTGAAAAACGAATATTCCATAATACATAGTAATTGTTATTTACGATAAACATATTTTTAAATATATATGTGTGTTGTAGTTAATTACCTAGTAAAATTAGTATAAAAAGATAGAAAATTACCTGACTTGGTTGGAACTTTTCAAGTGCCAGATACAGTCCTGGATTTTTAAGATGCGTGAAAAAGTACCTGAAAGCCCTCATTGATAAAAAGAGGAGACGGTGCATATCAGCTTACATGTTTGCTCCTCTGTTTAAGGAACACTGGCTGGTCAGAGAGTTTTATATAGAAGGGAGCCCTCTCAGCAGAGATGCTGCCCCTCGTGATCTGACTTCCCTCTAAAAGCAACCACTTGGACCAGGATTCAGCATTAACTCAAGAGCAGTCAATTCACAGGTCAATCGAGAATCTTGGATATGGATAGAAGAAAAGAGATAGCAGTCAGGCCATGTCTGGTGAACGTCACTGAAAATAACAACAAAATAGCAGAGGAAAACTTGTTAGCATCATGGTAGATTTGAGGTACAGAAAAAGCCAAGGACAGTTCATGGCATTGAATATAATAGCCTTGCCTCACGGAGCTTAGAGTGGGGACGGATAGCATTAGGAGATATACCTAATGTTAAATGACGAGTTAATGGGTGCAGCACACCAACATGGCACATGTATACATATGTAACTAACCTGCACGTTGTGCACATGTACCCTAAAACTTAAAGTATAATTAAAAAAAAGGAAAACAATCATTAAACAAATACTCATGAACTACAAATATTACAACCAATAGTGCTCGACAGTATGAAGGGAAATTGTAAATTTTATGAGAAAAATGGTAAACCCCACATTAGACTGGGACTTCAAGGAATGTCTCCAGTGAAAATAATTTGCTTCTGGACCCTTCTAATTCAGGACATTGGCTTTCTCCTGTTAGCTTATCTGTGCAGAGAGCAGTGGACAATTCCAGTCCTATTGTTCCACACCCCCCACCCTTACCATCACCACCCTGCGTTTTTTGTTGTTTTTGTTTTACTGGACAACACTTGCAATTTTCACCAATCATTCTAAGTCTCAAAGTGAGATAAAGATGTGCTATACAATGGAGCTAAGATGCAAATTGTTTTATCTAATGGAGTAAGGACTTTTCATCCTTTTCTGCACACAAA
Source organism: Homo sapiens (assembly GCF_000001405.40). Lineage (NCBI taxonomy): Eukaryota > Metazoa > Chordata > Mammalia > Primates > Hominidae > Homo > Homo sapiens. Next base: position 27,308,035 of record NC_000021.9, on the reverse strand, counting down.
TATCGCTGAATCTCCTGGGTTTAGAAGTATGAATTAATACGACATTGAGAAAGTAATGTTCCTAAAAGCTAAGGAACGGGCTGAATTATTTTTCTGTTGACATAAAGTCTTCAAAAGTTCCAAGTCTCGAACTACCGAAATGATACAATTTTGAGTGTTTGAATTGTTTTTTTTTTTGAGGAGTGGACCTTTATGACAAATACTGAGATTAGGAGAGTTGGATTTGTATAGTGTACCAAAAACACTCCTAAAACCACATTTATTCAAACATAATGTAATACATGTTTTATAAACTACTTTTTACAGATAGATTTAGTTTTTGTTACACCCTTTGGGGAGTTAACTGAGAAAGTGTTCCTGTAACACTCTCAATTGTTTGGATGCATTCTTTAGAAATTAATATCCTTATTGGCGTATGTGTTATATTACCTCATATGCTTCTTTGCCTAAAACTTGCTGACATTTTAGTGGAAAAAAATAGAAAGGAGTAGCCTATCAGCTATGCTGCACTAAACTGCTTAGTATTATGCAGCTAGGCAAGCAGGGCCCTTACAACATGCCTTAACAGTGAATTTCATGCCAAAGAACAAGATGCTTGCAGGATTTTTTAAAAGTTTGGGGTTATGGGGAGAGTAGTAAAAAAATCAATGTTTTTGTCATATTGCAAGCATTTGATGAAAGTTAGAAATATAAAGATATGAGGTGAAAGGATTCTTGATCTCTCTCTGTCAGTGAAATCTATGCCTTCCCACTTTGTTTTTTTCTGACAGCAAATATTTTCACACTACACATTACAGAGCTGGAGTAGAAGATAACTAACTCTTTATATCTGCAAATTCCTAAAACATGGACAAAGTCCAGTCCTCTTTTGTGAGACTTTTGTTATCACGAAAGGATTTTAACTTGTTTATATTCTTCTTGCAACAAAAGTCATTTTTGTAGATTTTTTCTCCTCTCCTCTTGAGAAATGTGCACAGTTGGAACATCTTGCATGATAGTGTGTATGTATTAATAGATATATTTCCCTTTAAATTTGACATATGTTGATATCTTGCTCCCTTGGCATCAAATAAAAATAAAAACAGATTTTAACTTCAACTTTAATGTACTTGGCAAAAAACTGGAAAACAACTGAATTTAATTAAGCACAAATGCAGTGATTCGAAGACATTTTAGACATGGAGCATGAATAAATCCAGCGATTTTGTAATTTTCAGCTCATGTGAACAATAGCTATTATAATTCCCATTTAATAGCTGTAAACTTAGGGATATAAATAATTCAAATTACTTTCTTCAAACACAGTCTGTAGAAAGGAGTAAAATTGAAATGTAGCAGTTGGGATTTTAGCAACGTCTGATGTTTGCTTGATGTTTATGAAAGAAGAGAACAATACAGGGATCAGTAATCTCACAGAGGAAATTAAGGAGAAAATAGTAATTAAAAAAAAACAATAGTGTTTCTCCATTTTACAGTTTACAAAATATTTAACAAGCAATGTATCTACTTGTAAATAGGAATTAAAATTTCTGCTATTCACTGACTCAGATACTAAATAGGGTAGTTGTTAAACATCCCCAGAGAGAAACACTAAGTTGTCAGAAAAATAAAGACAGATGTAGAGGGAGGCAGTAATGGTTTTTGATGGTGCTTACACACTGAGGGCTTCCTGATATGGAATGAAGGACAACTTACATTGTGGATGGAGTCCTGGGACCTCTCTTAAGACCCCTGGGCAGGCCAGTGGTATTTTGTAACTGTCTCTTATGGTTTTATGAAATATTTTGAAATTTTGAAAGTTAGCTGGTAGCTGGAAATTGGCCATTGTAAGAGTATTTACACCATGGAAATTGGCTACAAATCCGGATATTTTTTTTCGCAGACATCCAATTTGTCAGCACACAACTACTTGCACCTGAAGAGTAGCCTGGGCACTTTTATGTATAATCCAGTGCTAAGCTACTGCAGTCTACTTTTGGGGGTGAAATGAAACTTTCCAGCAACGGTTAGTGAGAAGTCCCAGTTGGGTTGTCAGTCACTGTTTAAGAATTCTCCATAATCATCAGCAGTGAGGCTTTTGGAAAAAACATATTTCTTTTATTTTTTTTTTTATTTTTTCTTGAGATGGAGTCTCGCTTTGTTGCCCAGGCTAGAGTACAGTGGCACAATCTTGGCTCATTGTAACCTCCTCCTCCCGGGTTCAAGTGGTTCTTCTGCCTTAGTCTCCCGAGTAGCTGGGACTACAGGCACGTGCCACCATGCCCTGCTAATTGTTGTATTTAGTAGAGATGGGATTTCACCATATTGGCCAAACTGGTCTCGAACTCCTGACCTCATTATCCACACACCTCGGCCTCCAAAAGTGCTGGGATTACAGGTGTCAGCCACCGCGCCTGGCCGGAAGAAGCATATTTCAGGCAGACCATATGGGTTGTTTTCCTACTTCCTGTTTTAGATCTTGGTTACATTACTACAAAACATAATGGCATATGAATATCTGTCTAATGCCAGTATCAGACACATATGCTGGTCACAAGGCTAAATAATTTACCCCTACATGAATTTATCTTGTCTTGTTTCTGTGCTTGTTTTATGATGGGTATTATTGGCTATCTTTGTTTTAAAGTTATCTTATCTAGTTGTGAATGTAATCATTGCAAGACAAAAGACATGTATTTTATGCAGTGTTGAAGCAGAAATAATAAAGTAAGTTATATAGCTTGGATTTCTTTTTATTAAGAAGAAATCTTCTATGTGTCACTCCAGATGTTAACCTTTGGTGGTGAAGAGCTGCCACCAAAAGACAATGAATACTTTTTTCCTCACCAAGATAGAAAATGATCCATAAGTCAGTTAATTAATCAAATCATCAGTTAAATAACAGTTATATACTGAGTTTGAGACCATTTTTAAAAGAACATTAATTGCTTCAGCTTGACTTTCATTTCTTCATAGAATGCAATAAAGGCAATATACATCATGTTTCACCCATCCAGTTATAGCTTCTTGGGGCTGAGAAAAAGAGGGGTCAACCATTAGAAATGTCCGCAATCAATGGATTTTCAAACCAGTCTTCTTCCCAGAAATTTAGAATTATTTGGTGATAACTATAGAAGACTTGCCATGAGAGATTTTTTTTTTACAAATTAAATAAATATATCCAGAGAAGAATGGGGAAAAAAATTGTATATCTTACTGTTGCAGAATCAAAAATCCCAATATTTTGGAGAACACAAGTGAAATCTCCCCACTTCTTAAATAACTGTTATTTCCTATAGCATGGTCCACTGATGATGGTGCTTGGTGCAGCAATCAGGATGATCTGGGCTCCAACAGGAGTCAATTGACCTATCAGATAGACAATTTATTGCTGGACACGGAAAGGCCTCCTCTAACATTCTTACGGGACTGGCTTATTCCTGAAGCTAACTCCACTCTCTATCACAGCTTTAGAAAGCTTTGCCAAACACGGCAAAGTCTATCAGAATGAGGGAGAGATTTATTTCCCTGCCACTCGTTATGAGAGCATGAGCATCATTTCCAGCCATTTCGTGGAACCATCCTTTATGGTAGCCTGACAGTGGCTACTGCTTGCTACTAAAAAATTCGTTACTGAGGCAAATATGACCTTTGTGTGTGCCTTTAACTTATAGGGATTTACCACACGGGCAGGCAGTCAACAAAATCAAACCATTTCCAACAGTGTCTACGTAAGTAGCATTATGGCGATACAGCTTACTTAACTTGCTATTAAATTCAATGACAAATTTCAGAGTGTGAGGTTTTTCTTTCTGTTTTATGCTGTTTGCAAATTGATACCTCAGAAATGTTATTCATGTTTATAGATGGTAGATAGATGTGTGTTATCATTTAACCATTTCCCATATTAGTGAGGATAGATGAGGATATGCTACAATCCCAAAATCTCAGCAGCAGAACACAGCACAATGTATTTCTCATGTCTGTAAAGTCCACCATGCGTTTGGTTGACTTGATCCACCAGGCAGTGACTCAGTATACCAGGCAGCTTCATCCTTTTCACATTGTATCCTCAACAGTGGCCTCCACATTCTGTGTCTTGGAGGAAGTGGTAGATAGGAGAACTGTATATGGGATTACTGTTCCTGCAGCCCAGAAGTGAGACACATCACTTCCTTTCATTTTTCCTTGGCCATAACTAATCCTATGGGCCTGTTAGGAGGTGTGATTTTCTATATTTCCATAGAAGAAAAAACAATCAGACATGGCTGAGCACTATTATTTTCTACCACTCCACTCAATAAATGTTTCTTTACTCCTAGTAGTGTCCATATCTACTCATTGTGCTTTATAGATATATGCTTTTTTTCATTTAGAAGTTGTCTTAGTCCATTCAGGTTGCTGTACCAAAATATCATAGACTAAATGGCTTACAAGCACTGGAAATTTTTTTCTCACAGTTCTAGAGGCCGGAAGTCCAAGATAAAGTCCTGGAAGATTTGATATCTGGTGAGGGCCCACTTCCTAGTACACAACCCTCTTCACCTCACATAATTCTAACCTGTTGATTGTCTTTGAGGTTTTATTGTTTACCCATAAACTGGAGTAGATCCCAAATTCTTCTTTTTTCACTAAAAATTAAAACGGATCTGTTTCCAATTTCTGCAAACTGAAATTGGACCACTTGGTATAAACCTCAAAAAAATTACCATAACAAATCATATATGGGCAACTTTCATGCCTGCTACTGTGTGGGCTTCTCAGAGAGGCCACTATAACACCCCGTGTCATAACCAGAAACACTCAAACTGCAAACCGGGAAAATCCATCACATTGCAACTGCTATTCTCACTCCATCATTTTTAGATTTGAATCTTTAAGTTTAAATCTAGAAACTGCAACTAACTGCCATCCAGACTAAAAAAACTAATCTTATAATTTGTTCCAACTATTAACCTTTTTTTTTTTATGTTTCTAATAGTGCCTTAAGTTATCTTCAAGTAATACAATCTGAAGTGAACAATTTAGCTTCAGTATAGGAGAGTTCTTAATACCCTAATTGCTCAAAAAGGAGATTATGCTCTTACTGGGAGAAAACGCTGTTTCTATGTTAATATGTTAGGCATTGTTACCCAAAACTTAAAATAACTTAAGATCAGATGCAAATCTTTTCCCCAAAAGGCAAGGCTTCTTTCTTTCTCTCTCTTTTTTTTTCCTTTTTTTTTTCTTTTTTCCTTTTTCTTTCTTTCTTTCTTTTTTTTTTTTTTTTTTTTTTGAGACAGAGTCTCGCTCTGTTGCCCAGGCTGGAGTGCAGTGGTGAGATCTCGGCTCACGCCATTCTCCTGCCTCAGCCTCCCGAGTAGCTGGGACTACAGGCGCCCGCCACCACGCCCGGCTAATTTTTTGTATTTTTAGTAGAGACAGGGTTTCACCGAGTTAGCCAGGATGGTCTCGATCTCCTGACCTTGTGATCCTTCTGCCTCGGCCTCCCGAAGTGCTGTGATTACAGGCATCAGCCACTGCACCCGGCCAGGCGAGGCTTCTTTCATGAATGTATTTAACTAGTTAAATCTTGGCTCCTGGGAATCTCTGCTCTAGGGAATTTTTCAGTCCTTGACTAGTACTCTCTTCATAATCATTGTATTAATCTCTCTGGAGAGTTCTATCTTCTCAAGTGTGTTAAATGCCCTTTGGAAGCCACTCACACATCAAATGGCATCTATCAGGATTATGTAGTTCAGAGAACTCAATGCCCTTACCACCCATGTCTGTGATGGTCATGCATGCCTCAGTGACAGTGACTTCCTGACTATCCCTCCAGTGACTACATCAACTGTGGTACCTCCGAGTAATGCTATACCATTTGGCCACATGCTCAGCTTTCTGAGAGGCTGACCAAAATGTGGGTAGTGTTAAAATAAAATGGAGACCAAGCTTGAGAATCCCCTGATCAGACAAAATCAGTTAGGCCACCTGAGTGAAACGTAGCTTAGGTGATTTCTTGTAAATGCCTCTGACAGTCATAAATGAAACACGTTGGCTTCTAAAAATGGTATAATATGATCACCTTCCACTAACTCCCTGCCATCTTGAAACCTCAGTAGCAATAGCCAATTATTGTAGAGATTAAGTGACTTCTTCATTTTTGTTTTATACCCCAGCCTATAATACCATATGTCTGAACTTCCTTTGACCACTTTTAGGTTGAGCATTCACAGTTCATCAACTGTCAATTTGTATGTACCATAAACTTAAAGTTTTCAATCTGATCTGATTTTGCTGTTGACAATATATTAATAATTTTATTCAAAACAAAAAGAAAATTTTCAAAATGCAATTTATAAGGTATGTTATTCTTAAACCTTATCTTTTTATCTTGACTCCATCATACCCCAAACCAGCGATACAAGCTTACATGTAGATCACTTTTATAAGGCTGTATTTCAATCCCTAGTTTAAAAAGTTACATGGGAAAGTACTTAGGTATGATTCATTTGAAAAATCTTGCTTTCCTCATTTAAAAATCTACTAAAAATATGATAGTTTCCTACAACTTCTGGATGAAGAATGTATTGAGCTGCTAAAACTCTCTTGGCGTGTTCAGCTTCTTGTTCTCTACACTGCTTGATTTATGAAAGCCAGTGCTTGAAGCCAAATTGTTTCTAAGACAAAGGTTGGTGTTTTAAAAAATGGACTGTGAGGTAGTATCTTGCATCACTGTTATGGACTGTTAAATTCAACGTTTACCAGAGCTTGATTTTGAGATATTCCTCTCTCTAAATACATTGTTATTTTATGAAGTTATAGGTAGCTATATTTTTAAACAACAACAACAAAGGTGGTGGGTAGGTATTATGGAACTTAAAGAGCATTCTTAAAGGTGCCCAAAATTGGAAGGGACCTTTAGACTATATAGTTTTTAATGCAACATATGTCAAGGGCCTTACTCACTTCCATGTAAATTAAATATTTATTGAATTTGCAAGCTCTTTGAGGTTGCTGTGTCAAATACCAAGGAGATAGGGTCATAGAAATACTTACTGGTACAAAAAAACTGATTTAATTATTCCACTAAAGTTGGAATTGTGAAATTCTGCATATATAAATCAAGGAAATAATCAAACCCAATCCAATAAACACACACACACAGACATACGCACTGAATTATAAAGGTCTGTGAGTAAGAGACAGAGGAGACACATCAAAGAATATGGGGGTGCAGGCATGGTGGCTCATCCCTATAATCCTAGCACTGTGGGAGGCCAAGGCGAGTGGATCACTTGAGGTAAAGAGTTCAAGACCAGCCTGGCTAATGTGGCAAAACTCCTTCTCTACTAAAAATACAAAAATTAGGTGGGTGTGGTGGTGCACACCTGTAGTCCCAGCTACTCAGAGGCTGAGGCATGAGAATCACTTAAACTCAGGGGGCTGAGGCTGCAGTGAGCTGAGATAGTGCCACTGCACTCCAGCCTGGGTGACAGAGCGAGACTCTGACTCAAAAAAAAATAAAAATAAAAAATAAGAATAAGAGGTGGGGAGAAGACGAAATAAGAGAGTATATCATGGTGAAAGGAGACTGTCAAACATCTACAAGTTTGGAAAAGGTCTCTTGTCCTTTCCTTGGGTAGGAAATATAAATCTCTTTCTGACAAAGAATGTGATTAATTTGAGGGGGATTATGTGCCCAATAACCAAAAACATTGGCTATTTCCTCCACTCATTGTATTTTGTTCTTTTGTTTTATGTATATTCCCTGTGAAGATGGGAACCATGTGTGAAACCCAACCTCAACGAAACTTAGTAAGCATTAGAAGCTACAGGATTTAACATTTCTGTTACAGTCATAATTGTAAACGAATCTTTCATTTCATGGTGACTTATAGGTCTCTGATTATGTTTTGAAATACGGTGGTGCTTCAGTTGCTGTATCTTAGAATAATTTACTAGAAAGTGCCCTGTAGTCCTTTCAACCACTGGGTGGATACACCAAAATGTGGAAACAGTGTGGGTAAAGTAACGATGCCACCCAGAAAAGTAAAACAAGCCAAGTGCCAGATTTTGGTTAAAGTATATAAGACACAGACAGGCTTCTGGCCAAAGATACAGAGAAGCAGGAATAAAAGAAAAACAAATGTAAATAAAGAATGACCAGTATAGAATTCAAAAATAAAAAAGTAAAACGAGAGAAAATGTGCCACACCCAGAGCCCTTCTGGAAGTTTTCAAACCCAGAATTCTACTGAGGGAAATGGAAATAGTTATAACATATTTCTAAACCCCGCTTGTCATAGTTGATTGGGCTAGGAGTGAGCTGAGCATCTAATCCAAACCTAACAAACTCTAGGGTGACCAGAATTCTATGGAGTACATTGACACAAAAGCTAGTTCTTTTGTTAAATGAGAATGATTAACTTGTATCAATCAAATTTTTCACAAACGTTTTTGAGTGTCAGATACCCAAATTCCCACCAGTTCATGAAATAAGCCAATACAAATTAAAAAGGAATAGAAATGATACATAAGCAGAAACAATGACTAAATATTAGGAAGTACACAAAGATATGCAGAATATAATGACAGTTCCTTTGGAAATGTCAGACACTGAGATTGAAAGAACATGGACATTATATTTGCAGACTGGGAAAGATCACATGACCACCTCTTCCTCCTGAGATGTAACAAGCTCATAGGTCTATGTCTTACCTCAGGCTCTATGGAAAACAGACCCTGAGGTTTAGATTTGCTTTCAGGCAGTTTTCTAGGGAGTGCTCTTCAGAACACCTCGTTCAGAAGAGTCACACATTTGGGATTAGACAGAGGGAGGACTTTAAATTTGATATATTCTTAGCAATCTCAAAAGATCTCTGGCACTGAGCAAACCCTTCAGAGGGCAGTCTTTCACACTCCTTTATCACCAGTTGTACTCCAGTTTACAGTCAAGATGGGATCGCCCTAATACAACCAAGGTTCTTCCTCTTATAACTAAAAACCATTGGATATAACACAACAAACAAGCATTTAAAAAGTCTGAAATGTTAACAAAGAAAGTAGGCTGAGTAGTGACCTTGAGACTTGAGGAACATGGTGGTGAGTTCCCAGGTTTTTTTTTTTTTTAAATTGCCCACTTATAACTGCCAATAGAACACCAAAAAAAAAAAAAAAAAAACCTGGAAGAAAAACCAATTCCTATTAGCCAAAGTACTAGGAAAAAGTGGCCAGGTGGCCAAACAACAGAACACCATTCCAGCAATTGCTGCCTTACTCCAGCCAAACACCAATAAAAAACATCAACATACCCTCTCCCCACCCTACAGTTTCGGTGAGGCTGAGTGAGGAGCTGATCTTCTGTCTCACCAAGCTATCTTGCAGAGGCAGGGAGTAGAGCTCCAATTTTCCCAATGGAAAAACTATGGTGTCAGCAGCACTGAGCAAACAACTAATCTTCCATTCCCAGTCATGCAGAAGCAGATGGAGCTTCTATTTCACAGCTGGATATTGTTAACAGTGCAGAGAAAGGAGTTTATTATGCAAACCTCTTCTAGTGGAAGTAGATGACAACAATCTAATTCACCTACTGGGTTAGTATAACAGGGACCAAATGGTACTGATCTCAATCTCTTGTTTGTACAAGAGGTAATGCTGCAATTCTCCCACCAAGGTAGCGTTGGTGGAATCCAACAACAAGGCAATGCAGAGGCAGGATATTCACAGCTAGGCATCATTCTTCCCACACACCCACTCAGCCTTCTGTGTTGTCAGAACCCAATGAGATCCTGAATCTCCATCTCCAGATGGCAGCACTCTGCCCACATCTCTGGTATCAGTAGGGTCCAGGGGAACAATAAGTCTCCTCATCTACCCAATATCAATGAGACAGAACAAGGCGGACAGAGGCAAGGCTAGTTTGTACTCCACTTCCTTCCTTCTCCTCCCCTGGTGCCAGTGAGGCCTAGAAAGGAGCTGACCTACGACTCCTACCCAGAAGCACAAAGCGGTATTATTCAGACCTCTGCTTCTCCATTTTCTCATGTCAGTGGGGCTTAGAAAGGAGCTGAGCTTATACTGCACCTGTCTCCAATGAAGCAGTGTGAGTCAGCTGTCTGCCTTCGCTTGGGTGGTACCAGTGGGGATGAGAATAAAGCAGAACATAGAAACTCACTCCACTCTTGCACTATACTTTAAGATTAAATAGGATCTGGAGTCTCATAATGTAATATTCAAATGAAAAATAAAATATTACAACTTGAATGGGAAAAAAATGATAGAGACCAAAACCGAAAAGAATCAACTGTTGAGATGATCGGAAACGGACTTTAATGCAGCCTTCATAAAAATCCTTTAAAAAACAATTATAAGTTATCTTAAAATAAAAAATAAAGAAAATTTCAGCAAAGAAATAGAAGTTATATAAAAGAACCAACTGGAAATTATGGAACTGAAAAATACAACCAGAAGAAAAAGAACTCACTGGATTGCTTTGTCATTAAAGTGGAGTCTCTAGAATATGTCAATCAAATTTTCTCAGTCTGAACAATGGATTAAAAATGGATTGTAAATGCTGCATACGGTAGCTCATGCCTATAATCTCAGCACTTCGGGACACCAAGGTGGGTAGATCACTTGAGCTCCTGAGTTTGAGACCAGCCTGAGCAACATGGAAAACCCCATCTCTACAAAAAAAAAAAAAAGCCAGGAATGGTGGCATGTGCCTATAGTCCCAGCTACTCAGGAGGTTGAGGTTGGAGGGTGACAAAGTAAGACCCTGTCTCAAAATAATTACATTAAAATTAAAATAATAAAAATAAACTCTACAGAAAAAATGAACAGAATGTCAGAAACCTGAGGAACAGCAACAGAAGAGCTGAGATTTCTAGCTGCAAAGTTTCAGAAGAATAAAGAGGGTAACACAAATATTATTTGAAAATAATGGCTGAAAACTCTTGAATTGGTTAAAGACAGAAATTTGAGATCGCAGAAGCTGATTGTTTATTAGTCTGTTCTCACACTGCTACTAAAGACATACCCGAGACTGGGTAATTTATAAAGAAAAGACGTGTAATTGACTCACAGTTCCACATGGCTGGGGAGGCCTCATAATCATAGCAGAAGGAGAATGAGGAGCAAAGTCATGTCTTACACAGCATCAGGCAAGAGCTTGGGCAGGGGAACTCCCATTTATAAAACCATCAGATCTCATGAGACTTATTCACTACCATGAGAATAGTATGGGGGAAACTGCCCCCATAATTCATTTATCTCCACCTGGCCCCTGGCCCCACCCTTGACACATGAGGACTATTACAATTCAATGTGAGATTTGGGTGGAAATACAGCCAAACCATATCATAGATGAAACCCTAAGTATGATAAACCCAAAGAAATCCATGCCAAGACACCTAAATAAATAAATTTTTGTCAACTAATGACAAAGACAAATATTTTGAAACCAACCAGAGACAAATGAGTGTTACAGGGGAACACCAATTTGAATAACGGTGACTTTCTTTTCCACAATGGAAGCTAGAAGGAAGTGATGCAGCATTTTTCAAGTACTGAAAGAAATAAACTGTCAACCATAAACTCTATATTCAGCAAAAATATCTTCCAGGAGTAACGAGGAAATACAGACATTTTCAAATGTAATAAAATTAAAATATTTCGCTAGCAAGCCAACTGTTAAATGATGGCTAAAGGAAGTTCTTCAAACAGAAAGGAAGTGAGAGCAAGAGAAGGTGTGGGACTTCAGAAAAGGTGCTCCCGATAGGCATTGACATGCAAAAAGGATTTAATAATTTTTTCTCTCTCCCAGAAGCCTATTTCTATATGAGACATACTTAGATTTCCTTGTCCCTTATCTTCCAATATTTCTCATTCCAGATGGGTAACCAACCAGCCAATCTAATCTCTACTTTGTATCTTGCTCATGAAGCCTGTAGCTTTCACATTTAGTCTTTAATTGTGGATTATCTTCATCTTTCCATTGTCTTCCTCTTTTGCATACATTTTCTCCAGCAATAGCTATAAAATACTATAGTCCTTATATTTAACTCTTTACCTGCATTTCTCAAAAGCCTAGCCTATTAGACCTGCCAGTGCATTCTCTTCCACCAATATCCTATCCATTTTCATAGTCATGGCACATTTTACCCATGCCATGACTATGAAACATTATAGCTTGAAGGATTTGCTCATGTCCTACATGCTACCTGTGATGAGGTTTTTGGGGAGAACTGGCAGGAATGCAACTCAGTTCCAAAATCCTATCTTAAAAATGTTTTTCTCAGACCACTCTTGATATTAATTGTCTTTTTTTTTTTTCTCTAAGAAATGCCTTCTGATATGGTTTGGATCTGTGTTCTCCCCCAGATCTCACCTTAAATTATAATCTCCATTATCCCCATGTGTCAAGGTCGGGACCAGGTGAAGGTAATTGAATCATGACGGCCGTTTCCCACATGCTGTTTTCATTATAATAAGTGAGTCTCACAAGATCTGATAGTTTTATAAGAGAGGGCATTTCCCCCGCTTGCACTTCTCCTTTCTGCCGCCTTATGAAGAAGGTACCACCTTGCTTCCCCTTTGCCTTCCTCCATGATTGTAAGTTTCCTGAGGCCTCCCCAGCCATGCTGAACTTTGAGTCAATTATACCTCTTTCCTCTATAAAAGGAAGAGTCTCAGGTATGTCTTTATTAGTGGTGTGAGAACAGAATAATACACACCCTGAGACAGATGTTTGTACACAGGGATTTTATTGGGGGGTGGTTGCAAGAACAATGACTGTGGAGGGTGAAAAAAATAGGATTGGGCAGGAGGCAATGATGAACAGTGATACATTCACAACAACCTCAAGAGGAGATCTGGAGATGAGCCAGCCCTGCAGAGTTGACACTCACTAAGCCAAAGGAGACAGACCTTCACACATTATTTTAATCTGTCATTAGACAAGGTCTTCACACCAGAGAGGAGGCCTGACTTTAGGCAAAGCAGTTCTTTTCAGCTGAGGGCAATTCCAAGAGCACCAATGCCAGTGGCTATAACAGTGGGTGCCTCCATTCTAAATGTGGCTCTGGGAAGTCACCACAATATCCATTATAACCTCCCTCTGATTATCAACTATTTTTCTGCTCTGAAATTATATCTCAGTCTCCTAGATATATCTGATTGTATAGTTATTTTAATGGAGTTGGCTGTATCCTTATTTCTCTGTGCATTATTGTGATTAACACCCTTTACTTGAGCTAAACAAGTGGAGCTTTAATAATTTTTGTCCTCTATGTCATTTTCATGCTATATGAGTAGTTACATTCTTGTTAAGAGATGAATAAAAAGAGAAGAATGGTATGCTGGGAGATGGTGTGCTATTAAAAGAAAGTAAGTGTCTTATATCTATATAATTCTTGTCCCAAAAATGAGCACACAATATCTCAAGGAACTGATGTCGGATTATCCTATCTTCAATTTATTGACATCAAGGAACCAAAAGGCCAGAACTATTAGTAAACATGTTCTTATTTGGAGAAGAATGAAAAATAGAACTGTATTTGAATTTGCTTGCTCTTCTCCTGCAAAAACTATGGTACCACTTGATATGGTTTGGCTGTGTCCCCACTCAAATCTCACCTTGAATTGTCATAATCCCCACATGCTGTGGGAGAAATCCAGTTGGAAGTAATTGAATCATGGAGGTGGGTTTTTTCCTGTGCTGTTCTCATTATAGTGAATAAGTTTCACAAGATACAATGCTTTTATAAAGGGAAGTTCTTGCCTCTTGCCTGCCGCTGTGTAAGACTTGCGTTTGCTCTTCCTTCGACTTCCACCGTGATTGTGAGGCCTCCCCAGCCATGTGGAACTGTGAGTCCATTGAACCTCTTTTCTTTATAAATTACCCACTCCCTTAGGTATGTCTTCATTAGCAGCATGAGCACAGACTAATACACCACTAAATCAACAACAATTTGTCAAGGCTAGGCATGGTGACCCACACCTATAATCCCAGCACTTCGGGAGGCTGAGACAGGAGAATTGCTTGAAGCTAGGGGTTTGAGACCAACCTGAACAACATAGTCAGAACCTGTCTCTACAGTTTTTTGGTGTTGTTGTTTTTCTAATTAGCTGAACATAGTGACACACCTGTATCTCAGCTACTCAACGGGTGGAGGCAGGAGGATCACTTAAGTCCAAGGAGTTCAAGGCTGCAGTAAGCTAAGACTAGGCCATACACATTAGCCTTGGTAACAGGGTGAGACCCTGTCTCTGAAAAACCAAAACAAAACCAAAACTTTAAACTACTAAACAATGTGTGAAACAACAATATAGTCAATTGATGATATATGTCTATATGAAGAAGATTATCAATATGTAAAATTTCAATGCATTTTGCAACTGTGAGGAAAAGACATATTTGATTCCTTTTACAATAAACCTAACATATATTTCTTTATTTATATTAAGGTTATAGAAAATACTATATCTTCATTTATTCAATTATAATATGCATCTACTTTGTAAATTTTCAGCTGCTTGAATTTTCATAAACTGAGCATTACTTTGTAATCAGCATGTACACCAGAAGCAGAGCATGACTAGGCCCACAAAGGCCACATCCACCCTCTTATGTTTCCCATTAAGCATTGCTTCTCTCCAGTGGTTAATTGCTATCCTGCATTCTCTCAGAATAAATTAGTTTTGCCTGTTTTTGTACTTTATGTGAATCATATAATATCCTTCCTTTGCATCTAGCTTCTTTCAACTCAGTGTTATGTTGGTGAGATTCTTCCATATCGTCCTGTGTATTTCATTCAACAATTTTTAATATATCACTTATACTGTGCCTGGCAACTTATATCCTCATTACTTATAACCCTTACTAAATATTCATGCATCCAACAAATTAATAATTGAAAATCTGTTCAAAAAGTTTATCCCTTTTTACTCCCTTGAAATATGCAATTTAGTAAATAAAGTTATCTTTTGGCTGATCAAGTTGGCCAGTGATCATTTGCCCTTGGCTACATTTGAGGTTGTAGTCACTGTAGTCACCACGCAGTGGAGAACAATGTATACAGAGTCTGCCAAGCTGAGAAAAGCAGATACATACTTTTTTATGGTAAAGAAAATATTCTTTCCAGAAAATAGTTATTAGCAAGATTTATTGTTAAAGTCAACAGGATTTGGAAACTCGCTTGGAAACTCTAACACAATGTCTGGTGAATATAGAAAACTGCTGAGATTCATTAAAAAACAGAATTGTATTGTGAAGCACAAAATCATGTATCAATTCATCTCATACATCAGTAGCCACTTGAAATAGTCAATCAAAGTAGTTTTTATAGAGCAGCAAATTTTTCATTAGATGTCAACATTACAGTATTTATTAAAGATACAATATTTATCAAGTTTTCTTGTACTAAAAAAAAAAGTATTTGACCTGCATGTTACTAGGGAGAATATGTAGACTTAATGAAAGGAAAGAGCAAAATAAAGAAATGGTATAGCTTTTTCTCCCACAAAGCCAGAGTGCTTCACTGCACTCTGCAAGGGCACTTGTCTGAAGAATTCTCTGTAGCCTGCATCCAATCATATTTCATCAAGATAAAGACTAGTAGCAGGAAAAAGAAACAAGGAAGTGGACCTTAACTCAAAATGATCAGATATGAGTAGGCAATTAGATTATGCCATTCCAAGTAGTGGTTTACATAAGTGCAGGAAGCCACATACTCTGTATAAAAAGATTCCAGGGGTATAAAAGAAACTTCAGGGATGGAGGGAAGTGGTATTCACTGGAGATCAAAATGAAAAAGTTAGAAAGACAGTGTTGGGAATCTGAGAGTGAGTGGAGATAGCATTTCAGAATGTATGATCAAAATGGTGGAAATCCCTTTGGTGGAAGTCCAAATATTGAATAAAAGCCACGTGACCAGAGTGCAAAGGACGCCAGGGCAAATGAAAGTATGTTGGTGTTGAAAAAAGATAAAAAAAATACTGCAGGAACTTATGAACCTCGTTCATGACTTTGGTCTTCATTTTGAGAGCAATGGGAACCCAAAGACAGGCTTTAAACAGCAGAGTTACATAATCTGATTTGCACTGTGAAAGGATCAGGATGGAGAATAGATTGAAGAAACACAAGAAAAGACAAAGCAAAGTAGAGATCCTTGCTGTATCTTTATAAGATAAATATCAAAGAAATACTAAATGAGGAATTGTGACATACGGGTTCCAGGCTTTTTTCTCTAATGAATATTTTACATGGCAATGGAAAATCAACTTACCTGAAATTTAGATTCTTTAAATTTAAAATGACAATAATAATAATAATGTGTTCATCATAAATTTGGAGAAGTAAATAGAATTACAAAAAGACCTTTCTGCAAACCAAAAACCATGGTTAGCTGTTATTTTAATAAGCACAAATTTAAATCATAAATGAAATAAATGCATTTACCAAGAATACGCAAATTTGCCATGAAGATTGCAATTAAGCTTAAGAAGATCAAAGATTAAGGAATTTCAATTTACCTACATAAGTATTTCAGTGATTCATTCAAAAATAATCAGGAAAAGTTAGTTTAAACTAAAACTTGTATGGATCATTGGTAACAGGAAAATAATTTCATTCTGATAAAACACACATACATACATACACGCTTACACATACTTTCTAGTTGTTAAGAGGTTTGTTTTGTTTTTTCAAAGTAATAAATTAGTTTACCAGATTTGAGAACACCTTACCTTTTTTTGAAACATAGCATAGACAATGGAGGATATGGGATTTGTCACACTGACTGAATTCTTAGAGTCATGTCAAAAAAAAAAAAAACGCAAATTCCATTAGGTTCAAGTGATGACAACACCTTTAGCTATTTTCTTTTGTTACAAAAATATCTCAAGCATAAATGTTGGCATTCCATGGAGTAAAATATGTTATTAAAACTGGATCATAAGAAAATTATTTTCCTCTTGGGATGGAATGGTAATTAACCACTGAGACTAGAAGAGAAAGTCAAAATACAAGGGTTTGAATAGGACACATAGGGCATTATGGATCAAATAGAACAGGCTCTGTTTTAGATTCTTTAAAGAAGGGGATATTTTTCTAAAATCATTCTGTAGAAATAAATTTCAGATAAATTTAAGTAACACATGAATATTTTTGGCTGTTGTCAGAGGTGTATATTTGATCATTTCGACTGTAAGCCAAAAATGGCCTCTGATTCTGTGGAAGAATATGTTTAATAATACCATATTTGCTGACATTTTATATATTTTAAAAGACTGGATGAATGAAAGAGAAAGGGAGATGAAGAAAAATAAAGAAGCAGAGTACAAAGAAATAAGAAAGGGAGAAAAGGCAGGAGGAAGCATGGGTAGAATAAAGGAGGAAATAAAAAGTCAGTGGAATCACATAAGCAGGAATCATATCCCACTACTCAAGATTTTAGTTTGTAAGTTCAAAAAATAACCTGTCTTTTCCAATTTGATTTAAATTAATAAATGACCACATGAGAAATGCATACTGAAAAAAATCATCATGATTAGCTATGCTACTTTCCACTGCTCTTAGTATACTGAGAGGCAGCATAAGTAAAACTAAAATATCTGAAGATAGCAATAGACTATTTAAAGTAGAAGAAGTATGCTATTTTTGTTTTGTTTTCATTTCGAAGGAAATATGCAAAGGTTTATTGAGTATTTCAGCTTCTCTTACAGTAGGTTTTTTTTGGATTCTTTCTGTGTTTGTCTATGTTGATAAAACATTGAAATGCCATATAGCTCAAAGGTCATTCACTTAAGAAATCTAAGTACTGATAACATCTTAGCCCCGATTCTTCATAGGCATTGTTAAGCCTATTATAATTTTGGTACAGAGAGAAGGTAAACTATATTCCAGACAGGCATATAAAGCAATTTCTCCTATAATTGGAGTTCACGAAAAATTCACATATTTCTTTTTAATAGTAACTCTCACAGCAAGAACATATGTTTGTAAATAATACATCACAGAATCTTATTGGCAGACAAGGAAATTCCTAAAATATTTTTTACTGCCACATCAATTAAGATATATAAAATACCTTATATAGAAGATGTTTGCACCCAGGCCAAACAAATCAAACAAGAATAGAAGCACTGACAGTCTTATTTCAAAATTGGTTTAACTTGTATTTACAGGATATTGTAGTACCTTATAAAGTTGATTGCTGATTGGCCGTCTTTTACAGAATTCTGTCAGATTGTTATTATTTCTTGTAAAGATTGATTCAAACAAATAAAAATTGTCAGGATTGGATATGTCCTATAGTGAGGTGTAGTTATGTCACATGAGATTTTTAATTACAAAGAAATGGAAAATAAAATGAGAATAAAATTGAGACTCCCCTGTCACCTCACAAATATGTTGAAATACAATGAAATTTCCAAAGATGTTAAAGCATATAAAGTTGAATAATTATTATTATGTATTAAACTTACAGAAATTTAATTTCTTTACTTTATAAGAGGTAGTGAAAATATAAAATTAATTATGAAGACAGAGTAGTCTTAGTCAGACATGGCCCTATAAAGCATATTCCCATTCGTTACATCAACCAGAAAACAGTAAACTGCAATGCATTCTCTGAAATTATTTTCAGCCTGTTGATTCTGATGTTTTATACAACTGGCCTTTTTCCCTCTTAAAATATATATATATATATGATCCCTTAACTTTCTTCAGTCTTAGAATTACATCATTACTCAAAAATAATTCCCAAACTAAAACTGATTACATAATTAGATTATTGCTATCTTTTAGGTATATTTAACTTTTATATGTGATCTAATAATATCCTTTTGAAATAAAGTGAACATTCATACTACTTTTTATGAAAGTGCTAAGGGGCTACATCACAGGGTAAATATGTTTTAGTTGGTTTTCATATAAATTCCACTCCCAATATTACACATTTTAAAAAAATATATACATTTATGTTATGATAACTATTCTAACAAAACTGTTAAAATGTGTTTATGAAACTCTTAGTAGAGTTAAGTCATACAATTAAAGTTGATCTTTCCTCAGTCACTTAGTCCAATCATTAACAGCCTGCAAGTTAAAGTTTTTAAACAAATTATTGCAGACTCTTAATCATAAAGCAATCGGTCCTTCCACCTACAAATCTGCAGGCACATTGGGACTATCAAAGTTGCATATTTTTCCTGGATTTGAAAGACACTGTAGCAATCAGCATTGAAGAACTATAAAACTTAGCCAACAATAATGTGAAAGAAATGTTTAAATATATGCTATAAAATATAAACAGAGTGGAATTCCTTAGTCCATTTTTAAGTGAAAGAGAAAATCAGGGAAGGGATAAGAGCTCAGCTGGAAGGTGAAAGAATAAATGGAGTTCATTCATAATCAAAATACATATGTGCACACAGCTACAGAGGAAAGGGAAAAGAATAGGGGAGAGAACAAACATTTTCTGATCGTGAACAATTTGACATTTTCTATGTACATATGCATGCTATCTGATATGGTTTGGCTCTGTGTCCCTACTCAAATCTACCTTGATAATCCCCATATGTCTTAGGAGGGACCTGGTGGGAGGTAATTGAATCATGGGGGCGGGTTTTTCCCATGCTGTTCTTGTGATAGTGAATAAGTCTCATGAGATCTGATGGTTTTATAAATGGGAGTTCCCCTGCACATGCCCTCTTGCCTGCCGCCATGTAAGATGTGCCTTTGCTCTTCCTTTGCCTTCCACCATGATTGTGAGGCCTTCCCAGTCATGTGGAACTGTGAGTCCATTAAACCTCTTTCCTTTATAAATTACCCAGTCTCTGGTATGTCTTTATTAGCAGCATGAGAACAAACTAAAACACTATCTTATTGATTTTTTATGAGCCTTATGAACTAGGTTCATTTTCACCTTTATTTTAAGGATAACAAAATGAAGGTCAGAAAGATTTGGTAATTTCTCCAAGATTAGATTAAGTACTAAGCAAATTTAGTCATATCTGTCTCTCCAAATGGTGTGATGTCTCTACCACATGAGTTTCTGATTGTTTTGACTCCCTTTTTACAATCTCAACAATTTTTTAATTTACTTGACCTGGCATAGACAGCAAATGTGGTTAAGTCCAGACACATAATTTCTTATTAGAAGACAGTTATAGTCTGGCAACTATCTAAACTATTATTTAATGGAGAACCAGAAAAATGCCAAGAAACATCTTTCTTTGTTTGTTTCTTTGTTATTTTCTTGCTTGCTTTCTCTTTTCATCTTTCTTTCTTCCTTCCTTTCATCCTTCCTTTTTTCTTCCTCCCTTCTTCTTTGTTTTTAGACTTTAAAATAGAATGTCCTGACAATGACTTTCCAATGATGACTTTCCTAATAATGACTTTCACTTCATTTTATAAATAAATCTAGTCTTTTCAGCTTAAAAAAACTGCACTCTAATTGTGATCTTCTTCAGCTGGTATACACATCCATTAGTCCCTGTGAACTCTGGAGCAAATGTATCTAAGCAAGTCAGTCTGAATGCATTCTTTCTTCCAAATCTGAAAGTCCTGCTTGGGAAAACAGAGACCCACAGGAAACTATTCTGGTGATGAACAGGGGAGGACAGTTGCAGGACAGTGGAGTGAAGAGTCTGGCACCATTCTGATAGCTGTTATTTACATCTTTTTAATTATTCCAGTGCATATATTGAAGGACTGTAGAAATTCAGTTCAAATTCCACCCCACATTACTAAAAGCAACTGCTGGTTGGTACACACTTGGCCCTGCTTCTGGCCTGCTGGAGGGAGACACCCAGCTGGCTCACTTGGTGAGGCACATGTGTATGGTTTGCATCTTGAGTAGGACTGCATCCAAGATGGACATTGTCTAGCCTGGCAGTTTGATAGAATGCTCCATTATTTGTATATATTTGCTCTACTGGCTACAAGTTGGCAGAAAACACCTTTTTCACAGGTAGGACAATAGAAGAACAGACAGAAATTTGTCAGAAAGCAAAAGATCTAAAGCAAAAAGAAATTCCATGTGAACCCTACACTCTCAGAGCCAATATGGCCAAGATAAACAGTTTATTAGAGAAAGACCAACAATCAGCAGGAGGGAGACACAGATTCTAACAGTTGCAAACATGTGACCCTGCCTAGACTGAATTATTAGTACAGGCCAGAAAAGAGAAGAAGATTTCAGATTGGGCAATAGTAGGAAAATGGAATTAGGTATTGTATAGTGGATTAGAATTGTTTATTTGGAGGACAGTGTGTGTTTCTCTTGTGATGGTCTGATATATTTGACAGTGCAAGTATTTAAATGAGAATCAAATTTATGTCTACTTTACCCTCTAGAAGACAAGGCAGTTTTGTAAACATAAAAAATAAGACTATTTCTCGTCTACCTGTAATAACCTCTTATTGCTTTTTTTCCATTAGTCCCTACAGATCATCTTAGTTATAGCTAATTTCTACATAATCAAGCTTATCTCTAATACTGACAGATTTAATTTTAAAGGGTAGTATGAAAATCTTTTTAAAACAATATTGCACATTACCTATTACTCTTCATGATTCGGGATATCACAATGAATAGCAATTATTATTTTTCCCAGATGCATTTATTTATTCAGAAAAATGTGTTCCTTTCCAAAATAATTACAAGCTTTCCGAGTTTAAAGATCTGATTCGTGTTGCTTTTATGTATCCCCCTCTCCCTTCCAAGCCATATCTTGCACATTGAATATGTCTGCAATTTTTAGTCCTCTTTCTGTCTCTGATTCCCTACTATAAAAAAATACCATAATCAAGCTAATATATAGAAAACAATGTGAAGGCACTGATTGCTTAGTGAATCCTAAATAATAACATGTTTTTCATAGCTCAACTGCTAATGAAAGAAGGCCTTAGATAAGGACCGTGTTTAAAAGCATAGACTTTGAAGTAATAACTCCAAGTTTGGCCAGGTGTGATGGTTCATGCCTGTAATCCCAGCACTTTGGGAGGCCAAGGCGGATGGATCACCTGAGGTCAGGAGTTCAAGACCAGCCTGGCCAATATGGTGAAACCTCATCTCTACAAAAACCACAAAAAATTGGGGCATGGTGGCACTCACCTGTAATCCCAGCTACTCAGGAGGCTGAGGCAGGAGAATCGCTTGACCCTAGGGGGTGGAGGTTGCAGTGAGCCAAGATTGTACCACTGCACTCCAGCCTGGGCGACAGAGTGAAACTCCATCTCAAAAGGAAAAAAAAAAGAAAACTCCAAGTTTAAGTCCCAACTCTATCATTTCTGGCCATATACTTTTAAGTAGATTATTATGTCTCCTAAGGCTTGCCTTACTTGTGTGTAAAGAAGGATAATGACAGTGTTTAACTCATGAGATTGGTGGAGGGATTAAATAAAATATGTATATAGAGCCCTTAGGACAATTAAGGTCTCCAAAATAATTTTAGTAGTGGAAGTAGTGGTATTCTGTGAGGACATGTGATTTTAAAATCCTCTTTCACATGAAGATTTTATCCAACTACAAGCGTACTAGAGTCTGATTGTTTTACTAACCATAGAAATCCATGCTAGGTAGGCTGCCTTAAAATGATGTTCATTTTTAGTATTTCAGTAATTAAATCAAGGTGGGTACATCTATGAAAAGTTCACCTAACATTTACTTTCAATATATTCTAGCAGTTATATAGCAATCTCCATCATACCTATTTATTTTGAAGTAATTTTACTTACTTTATATAAAGACAAATGTTTCTTTAGATATTTAAATGTAGCATATTTATATATAAATGAAACCAGTAAATCTGTTAGCAATGATATAGCTATGAAAAACTGCATATATCGTATTAATTTGTCTATTCAAAAAATATATGAAGATCAAACACCTACACTGTATTAACGATTGGGAATGCAAAGGAGACCACAGTGGTGGGCAAAGTTTTTTCATGGAGCTTACAGTTTAGTAGAGAAAGGAATATAAAAGTGAACCGGCAATAAATAATTCCAAAATGTTATAAACCTATGAAGAAACAAATAATAAGGATGTGTTTTGAGATGGAACCTAGTGTAAATCATGGAGTGAGAGAAAATGTTTCACAAGAGGTGAAGTGTAAGTTGATATCTAAAGCAAATGGTAAAAAATAATTGAATGTAAGCTGATATTTTATATCTGAGCAAAAGGCAGGTAAGGTGAAAAGTGTTCTAGGAACAGGGGTCTGTGCAAAGGCCCTGTGATAGGAGAGAGCTGGCCATTCCCAGAAACTGAAAGAAGGATTTTGAGAACAGGAGAAATATTTTAAAAGGAAGGCAGAAGTTTATAATTTGGGCTATAGAAAAAAAAATGCCCCTAGATTTAGCCAAAGTACCTTGAACAGTCATTGCAGAATTTTAGGAAGGATTCTAACAAGACCTGATATTCAAGCTCCTTTGATTGTTGTATCTACTGAAGGGAAAAGACTTAACAGGGAATTGACTAGACAGATTGTGTTGAGAGTGAACATACTGAGACTAGTTGACAGGCTCTACTATTTTATCTTCCACATAAGAGATCAGAATTGTTTGGCTACATTATAAATATTTTTGAAGATAGAACTCAGAGGACTCAATCACTAATAATTGTAGAAATATAAAAGTTCAGCAATACAAGTTGGCAAGAATGTGAGTCAATAGGAACTCACACTGCTTATGAGAATGCAAATTGGCACCACCACTGTGGAAAATAATTTGATATTGTCATCAAAAATGGAGTAAGTTCACACCATTTGATTCAGAAATTCCCTTTCTGTCTTGTGCCCTGAAGAAACTCTTACATAGGAATATGGAGAGATATATGAACACATTACCAGCATTGTTGTAGAAAAATATGTAAATGCCTAAAGTAAAACAAAATAACCACAAAAAATTTCTATGAGCAGAATAAATCCCTGTTTTGTGATGTATGTGCAATGGAAAACTATACCATGGTGAAAAAAGTAGCAACGTGCCTTAATATGGATGAATTGCATAGATATGATATGGAAATAAGAGATAAAATTACAGTATAAACGTACAGTCAGAAACCACTAATATAAAGAAGCAGCTTTCAAAGTTTGGTTTAGGAATATCTAAAGTATTTCTTTATAATAACACTAAGATGAAGGGAAAGTCAGAGAGATTCAAAGTGAGAAAATGATCAGGCTGTATTGCAGAAGGTGTCACCTTACCTAACATGAGAAAAAATGTTGTCAACCTCTAGAAGTAAAGGCTGGTCGCCACCTAACAGCCAGCAAGGAAGCAGGGATCTCAGTCCTACAATCACAGGGAACTGAACTTGGCTGTCAACTTGAATGATCACGGAAGCAACTTCTTCCCCAGAGCCTACAGTAAGAAAGGCAACCATGCTGACAACCTGATTTTACTCTTCAGGGAATCTAAGTGAAGGACCCTATAAAGCCTATCTAGGTTTCTGATCTGTAAGTCAATTTTTTTTTTTTTTTTTTTTTTTTTTGAGACAGAGTCTCGTTCTGTCACCCAGGCTGGAGTGCAGTGGCGTGATCTTGGCTCACTGTAAGCTCCGCCTCCTGGGTTCCTGACATTCTCCTGCCTCAGCCTCCCTAGTAGCTGGGACTACAGGCGCCCGCCACCACGCCTGGCTAATTTTTTGTATTTTTTAGTAGAGATGGGGTTTCATTGTGGTCTCGATCTCCTGACCTCATGATCCGCCCTCCTCGGCCTCCCAAAGTGCTGGGATTACAGGCATGAGCCACCACTCCCGGAGAATACTTTTTTTTTTTTTTTTTGTCATTTTAAGCCACTACATTTGTGGTAACTAGTGATTGCAGTAGAAAAGTAAAGGCTTACCTGTATTTAATTATTAATGTATGTAATTCAATCCTCTACAGGTTATTGATAAACTCCCTGGGTATAACTATGATCCTAAGGGTCTTCAATGATTTATATTGAAAAAAATGAAAATGTGATATTTAATAAATATCTTAGTCCTCTATTTAAAATTAATGATTTGTGAGAATATTTGCTCTGAAGAATGCAGCCTAAAGACAGACTACAATTTGTAAGTCATCTCTGATAGCCAAAACCAAGGCTAAGTTTTTACAGTATTCAAGATTGAGATCCAATCATTTTTGTGATGGAGAAGGAAAATACAACTATGAGAACTGGAACAAAAATAAAAATGCATTATGACCCTCAAACGTCAGCCCTGGGGTTACCAAAACATGGAGGAAGCCTAACCGTAGCCAAAGATTCTCCAAGGATATTGTAAAATAAAACTGTTGCACAAATTCTTTTTTGTGGAAATTCCACTACTCTTTCTAAAATATACATAAGTTCCTCCAATTTGAAATTTCACTTTTTACTTTGAAGAACGAATATGTGGTTGCTACAATGAGCATACTTATATATATTTTATTCACAAATAGTTTTTAAACAGAGGCCGGGAATGAAGTGTTTTTGTTTTTGTTTTGTTTTGTTTTGTTTGTGTTTTGATGGGGGGCTGGCTCCTTTAGCACCAGCTCATTATCAGGGTTTTCATTACTCTGATAACCTGTTCATAGTAGTAACATGTAGAATTATTTATGTGCAAAAATTGTGTGATAAGCATGATAGTCTTCTCCCTGGTTCCACTTAATATCATCACTCTAAACCTTTCTAAAGTTATTCAATCTTATCACAAGGACATTATACTGTATTTTATGTATCTCATGTATTCTATAACCAACTTCAAATCCTTTTTAAAAAAGATACGATAAGTAGAATTTTTAAATGTATGTGAATACTTTCTTTGGCAGGGTATGTACTATAATTGAATTGATACAGAGAAAATTATCTTGCACATCATCTTGTGCCCAGGGATAACATACAAATTCACAAAGTATTCCATATTTTATGCATTTATCAAAACTCGGCACGTATACTCATGATTTGTGTTTACACAAATCTTTTACATCAGCAAACAAAAGAGGCATGCTGAAGCCTATGTAGGGAAATGTACTAACATGTACCAATTACCATGAAATGCATCAAAGATAAAATAGACTTATTGATGGATAGAGGAACACATAGATGAAAGAACATATAATAACACAGATATAGTAAAATAATAATAGGAGGAAGACGGGAGACATCTGAGTGTATTCACACTAAAATTTAATGTTTTAAATTGTTAAACTTTATGTTTGACAATTCTTGCTATATATTATTTATATCATTATATATAATGAGTGTATATATACATAAGTATGTGTGTATATATACATATATAACTATGTGTGTGTATGTAATATCTAATTACGATAAGTATTTCAGAAAAATTTGCATCTCAGCTTTGTGAATTTTTACCTTTGTAAACTTGACCAAATGACCTTCTATTTTATCTCTGAGCATGTTTTTCATCCATAAAAAGGAGAACTAAAAATCGTCAAGATTAAATAAGATAATGTTTGAGATACAATGGCTATGTGGTGAAGAGATTAGGATGTGTGGGGTATAGATTAGGCAAGATAGGAATTGGTGCTCTTGCATAAAGCTGAAACTCTTGGAGAGCCAATCATTAGTAATGTCATAAATTAGAAAAAAATTCCCATATGAAAAATGTCAGAGATAAAAATTTTTTCGATTCCAAGGAATATAAATATGTCTGCCACAATAATTTGTAAACAGAACCTGTCCTCTGAGAAGGCTGGAATTTCATTTTAAAGTAACTAAATTGTTTGGGATACTTTTAGCCAACTATTAACTTAAGTGGGTCCTAAATTGTTAAAACCCTGGTTTGCCTGTCAAAAACTAATGGAATCTCTATTAGAAAGATGAACCCTCAGACTCGGTTTCACATGATGTCCAGTGGCAAAGTCCAGCAAAACATAAACTAGCAATCTATGTTCCCCAACTAACAAGAGCTATGTGTCTAGAAGTACGAATTTACAAAAACCATAAACGGCACAATTAGACCAGTATTAACTTAAGAGGTTGAAACGGTCAGACTTGGAATATGAAAAAAGAATGTATAATTTTGAAAGAACAAAAGTGCATTGAAAATACAAGCACAGAACATGAAACAATAAAAGATAGACCAAAAAATTGCAGAAATGAAACATGTAATTATTTATATTTTAAAAGTTAAATGGATAGATTTAAAAAACAAATAGATGATCACATCTGAAGATATCAAATAAACTGGAAGACAGATTGAGGCCTAAAGCCTGCCTGAAAGAAACAGAGACACCAATAAATGAAAAATATGAAGGAGAGTTAAAGAGAAATGGTGAGTATAATAAAAAGTCAAAAAGATCTAATTGGATTTCTACCAAGATAAGACAGAGAGAGTAGAGAAGATAAATTAATAGCTAGAAATACTACTGTTTTCCAAAACAGATGAAAAAATGTTCCAGGATATTTAGATCAATAAGCATAAAACATTTCCATTAGGATAAAAATGTTATTTATAGTATACATTACTAAATCTACCAAAACCAAATAAAAACAGAAGACTTTTTAAAGAAAACGGTATTAATAGCTCTTTTACAAATTGTCTATTAGGTTGGCCTATGAAGGTCTCAATGGCCACAGTGCAAACAGAAAATAATTGAAAGATATTTCAAAGTTTTGAGAGAAAGTAGATACCAACCTGGAATTAAGTTCCCAAATCAACAGTAATTCAATAATGAAAGTCAAAAAATGCTCCAAATGTTTCTAGTAACACATATGTTCACTTTTTAAAAAATTTATATGTACAGGCCGGGTGCGGCGGCTCGCCCCTGTAATCCCAGCACTTTGGGGGGCCGAGGCGGGTGGATCACAAGGTCAGCAGATCGGGACCATCCTGGCTAACATGATGAAACCCCGTCTCTACTAAAAATACAAAAACAAAATTAGCCGAGTGCGGTGGAGGGCGCCTGTAGTCCAAGCTACTCAGGAGGCTGAGGCGGGAGAATGGCGTGAACCTGGGAGGTGGAGCTTGCAGTGAGCTGAGATCGCGCCACTGCACTCGAGCCTGGGCGACAGAGCAAGACTCTGTCTGAAATAATATAATAATAATAATAATAATAATAATAATAATAATAATAATAAAATAAAAATTAAAAAATGTACAAATCTGTATATATTTCACTTCGATAATCAAAGAAAGGAGGTCAAATGAGGGCAATTTTAACAATCTTTATTTCTAACTTTCTATTTAAACAACTTCAATATGAGCATCAACACCAAAAATTAAACACTGACAACAATATAATGAAGTAATCTACAGACCTTATGCAAATTTCATTTATTGTCCTAATAATAGTGTTCCTTTTTCTGGTCCAGGATTCAATCCAGGATCACACATTTCATTCAGTTATGGGATTTCCTTCGTCTCCTTTATTCTAGGACAAGTACACCATCGTTCTTTATCCTCATGACACTTCTTTTTTACTTAACCAAGTGATAAATTTAACATTGCAAGTAATGAGACACCCAAATAGTATGTGCCACCTGAAATGCTGCCTTGTGAAGGGCATGAATCACTTTTGTGGTGTTCTTGACATAAATTCATAATCTTATTAAATTATCAAGAAATATCAAAGCCAAATAAATAAGGATTTTGTAAAACAGCAAATTATTACTCTTCAAATGATTAAATGATCACAGAAGGAAGACTGAGAGACTAGAAGAAATGATGGGCAAAGAAATTGATATACATATAAATAAATCTAAATTAATTACTAGATAGAAGGATTCATTGTACAAAAAGGAATAATTAAATTATATAAATAATGTATTCCCCCAATATGTGCTTGGGGATTGTTCTTAAAGAAGTTAGAAAAATATTAGATTTACTTTAGATTCCTTAAGAAAGAATGTTAAAATGTCAGTAAACAGTTGAACACAGAGGTGCTGTAGTCTAAATGTTTGTGTCTCCCCTAAATGTATATGTTAAAATATGAACCCCAAGATGATAATATTAGGAAGTGGGGACTTTTGGGAGGTGATCAGACCATGAAAGTGGAGGCTTCATGATGCGATTAGTGCCCTTATAAATGGGGCCCAAGGGAGATCCTTGGCGCTTCCACCATGTGAGGACATAGTGAGAAGGCACCGTCTATGAACCAGGAAATGGGCCCACACCAGATACAGAGTCAGCTAGCATCTTAATCTTGGACTTCCTAGCCTCCAGAACTGGAAGAAATAAGCTCTGTTTCTCACAAGTTGCCCAGTTTATGGTATGTTCTTATACCAGCTCAAAGTAATTAAGAAAAGGAGAAAAAACATGTTTTACTTGCAAAGAAAACAGGAAAAGAGGAACAATTAAGTCAGGCCAAAAGACAAATAAGTAGGAAGAACAAAATATGTAGAGACAAAAACAAATATATTTTTGATTGAAATAAAATAAGATAAGCTCACTGGTTATACAAACAAATATAATTTAGTTGGATTAAAAAATGACTCTAGGCCAGGCGCGGTGGCTTACACCTGTAATCTCAGCACTTTGGGAGGCTGAAGTGGGCGGGATCATTTGAGGTCAGGAGATCGAGACCAGCCTGACCAACATGATGAAACCCTGTCTCTACTAAAAATACAAAAAAATTTAGCTGGGCATGGTGGTGTGTGCCTGTAATCCCAGCTTACTTGGGAGGCTGAGGCAGGAGAATCACTTGAGCCCAGGAGGTGGAGGTTGCAGTGAGCTGAGATTGTGCCATTGCACTTCAGCCTGGGTGACAGGGCAAGACTGTCTCAAAAAAAAAAAAAGACTCTATATATTAATAAATGTTATTTATAAGGAAGACCTCAAGTGAATAGTAACTGAAAGAAAATATTCAAACTATATTGATGTAATAAAACAGATTTTATACTAAAAATAATTATTAAGGATATACTGGATCCATAATAATAATAAAATTGTCATTTCTTTATTAGTTGTAGGGTAAAAATGATATATAATTCTTGAAAGACACTTTTAAAGACTTGCAGAAATTGAGAAAGCAGCCATTTCTCAATTTTCAACAAGGTCACTTCTCCATGAATGTATCTAAGTCTTTGTTACTTGACTGGATGGGCAAACGTTCAAAAAATTGGCAAGATAATTTCATAAGACAAAGAGAAGTGTGAGGAGGAGGGAAGGAAAGTGGAAGGAGCAAGGAGGAGCCAAAAAAGAGAAGGAATTACCCTGTTCTAAAAGAAATTTTATTTAAAGGTAAAACAATGAACATTTAAATAGTAATCCACAGGCGACAAATCTAAGGCCACACAGTGAAGAGCTGAAATACAGAGTGCTGAATCAGTTGGAAACTCAACATGTGACAGAGGCACCAGGTCAGTAGAAAAGGGCACAGTAGCCATTAAATGGAGCTGGGACAGTTATTCCTGTGATAAATTAAGTTAGATCCATACCTACAGGATACACACACACACACACACACACACACACACAAATGAATTCAAGGTACGTTGGACCTAAAAGTGAATACTGAAAATGTAAAAATTTTTAAATGTGTCTGAATGTCTCTGTTGCCTCAGGGAAAAGAAATGTTTATTAAACAAGATATAAATAGCTAAAACAGGAAAGATAAGGATAAAAAGTAGATACTTTTAAAATTTCTTCTCATTAAAACAGGCAGTATGTATGTGAAAATAAAAAACCAAGCTCTGGGAAAAATAACATAATCTGCAAGAATTCTTATCCAAAGTATGTAAATAACTCCTATGAATCAACAAGATAAAAAGTCAGCTATCCAAGCAGAGAGGTCAAGGTTTATGTACAGGCAATTCCTAGGGAAGACATCCAAATGGTGGGTGTGTTTCTGCATGTTTATCTGAAAGTGTGCTAACTTCAGCAGTAATAAGAGACATGTAACTAAAAACCATAAGAAAAAAATAATCATTTCATACCTCCATAAACTTGGCCCAATTAAAATTCTCTCTCTACTTCTCCCCTCTCCCTCCCTCCCTCTCTCTCTCTCTCCATAAAAATGGCCAAATTAAAACTCTCTCTCTCTACTTCTCCCCCCTCCCTCTCTCTCTCTGTCTCTCTCGCTCGCTCGCTCGCTCCCATGCGCTCACACACACACTACACCGGCACATGCACTACTATACACTACTGTAAATGTGGCTGATTGCAAAGAGTAACAGAATATCTTATGCATGCTTGAGAGCAACAATTGGTTCAACCCTGTTTGAGAGCAAGTTGGTGAATCAAATAAAATTGTAAATGTGCATACCCTATACAATTCTGTGCCCTTCCCCCCTCCCGGCCTCTCTCTCTTTCTCACTCAGAGCAAAATGTCCATTAAAAGATAATGAACAAATCAATTGTAGAAGAATATGTTGAGGCCATCAATGGTTTCAGTCATATTTTCTTTCTTGAGGAGGATCCTGAATGTATGATGTTCACTCTAGGTTCTTTATTCATTTTGGAATACTGAAATATTTGATAATCATTCAAAAAATAAAAACAAGGTGTTACTATAAGGTGAAAGGAGCAGAAATTCTGATTTGAACTACTTTATTTTATTTATAGCTTATATGAGCCTGAGAAAAATCCCTTAACATTAGTAAACTTGTCTTTTCCCACTGGTACACATTAATAATAATCACATCTCTTCTGCTACTCACAAAATTTATAGGAAACTCAATGAAATAATGCATATAAAAGTGCTTTGTAAGTCAAATAATCAAACAAATATTAGCTTTCTGATAAACATGTTGTTACTATTATAATCATGTTGTTACTATTATAATTACAATAAAAATAATTATCACCTGAGTAATTTACATGATCTGGTATCTTTGAAAATGATAATTTGAACCAAATGAGCTCTAATGAGCCTCTGCACCTAACATTCTGAAATTGATCTGTGACTAAAATCAAACATTGCAAAAGAGAAGGATGATGCTTATTGGTTTGTGCTATACAATAAGTGACAATCATCATAGTTATGATTCATGAAAATTGAAACAAGTAAAAGTAACACATTTAATATTATATAGGGCTAAAAATATTCATTTCAATACCTATTGTTATGAGTTGAAATTACTTCATACTGAAAAATAAACTGAAAAGTTGGATTGAATTGGCCAAGTGCCTCTAAGTGAATTTGAGAGTTAATTAAGTATAATACTGAGTGACATGTAAGAAGATCAACACATTTTAACAGAAGTGCTTTTTCAGTGATGCCACAACTTCTGGGAATATTAACACACTGGGTGAGACAATATTCTGTATCCCAGAGTTAACAACTAAAAAGTTAACTATATTTTTCCATCACATTCAGATAGGGAGAATACAAGCACAGAGAGCAAGCCTTTGGACCTACTCATTAGAAAAAATGTGTTCCTTCAGTGGGTTCTGGAGCCTAAATAGAAAACCAAAGGGAAACATGGTTTTTCTGAGCAGTCCACTCCAGATACACACTCATGAAATCTTGCTTTGCAAAACTTGGTCAAACTTGACAAACTCTGGTTCTATTCATTAATACAAGATAATCACAAAACACAAATATAACAAACAAGGAATTATAGACAAAATGCTTAACAGTAAGGGCTGTGAAATAAACCTAAATCTAAATGCTGTCTCCACCACTTCCTGCATGACTTGTTTCTTCATCTGAAAAAAATGACAGTTACAACAGTAAAAAAACCTCATATGCAGGCATTCGTTTCTGCAGAATTGAATCAGTGACTAATATGGTTATGTAATTCCTGGCACATAGTATCTCTTCAAACTCTCAGTGATGGTTAGCTGCTATAACCATATGTTTGGGGGAAATCATGAGGGTAATTGAAAATTTTGCAATTAATAACCCTCAAAATATAGAATTATTTATTATCTATTTATGTAACTTAAATTTACCTACTTAAGACTCTGAATCACAGAGGTTATTGGTTATAAAATTTGGCCTGAAATTCATTAAGTACTATCTCTGTGACCTAAAATTACAGTACCTTTGCCTTCTAATATTTTGCTACAATTTATAAATAACCTGTTCTTTATTTATTTCTATGTTCCTATACCCAATAATGTTTTCCGGAAGTTTTCTGTCATCTGCTTTGGATCATTTTGTTCGCTTTTGTTTCGTTTTAGTTAGATATAGTAGATTTTATTTCTGTTGAAGCTTACTTTTGCTTCTTTTCCTAATTTGAAAGTGCTTTAGCAAATTTCTCACTGCTTATAGCATTATTCTGAAAGTATCACTTAATAACATTTATATTTATAAACAAATTGTTTCCCCTATTAAAGATGCTAATGAAAATGAAACACTGTCACACAGCAGAAAGATGACAAAATGTTATCCAATCATATCCAACCAACTTTCCAGAAGTTTTGTTTACCATCATCAGTTTCAGATTCCTAGGCCTTCAAACTCAAAGGGAGCATCGCAGTCCTCTGATGCATCATCCTCATTTTTACATAAGAATGTCAAGATCTGCATCAGTTAGACAAATTAATTCAGCTGAAATTAATTCAGCTGGAATAAACCAAACATACAGACTTTAAATTCTAAGTCATTTCTACTAAAACACACCAGTAATTTAATTTACGTGAGTAAAATGTTATAAAATATGATAAGTAGT
This sequence comes from Homo sapiens, assembly GCF_000001405.40. NCBI lineage: Eukaryota > Metazoa > Chordata > Mammalia > Primates > Hominidae > Homo > Homo sapiens. The sequence goes on along the minus strand of NC_000021.9, from coordinate 27,274,519 downwards.
CCACTAAACAGGAAACGATTTTTAAATATAAAATAAAAATTCTTTAAATAATATTTAAAGCTTCTGTGTTTTAACAAAAATGTTAATATTTTTTCCCCAAAGTTTTAATTTTCAGGTATTTCTAGCCTCTGTTTAACATTTTCAAGAACTTATATTTTGTAATTCTAAACAATCATATAGTCTACTCACCTAGAAACCAATGAGATGCTTTTTTTTAATGATTCAATGGCAAATGTCTTCAGTAAATATTTAGAGCACCAAAAGTTTCTACTAAAAGCTGTTTTGCATTTTAATATAATTTTAAAATTGTTGGCAATTAACATCCTAGAATATATTCAGTATTTTAGAAATTTGTGCTATTCATACATATTTAATAAATCAGAGGTTTTTATAATGTGTTAGATTACAAATCAGGTTCAATTTTTGACCGAAAAGCATGCAGACAAGATAAGAAGCTTCGATCATTGTTTAAATGCAAAGTTAGAGGTATTTTAGAGGCATGTTTTCTTGAGAAGTAAAATAAGAAGAAAAAAATCCCAAAGGGAAAGACTGTTCTGAAATCCTAAAGAAGTATCTTATTGCTGGCATAAATTTTTCTTTAGGTGATCATAAAGACATCAATTTCAAATTCCAAGTTTTTCATCTTTGTTTTTAAATGTTCATAATTTATTCATATATAATAGTATTTAAAATATCTCATCATTCATTTCTCCAAAAAAAGTCTCCAAATACAAGACTTTGAAAGCCTATGAACAAACAAATTGTTTCCCCTATTAAAATGCTAATGAAAATGAAACACTCTGTCACACAGCAGGAAGATGACAAAATGTTATCCATGATGAAAGCTCCTAGCTATTTTTCTTCATTTCAGCACTCTTCATATTCCTCATCTTGCAGACCATTTTATTTAAAACATCTAATACAATCTTAAACATTTCTTTGTTCTATCTACACAAAAATTTTTGACTATATATTACACGTACTTTATATACTTATTTTAAAATTATATTTGAAAGTTTACTTTTAAGTCAACTTAAACATTAACCTAAATAAGACTAACCTAAACTTTAACAAATATTAATAACTTAAACATTAATCTAAATAGAACTTATTTAGACCAAACTCTTCTAGAGAATATTTACATCCTGTGTTTTAGAAACTGTGGAGCACAACAGGTAGCTTTAAACCTCCTGCTACACCCGTGTGGGGAAGCCTCTAGGCAGTAAATTCTCTTTGGTACAAATTAAAATTTGATACTTTATTGATATTGTTGATATTGGGGGTGAAGTGGGGGTGGTGATGGTGGTGATGTTGATGGTGGGTGTGAAAGAGGAAGGGATTTAGTTGTTTTCCACTTATGAAGTGCCAGAAAGTTTCCCTCAAAGCTCTGAAAGTTACAGTATAAACCCCAGCATCTGTTGATAAGACTTGCTTTTTACCTTGCCTGGACATCTTCACTTGTTTTGTGATAGGGCTTGACCATCCTCATCTTTCAGGTCTTGGGTAAAATGACATGTCTTCAGAGAAGCCTGCTCTAGGAAAAATAAAATAAAATAGCAAATCCTCTTTCCCAGTAAACTTTCTTTCACATTATCCCAATTTATTTCTTATAGCCCCCATCACAATCTAATATCATCTTGTCTATATGATGATATACTGATCTATTGTCAGTTTCATTCTACTACAACAAATGAGGTCAAGCCCTTCTATGTCTTATTTGCTATTGTACTTAATCAACTCAATTGTTACAACTTGGCTTTTCATTTACATTTTACTGCAGGAAGAGAAAGTTCTGGCCATGCTGATATAGTCTGCGTGTAAGTCAAATATTCCTTGTAAATTAAAAACTTGGCATTTTGCTATCTGTATGTCTAGGTCATTCTCTCTGAGCTGAAAAGAAAGATCCAGGTTTGGGACCTGGAAAGTTGGCATATGGTTTCTCTTTTTTTATGATCTTCCACGAATAGTAAACCCCTTCCCCTACCTAGTATCATCTTTGATCTTACCATGAGACTTACATTCTTAGTAGAAATTTCATTAAAATCCCCAGCTGGACCTTAGCCCTGTTTCTGATTTAGGTCCAACTCATGGGCCTCTCTGGCTAAAGATGACTTTCACTGATTAATTGATCTTATTCCCAGATTTCTTTGGTTACTGTGGGTTCCATAACTCTTACCTTGTCTGCTTGGCTTAACAATCTGTTGCCTATTTTCACTTGTTTTATTCTTATCATCCTCTGATATTTCTGGTTACAATAATTCAAAGGTGACACCCACTGCGCCAACTGCATGCCTTACGACGATGGGGATGACAACCAATTCAGTTCCTTTTTATTTTAAGGGCAGAATTCACATTTTGGCAGATATGAAACCAGTAAGAACCCTTCACTTAGAAACAAAATAAATAAATTGGACCTATGCACCATAAATTAATATGAAGAACATCTGCTCAAATTATTACAAGTCATTATTATGGTCATAATATGAACTCCACCCAATGTTACTGGGAATCCAATTACTCAACAGGCAAAATTTAACAAATCTGGTTTGAGCTTGTGATAAAGAACATGGCTATACTGGAGCTAAAGAAATACAAGATCATACTAAGTCCTAGCCACATTCTATAAAACTGTATAACAGGCCATTAGGAATGTCTTGTTTTACAGACAGATATTAAGAGCTTGATTAAGAAAAAACATCAACAACAATTATTTTGTTGAGTAAGAAATTTCAGGAAAACTTACAAAGGGTTCTTTTTCAAACTTGTGAAACTCCATAAATGCTAATTTCACATTATACTTGTTAACTGTACTTAAACTCTACCACCAGGCACAAAGAGATCCAATGCTCCTATGGGATTAGTTTCTACATCTCATGTGTATTAAGTGATATGTTTTTCTATGAGAATCACTGTGGCATAAAGGAGACTGCCAAGTTTATGTCTTGGAAATTTGACATTTCTGAGTTCCCAGTCTATGTCTGTGGCTTTCTCACCATGTAGTCCTGGGCAAGTTATATAGTATTTCTAAGTTTTGACTTATTTAGCTACAGAATGGGGAAAACAATGCCTAGTTTTCAGAATTAATCTGAAATTTAGAGTGCAAAGAAAGATGTGAGACACATAGATCTCAATAAATGGTAACTTTTCGTGATTATACTCCCACTAGTTGAAAAATCAGAAAAGCATTAAAGTATTGTGGCAGACATTGATGAGCTGAAATGGATATTAACACAACACACATCTTCAAATTTTAACTATTTTTAGGACAATCATTGATAAGTCTTGGTATGACAGAGGGATATGTCTATGTTAGACCTTGGCTAAGGTCAATTGTGTCATGGATTGAGGTATACCTGCTGTCCTGTCATTTCCTGGAATCAATAAACCAAATCAAAACCTCTTTTTTACTTCGAAAACGGCCACATCCTTGGTGCTTCTAAAACTCAGAGGGAATCAGATCAAAATAGAAAAGCACAAATGATAACGCCTGGCTTTCATTTGCATTCCCTTTTCTCAAGTTGCATTGTGATGTGGTGTATGTCTTCTTACTTCTCTCTCTAACAAACGAAAACACTCCTACTAATAGATAAAAAATACTAACAGGCCAACCTCATACACTAAGTTTGCATTATTTTATAAGCTTTCAAAAAATGATGTGACATGTCCCATTAATGGCAGGTTAATATATTTCTATGTCATTTGTTTCATCTGCTGGAGCCACCAGGCAAGATCACACATATCTCTTCTACCATAACATTCATTGCACTTTTTACAAGGACTGATTGTGCCATAGCCTTTTTTCCCTTCTAAAAAGTGACTTCCAAAAGTTCTTAACACTTATTCAATACAATAATGGATACAATAATGAATACATAATAAAGCCATGGATGAGTCAGTGAGTGAACTTATACACAGCAGTGGAGAGTATCAGCCAAATCTCCATGTTTTGAGGGCTTACTAGTGAAAGAAAGAATCATAAGCTCTAAGAGCAGAAGAAGAGAATTTCTAGCTGAATTACCATCGAAATAGTTATGGAGATAACACATATGATATGGTTTGGCTCTATGTCTCCACCCAAATCTCATGACAAATTGTAATTCCCAATGTTGGAGATGGGACCTGATGGGAGGTGATTGGAACATGGGGGTGGACTTCCCCCTTGCTGTTTTTGTGACAGTGAGTGATACTGATGTTTCTGGTTACAGTAATTCAAGGGTGACTCCCACTGCACCAACTGTATTCCTTACAATGAGGGAGTTCTCATGAGATCTGGTTGTTTGAAAGTGTGTCTGAAAGTGTGCACTTCCCATTAGCTTGCTCTCTCCTGCTCTGCCATGGTAAGAAATACTTGCTTCCCCTTTGCCTTCTGCCATGATTATAAGTTTCCTGAGACCTCCCAGCCATGCTTCCTGTACAGCCTGTGGAAGTGTGAGTCAATTAAATCATTTTTTTTCATAAACTACCCAGTCTCAAGTAGTTCTTTATAGCAGTGTGAAAATAACCTAATAAAACCTATTAGATGCAGATATTGAAAGATGAATATGCATGGGTACATGACATGGAAAAGAAAGGATCCTCAAGCAGAGGAATACTGTCAATAAGGATGCTGAGGTCAAGTAGGCCTGCAGATAAGTGGTGATTCAGCAACCTCAAGAAGCTCCAGGACTAGTGACTCAAGGGAGAGGGAGGGAAGGAGACAAGTCTGAAAAAGTGGATTGGCTAAAGAAAAGGGTCATGTTGCAAATCCCAAGAATTGCATAAGAAAAGATTGCAAGAAGTTGTTTCACTTAAGAGAAAATTTGTAAATTTGTAATTTGTAAACAAATGAGAAAATACCTTAAACTTCCAGGACCCCAAAGGAATACCATTTGAGCAGCAAGATTTTAAAACATGTTTTTGTTTTCAAAAATTAAAAAATAGTCTTCCATGCTGCTGAAAAGTTTATGTTGATTTTTTTTCATAGTTTTCAAATAGAGGACTAAGCTTATTTAAATAAATAGATACTTTAAAGATATGTCAGTAGGAACAGAAAGGAAAGGAACACAGTGGATAAGTGGTAAATTAAAAAAATATACTAATTAGTAGGATTTGAGGTTATCACTTGAACACAAATGTAAACTGTTTGATATCACTCTCATATTTGGGCCTCACATGTAAAAGTGTTATTAAAGAATTTGCAAAGCAAGGAGAAACATGTTTTACATGTTTTTTTTGTCCACAATGTAGTTGTCATGAGACAATAGACTATTTGACTTAGCAAGTCTTCAGTTATATTGCCAAGTATATTGTTCATCACAAATAGCAAATCTTTCTCCAATTCAAATAAGAGAAACTTTACACTAAACTCTATCTTTCTTTCACTATAAAAACCATGATTTCTTATTTGTTGCCTCTTGCCATAAATCAGCTACTTTTCTAAGTAGTGATAGTACTCCCTTTGGAAGGGAGAGATTGTAAACTGTGATGTACCACTGCTGACAGTAGAATTTTTTATAAAGCCCAGTTGTTGCACACACAAACAAAACAATATCAGGTCATGAGAAACATTGTTTTACTCAAAGCCCTATTCATTTCTATGATGTTTCTCAGTTACAAGGGAGCTGTATCATATTTATGCCAATTAAAAATTCTTTCCATTTGGAGGAAAACTCAAGGAATGTGCTTTCTAAACAAAAAAATAAAAATAATTACTACCATAGCTTATCAATTCTTTACTCTGTTGATAAACAAATCACTGTTACTTTCAGCAGGCATTTAAAAGTAAAACAAGGCTTGAGTTGTCTCAGAAGAAAAATTCCAAGACCTTAGAGAAAGCTGAGTAATTAAAATAGGAGACAGTTAACTTGCTTTTAAATGGAGGTACTAAAGTAAAAGCAAGACATAGCAAGAAAGCAACAATTCTTCTTCCCTATGCGGTTTTCACAAGCCAGCTACAGTAAATTATTAGTGAAGAAAAACAAAATCTACAGTGATTCTCCATGAGTCAACAGTGAATTATAAGAAAGGGCTGTGGTACAGGGAGAGTGTTACATACATTTTGCAGATAGTATTGTTTTTGTTGGTTTTGAAGTACTGTTAAAACAATATTTCAATTATACCATTCATGAATCACAAAGCTATTTTCAAAAAGTTGCACTTTGAAGTTTTTACTATGTAGATGATTTAAGTAGTGATGTCATACGAAAATAATCTCATAAAATTAAACTTAACATGAAGATTAAAAGTTCACTAGGCTTTTTCACTTAGTGTTTGAAATTTTAAAAGACAGAGACAAACTAAGGAAGGACAGAATTGCTTTTAAAATCAGAATACATGACAGAAATCACAGAACAGGAAGAGACTATAGGCTGTGTAGCCCAACTGTGTACCCAATGGAGGAAAGTCTTCTAGATCAATGCTTTACCATAGATGGCATCTTCAGGACTGAGGATGTTGTTAAAATGTAGGTTCGGCATGGCAGTTGAGATTCTGCATTCATAACAAGTTCCAAAACAATGCCAATTGTGTCCATGTGGACTTCAGTGTATGCAAGAATTGTCTCACTAGTCTATTATGAACACTTTTCATGGCATGGGACTCGTTGCTTTAAGAAGAAACAATTTTTTTTTCCTCGAATTAAGTCAAAATTTGCCTCTCAATAATTTCCATCCATTGGTCCTAGTTCCAGCCTCCAGAGTCACAATTGCTAAGTCAAATTTATATTTTTACTGGAAAGATTGAACTTGAGAAATGTATCACCCTTGAATCTTTTCATTGCTCAAAAATTACATCCCCAATATGATAATTGAGACAGGAAGAAGACAGGGTGGTTGCAGGAGAATAGAAAATTCCAGGCAGCAATTTCACACGACTAGCAAAAGGAAACTATTGAAATAGTTGCATAAGCTAGGGGCTGACAAGACCCTGAACAAAACAGAGGATGAACCAATCTGGCTAAGGCCAACTGGACCCAACATGCACTGGATTTGACCTAAGTCTCACCTAGGACCTCATTATACACTCATTAACATACTAAGTCATACACCCACCAGCGTCATGATAGTTCTGAGAACAACCATATTTAGTGTAAAAACGGGTGGCACCACAGTTCCAAGAAATCTTAACCTTTGTCCAGGGGCCATCGTGAATATTCCACCCCTTGGTTAAAGAAACCCATAAAGGTAGAAACCTCAAAGCCTCTGGTGTGACACTCTGGAGTACACCTGCACTCCGTTTCCTTGAGTGTATACTTTTCACTTTGTAATATTAAATCTCCGTTCTTTCACTATTTTCCAACTTGTCCTTGCATTATTTCCCGTGACAGGGTCAAGAACCTGGATACCAGCTGAGATTGAGGTCCAGCTGGCATTTGGGGACCTCCTCCAGCCTACTAGTATCATAATGGCTTTGAGTTCTCTCTGCTACACTGTTTGCTCTTTACTGGATCTGTTTCAATGTGTAAAGTCTATCTAAAATTGAGGCCCCAAAAGGTAAACACAAGACTCAGTCTAGATTGGCTCTGGTGGTTATTGTGTGCTTCAAGTTATGATCCTACATTTCCATAAGGCACTTTGATTATGACTAAATTGATGTAAAACCCATGGACTCAACTTTGGCCTAGCATAGCAACCAAAACTGACAATGTATATGGCTAATAATTCCCCAGAAAACAATCCCCATGTCAATGGAAATAATTAAATAGCTAATCTCCTCTTTCTCTCTGTCTCTCTCTCTCACTCTCTCTTTCTTACGTAGAGAACTCTCAGGAAAATTTCCTTACTGGCTTAGTCACCTCGTTTACAATACCCTTCTCTCCCTTTCTTGTCATCACTCTCACACCGTGGCCTCACACTTTTTAAAATTATTGAACTCCAGTGGCCTCCATCCCCGCTCCAACTCAAGCCTTTACTAACATGTCCACACCCTAGCTGTCTCCAGAAACCGCTTCTCTTCACGTCCTCAGATTCTGGCCACTGCTTCAACCTGAATACCACCTGCTCTTTCATAACCCATGCAGAACCTGATTTGTGTTTTTGCTGTGATCCTTGTGCCTTTGATCTCTCCATGCTGTAGTCGTCCCTGGTGCCAATTTGATTTCACTTTTCTTTCAACCCAGTTTGCAACTTCTTATTCAAACAGTTTAAGAACCCTCTTGCAATGTATCTGTAATGCCTCCTGCAGGGTCCACCCTTCTTTTCCCCAATTCCAGCCCTGGGAAATTCTCATTATCTGTTTTCTTTGCTCCTATCTGTACAAATGTGCATGGCTGGAGGAAAAAAAGTGGTTTCAACTTACTGATTTTATTAGAAATGAGAGTGATTCAAACTTCACTGTTGACTCTGTATTTCACTCCCTATAGCAACCGATCCAAACTTTTTTCAACATCTTGAAATCTCCAACCCTCCCCAGGAGCATAAATTTCAACAGATGAACAAATGATCTCAGCGAAAATTCTCTGAAATTATCAAGACCACCTGGCATATGATCTCTTCACTTCCCTCCTCTCCTTAGAGTTTCTTTGTATTTTCTTAGGACTTTTTTCTTCCCTCACTTTAGCTTGTTTGGAGGAAGACTCTCCCTTTTATAAATGCCACAGATCAAGTGTCTATATATTTCCCCTTAACACATTCCTGCTTGAATAATGTTCTATGTCAATTACAGATTCTGTCTTGTCTTTTCGGTCTCTCTACTGGTTTTATACTCTATTACCCATAAACATGCTCAATTTCCATGTCCTCTAACTACCTTTCTCTTAAGCCTATCTCTTTTGTTTTCACCTATAAACTTGTTGAATTAAGCCAGTGCTTCCTGCCTACACTTTAACCAAATACTGTCTTTGTAAGCCTATGCAGTTTGAGTCTCCTTCATTTTTCTCACCACCATCTCACCACTGAAACCAGTCTATTGAAAGTTACCTCTGATCAAGCTTAACAGCATTTTCTCATTCATGCTCCTCTTTGCCCTCTCTGTGGCATTTTATATTACTGTTCTTTCCCAAAGCTTCTTTTTATTGATTCCATTAACTTGTATTACTCTGGCTCATCCTATCTCTCTGCTCTTGTGTCCAATAAAATAAAAAACCTACCACATAGCAGATGTATTTCCTATCTCCTTCACTTTCTATTTGAAGTTAATAACATATTCTCAGCCTTCTTCTCTCTGTAACTGTTCATCTACCACGAATGTAGCATATGACAATGACTTCCACATCTATATTTTTATCTCATACGTCTCTATAGTTTTAGAGACATAAAGGCATCAATCTACTGCAATAATTTCATGTAAAAATTCTAAAGATACTTCAAAATATTCAAAATTTTTCTGATTAACTTTTTGCTTAAATATTCCTCTCTCCTATTTTTCTGTCTTGGTTGTCAATATCATCATCAATATAATACCCTAAGACATCTGCGTTATGTCTCATCTCTCCTTACATAAATCATTCAGCCAGCCGGACACAGGCTCTCACCTGTAATCCCAACACTTTGGGATGCTGAGGTGGGAGCATTGCTTGAGCTCAGGAGTTTGAGACCAGCCAGGACAACATGGCAAAACCCCATCTCTACAGAAAAAAAAAATAATAAAAAAATAAGAATTAGCTGTGGTGGCACATGCCTGTAGTCCCAGCTACCTGGGAGGCTAAGGTGGGAGGATCATTTGAGCCTGGGAGGTGCAGGTTGCAGTGAGCTGTGATCAGGCCACTGCACTCCAGCCTGGATGACAGAGTGAGACACTGTCTCAAAAAAAGAACAACAACAACAAAAACTACCCAGCCAATCATGTTATTACTTTTGTCTAATATCTTTCACATTCATTCTATTCACTCTCTGCTTCTCTTTTCACTGCTTTAGTCTAGGTTCTTATCATTCCTCAGAAGGTATATCATAATAGCCTCTTAACAGGTCTCTGACTTTCCACACCTTTAATCCATGCTCCACGTTGCTAACACTAAAATCTGTCTCTTCCCCAGACAGATTCCATACCCCTTCAGGAGGCACACGTTATCTTCTGTGGCCTGACTCCTACCATATCAGTGTACTGTCACCCAGGTAAGCCAAATACTGCATGCTTACCTTCAATTCACATTCTTCTCTCTGACTAAAAATGTCCCCTTCTTAATACTTGTTGAAATGTGCTCTTCTTTTAATTATCCGTTTCCAATTGCAGCACGTAACCTATTAATAGTTTCCTAATTTCCACAGCTGGGAATAATACCAGCATTCAGTCAATTCCTGTGATCCCTGTTTGTTCCCTTAGTTATGATACTTATTGTTGAGTATGCCTTCTTTGCTTTTTGTCTCTAATTAGATTGTAATCAGGCTGAGAATAAGGGCACATATCTCCACCTTGAACAGTGGCTATTAAATAATCTTTTATTCTTACTGAGAGAATTAAATTTCCTTTGAATGACAAATAAAAAAAAACCTAGATTAAGGTTTCACCTGTAAATTTTTTATCTTTGAATTATTCATTGAGAAAATTCATATTCAAATATAATACTGATGAATGTTATGCCTTTAGAATTAGGAAGCCAAAAAATATGGACCACTTTTAGATAAAATATAGACAGAAGCCAGAAGTTAATTTATTTAGCTTCCCCTATATAATTTCAAATTGGGTTGCTGTGAATCACAGAAGAGCTAAGGTAAACAGCTCTTTTAAGGTATGATTGTTTTCCTCCAATGTAAGAAGATGAGAGTTGAGTAAAACTGTTTGGTGGCCAAAGGGTCGTCATAGTATTGCTTTCAAATATTTATCTTGAAATATCCATGTCATTAGGGACAATTCCAATACTTGCTCTTCTAGTGCTATTAGAAACAACAGTCATGAGTTGCTATTTTCTTGCTTACAGATCACTTTCTAGTTGTCTCTGATGGCCTCACAAATCACACCTCTGATGCTGCCTTATATAAATGGAGGTGGTATTTTTCTACTACCTACTACCTCCTAGAATGTGTAGTGTTGGCCAGAAGATTCTTTGTATGTTCTGAGAATTTTCTAGTTTTACCTCTGAAAGTAGTGTAGGCATGTATGTGTGTGTGCATGCACATGTGTGTACGTGTGCATAGCACATGGTTGAATGTATGTTGACAGGAAAGATAGGTGTGGCCAAGCCATTTCTGTGCTCAGCAAAGCAAAGAAATAGAGCTTTCCTACACCCTGAAGAATGCCCACCCTCCTGCTGAACTGATTTACCTAGATATGAGCTATGAAAACATTTGATAAATGAATTTACAAGATATGAGTAATGATTGCCCTAACCTAACCTCAGAAGCAACATCTCATCACCTTTACTATTTCCTGTTCATTGTAAATGAGTCTGAGTCTAGTCCATACTCAAGGGTATGGACGCCTGACTCCCAGTAGCAGAATCACCAAGAGCCCTCTCAGAAGGTGCCTATAGTATATATTACCATCTACTTACTCACCAACTCTGTCTCCGCAGACTCAGGAGACTCCCTTGATGCCTTTCCTTTTAAAGCCCAAAAAGGCCAATTCAAAGCCATTCCTCCCTAAAAGGGAAAAGAGTCAACTGACCTGACAGAGTGAACACAAACTAAATCCCATTCCAGTGGTCCCTTTAAGGCAGTATGAGGACCATTAAGTGTTTATCAAGAGAGCTTTACAGGCCAGTTGCAGTTTCTGTAACATGTGGCTATTTATTGATTAAATCAACAAATTAACTAACTGAAACTGGCTATCTGTTGATTGACTTATTGATTTAATCAATAAATAGCCACATGCTACAAAACCAGTGACATGACCGGAAAAAAAAAATCACTAAACTCTCACCAAACGTAATTGAAAAATCAAATTGTTTACTTGAACCCTACAGAGACAATAAAGGTAAAGTACATATTCTGGTGAAGGTTGGTAGAATGTCTTCTTCTTTGATATCTTTCCTTTTAATTTCTAGTCCCCATTTACCCTTGCAATCAAAATAATCTTTCTGTGGGGCTGACACCACATGCAATGGGGTGACTTCAGAGAAATCAATCATAATACGTGGTAGTTTATGTTTAGGCTTCAGAATCTCACCAAGGTTAATACATTCAACATGAATGCATGTTCCCCTGGCCCAGAGGCCCTGATCTGACCCCAGCTACATTTCCCACCCCACCTGCTGTTATGCTTTCCTGCCTCTTTACCATCAACACTTCCTATCACTTTATCTGTCATTGCCTTCATGATAATTTGCTTATCTTTTAACGTGTGGCCACCTCTGCTGCAATGGAAGCCACTTGAAAATCTTCACCAATTTTGTCACCATTGTATGTTTAGCTCCTAGATAAGTATTTAGAACATAACATATGTTCAGTAAATACACGTGTAAAGTGTTTATAAATTAATGAATGAATCTGTCTATCAATCAAAATAATCCTCTGTTAACATATCTATTATCCATCACTCATGGAATCCGAAAGCAGTAGATGTTGCTTAGGTAATAAACATGGCTATGTTTTTAAAAAAGAAAAAAGTTTAATACACAAAAATTTGGCATTCTAATAGTATATTTTGAGTATAGGCAACTGAAATTAATTTCAGTCTTAAGCAACTACTATTCTAAATGTTGTCTTAGGGTTTTCACATCTTTTCAAGATAGAAACAGAGCATAGTGAATAGGACTTGTACATAGAATTCTCTAATCCCTGGCTTCTTGAGTCATCTGAAATAACTTTTAACAGGCTTGTGGTTTGGGCTTTGTTTTCTTCTGTTTTGCTTTCATGTCACACACTGAAAACTTTAAAAACACAAAAACAATTTGGCTAGGAGTCGAATAATTAAACGACTGGATTAGCATTTTAGAGCTAATTTAAATTAACAGGGAAAGCAATTTTTACCCAATTTGTGTTAATCCAATGTAAAAAAAAGTATTCTATCTAAATAAAATACTTTACAATAAGTTAAGTTCTACATCCTGCTGATCAACTAAAAATGTTTATTAATCAATAAAATGCTACTGCTAAATTAGTAAATAGTCTAAAAGCTGTCTACTTCACAGAAAACCTTAATCAAATGTGGAAATATGATATGCATAATTTTACTTCTAAGATATATATGAAAGTAGTTCCATTATAATTTAAACTTGAAAACTGCCTCTCAAAACATGAATTTTTGAATTCGTTATGAATTTTTTTTCATATATGCACTTTATTTCTTGTCTCAAAAAATAGGAACATTTGCCATAAAAAAGATACCTTCAATGTAAACCTAAATTATTGAGGTAAGATATACAAAATGTGTTAATTATCTAGAGTCAATATAGCTTTTAATTTTTTTTTTTCCTGAAGAATACCTGGAGATCAGGACTGTTCTATTTTCTACCTTCGTGCTTTCCTTAAACACCACCAGCTTCGGTACCCTGCGCATTTTTAACCTTCCTCTTTAATATCCCAAGTTTCTTTCTTTATCTTCTAAACTGGGTACATTTTCAAAACACACTGGTAAGAAAACTTACATCTAATTAACTGTTATTGCCCTTAGAAAGGAATTTAAGAATGATCCATTTAAACTTGTCATTTTAATGGATAAGTTAGAAGCTCAAGTTAAATTAAATACATTAAAGCATTAGAATCATACCATTTTTGTGGGGTTTTTTTGTTTTATTTATTTATTTATTTATTTATTTATTTATTTATTTATTTTTGGTTTCATGAGGCTACCACAAACTAGCTGGCGTAAAACAACAGAAATTTATTCTTTCAGAACTGTGGAGATGAAGAGTCTGAAATTAAGATAACGTCAGGGACCTGCTTCCTCTGGGGGTTCTAGGAAAACCTCTTACAGTTTCTGCTGGTTGTTGACATTCCTGGACTTGTAGACTAGTCTAAGCTCTGATTCTGTCTTCACATAACCTTCTCCTCTGTGTGTGTCTTTTCTATATGTCTCTTTAAGGACATTTGTCATTAGATTTAGGGTCCACCCAGATCATGCACCTTAAATCTCCTCATATCCAAATCTTTAATTTGATTACCTCTGTGAAACCTCCTCTTCCAAATGAGGCAGCATTCACAGGTTCCAGGCATTAGGATGTGGACTTACCTTTTTCAGGGCCACCATTCAACTCCTAACGGTCTAGATGGGAAATTGAGGGTAGTAACAGTAGTAATAGTATTCATATGCATCTCTGCAGTGCTGTGTCATCCTCAGGGTACTTTCATTTGAATCCTCTCATTTTATAACTTCTCATAGTACCTTCATTTTACAATAAAACAACTGAAGCTAGAAGAATTAACTCAAAGATCTCACAAAGCTAATTAACGGCAAAGCAAGATTACCAAAAAGTCACTATAACACTTTTTCAAGTTTTTATTTGTGTTTAACTAAAAGAAAATAAACTTATTTTTGCAGAAAATATATTTTTTTCATATCAGCACATGGGGATCTCTTAGAAGAGTTTTCTCATAGCATTTTGGCAACAGCTACTGTTTCAAAAATCTTGGATTTGGTTTAGAAGCAATAAGTCACACTATTCATCCAGATTAGTAATAACAGTCAATGGATAAGAAGCTTGTACTATTTGTCAGGCATGATATTTTACGTTGATTACCTCATTTAAGTGCAGTATATATGGCATTTAAAACCTGGCTCAGCTATCTGACAACCCTGAGTTAGAATTCAGTTGCAGCATTTACTCATAGGTGGCCCTTTGACAAGTCAGTCCAACTATCTAATCCTAATTTTCCTGATCTCAGAATTGGGAGTAACACTAGACGTGCCCCAACTGGGTTGTCCTGAGACAGAAGAAAAATGATTCATGCAGCCTTTCAAAACGTGTAGATCTTCCTTAGTGTGTCCTCCACTGGTTATATCTGGAGTGTATGTTCTTTTGGGCAGAAGACACTGTATTTAACACAATTGCCTAATTCAGAACTAGAGATTTTCTCCATTTCTAACATTTTGGGAAAGTGTCTTTGTATATAGAGAGGGAAATATTTGTGTGTATGCCTAATAGTTCAATATTTGCTCATCCTCTATGTTCATTTCCTCCCCCGTTTCCATCTTTACATTTCCACGTAACATTCTTTTTTTAACAAGACCATACAAAAAAAAAAAAAACAATTTTGGAAAATGTTCTTTAGAACCAAAGAGTAGCCAACAATGCTAATGTTAGGGCATGGCAAAGGAGTTGATCACCCTAGAATTAATGCTTCTTCCAAATCGAGAGTAGCCAGACATGAAAAACACTTCCCTGAAAATCTCCTGCTTCAACTCAATACGCCAAGCGCTGCGAAAAGTCAAAGCTCTGCTAACACTTCCCACCATGGACAAAAACTGCCAAGACCCAGTCTCGACAGCTTTGCTGAGTGTGCAATTTGTCATGAAGTTATTGTCTCTTGGAAGGAACCTTAACTACAGATCCTGAGTACTAAGACTCTGTACTCTGTAGTGTCTAAATCAAAAACATATTTTAATTGGTTCTCTTTTGTTGAACACATCGCAAGCACATATTTGACAATTTTCAGTAGATTTGCATGTTTTGCTACTAACATATTTTGAAAACTGGAAGAAATGTAAAAAACAACTCATGATAAGGGCAGAGTGCATAGCTGTGAGGAAGTCTCCCAGCGGACCAAGTGAAGATCAGCGTAAGAGCTTCATTTTACAGAACATCTCTATTCATGGCTTTGAAAGGAGAACAAACAGCTCACTAATTATCCTCATCGGGGACATGATACAAATACTACTGGGGAAGATGATATAAACAGGATATAAGTGTTAAAGCCCGGATGAAAAATAGAGTAAAATGGACCAAAATATGTAAGCTAATAAATCTAGAGAAAAAAATGTAACTTCAATATGTGTGAAAAAACAAGGGTCTGGCAAATGAAGGAAAGAAAACCACTGATATTAACATTAGGTGATTGTGTGACTACTTAAAAGGAAAAGAGAGTATTCAGATGGTTTTAAATCGGAACTAAAAGTAATGGGATAAAATCGTGGAAGGAAAATTTGGTTAGACTGTCAGAAAAACATTCCTAGCATCAAAATCTATTAAAGCATGGAATAATTTCCCCAGCTAATTTAAGTCCCTTCGTTTGATTATTTTAAAATTAGGCTAGACAAACCACTGGGAAATGGCTAGGCCAGAGTTTAATTCATCCTGAATTGGCAGGGAAAGGCATTCAAGATGATCTAATAAGTTGATCCTAAACTTATATGAAACATGACTAACCATTTGTTTTGTTCACATCCCCATTTGCCTCCCAGAAACTGAAACTGGCACATATAAATCTGTAATGCATTCAGTGTGTTAAATGCCATTTTACACATTGAATGCATTAAATGTATGCTCCAGGAAAAAGCAATTTGTCTGGCACTGAGGATACCGATATTCTCATCTTCTCATGGGAAAGACAACTAAATAATAACAGGTGTAGTAAAGGAAAACTAGAATTCCCTCCTAACAACACCACCAGTACCATTGCTCTTGAGTCAAGTCCAAACACTATAATAGTTACCATGGTGTTGCATTAGCTAAAGCACATACATTACAAGCTTCTCCCTCCACTCTTCCTCCAACATTCACTATAGCCAATCTCATCTCCTTCCAGCTCATCGAGTACTCTATGCCCTCTGATCACTCACACTGCTAACTCTATTTGGAGTAAATGTCATTCCTTTATACAGTTTTTACCAGTCCCACTGTTGACATAGTCATGACTTCTTATGGAGAGTTAAGGCAAACCCACAGGTATAAATGAGGCACCAGGCTCATATATTCCCACAACACCATGCTCTGATCAAAACATTTACCCATATTATATTTTATTATCCATCAACTTGTCTCTATCACTCTCTAAATGGTAGTTTATGAGAACATATATCACTATTCTTTCATCTACTATTTAATCAACATCTAGGTTAGTGTCTAACATACAAGAGTTTTGAAGGCATTTCTTGAACGTATGTACATAAACCACCAATTGCAGCAATAATGTCTTGGAAGAGAAAAACTCCCTAAAAACTAGTGGCTTACAACAATCACTTGTTCAAGTTCGTGTGCTTGCAGGTCAGCTGGAAGCTGGCTGATTAAGGAGCTGAATTTGGCTACCCTTGGAATCAAGCTGAAGACTGGGGCTGTATTACATGTGTCTCTAATCTTCCTTGGATCAACGGATTTGCCAAGGCATATTCTTCTAATTACGATGGCAGAAATGCAAGAGGGGTATGCATAAATGGGCAATGCTGTTAAAAGTCTAGATTTGGAACTGCCACAGTCATTTTTACTCGTATGACAGTGACCAAAGAAAATCACATGGCAAAATTCAGCGTCAATGGGGCGGGGAAATATACTCCACTACTAGTGAGAGGAAATATAAAGTCACATGGCAAAGAGAATGATATTGGGAAGAATGAAGGATTAGAAATGACAATCAAATATCCCATAATACAAATAATGTGGTAAAATTACAGTGCTACAGAAGCCATAGGAAAGAGCAATGTTTCTCATTAAACCATGCTGCTGCTCAAATGGAATAGAATAAATATCTTGGCAAATTGTGGATTACCATTATGAGCCCCAGAGTCAGTCTAGTTAAAACTTCGGTTGAATAACAGCTTCTTCTTCTTTAATATACTAGAGTGCTTGCCCAGTAAGAAAATAAATATCGTCTGATGTATTCCATCAAGAATACTCAAGAGGTTTAATATCTTCATATATTAAATGGCTAAAGAGTGAAGAGTTATCTGTCTCTGTCATGCAAGGTAGCTTTAAATGATTAACAAAGTGATAAAATCCATTACGAATCGTTTCTCTATTTGAGTTCTTTTGTGATACAAAACTCAGCTGTCATTTAAATTACACCTTTCCAGAGACCAGGGGACATCTCAGAGTTTGTATTTATATTATCAAGAAAAATAGAAAAAGGAAGGAATTTAGCTAATTTGTTAAGTTGAACCGCTAATCACCAAATTGAATATCTTTAATGTGGATATGCAATAGGGTAATAACTTGAATGTGTAATGTGGTTGTCAATAAGATGATTCTGGGACTTTATCAAAAAGTGTCATCAATTTAGTTTGCCCTAGAAAACACTGAGATTGCTTTCAAGGTCACTCTGTAGAAGAGACTAGACAAGAATATGGTTTAATAAAAAGATTGCTGTTTTTCACTGGTTTTATCCTGGAGTAAACTTACCTTTTTTCAGTTAGAGTTGCCAGAGTAGCATATAGGTTAATTGCACGGCAATTGGAGACAGAAACCTGTGATCATCTTCCACTTACTAAGTGTTTGGCCTAAGTCAAGTTATTCAACTTCTCTAAGCCTGAGAGTATAACAGCCCAATCTACCTCTTAACATTGTGAGGATTCAATAGTAACAATGAGAGTAGAGAGGAAAACTTATGTCAGCTTCATACAAATGAAATGCTAGATTGATTGAGTTTATATATAATTCTGAACCATTAACTTCAGAATATGTATTCTGGTCAAGTATACATGGGACAGTATACAACTTCACTGCTTATGGTGCCATTAAGGAAATTAAAGATATGAAAATAAAGAGGTAATCTGTTACTCTTCTTAGATAACATTACTCTATGTATAGAAAACCCTTTAAAATGATCATAAATGTTAAAATTAATGAGTTTATCAAATTTTCTAGATACAACATTAATATACCAAAGTCAAATCTGTCTCTATATTCCAGGATTAATGTGTATGAGTAAAAATTTAAAATTTCATAACATAAAAATATAAAGAGCATATTATTATGTATGATGGGGGAAGGTGTGCAAGCATAATATAAATATAGAATATGTTTAGACATAGATACAAATGCACGTAAACAGATTAATACAGATAGATGTCAATATTTTTCCACATGGATGAACAATTGTCCCACACCATTTAATGACAAGCTCACCATTTCCTCTATGATATAAACTGCCTCTGGTTTTACAAATTAAAATATTCTTATATGCAATAATTTATTTCTGGAGTCTCTATTCTGTTCTTTTTCCATATTACTAATCCCTGCCCATTTATTTGGTATATTAAACTTCCTGAATTTATTCTTCCCCATACCATACATGAAAATAAGCTCTTTTATATAGAAGGAAAAACTTTTAGCGGAAATTATTTTTAAAATCACTGTGCAACATAAGAAAGGAAAGCATTTTTAGACAAGAGCCAAAAAGTATACATAAAGTAAAAGACTGATCAATTCAACTACATCCATTTTATACAAAAGTACTGTAAAAAATGAAAAGGGAAAGAAATTATTTGCACCACTTACAACTAATAATACATAAAGAATACAAAAAGAATAATGAATATATAATAACACTAATAGACCAAACAGGAAAATGACAAATAATCTGAGATAAAATAGCAAAGAATGCCTTCAGCAGAGAAAGAAAGGCATTTAACAAAGAAAGAAAGGAAATTGACCCAGAAACATATAAAAAGACGATCAAACTCATTTATAAGGTAGTAGAAATTAATATCACAATGAGTTAGGATTTCATACCTATTAAACATTAAATATCCTGCCAATGCAAGTATGTGTGACAATGTGGAGCTCCCAGTATAAGTATATACTGCTAATGAAAGTGTAAATTGATACAATCATTTGGAGAACAGTTTAATACTATTAAGTTGAAGAAACACATACCCTCTGTGGCAAAGACAGTAGCATTCACCAGATATTCATCTGATAGGCCACATTTCCTGCTAGATTTTACTTACTGAGCGGTGAGCAAAAGAAACATTAGTCACAAAAATGCACAACCCATGGGTCTATCTTGTCCCTGGAGGACCCATGGTAAATCTGGGTCTGTGTCTATGTGGATATAAGCGCCACTCCTTTCCTGTAGCAGAGGTTACATGAGTGTTGAGATGTAAAAGTTACTACAGTGAGGACTCCAATATGTTTGGGTGATTGTTTTACCACCACTTGTGTAACTTATCCGGCCTAAAATATGCTAAGCCTCCTAATTCCACTCTTCAATATACCTTAAAGCAGCCAAATATATCACAGAGCAATGTGTTGAAACCAAAGGTTACAACTTAGTGTCGGCTCAAGATTTCCAGTGGCTCAAGACCAGCATGGTTGTTGTTGTTGTTTTTGTTCATTTGTTTGTTTGTTTTAATTAAATAGAACTAAGTAGAATAGAGTAGGTAGAATAGAAATTTTAATGGTATATTTTATATTATTTTGGTTTTAGTTTTACAAACACATACATAACTCATTCCTATACACTATACAATATGTTTAGATAGGGTTGTTGAATAAAATGCATTTTATAGTCAAAAGTATAAAATCCAATGTCCTAGAGAATCTATATCTGTGAATCAGAAAACATGTATAGGAATATTCACAATAACACTGTTCTTAAAAGAAAAATCTTGGAAAGAAACCCAAATTCATCCACAATGGAGTAAACAAATATCTTGATGTATATGCATGGAATGGAATATAATCCAGGCCTGAAAACTTAATAAAGTACACACAAGATAACATAAATGAATCCCAGGATCATAATGCTTAAACAAAAGATCAAATCACAGGATAATGCAGACAAAATCCTACCTGTATAAAGTACAAGGCTTTGAAAACTAAATATCATTTGGCTTAGGGAATCTAACATACGTGATAAAAGCAAAACAAAGGAAAAAAGAAGGATGAACACATTATTTAGAATTGTATTTACCTCTGAATGAAGGAGAAAGAGTGTGGGCTAGGGCAGGAGCCCACACAGGGTTTCAAAATTAGTGGCGATAAATTTTGTTACATTATTTTTCTCTGTAAGCAATTGCTACTTAGTTCCTGTAATTCATGAAAGAACATAAATATTTTGAATCTTAATTTTGAAATTAACTAGCTATATAACATTGTCGTAAATTTTCTAAAATAACTAGCATATGCTACATTTTAGTAAATAAAAGTTGTTGTAGTGATTTATTTGAAAGTAGAAATTGACCCAGATTTTGCCCAAACATTTTAAAAAATTTTATCTCTTCCCATCAGTTAAGCAGGTTGGGAATGCTCACATGGCATTGTATCTGGAAAAGTTGTCATGACAAAAAATGAGAAGAAAGGAAGAAATATCAATCTTATATATTTCTTGAAAGAAAAAAGATACGATATGATAGATTTTATAGAACTATAAATAAGGTCTTCTGATTTATAAAATTGTATATATTAAATAGCAAATACAAAAAGAGTACTCAGGTAAATTTGCCATAGTATTAAACTCTACATCAAAAAACCTGCTATAGTCTAATAAATATTGGTTCTTTTGAATAAAGCAGAATTAATTATTGTGGAAATCAGTATTTCTGAATTTAAACTTACGTAGTTTTCTACAACTCACAAAGATTTCTCTGACGATTTTCAGAACTGAGTTTTGTTTCAGCCCGGTAGAATTTGCTATTTGTCAACCGGAATTTATTATTGGCAGCTTCCTGATCAAATTTCGCTGCGCAGCAGAGAACAACATTTGAAGTGTAACATATTAATACATTTATCTTTTCTAAAATGTAAGACTACTTTTTCATAATGAGGTAGGGGCAGGGAAACGTCATATCCTTTTCTATCCTTGTTTTGATGACCACATTCTTTACATGTCACATAAAATTCAAACCATATAGCACCAGATTTTGGTGACATTATCAAAATATTGTCAGTCTACCCATTATTGCTTTTATTATCAACTTTATAAGCAACCCTTCCACACTCAGTATTCACATATAGATTGATATCTGAACAAATAAAACTGCCTAGATGTCACAAATGATTTGGTGATTTATATTCAAAAGACAAATGTCTCCGCTATTGAAAATTGCTTTTACTAGCAGTGCTTTGTATTTTGGGATATACAAAGATTGCCAAAAGTGCGATATTTCTAAATTTTACATACTGAATCCCATTATAAGGATTATTGTCCATTCTCCAAAAGTACATGGGTACCATTTTTTTGTGGTTGGTGGTGTTTAAAAGGGTTAACATCATGAGTATCTCATACTATCTATATAGCAAATGAAGAACAAACCCAGTGGAAGTATATCAGTGGATGTGAATTGGTGTTCTAGTTCTAGAGAACTGAATACATTTCTTAGAAAATTCAAGATAATAGCAAAAATGTCCAGGTATAGAGAAAGACATTTATAACAGGTATGGATTTTGTTTTTCCTTTTAGAGGTTGATTGTTCAGTACAACCTTTTGTGGGATTTTTTGAGTGCTGTATTTGGAAACAATGAAAATTAAATTCGCCTGATAAATATTGCAAACTGGTTTTGGGCAAAATTTGAAAAGCTATTTGTGGCTGTAGGTAGAGGTGGGAAAGATGAGGAATAAATGAATAAACTTAATGAAGTAAAGTTTCAGCATTATTTCATTAATGTACCTTTTCCATTTTCCTAAAAATCTTTTGGCTTTTTGTCTCACATGATTTTTATATTTTACAGAAGGCTAGAATCTTTCTCCAATAAGCTTCTCTGACTATCAAGCGTTTCTTGCCTCCATACTCCCTAGAGAGCTTCTCTTATCAGCAGGAGCGACATATCAATTCTTGTTCTAGAAAGAAAGGAATTTTAATTTGTCTTGCTTTTAAAGGCATGGTATTAAAGTAGACATTTAATGTAATTACAGTAATATTACCTCTTTTAAAGTAAAAATGAAACAGATGCATTAAAAGTAACTAATGTTTAGTCCTGAGATGAAACCATCTTTGCTTCCAATTGTAGGAGTATTGTAAATACACCATGCTTAGCTGAGATGAGAGTACTCTTGGGACATTACTAAGTATTCCATGTCTGTACTATAAACAAAAAAAACTAATTGATGAAAAGCCTACTTCAGGGATGAGTGAGGAGGAAACTACTTAGGAGGGGAAAAAAAAGAGAATGTGCTAATTTGACAAGAAATTATAAGAAGACGCTGAGAGTATCTTGAGATGAGAGGCCAAAGGAAAGGTGGATTAGACCAGACACATAGAAGAGTTGAAAGACGCGCCCCTGTAGAAAAATAGAAACAATAATAAGAGTTGCAGTCAAGAAATCGGATCATGAGATATCTTTGAAAGAGTTCAAACTGCTTTGGAGGGTAAAGCTTGTTATGAATCTCTACCTCCAAACTGTCAGTGTTCCTCGAGGTTCAGTCTCTATTTGCTTGCTGTACTCTGAATCTACCTGGAAAATTAAAACCACTTTAAGGGTTTACCAGAGTAAGATTAGGTTTATTCTAGATACTCCCTAATCCACGTCCCTTAATGCTGATTGAGCCAAACATTTGTTCTCTCATCTTTCTGCTGGATTTTACTACCTTGACATTATAAATACATTTCTTTTTTTTTTTTTCTTTTTCTTTTTCTTTTTAAATACCTATTGGGTTCTATAAGTACATCTCAAGAAATACTTTCCTGCTTTGTCCTTTTCATTTGGCTTTTTCTCTGAAGATTTTGACTTGAAAAAATATAAATAAGGCACAAAGAGCTGTTTATTTTTAAAATCACTTCATTTAGGTCCTCTCTTTTATGTAACCTGTGATCCACATTACTACCCATTGATTTTTATCCACCATTTTTGTCCTGTTACATTTTTATTTTTCAAAAATATTTAATAGTTCCTCTTTCTGTAGGATAGAATCAAGGTTTCACCCACAGCAGTCTGGACGTTACTCCCTCTACCCTTTTTATTTTTTAAATTTGAAACATTTTTAAAAATTTCCGTCATCCTGATCACAAACACTTCTTACACAGCCTAGCATCTCTACCTTTACTCACATTAATCACCAGCACTAAAATGTCCTCCTCTTTCCTTGCCGATTACCAAAATTTTACCCAGCCTTTGGATTCTAAATAAAACCCATCTTCCCTGGTAAATCATTCTCAGAAAGTCATGGGCCACAGTGATTCCTCCCTCCCATCTCTGAACTTTCAATGCCCCTATTTATTCTGCTTCTAATTTGTCACTTCCCATACATTGGGATGAATTATTTCTTTGATTTTTTTTCAAACATATATTTGTGGTCTACCAAAATGACCTGTAAGAATGTGCTTATGCATTTCTCCAAATGTCTTGTGTAATGCTTTGCACATAATACATTTCTTTTTCCTTTCTTTTTTGAGACAAGACAGGGTCTTACTCTATAGCTGAGGCTGGAGCACAGTGGCATGATCTTTGCCTCACTGCAACCTCCACCTCCTGGGTTCAAACAATTCTCGTGCCTCAGCCTCCCAAGTATCTGGGACTACAGGCATGTGCCACCATGCCCGGCTAATTTTTTTGTATTTTTAGTAGAGGTGGGTTTCCCCCATGTTGGCCAGGCTGGTCTTGAATTCCTAAGCTCAAGTTATCCACCCGCCTCAGCCTCCCAAAGTGCTGGGATTACAGGTGTGAGCCACCACGCTTGGCCTGCACCAATACATTTCTAATAAGAGCATATCTATTTGTGTATGCAGGCCTAGATATGGAGCAATTCATGTCCCAAAGATCTGTAAATAAGAGAGTCACCCAGTTGACTTGGGTATCAGCAAATGTCCTTTATACCTTTACGTTTTTACTAAAATGTTCCCCCCAGATTTTACCTGCAGATCCCTGTGCATTAGTGACTGTCTTTACAAAACTGCAACATCACCCCAACAAAGGTTTGGGCTGCATACTCCTTGATTGGGTTCTGTCATCCACTTCTCATGCTCATAGATTCCTGGTTCTTGAGTCTCTGTGAGGTTTCCAGCTCCTGTGGTCTTCTTATTCTTTTTTTTTTTTTTTGAGATGGAGTCTCACTCTGTCACCCAGGCTGGAGTGCAGTGGCGCGATCTCGGCTCACTGCGAGCTCCCCCTCCCGGATTCACGCCTTTCTCCTGCCTTAGCCTCCCGAGCAGCTGGGACTACAGGCGCCCACCACCACACCTGGCTAATTTTTTTGTATTTTTAGTAGAGGCGGGGTTTCACCGTGTTAGCCAGGATGGTCTCCATCTCCTGACCTTGTGATCAGCCTGCCTCGGCCTCCCAAAGGGCTGGGATTACAGGCGTGAGCCACCGCGCCCAGCTGGTCTTCTTATTCTTTTGGCACTGTTTTCTTCTGATCCCCATATGCCAATGTGGTTTTGACCAATGACTTAGAACCACCATCTTGAAAAATGTGTTTTGTACAATGCTAATTTCTTATGAGGGCAAGAGGTAGTGTTTGGTATAGAGAGAGAGTCTATGCTCAAACTCATTTGGAAACTTCTAGTAGAAACAAACTGAAAGAGTGCCCTGTAACTCAGTGCCTTTAGTATGTGCAATGTACATCCTGCAGGAGAGAATAAAAATGGCAGCGTATTTCAGAGTTGTGCAGAGTGCCTTGTAAACCCTGGCTGATTATCATGTTGTAAAACTATCAATCCTGGCCACTTTATGCCTTCTCAGCAAAGTGACTCTGAGGATAAAGTGAAAAGTCATGATTTCTGTTCTAAGCTGCATCAAATGTGATACTATAAATAATCTGCAGCTTCCCTACCTACATTTGACCCCTTACATCACATGGAAGTTCTTTTCCATCTAAACAGTTCACTGAGTGTTATAATTGATTCAATGACTCACCATGGAAAATTAGGTCAACATCACATTTTGAGGATCTACTATGTAAAAAACACTGTGAGATCTGCCAGGAGTACAAGAATAAATAGGACTCAATCCTTGGTGTCGAGGAGTTCACAAATTGCTTGGGATGACAGTGTGATAAATACATGAGCATAATATGTTATGGTTAGTGCTATGACCAAAGTAAGAACATAAACACATTGCTATGGGAACCCAAAAGTCAGGGCTGGGCCATTTATTCTCTCAGTGCTGTTCAGTGGCTAGAAGAGAAGATATACGGTATATTTATTTAGGAATTCCTGCTCCTCTGATGACCCACCACTACAAATTGCCCCCCCAGCATGGAAGGCTTCTTTTCTGTATCCACATATCCGAGGAGATCCACCCTTGTAATGGTTAATGGAACTGGGTTAATCGTCTGATCTACCTGAGCAAATCAGTTCTGAACAGAGAGCCCATAGTACTTTATTTGTGAGCAGTAGATCTGGCAGCTCATGTAGATTCAGAAAATAATAGCATCCTTTTAGTTCAGCCATGCTAGGTGATTTGCAAATGAATCCAAAATCTGGCTCAAAAGGAGCACAAGAAATGATGCGTTACAGAGGGAAGCAGCACCAAAAGACTACGTAGTCTCAAAGAGTTAAGGCAAGATAGGCTAAAGTAGGCTATAGAAAAGCAAATGCTATTAGAAAAATCATAAAGAAGATAAAAGTCTTAAGTCATTCCATTTATTAAATGGAAGTGGATCCTCATAAAGGTCTTCATCTTGTCTTCACATTGAATAGGCTGAGGAGGAGGAGAGAGAAGAAGGGTTTGTCTTGCTGTCTCGGAAGGTAGAGGCAGAAGAGGTGGAGGAGGTGGAAGGGGAGGCAGAAGAAGCAGGCACACATATAACTTTTATTGAAAAATAAATCCATGTGTAAGTGAACTTGTGTAGGTCAACCCCATGTTGTTCAATGGTCAACTGTATTATAATAAGATTCAGTATCAAGGTATAGGACTAGATGACAATGTTGGTCTCGCTTCTGAAGGCTTTTTTTTTTTTCAGTACTTTCACTTTGTGAACTAAGTCACTAAGTCATAGCTAAGCTCACAAAATTGATGACCTCTCTTGGTTTTTCTGCCTAGCCTCTTTTTCTTTCTTGCTTCTATTTGCAATATGTGGACAGAAAACTTACATTAGTTTATCATCTTCTTTTCAAAAATTGGAGTCTTTTTAATGTAATTCTGTACACTGGACCCACTTGCATGAGGCAAACCATTGAGACAGAGCCTGAAACTTTAAAGTAACCTCAATCTCAACTCCTAGAGGGTTCTGGTTTCAACCATTAGCATTCCTCACAATATTTGAAGACTTAAGTGCTGAATTATTATATTATGACTTTTATATTTTAAAATGTGTGTTTTAGAATTTGGGATTAATTAAGCATTTAATAACAGAAAGTTGCTTAAATTCTCTGGACCTCATTTTCCAAATGTATAAAATATGAGGGTAACTGAAAACATCCAAAGTTTGCCACCTAGTAGAGCTGTCTATCCTCATTACAGTAGTCCCCGCTTATTCACCAAGGATATGATCCAAAGCTCCAGTGGATGCCTGAAAGCATGGATAGTACTGAACCCAATTCCCATCAATTTGCACAAGTATCAGTTCATGCCTTCCAACTAAAAATTTAATCCTTTTTCTATCTTAACTAAGCCTTTGTCATGCATTGTGGCTGTAATTGTTCTAGTTTGATGTGCAACACCAAAACTGGCACAAATTTCTTTTTCCTTCTTCACCATCTTGCGGTTAGATTTGTCTTTGCAGTAGGTCTAGCAAGTTCAGCATACAATGTTTTTTTCTTCCTTACTAAGTTAAGAACTTTCACCTTTTTGCTTAAAGGAGAAATTTTACAGCTTGTCTTTGGCATATACAAATTGCCAGAATTACTACCTTTGTGTTTTGGGGCCATGATTAAGTCAAATAAGGGCTACTCGAACATAAACTCTGTGATATCACCATGGATTGCAGCTAGTGGAACCTAGATAGTTACTAAGTGACTAAGGGGTGGGTAGTGTCTACAGTGCTGAAGCGCTGGACAAAAGGATGATTCACATCCCAGGCAAGAAGGCTGGGAAGAAGCAGAATAGTATGAGTTTCCCTAATGCTCCGCAGAATAGCACACAATTGAAACTTAGAAATAGTTTATTTCTGAAATTATCTGTTTAATAACTTAGGATCGTGGTTGACCGCCAATAACTGAAATCTTAGAAAGTGAAACTGTGGATAAGAGGGGACTTTTACGGTACTCATTATAACGGAGCATTCTTTTACCTTCCTCTTCCAAAATTTGTCCTGTCCTACTGAGGGGTGTCTAACATCATACTAAAAAACACTAACATTTGTTGAGCACTTCCTGAAGGCTAGACACTGTTCTAAGCACTAAATATTTACTAACTCATTTACCTTTGTAACAACCTAGTCATCACCATCCACATTTTACAGAGAGACAAAATGACTTTTATAGTGGTCACATAGTTAGGACATGGCTGAGTCAGAATTCAAATTTAAATGGAGGAGCACTTGAGTGTTGCTCCAAAGACATCACTTTGCTAAATTAAAGAATCCTGAGATAGCAGAGGAAATTTACAGAGGAAAATAAAAGTAGAAAATGAGCACTAATGGACACTTAGCTGTGCTCCAATTGTGTGTGTGTATGTGTGTGTATTTGTATGTAAAAAGAAAGAAAAACAGAGAGTGTGTTTGTGCCTTCCTCTAATTATTAAAAAAATAATGTCAAGTATCTGAAGGTGTTCTGGTTGATTTCAACATAAGTTTATTATTTTGATCTATTCACATATTTTAAATTGTACTTTAATGAAATTTCTTACCTGTGTAGAAAATCTATTATTGCAATGTGTTTCCTAAACTTTTAATTTTGTGCTTTTTATCCTACCATAAATAAATAGAAGTGGAATGGTAATTTTCTGCCCCAGTCTTGTATGCAAAAAATATTCTTGTAGACAAAATGTTCAGACACTTAGCCAGGCACAATGAGTGCCTGTAGTCCTAGCAACTTGATAGGCTGAGTTGGGAGGACTGTTTGAGGCCAGGGGTTTGAGGCTTCAATGCTCTGTTATCACATCTGTGAAAAGCTGCTGCACTACAGCCTGAGCAACAAGTGAGATCCCATCTCCATAAAAAAAAAGTTCAGGCAGCTAAGTGTGATAAGCTGCATGCATTTTGGGCTGGGAAAGAGCTTGCTGCATCATCTCCTGGTCAGTAGAAGAAGTATATAGTTCTGTATTTGTACCTTTTTCTGTTTGCTCAAATAAGAATCAGCTGTTAGAAATCTAAGATCTCTAGCTATGAAAAGTCATGTTCTTTAATTGGTTTTGAACAGTATCATATAGTATTGCTCAAAACAAATTAAGGAACATATATATATGAACTAAGTAAATATTATTGGATTATAATGTTGGTTGAAACATATATGTGAAATTTTCAGAAATGAAATTCAGACGTAGAAGAGACTTTAAAAATGAACTGTGGGAAATGAGGAGTTGCTACTCAATGGGTATAAGGTTTCAGTACTCAAGATGAAAAAGTTTTTCAGATCTACTGCACAACATTGTGTTTATAGTTCACAACACTGTACCACACACAAACATGTGTTGAGAGTAGATCTCGTGTTTTTAACCACAATAAAAAAGAATGTACTCTGTTACC
Organism: Homo sapiens; assembly: GCF_000001405.40. Classification (NCBI taxonomy): domain Eukaryota; kingdom Metazoa; phylum Chordata; class Mammalia; order Primates; family Hominidae; genus Homo; species Homo sapiens. The sequence goes on along the minus strand of NC_000021.9, from coordinate 27,245,294 downwards.
CTTATATTTTGTAGATTTTGGAACTAAGTCTCACAAAATTTAAGTGATTTTTCCAATATTAAATAGCTAATGAATCTCAAAGCCAACAGCTCTTAGTACATTACCAACCTTGCATCGTATAGAGGCTGGAGCATAGTACTAAAGTAGTGCACTATAAGTCTATTATTATTTCTGTGTCCAGCAAGTTTCTTTTTGCATCTCTTTATTAACCACGATAACTAACTCAAGGTTTCAAAATAGGCCCAGAAACTGGCTTCTGCCTACATAGAAGCTGGCTGAAAATCATGTCAGTAACAGATGTAGAGAAAGTGATAAGAATGCAAACTTGATGTATTCCACTCGTGATATCTTTACTGCACCAAACAACTGCAGAAAAATTGGATCAAGGAAAAAAAACAATTGACTAAAATTTCCAGATGCTTGGTCCAGATGTCCAAATGATTAAACAGAAACGTAGTTTTTATTCTAATGATTACATAGCCAAAAACATTGAAAAACAATTTTCAAATGGTAATTTAGAGATTTCAAGAAGACACTAATAAGCAATTATTCTTGTTGATATTTTATTAATTTTTTTTATTTAAAAGTGATTTATATAAAATTACATAAAAATTTGACTTTATATACTGGGGAAAAAATGTGACTTAGAAGAACCAAATGTCCCAGAGTCTTGATTTTGAAATATGTTGTTTCATTCAGTGGGACAGAAAGTCACCAAGAATCACCATTCTACATAATTGTTATTACTAATCACTAGGAGAACGTTAGTCATTACCCAAGAGACGTGACCCTTGAAAACAAAATTATTTAAGGGTAGAGTCATTTTAAGAAGACCTAAATTTACACTTTGTACCAAATAGTTACACATAGAACTTTTCATAAAATATTGCAATGAAGGGACTTTTCTCAAAAATGAAGAGGCATCTTTGTCAATCCTATGGAAATCTGTAAATGTAAAAATCAATGTATTACTAGAAAAATTTTATCATTAGCTTCTAGCAATTGAAAACATTCATTTCACAACCAACTAGAGTTTACTATAGTATTTCTTTTCTTCAGTAGAATGGTCAGGTCTCTAAGTGCTGCAGCGGCTTGAACTCTTGATGACAAACATGTAGGAAAACTTCATGCAGCCAGTTCAAGTTCGGTTTTGGGTGACTTTGGTAGAAACTGCCTAAATTCCAGTAGCACCCCTTGAGAAGGCCACCAATTAAATCACTAAATTCTGCAAGCTACATTCTTCCCCACTCTCCATGTGTTCTTACTGTCTATGAAAGAATTAGATGGTGTACGTTGGAAAGAAGGCAACTGGGAAGAAATTTTTCTTAGCTGTCAAGAAGTAGTTAGTTAAAACAACTCATTTAAACTAGGTTTTGCTTTCCTGCTTTCTTTTGTTTTGTGAAAGAAAATAAATGCAATAACTTTAAGAGACTTTGAAATATAAGTACCTTATTCTCCTAGGTCTTCATTATTCTCAGTAAGGGAGGTCAGAAAAAAATTCAATACTTTTTTTTGCAGGAAACAATGTACAGTAATTGAATAGTCTTCAATAAACTTTTACAGGCTAATATGACTAAAAGAGAGCTAGTGAAAATATCCAACATTTCAACAGGTATAGCTTTTAAAAATGCACATATGAACATGGGTTAGCATTCAGTTTTTACACTAAATAATAACAACAAAAAACATGAAACCAGATTAGGACAATGAAATACAGTCATGTATAGGGCAGTTATTTTTGTGAGTGAGGTAAACAGCCAAATAAGACCATAAAGTTTCAACTATATTTAATGATAAATCATTCTTGTCTTGGAAGTAAAAGTAGCAGAATGCCCTTAGAATGGCTGCAGACTTAAGTTTATTGGTTATTTTTCTCTCATCAGATCTTCTTTCAGGATTAGTATATTTTGGCATCTTTTTTTAGTAAAATGTAATCAAAAAACCAAAATTTACTTTAAGCCAATAAAAATTTGTGTTTTTAGCAGATTTATTTATTTTTTTCAGAGAACTTCCAAGTGCTTAAAAAATGTAAAAGGAACATTTGTACTCAATAAAGCTACTTCAGTGTTGGTTGAATATGCAGATATGGAGGGCTGACTATATTGACACTAAGGGCAAAGTTACAAAGGAACTTTGGACAAGTTATTTGATCTCAGTTCCCTACTTTTTAAGAGGATATCAAAAATTACTCTCCCAAATGAATTTCTGCGACTATTTTAAAAAATTATAAATCAACACTGATACAGTCAGGGTTTTCCAGAGGGACAGAATCAATAGGATTAGATAGAAATATATGAGACAGGAATTATGAGGGGATTGGTTTATGTGATTATAGAGGCTGAGAAGTCCCATGACAGGTCACCTGCAATCTGGAGACCCTGAGATGCCAGTAGCTTGACTCAGTCTAAGTCCAAAGGCCTGGAACCAGGAAAACAGATGGTGTAACTCAGGGTCTGAGGCCAAAGGTGTGAGAACCTGGGAGGACACTGGTCTTAAGTTTTGGAGTTCAAATCTTAAGTCCAAAGGCTGGGGAGCCCAGATTTGTCCAAGGACAGGAGAGAAAGAGTGTATTCTTGTTGTAGCAGATAGATTGACACATACACCTATTCTCTATTTTTGTTCTCTTTGGATCCCCAGTAGATTGGATGATGCCTGCCCACACTGAGGGCAGATCTTCCTGCTTAGTCCACTCAAACTCACATGTAAATCTTCTCGGGAAAACACCCTCACAGACAGACCCCAGAAGAAGTCTGTACCAGGTTTCTAGACATTCCTTGATCCAGCCAAGTTGACACCTATCATTAACTGTCAAAATATGTAAGTGTTCATCCTATAGAGGGAGAGTCAATACATGTGGATCTTCCATAGAAGAAGCATATCTCAAGTATTAAAATAGCAAATATAGCAGAGCTGAGAGTTCATTCACTGTGCTGAGGAAGCAGGTTTGTTCAGCATGAGACTCAAATGAAATGGCTGGAGCATTATGATACATTTTCTGTTCTCTCCAAGTATAGCAGGCTATGTAAGACACTCTTGTCCCCTGCTCACATCTGCATGGATCACCTTTTCTTTAATTTTTGCCACAGCCACCAGTTTTGCACAAGTGTTATGTGGTGGCACTTCACTTCAGCTGCATTGTATGCCTTTTACCTCTGGCCCTTGTGCAACTTGGGCTTATGAGGGAGCTAATGCCCGGTGAGGCAAAATTTATTAAATGGAGAAGGGGAGCCCAAGAGCTAATCCTCCCTTCCTGCAGTGAAGTTGAGCAGACAATTCTGAGGTGCATTTTTAAGAGCATCTCAGAAGTGCCCAGTAGAATCCAAGCCCAGTTGTTCACAGTGGCATCAACTCAATTCCAGAGTGCCTCCTGGTTACCTTCACTCCTTTTTCCTTTAATTCCCAATCACAGACCAAAATAAACCATTTGCATTTAAGCCTTAGTTTTAGTGTCTGCTTTGAGAACAGTAGGATGGAAGAACTTCAGGATAGTGGATTCACTAAGGGCTTAATTTTAAAAAATGTTAATAGGAGAGGGACATCCCCTATGATATGGTTTGGCTGTATCCCTACCCAAATCTCATCTTGAATTGTAGCTCCCACAATTTCCACATGTTGTGGGAGGAACCCAGTGGGAGGTATTTAAATCATGAGGGCAGGTCTTTCCCGTGCTATTCTTGTGATAGTGAATAAGTCTCGCAAGATCTGACAGTTTTATATAGAGGAGTTTCCCTACACAAGTTCTCTCTTCTCTTGTCTGCCACCACGTGAGACGTGCTTTTTACCTTCCACCATGATTGTGAGGCCTCCCCAGCCATGTGAAACTCTGAGTCCATTAAACCTCTTTCTTTTGTAAATTGTCCAGTCTCAGTTATGTCTTTATCAGCAATGGGAAAATGGACTAATAAAACCTTGAAGGGAAAAAAAAGATTATTTCACCAATATTGTAAAAACAGCAGCAAAAATTTTTAAAAATTATATTTTCTAATATGCATAATTTATATAAAAATTTTAAAGAACATTTAAACTCACTAAAACTACCGCCATTCCAAACAAATAAAGCAATCTATCTCTAAGTTAGTTTCTTCTGAAAGTGAAGGCTATCTATTGTTTTTTTGATATATTTAAAGGGAATGAAGCCAGAACAATGAGGGGTTATGAAATTTCCTTACTGCTTTACTTGGCAGAAATTCCTAGTGTATTTTCAATCCACCTAACTCCAATTTATGCTTTATCTTTTTCATAAATCTCATATAGAGTTTCAGAAAGACATGAGCTATTTGAGAACACCAATTTTTTTTTTTCCACAAAAACTTCCAACATCACAGCTGTTCTTTGAAGCTTTTCTTTCTCTCTAATTCTTAGGAGACAAGGCAATTTTAACAACTAACAATATGGATTAAATTTACATAGTCCCTCTCCTATTTTTCCACGACGGAAGTATTCTGTTTTAACATTCTTGTTGCAAGTCATCTCATTTTACAAGGCTTCCCTTTCTTATCCCTATGAGCATGTGTAAGGAATGACCCCAAACACTTTTTAAACCAATTGGTGAGTATGAAGTCCATAAACTGTGGGATGCAGAAGTGGTACAAGTTCAACTCCCAGTTTACCATTCACATTATATTTATCATAGTGCTGCCTTCCCAAAGCTAAGTGGGGTACAATCTTCATAGCCATACAGTGACCCAAACTTTCTCCCCATTCTCTCAGTGTGCTTTTCCCACCTGCTCTGTTCTGTACTTCCTGAGATTATGCACTTAACAAATGAAAGAGCTATTTGGGATTCAAACCCTGGCTGTTGAACCCCTGCGTCTGTGTTGTTAACCCTACAATATGTTTCATCTTGATATAACTAAATCCTTGCCAGAGTAAGAAGAAGCATAAATACAGAGAGAAAATCAAAAAATCACCTAGCAGATACATGCAGGAAAGGGCCTCTAAAGAGGTGCAGTGGCCATGTAGCGATTAATAGTACTAACTGATTGCTCTTTGAGTCTTACACGATGTCCATACATGCAAAAAAGAATAAGCGATGGTGGAGAAATAATTCCCATATCGTGAAAAAAGTATGATAGGATGAGATGTCAAGTACACTGTTAACACTTTGATCAGGATCTCCCAATACATCTATGTCTATATGGGTCATTTATAAGCACATGGCCATAGTACGAAATGCAGGCCACCCAAATTTTATTAGATTCTTATAAACTATGGCAAGAACTTGAAGTAATTTAACAACTTATATTGTAGGGATTTATAACATATCTTCTGCATCTTACAGTAAGCTCCTATTTATTATAGACATATAACACACACCATGGCAGTTAGGACATTAGGAAACCCTACTGTTACGTTCTGATGTTTTACATAAGCACAATGTGTTTATGATTTGGCCTTGCCACTACTCTTGAACATTAATAAGACCACCCAATGTAAATTTCAGCTATGAACAAAGGTGTAAGTAAATTGGGTAGACTCCCACTCTTCCAGACTCCCGGGTTGGATGAGTGAGAAATATTTTGTTACAATGATAAAATAAATCCAGTTTCTTCCTCTGAAAAAGACATATCTCACTAACAAAAAAATAAGCTATGGAAGAGAAGTTTTAAATAGGAGATACAATTGTTGTTGAAATTAACTTTCTTGAAGATGAAAGGTTAGTCTTCTAAGGTCTACCAAACGAAACATTTAGTTATATCAAAGATGTGCTGTAATAGCGTTCGTCCTTTAGCATTTATCTACACAGACTTATTAGTTAAATTAAGTATTTCATTTTAAAAATGGGAAAAAATAATCAGTCACATAGGGATTCTACTAGGAGGACAAAAAATTCCATCAAAGATTTTGGACAAGAGGTTTACCTTCTCCTGTTTTATTTATCACTATAACTAGAAATAAAGATATATATCAAGAAACAACATGTGTGTGAATATCTGTGTGTACATATATATAATTCTTATGTCAACAGAAATCTTAAACCTATAAAATTAATGTTCAATTATAGTAGATATGTTTTCTATTTTTATATTTTATATACTATTTTAAATTATATGGAAAAACTACTTTGTTATATTTCATACATTATTTTATTTCAAAATGCTTAAAAATATTTAGTATATTGGATGTAAAATTTCCTTTCTCTTATAAGCATGATTTTATAGTAGTATTTCTAAAGTGTGCCTGCCCAATTTTGTAATCACATAAAGTGAACTGAAATTTAATGTACTGTTCATTTTAAAGTAATATATGTTTGCCAAATTTTTACTTACTCAATATAGATAACTATTTGAAGTATCACACTAACAATAATAGAATCTAAATTCTGTTTTGAATTTGGTTGTAGAATGGTGCTTCACAGGCAAATTTATTCTATTCATTTGATTAGTGCTTATTGAACATCTAGTTAAATGCCAGGTACAGTTTAGGGAGGTTTGAAATTATAAAAGTTTAGACACAGGTACCACTGTTTATGGTCCAAAAGAAAAAAATACACATAACCAAACAGCAATAAAACCAAGTAAAAGGCAAGATATTTATTCATCTACAATTTATTAAAAACCTGCTATGTGCTAGGTACAACTATAGACACTGTGTCTACATCTTTGAAAAATATATAAAATCCCTGCTGTATGGAGATGAGATTCTTGTGCAAAATGCCAGAAAAGAAACAAAGTACATAAGTAAAATAGGTATTAGATTGGAAGGTAATAAGTGCTATGGAGTACAAAAAGTAGAAAAGAAAGAAAAGGGGAAGGCAGGTGGAAGTTTCAATGAGTGTCAAGAGCAGCCTCTTACCTTTAAGCCAAATTTCCAAGGAGGGGAGAGAAACTGTATCTGACAGAGGAAACCAGCAAAAGCCCTGTGGCTAACAGTGTGTCTGGTGTGATAGAAAAGTAATGAGGAAGAAAGCCAGTGTGGCTGCAGCAGAGTAAGTGAGGGGAATGTCAGAGGATGTAAGATCAAAGAAGTGAAGAGGAGCTGGGTCATGCAGGATCTTGAGGCCGTAGTAAAGAACGTGGCTTTTACACTGAGATTAGGGGCTATTGGCATGTTTTGAACAGTGAGATGATCTGAGATATATATATATATAATACCATAATATCATATATAATCACAGGCATATATATCTCAGATATATAACAGATCTATACTGAACAGAATATATAGATATAAGATAAGATTTGTAAAATTCTTATGCCTCTTTTAAGGGCACTAATGTCATTACAAATCACCTAATCACCTTCCAAAGACCCCACTCCTAATACCAACACATCAGGGATTAGATTTCAAAATACAGATTTTTAAGGGAACACACATATTCAGACCATAACGCGAGATTCTTGCACCTCTTTTAAAGATCTCTCCGTTGCTCTGTTGAGAAGACAATGCATTTTACTGAGACAAGAGAGGACATAGGTAGACCAGTTAAGAAACTAGTACAAAAATTCAGAAGATAGCCAATGGTGACTTGCACCAGGATAATAGCAATAAGTGAAGGTGATGAGAATTGGTTGAATTATGGATGTATTTTGAAGATAGAGCCAAAATCATATACTGATGGATTCTATGAGAAATATGAGAAAAAGAGAAGCCAAAAATGACCCCCAGTTTTTTGTTTTTTTTTGTTTTTGTTTGTTTGTTTGTTTTTGCTTAAATAGCTAGAAAAAGAAGATAGTCATTTATTGAAATAGGAAATACTGAGGGAGCACCAAGGGTAATAACATAAAGTTACTTTTCGAACATGTTAGCTTTGCAATGTCTATTAAGCACTCAGGATGGATGTTAAGCAGGGAGTTAGATAACGAATTCAAAGATCAGGAGAGTAGGCTGTTTCAGAGATATAAGCTTAGCAGTCATCATAGTACAGATAATATTTAAAATTGCAAAACTTGATAACATTACAAAAGGAATGAGTAGAGATAGAGATGACAAAAGGTTTAGGGGCAGTCTTGGGACTCTGCAATGTTAAAACATCAAAAAGACATAGAGAAAGCACTAAGCAGATCAAGAATGGCAAACAGTGGATAGTAGAAAAACCAATACGGTGGCACTCTGAAAGACAAGAAGAGAAAGTGTATTCAATGAGAAGGAGTAACATCTACATGTGTATGATATGTCAAAAAAGCTAAGAAATGAATAAGGGCCGTAGGATTTATTGACACGGAAATCACAGCTGATATTGACAGAAAGAGTTTCAGTGTCATGATGGAGCTGAAAGTCTGACTGGAGTAGGTTTAAGGGAAAGGTAAATTAAATATAGCAAGAATAGACCTCTTTTTCAAGAAATTTTAGCACAGCAGGCAAATATGACAATAGTTAGAGAGGAGATGTAGCATCAAGAAAATAGCAGGTCCAAACTGTAGTAAGAAGGAGGAAAAAGACTGATAGAAGCATCTGGGGGGAGCTTGTTAGAAATACATATTTTTAGGCCTCATTCTAGACCCATTGTCATCTGCACCTTCAGGAACTGGTCTGGGAAGTTGTATTTTCAATAATGGCTGGAAATACTGTTTTATTTTCAAGGAAGATAGGGCAGTATCATTGTACACATATCTTGAAGAAAGAGCAAAATGATTTGGAAAGGAAAATTGATAATGTATAAGGTAAGAGTAAAACCCAGGAAAAAGGAATAGTCAAATCAAATGGACTTACTGAAAATCAGGTAGAACAGAATCTCTGGGCATGAACTTTATCAAGAGAAGAAAGTGAAGAAGTGTGGAAGATCAGAATGACTGGTGCAGGTAGGAGAGGGCAAGTTAGGAGGATAAGTAAAGAGAAGAGAAGAGACATTACTTTCCCTGAGACACAAAGAAGATACAGATAAATTCTCAAGTGAGGTGAAAGGAGTCCTCTGTTGTTGTTAATCTTATTTGTAGAAAGTTGTAAGTTGCTGAGCAGACCCAGATGCTATAGAAGGATTGCTTAGGGCAGAAAAAACTTGAAATTTTTGCTGAAGATAGTCCCTCAACAATGAGAAGTTTACTTGACTCTGAACAGTAATAAACCAGGTGGGCTGGAACTGTTTTATTTAAGCACGTCAGTACTTTTACCACAGTCTTTAATGATTTTCTGCTTCTTAAGTGCAAGAGGCAAGAAGAACACCTAAGAAAGTTATAGTAGAAGAATAAGTCATGAAATTAGTTTAAAGGGCTTAGAGCAACTTTATTAATACAGTGGTTTTGCATCAGGAGGCCAAATAGAATGAATTGGAGAGGAGGAGTGGTTGGACGACTAAAGATTTTGATGCACGTAAAAGTAGGTTCACCAAGAGTAGTGGGGTGGAAGAGCTGAAAAGAGGGGAGGTTGTCATCAGAGAAGAAAATGTGCCACTGCCTTTTCACTAAGATCTACCCAGATGCCTGAAATATGAACATAGTTCAAGGAGGTACAGCCTCATCTAGGCTCTGAATCAGGATGAGCCAAATCAGCAATATAATAGGACTTCTTTGCTCTTTAGACAATAAAATGGTGTGTCCTATGTCTATAGAAGTGAACCCAGTCTCATGGGTATCTAAGAAATCATCAACCTGCAGCCTTCCTATTTACCGAAAGCAACTACACTATCAATCACTTCTTCCGTATCAAATAGCATAACCATTTTTCTGAGTAAATAATGAGGCTCTGGTCAGACATATCACATAACAGTATTCGGATTATCTTCTGCACAAGACTGCCCCATCTACAGGGCTGCATTCACATTGAAGACCTCCTTTAACTCAAAATATGAGGTCAGAGGGAGAGATTCCAAGCCTGTTGGCTGAATCCCAGGTTAGAGCCCTCCTTTGTAGAAGTGGAAGGCCACAGGGATGTGGCGGGGTGGTGATTCAAGACTGCTGGCTGCCCGACCTTGCTCCTAGATTCCACTGAAATCCCTTTTCCAGCATCCCTGCTGCCTTAGTCTGGCTACAAATCTAACATGGGCATCTCATGCTATGGTCTAAATATTTGTGTTCCTTCGAAAATCCGAATGTTCAAATCTATTCCCCAATGTGATGATATTAGGAGTGGGGTCTTTGGAAGGTGACAGTGTTAGGAGTGGGGTCTTTGGAAGGTGACCATATTAGGAGTGGGGTCTTTGGGAGGTGATTAGGTGATTTGCAATGAGATTAGTGCCCTTAAAAGAGGTGCAAGAATGCTACTTTTCTCTTCATTCTTGTGAGGACACAGCAAGAAGGCACCATTTATAAATCAGAAAGTCCCTCTCACTGGACACTGAATCTGCTTGTGCCTGGACCTTGGACTTCCCAGGCTTCACGATGGTGAGAAATAAAGTCCTGTCATTAGTAGGCTACCCACCTTGTGGCATTTTACTATGACAACCAGAACAGAATAAGATGCCCCACATGGAGGGCAGGATTATAGAGATGGCAAGGCATTTGCATGCTGCTGGGTGTGTCTGCGCCTCATCATTCAGAGGCTGTGGGAGGAGGCTGAAGTGCCTGTGCCCCACAGCCAGACCCCTTGCCTATCAGCATCTGGAAAGTTACCCCCGAGCAGAAGCAGCATTTTAAAGAGATACTGTATACATTATTTAAAATATAATCCTAAATTTATATTTTAGGATTCTATCTGGTATTTTTCAGGCAGCTATCATTTAGATGAGGTTATGCACTGGCAGAATTATTTATTTTTTCGTACCTTTGATATCAATTAAGAGTGGAGAATTCCTCTTTTTAGAGAATATGCATCAACATCTTGAATCACCCATTCGATCCTCACATTAACTGAATAAAGTAGATACAATTATAATACTCATTTTACAGAAAATAATTGAAGCTGAAATTGTGTGACATGCCCAAAATCAAAGGGTTAGTATTCGATGGAGTTAGGAGTTGAACCCAGATATTGGAGCCCAGATATGCAGAACACCTGTGTTTAGCCACAAAGCTAAGCTGCCTCTCGCCATGCATTACGCTGACCTCATCCCATACCAGCAGGCCCATTGCACAATGCATTTATAGGTTATTTGCCAATTGCAATTAACTATGCATTAAGATGCTTAAAAACATCAAATCTATGTTAGAATGGCTAACCCGATTGATAAACATTAGATGAGATGAGAGATGATATTCTTTCTTCTTCAATGCAGAATAAATCAAATGTAATGCATCACTTGTTGAAAACCACAAAATTTTAATTAGTGCTACGAGACTCAAACCCAAAACTTCTTAACCTTGCAAGAATTAATGTATAGATGTATTCCCCTCCCCCTCATAAACCCATAGTTGGCTTTCAAGATAGAATGACATACTTAAATAATTCTCCTGCCAAAGTCTTGAAAAGAATATTGTAATACACATACATATTATTCCCTAGTTTTATTTCAGTAGACATGTGGGAATCCACCACATATTTGCTTGAAGAAAGAAACTTTTGATATGCAACCCTTTCCCCTCAACATATTAAATTCTTGATTTAATGCCTAAGGTAGTAAACCATAAAGGAATATAAAAAGCAGAGAGAAAGTAAGTTCATTGCTATGTAGAGTTAAACACATATATATGTAGTGCTATTTTTACAAGGCATAAAAAATGTTCGTAAAGTGCATTCTGTCTCCCACACTTCTCAAAGTCCCAGAAAAGTGCTACTCAGCAATATTTTTATATTTCTCAAATATAGACTCTTATGGAATTTAAGTATCAAACAGAAGAAATTACATCACCTAATCCTTCCTCTCAGATTTTTATTTCTTTACCTACTAAAAGCGAAGATACTTCCAACTTTAAAACCTGAATTATTTTCAAACCCAGCTGTTAAATATTATATGTATACTCTTGTAAAATCAACTTATATTGGCTTTGTGTTGGCAACGCTAGTTGACAAAAATAATATAACACATTTTGGGATTTACAGTGCAAAACACAAACTGGATTGTTGTAGTGAACACAGGTATAATAAATATTAATTTGTATCCTCTCGTCTTCTAAGGCTTTATCTATTTAACAATGTTATCTACCTATTTATATCATTTTGCAAATCACAGACACACACACACACACACACACACACACACAAATGAATGTGATAGCAGTTCGTTTTAATTACTTTGGGCTCAGTGGTGAAAACAAAACCATGCTGTGTTTTAAGGAGACACAGTTTTACGTGTTTATGTGTTTTAAGGAGATAAGATACACTAGGAGTTTACAAATCATTGAAAGGTTTGCCGTATCAGGCCCTGGTTAGGACTCCCAGGAACCATGAGCAACTTCTTAGCCACCATCTGTTCACCACCAAACAGTGTGTTCAGTGTGTTCAGTAACATTCTACGAGTCTGTTGATATAGCGGTCTGGAACCTGGAATGAGGAAATGTTCCAAATCCAAGTGGAAGATGTAACTTACTTTTAGAACCCTAACTGTATGGATGTCTGGGAAATGTAAACATCAATTATTCAGCCCATGGAAATAGAAGCTGAGTGTCCAACACATCTAGCAAAACATTAAAGCGTATTTTGAACTGAATTATGAATCAGATAATATTTTATTGTTTTAATAGAAACTACACAAAATCTCGTTGTAGCTTCCACCAATAAACAGCAAAATTCCCAAAACTGATGTCTCAATATTAACTAGCACTAACCCCGTAGTTTCTTTATGGCCCTATTGAATTGGTTACTCTAAATACGTATTTGTCAAATAGGACTTAACTGATATTTCAGTCACTTCTAGTGCCCCAAAGTGCAGATTTAAAAACTAGCAGGGAGCAACGGAGGGTAGTCGATATGCAAAGTGAGACATTTTTGAAAAGTGATCAATAACTTCAGTGGCTGCAAAACCTGGCAACACAGAGATGTTAGGTAAAACACCTGCTTTAGTACCTGTAAAAAAAAAAAAATCATGATCAACACTTTGGTAGTGGGAATTAATCTCTATAAATCATAATTAGAGCATTGACAATAGTTTTTGATTTGCTGAGTAGTAAAGGAAAAAATATCCAAAACAATTTAAAATGATAATTCCTCTCAATAAACCTACATTCAATCTATCAGAAAGTAATTATTCAAAGTTGAAACAATGCTAAAGTAGAAAACGTAGCATATTCTAGATGTCTTGTTAGAAAAGCAAAATACAAACAACTCATGTGTTAAAAGGGTTTAATGTCTAATGGCGTTTGAAAAGCTACACCTTTTTGAAGGAAATAATATAAGATAATGTTCCATAATAATGATAATCTAACTTATTAGGTTGTGCAAAAGTAATGGCAAAAACCACAATTACTTTTCCACCAACCTAATAATTTTCTCTTTTTAGAATGTTAAGTATGACATTTTAAACTCTATTATTTCTAGTAATATTTAACAAGTATTATATTTTAAACTCTATTATTTCTAGTAATATTTAACAAAATTACAGCATTCATATGGACTAGGATGGAATTATTTTTAATGACCACCTACAAAGTCGTATGAAGACAAGAGGCAAAATGACCCAGTTTTGTGTTTTCTTTTCATCTTTCTCAGAGATTTTCATAAATATTATGAAAATATCCATCTAAGCTTTTATAGTGAACTGTTGGGTTATTTCCTGGTCTATTATACAGCAAAACTCAACAGACACTCAACTCACCAAGTTGTATAAAGATGGGAGACAAAATGACCCAGTATTATGTTTTCTTATAAATCATCTTTCTCAGAGATTTTCAAAAATATTATGAAAATACTCATCTATGCTCTTATTTTTTGGATTTGTAGATTTTTTGTTTATTCCCTGGTCTATAATACAACAAAATTCAACAGATCTTGGGATAGAATGTCTCATGATATATTCTAAATTTGCATTAACAAACAAGTCAATAGTTTAAAATGCTGAGAGAGATTTTTCCAGTACATTTATTCAGTTAACATATATGGGCAAATGATCCAAAACTTCTCAATGTTCACGATGATCTACTCAAAAAATACACTTGACATCTTAAATGAAAAAATATTTTTTCCCAAATTCCGCAATCTTGGATATATACAACACATCTGATGAGTAGTGAGAATTGGAAAGTAGCAGCATTGTTTAATACTAGAGCTTGGTTAGAAGTCTGCATCTTGAACTGCCATTTAATTTTATTTCAGTGATCAAATTAGCAGTCATTTTTTTTAAATAAAGCAACTCATTTCTACTAAAGTTAAATAAAATAAACAACAAACATGTATAGCATTGTAAACAAAAACCACAATAATCGTATTTGGTGCAACAAAAATTTCACTGTCCGGGAACTACAGTGTCTGCCACGGTGGTTGAATGGGTGTATTAACACCATCTTGTCAACTAATCTAATAGCAGGGAAAAGCTGTCAAAAAGCTCATTTCCTTATCTCTGTGAAAAATAGAGAAATTGATTGAATGGATTAAGCTCCATTACTTAAGCATACTAATAAAATAACCACCATTTATCAAGTACCTATCATTTATATTGTTCTATAAATAAATATGTTTGTTAGCCTTTACAACAACTTTGTAAGGTTGGTTTTTGAGAAGAACCCATGGTGGAGCCAAGCTAAGCAGTTGAATCCAGGACTCACGTGAATGCATCTCATGGACAGGACTTCCCTCCTGTGTGGCTCAGATGCTTGTCCACCAGATGCCTCTGGCTAGTTTTTACTCTAATGGTGTCACTCAAAAAACATGGCCTTTCCATTTACCGTTTCAGTATGCTGCCATTTTTTTCCTTTAAAATGACAAGAGTCAAAGTTGTATCAGGACTTCCAGAAAATTTCAAGTCAGAAGTAGTGTTCCCCTTAGGCAACATGGTGAAATTAAGTTAAATTAAATTAAAATTAAAATCAGAAAGGCCATTAAAATAATTACTCAGAAAAGTAAGACAGAAACCTACAAAACCCTAAAACCAGAAAGTCTCTAAGGGTTTCAAATTGCACCGAAAAAAAATTGCTTTTAAATCTAGGAGTGAGAGTTGAGATTTTTCAGCATTGATTTGACAATTTAACCCAGGTATTCATCAATCATAATAATTAATGGAGTTAAGACATGACTAGAAGCAGAATAGTACAACATAGAAGGAAAGTGGGGGCTGTTGGGTTCCAACTTGGCTACTCTCTTACTAGCTGTGTGACCTTGAGTGCTTTTCTAAACTCACTGGCCTTTAGTTTACCCATAACTAAAACAGGGAAACTAAACACACACACAAATATACTCCTAATAAAGACGTTTTTAAGTTTCCAAGAGCTAGCAAGTCAAGTGCTTGTACAGAATCTCTCATGTAATGACAGCTACTACTACTATTATTATAGGAGACTAAAAAAGACTTAGGAAACAAAATTAGGGATAAAACTTTGAGAGCCATAATAAATAACAAATTTACAACACAACAGTAAATATAAGTAACATCAATACTAATATTCATATGCACACCTAAAATTAGTAACATTAGACCTATTAACATAAATTCTCTTTCTCTCTCATTGAAAATATTTTAAGATCTCTAGCCCTACAGCTTTTCATGAAATACCTGAAATTTTGTTTTGCTTGGCTATGGATCATACACTAATACGAGGATGCATTTCTCTCCTTGTTTCTTTTATTTTAACATTATTCAATGCCTTTCTCCATAAAAGATTCAAAATTATCTCCTTGTCCTCTCATTTTCTTAATACCACGTCCTGCTTTCTGAATCCTGTCATGATCCCAGTGATTCAGAGAAACTTACATGCTTAACAAAGAAAACAAATGTTAATGTCAAGTGACTCTCATTTATGTTTTGATATATATTCATATCTTTCAGCAATCCTTTACAGTAACATTGCAAGATTGGGATATCATGATTACTTGTCAGATGAAGAACTTTGCCAGTGAACAACTGTCTGGTATTTCCAATCCTTTCCTTGGGGATGAAACATTTAGAGAGGTGGGGTGTAGTCGTCTTTGGAGACAGACTGACTATAGTCAGAAAGAGTAATCTTAACTGTACCACTTGCTAGCTTAGGCAAGTTTCTGAATCTCTCTGCATCTCTTTTATCTATAAAATTCAAGCAGAATCTTGGCCCTGTCCATGGAATGTAGTAACTTCTGTGAAGACGCAGGAATTAAGTATCTTCTTCCTTACTTTGCAGCTAATGAAATTAGAGTTCTAGTCTAAATTACAAGTGTACTGTCCAAAACTTCATTGATAATACCTCAATTTTTTTTAACTTCACCATCTGCTTTATCTTCTTTCTACTGTTAACAGATTTAGCAAATACAGGATATCCAATGAAATTTGAACTTCAGATAAACAATGATATTTTTCAGTGTAAGTTATGTTCTAAATATTACATGGGATATAATTTTTTAAAAGTATTGTTTATATAAAATTTAAATTTAACTAGGCAACCTATATTTTATTTGGCAAATTTTTTCTCCTTTTTCTAATTATGCCAACAAATATTGATATGAAATTCTGTATGTATTTATTCAATTTTTAAAATACTGTATTCCACTTAAAAAAATGGAATGAGAAAAATAGAGAAAATTTTATTGCCATATAAACTTTACAGAAGAAAACTAAATTGGGTAGGAATGACTCTAAATCTTATACACTGAAATGTCATTTATTTACTTAAGTCTACAAAGAATGGCATTGCTCCTTTCTTCCCCCAACTAAAAGGAAATAGTTTAAAATATTAATGGAAACAGAATTTTTTTAAGCGACCTTTCAAATAATTGATTGTAGAAACTGATTTTATTTTCACAGAATACATAAGCCGGGTTTGCCAAATTATTTTATTGGATGTCTGACTTTTTTTTTTTTAGCATGGGAGAATGATAGGATTTGATAGCATGACGTGTACGCCAACCATTCAGCAACAGGGAGGCAGTCCAGCCAAAGAAATAACATTTCTCACAATACTTCAGTACTTGAACTATTTTTCTAAAAAATTAGCTCCACTTTGAAAGCTTATCCATATTCAACAACAACAAACAGAAATTAGATCCATAGATTTTAAGGCATTCAATTAAATTATTTGAAGAATCTTGTTAGCACTCAATGCTATAAACAAAAAATACCTTTATCACCTGATAACTACGTTGGAAGGTAGAAGTGGGAATTAAAAGTCTTGGAAGATATTATTCTCCTAAGAAAAAGGGGAATATCACATAAATGCTAAATTTCTTGGGGGTGTCCTCATAGCAGCACTCAATCAAATGCTTTACTCAAGTTGTTTTGACAACATCCACACTATCAGAAAACACATTTCTAGGCCCAAATGAATGGTTAGCTTTGGAGTACTGTCTTGAAATCCAAAAGCACATCACATGGGAACCATGGAATTGGAAAGAGGTATACTGAGCCCTCTCTGAGCTGAAACTCCACATTTACATATAGTTTATAAATACCACCTTCTAAGAGCAACTTCACAGATTTTACATAACATTTGGTATCAGTTAGCTTCAGGAATATGCCAACATTTCAGAAGGATAATAAACATTCAAAATCTTTAGAGAAAGCAAAATTTGGTGAAATGATTTGGAAAGATCTTTTTAAACATCGGAGAGAAGAGACACAGTACTTCTTTTAATACCACTGAGAATGGGGGGAGTGAGGGCGGACATTAGATTTCAAATGATATGAAAACAGTCTAGAGGAAAAGCAAGCACACACATGCATCCAGAAATAGAAACAAACAAAACCACCACGAAAATGATTGGGAATTAAGATCAGGTGATGCCAAATACCAAGATTAAGGACTAGGGGCCTGAAGACATAATTAAACATTAGGTTAACAGTGTTGGACAGAAACATAGGAGGGCAGATGGCTTGGAACCCCAATCAGAAGTATTTGAGATTCCATTTAGAAGAGATGTCATGGTCCAGGCTGACAGGTAGACACAGAAAGACATCCAGAGAGAATGGAGACCAAAGACTAAGTTGTCTACCCTCCTTGATGGATGCTCTTCTACCATCTGGCTGCGGTTTATAGATTCTCCCCCATGACATTCCCATGAAACAACACAACGTAAAACATAACCTAAAAGACAATGTAAGCTGTACGTATTTCTCTATAGTTGGGTCAGAATTTATGCTTTCTGAATGCCTTCTCCCTTGATTTCTTACCTAATTATCACAGCCACCATGCAAGGCAGGACTTACTGTTTGAGCTGAATTCTAATAGGGATAAAAGGAAGTTGAGAAGCGTTCCTTGATCATCCTCATGTCCAAAGACTTGCAAATAGAGCAAGAGTCAGAATCTAGCTCTTTTGATGCTAGTTTACCCCCCAAAAACGTTATGTATTTTACATATGCTTACAAAAACAAAACAAAACATAAAACAAAAACAAAAAATAAAACTACATTGATGCTGTAAGTAATAGATCTAAAGATAAAAGATTGGAGAAATTAGAGGCCTAGACCCTGGAAGGGGAAGACTTAGTCCAGTGCTCTCCTATGGTTAGGGAAACTAGAGTTGCCACATTCAGCAAATAAAAATACAGGCTGCCCAGTGCAATTTGAATTTTAGATAAGCATCACATTTTTAAATTTCTTGTTTAGTGTATATCCTAGTGTTTTGGTATAAGTATGTTCCGGTTTTATTATAAATATATCCTGATAGTTTGATACATTTTATACTATAAAACTATTCTGTGTTTCTATAAAATTCAAATGGAAATGGGCATTCTGTGTTTTACTTGGCAATCTTTCTAAAAATGCAGAAGTTAGCTCCAGCTGGAGGGGGGTTGTGTATTCCTACAGGGATTCTGAACTCAAAAAGCAACATGCTCAGCAATTGATTTTAAATTATCTCTGTTGCAATAAAGTTTTATTTAATTTTATGGCCTGGCCTTGCATTCATTGTGAGACATCAAAGGCTTGCATCCGTAGCTTGGATAAAATAGTTATAGAAGAAGGAGCAGAGATAGTCTAAGAATGCTGGTCTCCAGACCAAAAGTAATGAACGGGAGTAGAGAGGGAGAGCTGTTTGGAGGCAAACAGCTGGGCAAGAGAGCAGAGGGTTGTGTGGCAAATGGAAGTCCTTCCTGGGATTTCCACAGACACCTGGGGAGAAGGACCTATTGAAAGATTGGATCTCCAGAGCAAAGCAGAAAATGAGACTGAATTTTTGTCTTTGAAGGTTAAAGGAATACAGGACCTTATGAACAGATGAAGCTTCCTTCAGACATTAATGTAGAAAACTCTCCTTGTCTAATACACGACAGTGACAGTGCTAATCTGGATCCTGATAATTAGAGTAACATCAGGATGGGTAGAGCCAATGCAAGCAATTAATTATCAGCACTGACATTTATTGTCTGTATTCCCATGGGTTCTTAAGCTTCTTTACACATAAAATTTTCCATAATAAAAAGTAAGACTAAAAAGAAAATCTTTATACATTTCACATCTGTGGAATAATGCACATTTGTCATCGTCATCCCACTTGGATTTGAGATCCAGTTTTTTCACCTGTAAGATGGGAAGAATCTATCTTACAGGAATATCAGGGGATTTAACTAGCTAATATTTCTAAGGCACTAGCATGAAGCTTGTTCTATGTTTTATCTCCCTCCTCCTTCTGTTTCTACCACTCATTTACTCTTAAAATTGATCAAGTCATCTTATTTTTATGACTCTTAGTTTTAGCATAAGTATCAGAAGTAAAGTTTCCTTTCTTTGTGATTAAGGCAGGGGAAACCTTTAAAAGGTATGTATTCTACTGTAAAATCAATTCCATAAGTAACATTCCATCAGAAATTAGAATTTTCCCCAGAACTAAAGAATGATTACAAACAAAACAAAATATTATCACAATGTGAGGACTAACCATTTTCACTGAAATGGATATTACAAAGAATGAAACATTTGTATTTAAAAAAGCAAAGAAAAAGATACAAGAGAAATAATATTTATTTTGTCCACACATTCCTCTACTATAAACAAAAGAAAAAATTCTTTAATTACCTAATTTTCCCTCTGGTTGGAGACTTAAAGAAAGACATTTCAGTAAAAAGAATGTGTAAGGCCAAAAATTGTTGAATTACTCACATCATAGCTATGAGCCTTATAAACTCAAAGCAAAACATGGGAAAGCAAGTTGCTTCATTTAATATATTAAAATCAAAACAGCAACAAAAGTTAAGCCAGATATCAATAAATACATCAAAATGTAGCTAAGTGGTTTTAAACTCTGATAACTTACAGAGTCTAAAATTTAAAAAAAATCAAGTAATTTTAACATTTTATTGCATATAGTTTGTGTAAAAGTGATTAATGAAACTGAAAAAATAAATTAACAAGTAATAACTTATACATCTGAAATGGCTACAGCATATCAAAATGTATATAACTCAAACTTTAATTTTTCCTAATTTAATTTACAAAGGTAAGGTCAATTCTTTTTTTTATATTAATTTAGTATTCCATAAACATACATGTCCTTTGTTAACTAACGTGATTCCAATATTTTGTAGCTTAGCGAATTTATTCTTTAAAGCTGTTTAAAACGGAAAATTACTATATAATTTCTAAAGCCATGCAATAGTGTAATTAAACTACTACATACTCCTTTTCGTGTGAATTTCAATGTAAGTGTTTTTCAAAGTCAATTTCAGAAGTCCTTAAAATAAATAAGGCTTGAGCTCTTTTTTCCCTATGCAGTACTATTAAACCTGACCCCAAAATTTCCAAATGAAACACTGAGCACTTTATCCATTGTGAAGATTTGAATCATTTCAACTGCATGCATTTGATTACTTGTTTATGTTATTTTAGTTCACTTTATAATATACTACTTTTCATTATTAAAAGAACATCTACATTTACAGAAATAAAACTGTTAAGAATAATATTTTTATTAGAGCAAATTCTACTATAAACTGTAAGTTTAGTGTCAGATTTTACCTACTATTAGATTTTTGGAATTTAGTAGTAATTATTCCAAGCTAAAAATTGTTGATAAACAGTAATGCCTTTGAAGAAGGTATGTAGAAATGTTGAGTCATCCTATCATAAATCTTCCAGCAGTATATCCTAGGAATACATTAAGGTTCAAATTTTATTTTACTGTGTCAATCTTGCATAATTTTTGTGCTTAACAAAAGTCAAATGAACTTCCATTCTCTTTCTTTGACTTTTCCTAACATATAAAAATAAATATTGTATCATCTTCAACTAAGTATACAGTAATATATTTGTATTTATTTTCTTAATTCTCTACCTTGTTACATCTGTGCTTATTTAAAAACAATGCATGGAATCACCTATATATTTTCATACCTATTTATACCCCCATGGTTTTGACCAGGATGGGGTAGCTTACAGCATGTAAAACTACCACAATTCTTTATAAATTATACACATATTCATATGTAAATGCTCTAGAGAATTGCTGAGGCAACTAGGACTTAAGGGGCCAACATCCATGAAAAACAAAAATATAAGCAAGTAAGCCAATTTGATTTGAGTACATCTGTAATCTGTTTCTTTCTTAAGGGCTTTTGTGGTAGTTGCTCCACTCTCCTCCGGAATGAGAATTATAAAGAAATCAAGCAAGAGATAAGCTTAAGAAACCAGAACTTTAGAGTTTAGAACCACCAAGATAGTCAGAAATTGATGTGCCTAGACGATATAGAAAAAAAAAAAAATAGAGAGAAATGGATTGAAGGCCTGTCATTCTGAGGCATTTGCCAAATTGTTAAGTTCTACAAAATAAGAAATTAAGCAGCCAAGTCAAATGCCACAAAAGCATAGAATGAATATTTAGTAATCTTAAAGTACTAAGAAGCTAAAATTGGTGTTCAGATCTGATCATAAAAATAGAGTTTTAATAAACATTTCAGGATCTCAGTTGTGGTTCTTGGAGATCTAACTCTTTAGATCAAATTGAAAGAGTAATTGAATGAGCTTCACCAAACTGCAAAAAAATGTCTGGACTCAGCTCAGTCCTTAATTGGATTAGGGAGACTTGCTCCCCCTTAAGCTGCCTGCTTGAATTCAGGGTCAACCTTTTGTGGAAGAAGATAACATCATCCAAAGACTATATGATTTTTATACACCATATTGTGCATTATATTAAAATTATAAGTCAATATGATAAATGGAAACATGATCAAAAATAGTACAGACAATGGAAATAGAAGAGCCAGTTATTGGAATAATAAAATGTGGACTTTACTTAATGACTGTGAAAATAACAGGGCTGATAACTATAGAAATAATACAAGCTAGAAAATTAAAAAAAGAATGGAAAGAATAGATGAAAGGATGGATAATTTTGACCAAAATTTGGATTTAATAAAAAAGATTCAAATGGGCATTCTAAAACTAAAAATATAATATCTAAGATTGATACAATGATGGCTTTAACATAAGACTATATACATTAGTTTTGAACTAAATGACATGTTAGGACAAAAATTCCTAAACAGAAACATATGCCAAAAAAAGAGGAATAAATGAAACAGCACAGATCATTAAAAAAAAGTGAGAATATGCATGAAACTTTCAACATACATTTAATTGGAGTGTCATGGTTAGAAGAGACAGAAAATGTGGCAGAAGGAATATTCAAATAAATAATGGCTGATAGTTTCCTAAGTTCCAGATGCCAGAAATTCAGAAAACCTAAAGCAAGAAAAAGAAAAAAAAAGTGTCTATTCTACAATGCTGTTTTCTCATAAAATTTTAAACATAAAACAAATGGATAAAAGTAAACAAAGGGCTGGGTGCGGTGGTTCATGCCTGTAATCCCAGCATTTTAGGAGGCCGAGGTAGGTGGATCACCTGAGGTCAGGAGTTCGAGACCAGTCTGGACAACATGGTGAAACCCCGTCTCTACTAAAACTACAAAAATTAGCCAGGCATGGTGGCAGGGGCCTGTAATCCCAGGTACTCAGGAGGCTGAAGCAGGAGACGCACTTGAGCCCCGAAGGCAGAGACTGCAGTGAGCCAAGATTAAGCCACTGCAAAAAAAAAAAAAAAAAAAAAAAAGAAAAAAGAAAAAGAAAAAGAGAAAACTAAGGAGGCAGAGAGTGGAATGGGGCAAGAAGATATATAGAAAATAGAAGGCATAGAAAAAATATCCATTATCTTCAAAGAGCAACTATAAAGGAGACAGAAGATTGAGAAACGGTGTTTTTTTTTTTTCCCTTTTTTTTTTTTTTTGAGGAGTTTTGCTGTTTTCGCCCAGACTGGAGTGCAATGGTGTAATCTTGGCTTACTGCAACCTTCGCCTCCTGAGTTCAAGCAATTCTCCTGCCTCAGCCTCCCAAGTAGCTGGGATTACAGGTGTGCACCACCACGCCCGGCTAATATTTTTGTATTTTTAGTAGAGACAGATTTTCACCATATTGGTCAGGTTGCTCTCGAACCCCTGACCTCAAGTGATTCACCCGCCTTGGCCCTCTGGAGTGCTGGGATTACAGGTGTGAGCCACAGCACCCGGCCGGACAAGGATAAATCTAATGAGTCTTAAACCTATAGGTGGATCTGAATTTAAAGCCCACTCTGATGTTATCATTGTAAGTTAAAGCACAGTTTTCTAAACTGACTGTGGCATTGGGTAAAGGACACAAGTGTAGCGACCTTGACCTTTGCTTTTGGACCATGTCAAAGAAAATGGTAATAGAACTACTACATCTGAATCACTCGATGAATTACTCAAATCCATAATAATGGGTGCTGCTTCCTTTTCTCCTCACCTCTTTCCTCAACTCTGAATGTCATTTAAAGTTCTATCTGATTTTTTAGAAACCTCACAAGAAACACAGTGGAATGATTTTAAACTGAAAGCACACCTTGCTAACTTGTAAAACATCCAGTGGTTTCTTCCAGAAAGCCTCATTATTTTTACTTTCTGAAAATTCATTATTACTAATTCTCATGGAAACTAAAAATAGGCTAACATACACTTTTAAAAAGTAGTAAGGAATTCTAAATTGACATGGATTAATTATTTAGTCTAGATTAGAAATGAAAAAAAAAATAATAAATGGGTTTAACAGAAACCCTAAGTACAGTTACATAAATTCTGAAGGCACACTCAGTGATTTTAATGAGAAGGAAGGATTTTAGCCAAGTTGTTCTTTAAACATAATGGACAGTTTACCGCTTCACTACCCTTTTTCCAGCTGTTAGCTGCATGTTATTTAAGAAAGACTTTTTTTTTTAATCTAAAACACTTAGTTCCAAACCATTCAAAGTACACGCTGCTGCTTAAGAGAGAATGATGTTTTGAGGGACTCACTTTTTAAAAAACCTTAACTCAATATGCCATCCAAAAAAGGAAAACTTTCACAGGATTATATGTTAAATTTAGCCTAGTCTACCACGTTGTATTTTCTTCTAAATTTTAAACATAAAACAAATGGAAAATAATTCAGAAGGGTGCTGGTTATATCACATTGGCCACAGGAAATTCAGTGCTTTTATGATAGAAAAATGTATTAATTCCTTTCAGTCATGCTGACAGTATGGTGAGCTCTGAAAGAGATTTCTTTCAAGCCAATATTACCAAAATTCAGCAAAATATTACATTTTGAAGACTACTGCTAAGAAGTCCCTTGTAAGATTGTCTAGATCCTTTGTGTTTTTTAAATGAATAAATTTTGCATCTCTAACACTTCCAAATACAAATAGAGGAATTTAATTAATTAAACATGGACAGTGCTTTACTAAAGCCAAGAGATCATTATCAAGGGATGGACAAAGAAAGTCAGGAAATCAGCATGATGCATTATCATAAGACTTGGAGACTCAACTTGCCTGCCAAGTGAAGCAAGAGAAGTCACCATCACTATCTCTGGGGAAAGCCTATCAGAAGTCAAGTCTTGAATAGGAGCTATGGGTAATACCAATGGGATTGGGATCTGCTCCTGCCTCCTAGAGCTAATAATTTAGGAAGGAGTAAAAGGCAAATGGCACATGTATAAATAACCATGATATAAGTGAAACTGATACCTAGAAACTGTTAAACATAATACTAGTCAGCTTTATTTATTTTAATGAATCAGAAAGATCAGGAAAACCAAAAAGGGTTTCTTGGATTAAGTGAGGTTTAAGCTGAGATTTAAACAGGGCTTGTGAAATTCTAGTGTGGGCTAGTGTAGGTATGAATCTCCTGAGGATTTTGTCAATATGCAGTTTCTGATTCACTAGGGTCTGGATGGGACCTGAGATTCTGCATTTCTAATAAGCTCTCAGGTGAGGTCATTGCTGTTGGTTCTGAAACCACACTTTGAGAATCAAAACCTTAAAGAACAAATAAAGTCATATTTATTACCCTTCTTGGGTAACACAAATCCAGTTCAGGTGTAGAGAGTAGCTTGAGGAGACACACAGAGGCAACAAAATGCAATGTTTATCTAAGAATAGCAAATAACTAGTGTGGCCGTTGTGCTAAGGGGGCGGCTTGTAGAGCTTTTGGATTCTACTCCTAATTGTCTCTCAAATCCACCTCCACCAGCTCCATGCTGTTTCTTCAACTAATTCCTTTATCATTTTCTACATGAGTAACTGTAATAGTTTCTTAACCAGCATTCCTTCTTCTGGCCTCTTTCTCCTAGAATTCATTCTTCATAATGTTGATACAACTATTTTTCTAAAAGGTGAATCTTTGGCTCTCTAACTCGTCAGATGGAGTTCAAATGCTGAGATACGGCATAACTGTCCACTTGAGCTCTCTGGGACTTCACTGTTTCAATCTGCAGCTACCCCATCCCTTGACCGTATCTTATCAGCACCAAATGTCTTAGAGTTCCCTTAATAGATCATATGATTGCATACAACTGTATATTTGCACATGTTCTTTTCCAGCCTGAAATATACTTCCTCACAATGTGTAACTGAGAAAATCCTATTCACTTTTCGAGATTCGGCTATAAAAGCTGGGCACGGTGTCTCACTCCTGTAGCCCCATGTATTTCAGAGACTTAGGTGGGTGGATTGCTTGAGCCCCGGAGTTCGAGGTTGTAGTGAGATATGATTGTGACATTGCACTCCAGCCTGAGGGACAGAACAATACCTTGTCTCTGAAAAAAATAAAAAATTTCAAAATTATTCAGCTATGTTAGCCAATATTTTGGCCATTGTAGGCATTATGACTCACTTTCTCCTCTGTTCTTCTCTTGATTTGACTCATGCATTTACTTGTTGAAAAAAAATATTTTCTGAATGCATGTTATGTGCCAGGCAGTGAAAAAGATAGCTGAGGCCCCAGCTTTCATGGTGCTGAGAGCACAGTAGGGAATGATATATTAAACAAATACTTACATGTGGGTTATTGTTAGAAAAGAACAAATAAGTACCTCTTCTCTTGAAAAAAAATAGATGACCAGGAAACACTGACCATGTATTTCTATGGGGAACAATCAGCCAAAGTTAAGTAGTGTCTGCCCCTTTAGAGAGGATACCATAAAATCTCAAGTTCAACAGTCCTCAACTCACTCATGTGTTGGCCTGGATCTTGGCACACTTGAGTTCATGACTTCTTTTTAAAACCAGAGAATGACAAACTTCACGTTTGTAAGGTCATTGGTCAAAGATAGAGAAAATAAGTTGAAAGGTGACAATAATTGATGTAAGATAGACAGTTATGAAAATATAGTTGTATTCATCCTGTCAATAAATGGAGTTGGCCTAGATGGCAATGGTGGGTGTGAGTAGAGATAAGAGACAAATAAGTGAATTAAAAACATATTTATGATGTAGGTTAACGGCATTTATTATTTGTATGGGGGGATTATATTAATAGAGAAGTAAATGATGACTCTCAGAATTCTGGCCTGAACAACTGGTATCTTCTGGTCATAAAATAAGAAACAAAATATCAAATACTAACAGTTATAAAGAGATCATGAGTGTAACTTTGTACTTAGTAAGTTTGAGGTATCTGTGAGATATATGTGTAAGGAATGACAAGTAGCCATCTAGGTCTAGAACTAAGAAAACAAGTCAAGCTAATGGATGTACCTTTGGGACTTGTTAGCATATACATAACTATATTAATGAGACCACATAGAAATAGGGTTTAAAACAAGCAGTGAAAAAAGTTTAAGAGGATACTCGATGTTGAATAATTGTGTAACAGGAAGACAACTGGCCTAAGAGACTCAAAAAAACTGAAAGCCTCTTCTGAGAGAGACAGAAGCACAACCATTTTGTTTGTTTGTTTGTTTACATGCCAAGAAAACAAAGAGAAAACAATATGTCACGAAAAGGGGAGAGGTAAACTTAAGAAATTCAATAAGCTTGATCTAAAAAGTTTCCAAAGCAGTGCTGACATGGAGCTAACAGGTCTTGTTAGAGGAGTTTTAGAGGATACATTGGCATAAGCCAGGAAAAGGCGGATAAGGAGTTGATGAATGGGAAAGTAATAGAGGCAATGAGCATAGGTAAATGTTTTCCAAATGTACAATTGAAAACAGAGAGATAGAGGGAGATTGAAGGATGAACAGAGGATAATCAAGGGATGATACGTTGAGGTGGAGGATATGGATGTTTAAAAGCTGATGGAAAACCACCAAATGGGAGAGAGAGAAAGAAAGGGTATAGATTCATGTTGACCCTCTGCAAATAAGAGTGGGTGGGAGAGAGGAGAGAAGATTAGTCTGGAACAGAACAAAGGCCACATTGCCCCTATCTGACAGTCAGAAAGAATGGATGGCTGCAAATGTGAATATTTTTATAGAGTGAGAAGTTCAGGCAACTTTACGCTGATTTCTTCAGTTTTCCCTGTGAAGTATGAGGGAGGTGATCTCCCAAAGAAGGAGGGTAGAGAGAGGCAGGAATGCTTCTCAAAGTGTAGCTCATCGACCCTTCTCTCTTGATAGCATCAGTTGGGGAACAAGTATGAGCATTCTGCCTCAATTAATGAAATACCAGCATTTTTGCATTTTAGTAAGCATAACTTCAACATATTGACGTTTGACAATCCCAAAGACAGGAGAAGGAAATAAATGAGTCATTTTATTCAGAGCTTGCTTGATTTTCCTTAGAAAATACTCCAAAGATACTGCTTTGAAGTTTAGGCCTTAGGTCACTCATCTCTTTCTGTTTCCTTATAAGTAGGGACCTTTGTTTCATTTCTGGCTTGTGACAGTTGTTTTGCCAAAAGTAGTTAGTCCCTACTTGTTCTCAGCTAGTCCCAGAGAGAGGGGTGTCCCAGAGAGAGCGGGCAATGGACTACATCATTCCCTCCACCCAGGAAGGCTTCCTTCCTTAGCTTTCCCATGATTAACTACTGAAAGAAAGCCCAAATGTCCTTTCCTCTCTTTTCTTTTTAAAAATTATGTTATGGTTTGTCATTATCATTTATAAAAGAGATGGCCCAAAGAAGTATCAATCAAAACTGTGTTTCAGTTGCTAACCGTCAAGCAGAGAGGGTTTTGCTCTGCACCAGCACCAGCTATAAAACATCTTGTTTTCCTTCAACTCTTTTGTTTTCTTTAGAATTCACTTTTTTATAGTTACTGCTCTGAAAAATGTCACAAAAAATTCAATGTATTGTGACTGACATATACCAACATATAAATTACACTCACTGACTCATGAATTATTATCCTGCCACCTCCATAAGGCTGTTTTCAGGGCATGAATAGTAGTGGGGTCAGAAGCCCTCCCAATGTCCTAAATCCTTATTGTTAAATGATTAACAGGTCAATAGGCTATAGGTTGTATGCACAACTAAAAGCTATCTATGACCACCTTTTAGAGGTTACTAAATTCTTGTAGTCATAACAAAATTTAATACATTACAAAGAGTTCCTAAGTATTTTCATAATCTTCTAAGACTTCTGACTGCCATACAGGCTTTGTGTAGAAAGAATAGTTGGAAT
Source organism: Homo sapiens (assembly GCF_000001405.40). NCBI lineage: Eukaryota > Metazoa > Chordata > Mammalia > Primates > Hominidae > Homo > Homo sapiens. Next base: position 27,216,545 of record NC_000021.9, on the reverse strand, counting down.
TACTCTATTTTAAAAACATCATATGCTATCAGTGCATTCCGTGTTAACTTAAATTGATTGTGGTTACTTATTGATTGCAGCAATTTTTGCTTTTACATTATAAGTAATAGCTTATTTTCAATAATACCAATTTTTCTTGCTGTGAATTATTTGGTCAACCCTACAACCTATAGTGTATAAAACTATACATGTTCATCCATGTAGTTTTGACATAAAATTTCAAAGATGTAGATTTAAAAAATAAGTATGTGTTGTAGATTAAAGTAGAATCAGACTGTCCCCATTGTTAATGGTGAGATATAGCTAACACTCCTCAATTGCTATATGATAGCACTTCTTCAGTGGTGACTTGTCTATGAATGTGAATTACTTAGACATCTTGTAGTATATTGTAAAGGAATGGAGGAAAATTACTAGTTATTTTAAAGTTTATAAGGCACTATTTTAAAATTAAAATTCAGTTATTTAAACTTCTTTTTGCTTATAAAGAAAATAATAAATTACTCATGTATCTTATTAGGAAATGGTTTATTATAACTCTTTTGAAATGACATTCCTCTATTTATTAGTTGTAGTTTGTTCTTTTTCCAAAAAAAAAAAAAAAAAGCAAAGGTAGGATTGCCATGGGATTTTTTTTTTTAAACACACTCAGGATTGAAATGAATGTACTGGGCCACAATATGTATAAGTCAAACTCTGTAGCCATAATCAAGGCTTGTTGGCTTGTTCTTTATTTCATTTGTATTCTCCACAGGGCTTGCAATAATGATAAATAAACTCTAGGTCTTCGAGAACTATTGTCAGTTATTAGTATATGAATGAACTATACATCCAACACATATCTGTTAAATATACTTCTATGCTAGTCACGGAAGTTAGTCATTTACACTATTGTTTTCCTCTGGTGAAGGGTTTAGGAAACTAAACCAAGACTGCAACGCAGGCAGCATTCAGCTTTTGGTTGTCCCTCCTTTGAATGACATCTATTATGGTAAAGCTGCCCACACATTATCCTACACAAAGGACAAGGTACTGTCTCAAGGCAGCAATAGGGGGTGAGATTGTGGGAGATCCTATTGAGCTCTCATTAGTCAGGCAGAAATGACCTGAAGCTTGTTCACTTATAGAGGGACATTTTAATACACATCCACTCATTACCCCACCGTGCTGCTAAAATCCCATATCAGTTTTCTACTTTCTCATTCCTTCTCCACTCCCACCCCAAACCTCATGGGCAGAAAGAGATACAGAGCTGTGAGAGGACAGTCTGGGAAATCTCACCAAAGGGTAATAACTGCCTGAGAAGTGTATAAGTGAGAAAGATAGATTTTATATATGCATATTTGCATTTGAATTTCTACTATCCCCTGACCTTGGGACACGGGACTCCAAGTCTTCAGATGTAAAGATAAAGAATTTTTCAACCATCCACCCTGGACCAGTGATGTATGTAAGAGGCACTGGCTCATGGGAAGTGAATCTATTTGCATTGAACTTCCCAAATTCTGAAAGTACCTCATGGAAGCCACTTGTCTGGCCCTAGATTTGTGCCATACACATCTGCCCCTCATTTTGCATGGTTCAATGGAGGCAGTGCTTATGGATTTTAATAATTTTTAAATCATTTTTGAAGAAATTCATTTGCATGCTAATTGACAAACATAAACTTACATGCTTGCACAAACATAATACACGTTTGTATTTGTATAAAGTAAGTAGTAACTGCTTTTCATGAAATAATTTTATTTTTTCTCGAATTGTTTTCCTTGTATTTGGTGGATACAAAATTATAATGATAACACATTAAACTATAATTTTAATAACTTAGGTTTCATAAAAGCGGAACTATGCCCTGCTTTAGATAGCAAAAAGTCAATAGAATGTTCTAATTATGGAAGAATAAATGGATTCAAATACTTTTGACAGGTGGGAGTTACTCTTAGATGTGACTGAATTAGCCACAGCTGCTTTCCATAGAAAAAAGCCCATATGCTTAGTAAAAAGAAAGATTAGTTTTTATCATGTAGTCATGCTGAGTAATAATATTTAAGGAGCCACGTTAATGCAAGCTAACTCCATTTGTATCTGGTGCACTAAAAATTCAACACAGATAAAATGCACCATATGTGAAAGGAATTAAGTGTCTGACCTCCCAGAAATATACAATTGAGTGACATTTCATGGAATATTGACACTTTCTATAAATCCTGATATTTCTCTTAATTGCTTCATACTCTATTGATAGTTGCATCTGGGGACCCGGTCATTAACTAATCATTGCCTTCAATACAGCTCAGTTTCAATTAAAGAACAGAGATTTGTCTTTTGGTTTTGGCACTGAAAAGTTCAATACAAACTCATAGCATTCACCATGACAAACAGATATATTTGTTTCTAGAATGTGGCTTCATTTTTCCCTTATTGTCTGCCAAATATTCATCATTATTTTAACTACTAGTGCTGTTTAATCCTTAGGTGTTTAGTGGCATTATTATATATGGACTTGTCATTTTGTTAAGAAAACATTAGCTATTACATAAGAAAGAATACAACACAAATATTCAGTGAAAACAACATTTGCGTAGCCTTACATAATATAACTATGGAATTGAAATATAACACATCAATTAAACATTATTTGATTTGAATTACCATAAAGAAAAATAGAATGTTCTTTCAAAGGTGAAATGATACTAAATGAGAGCTTTTCTTTGATCCTCTGAAGATCCAGTTGTACTAAGGACCTGGAAAGACCAAAGCATACAAAAATTCCTCCAACCAGTGAAGCCAAGTATACTTTCTATGTAAAATACTGGTTTGTTATAATCAGTTGAATAATAGTGAAGGGTGGGTGTGAAATGCACATATCCTATTTTGTGGAAGAAAAATATGTTTTCTTTTTTAATAGAGGAAGCTTTTGGGAATGTAATGATCATTTATATACCTTCTATATCTACCATGCATAACTCTTTCTAGCACCTCTAGGAGCCCACAAGAGGGAGTAAGATTCAGTGGCTTGAAGTAACAATAAGCTCAAGAAGCCCCTTTCCAAAGCTTTCTCAGAGACCTGGAATCCTGGAGTCAATGCATCTCATTGCTAAGACATAAATCTAGCAATAACAAGAAATAGATAGCTTGGATTCATTAGGAAGCATTATCTGCTGAGGAGAAAGTAAATATGACTTTATCTTTAGTGGATCTCATTAGTTCTGAACTTTCTCATAGAAATATGCTTATTATGTTCGCAATGCAGACAATGTTATCTAAATCCTAATGATAATCTTCAAGTTTATATTTTAAGTTGGATACTATTTATTTATTCAGGGAGTAAAATGAAAATTTTACCATTATAACTAGTAAAATATGAATCAAGACCAAAATATTTTGAATTCTGCTTTTTAAATCATGTAGCTCCATTAAAATATAAAGAAACAAAATGTAGAAAAATTCAGAGAAGGAAATATAGAGAAATGAATTTGCAAACCCATTCTAATGTGTTTAATGCTACTTTGAAAATTATTTTCCAGGGACCTTTTAAATCTTTTAGCCAAAAAATCATTTAGAAATGTTTGAAAAATAAAATATCTTCTATGATTTCTATGCCTAAAAAGAATTTTGCACTAATCCCCAACTTCAACAGCTCATTAAAACTCTTTTAGCCAACAGATTGTTTTACCAATAAAACGTATATTTACACACACACATGCACATTTGTATTCCATATAAATTGCAAATAACCACTTCAATTCTGTTATAAAGAGAATTTCCAGGAAGAAAAGAGAATCTAACTCTTGGCTTCTAACTCTTGTTCCAAAGGGAGAAAAATCAGAGCCAATGGCATAGATAGGAAATCTGCTAGCATGTTCAGCTCCAAGAGTGTATCAGTGTTCCCTACCACACCCAAGGAAATGCTATTTCGTTCATACTTGACATAAAAAAGCCCATTCATACTTTGGGATTTAATGGAACCGGTGGAGATCTTATTTATAGACCCAAGAGAAGCTCCCTAATGCATGAAACAGATGTACCACTCTAATATCTACATTCACATCTGAAATGGTTGTGCAATGAGGTCTTCTCTCTCCTTTAAGGAAAAAGAAGTGGAGAATCAGAGAGAAAATTCAAGACACACTGATGATATATTTTTTGTTATGAATAATGAAACACAGCATGAATATATCAAATAATTTCATTACAAAATCCCTAGGCTTATTCTTCATACTACACATTTTAATGAGTGAAGCCAAAGCTACAAAATGTTTTAACAATCTTATGCCTGACTGCACCTCTTCCCAGAAAAAGTGTTAAAATATTCTCAGTTAACTTTTACTGACTTTTGTTTAAAAATCCAGTAGCAAAAAGGAAAATAAAAGAGCAAACCTGCTTCATGTAAAACAGAAAGAGAAAGAACTACAAGGCTAAAATTCAGTGAAGAGCTGAAAATTTGGGAGGCAATATTAGTATCTTAAATGTTTGACCTGTTTAGAAAACACATTTGACTATAAGAAAATCTCTCCAGTTACAGACCACCATGATATGTATAAGTGTCACGAGTATTTCATTTTAAGGTAGGTGTGGGGAGGAGATCCTGCTTCCACTGGCAGAGTAACAAAATCCATGGTATTATTGTAGGCCTGGTATCTACAATGAAGACAGTATTCCTACATAGAAGACTCTAAGATGGATATATTTAGTGAGTCAAGGTGTTAGGGCAGCCCTTGTGTATTAGTCCATTTTCACACTGCTATAAAGACATACCTGAGACTGGGAGATTTATAAAGAAAAAGTTTAATTGATTCACAGTTCTTCATGGCTAGGGAGGCCTCAGGAAACTTACAATCACGGTGGAAGGCAAGGGGGGAAGCGAGGCATGTCTTAACACGGTGAAGCAGGAGAGAGAGAGAGAGGGCAGCGGAAACTGCCACTTTTAAACCAGCAGATCTCATGAGAACTCCCTCACTATCACAAGATCAGCATGGGGAAAATGGCCCCCAAAATCCAATCACCTCCCAACAGGTCCCTCCCTCGACACGTGGGGATTACAATTGGAGATGAGTTTTCGGTATGGACACAGAGCCCAACAATATGACCGTGGCTCTGTGTTGAGGATAGTAGAGTTTGAATTCTGGTCCCATGAACTATTAGCTTTGGTCTTTGGACAGGTTATTGAAACTGTTTTAGTCATATTATTCTCAACTTTAAATGGTCTATTAATCATGCCTAGCTCACATGCATGTTGGGAAGATTCTACAGGCTTATGTAGGTAAAGCATTCAGTCCCCTTTTATATGCAAAATGATGATCACTCTAAAAGCTTATTACATCTTTCCTACTTCCTCCTTCTTCCTTTTATTCTTTTTTCTTCTTAATATTATTTCTTTTCTCTTGTTACTTTTATTATTTGTGTAACCCACCTGCCAATGTTTGAGCTGATTTTATGACAGCTAATGAAAATTTAATTTTCCAAATGTGAGAGTATAAATTCTTGGTAAATTCTGTAGCAAAAATATGCTAAAGTAAAAAATTAGCAGGGATTACTGCAAGGATGTTCTAAACACTGCCACATGGGAGAAACAGTAATAGTCTTTATTGTGTGATTGTCATGATCCACGCAGTTTTCTAAACCCTATTATGTGATTTAATCTTCACAATATGTTTATGAGGTTGTAGTTACTATTGGCCTCATTGTAGAGGTGAAGACTATAAAACCTCATGGAGATGGTATATTAATGTAACTAAGAGTACATCACTAGTTCTGAGCAAGACAGGATTTAAATCTTGTTCATTGAACTGTGCCGTTTCCGCAACCATCATCTCCACTGGAGTTTCTAATAGGAAAGGTTCAGATCATGGGTAGATACCCCAGAAAATAATACTCCTATTAGCAGAGGAGAATGGTGTCAAAAAAAGGAGGCTCAAAGGAGATGATCATTAATGTAAAAAGGGTTTATGATATCCTTTCTTGTGTCTAAAAAACACAGGCAAAAACTTTAATCTTAAGAGAGGCAGCTACAATGTAGAAAAGCATTTTGTAATGAGCTCAATTCCATTACATAATTTTTAAAAATAAAAAAAATGGCATTTATTACCTGACTATCTCAAAGTGATTTAGGTTGTGAGATTTTTTAAAAAATAAAATAAAATGGTTATTTTTGAACAGTTTTAGTTTTACAGAAAATTACATAGATAGCACAAAGAGTTTTCATGTGCATGGTTACACACAATTTTTATATTAACATCTTGCATGAATATGGCACATTTGTTACAATGAATGAATGAATATTGAAACATTATTATTAACTAAAGCCCATGCTTTATTTCGATTCCTTTAGTTTTTATCGAATGTATTTTTTCTGTTGTAGAATTCCATCTAGGAAACCACATTACATTAACTTGCCATGCCTCTTTAAGCCTTAGGCCTCTGTTGGCTGTGGCAGTTTGATGTTAGGAATTTTAAAGAAACCAATCATCTGTTCTTACAGCGATAACATTTCATACATTTTAAGTAATTTTTTCAGAAGTGAACATCCTCAAGCCAAGTTTTTACTAAACTGTAGCTGTGAATTGCTCATACGAACAAAGAACTACATACAGTTCAAAAATCAAAGGTGATTTTATTAATGGATCTTGCTTTTAAATGTTATCCCCAAAACACTGACACTTACATATGGGATAAATTTGTATCATATATATCTTTTAGTTAAAAAAAAATGACAGGTAAACCAAGCACCATGACAAGATAATTTAAAACAAAGATGATAATTCAGAGCTTTAAAACCTTCCAGAAAGCTTTACAAAGCCTTCCCTAATCTGACGCATTAATGGAACTTTTGAGTGTGTATTTGGTACTACCCCTGGGCTATTTTAGAGCTCATTTTAAATCATCCACTAAACCTACAATTGAATCCAGCTAAAGAATGCAACTAAGCAGAAGCAACTGTCCTTGGCATGACTAACACATACTGAAAGTATAAATATATACATATAAATATATATAAATATTATTTATAATATATAAATATATAAACATTATTTATTAAATATATATAAATATTATTTATAATATATAAATATATAAACATTATTTATAATATATAAATATATAAAAATATGATATATAAATATTATGTATAATATATAAATATATATTATAACTAACCAAGAGTATTGTTTTCTCTTTAGATGACAAAGATAAAATCAGTTATTTCTAGTAGAGTTTTTTTTTTTTTTGGAGTCTCACTCTGTCGCCCAGGCTGGAGTGCAGTGGCATGATCTCAGCTCACAGCAACCTCCACCTCCCAGGTCTGAGTGATTCTCCTGCCTCAGCCTCCCGAGTAGCTGGAATTATAGGCGCATGCCATCAGGCCTGGCTAATTTTTGTATTTTTTGTAGGGATGGGGTTTCACCATGTTGGGCAGGCTGGTCTTGAACTCCTGACCTCAAGTGATTGCCGGCCTCGGCCTCCCAAAGTGTTGGAATTATAGGCTTGAGCTGTTGTGCCCAAGCAGAATTTTGTTTTGTCTCACACACTCCTTTCATATTTATATAGCTGCTTTGAGACAGGATAAAAAAAAAATAGATGTCAGGCCCTTTGACGAACCTGATGTCTTTGCTCTTAGCCAAGCCCACTAGCTCTTCAGTTTGGCTATTCCACTGCTTTTGCTGGCATCTGAAAGGTTCAGTATATCAGCCCTACTCAGTGTCCCACAGTTCAAGAATTTTGGAAGATACTAGAGATTCTATTCTAGACAAAAGTTAGCTCTAAGGGATCAGTTCACGTTGCAGAATGAAGATCAAAATTAAAATCTCTATGGTCTAAAAGAAATAGTTTGGAAAGTGTCAGTAGGATGTCAACACACCTATGAGGTAACACACCTTCTCCGATCACAGGGTATCATGTGGGATTCCCATGATAGAATCAACAACTAATGGTCCAATGAAGCTACATTAGTCAATTTTTTGTGTCTAAATATGTCAGTAGAGAATTAGCCCTACCAGAATATTTGAAAGGGAATAGTCCAGGTAATCCTAAAAGATGTAAAAAAATGGAATGACAAAACAAAAATGAGAGAGAAACAGAACCAGCATCAGAAACCTGAGTGCTCCTGTCGCATCACTACCTTGGGGCTCGGATCAGGTGCCAGGTAGAAGACGTGGCTCAGCAGAAAAGATGATGCGCAGGGGGGTTATGGGAGCCAGTCCCCCAGAAGCTGCCAGAATCGGGGCAGAGTAGTGGCTAGGACATCAGATGTCCCTAGGACAGCTCAGGGACATCAGCTCAAAGTTTTAGGAAAACAACAACTCTTTCTCTGTAGAAATCCTCTTTCAGTTATATGCTCATTTTAGGAATTACAGTACTCTGGATAAAAATGATCAAATAATTGCCTAATTGATGACATTATTTTATAGATCAGAAGACTTTAGAAAATATATATTATTGTACATATAATACCGAACATTATTTAAGGCAGAGTTACAGAGCGAAGAGCTTTTCTTAATTGAAGAATACCAATAGATTCTCTAAACAAAGTAGCTATTATTTAATAATGCTAATGTGATTAAAATAGGAAGGCAAGGAGAACTCAATCATATGAAATGAGACTACACTCTGGTCAATACTCCACTAAGTGTTTTACATACATCAATGCATTTAACACAACAATTCAAAATTACATATTAAATACTGGCAAAATTTTATATTTGCTGATTAACATCAACTTTTAAAAAATTGTGTGGTTAACACCTCAAAACACAATCATAGATTATAAAACAGAAACCATATTTATTTAGTACATTGACATTTAATCACTCTTACATAATTTTTTCTTAAAAATATTTCTTCTACTAATTTTAGAGGCCTTAAAAATGTCTGTGCTTCTATTCACAATCGCAAAGACTTGGAACCAACCCAAATGCCCATCAATGATGGACTGGATAAAGAAAATGTGGCACATATACACCATGGGATACTATGCAGCCATAAAAAAGAATGAGTTCATGTCCTTTGCAGGGACATGGATGAAGCTGGAAACCATCATTCTCAGCAAAATAACACAGGAACAGAAAACCAAACACTGCATGTTCTCACTCATAAGTGGGAGTTGAACAATGAGAACATGTGAACACAGGGAGGGGAACATCACACAGTGAGGCCTATTGGGGGGTGGGGGGCTAGGGGAGGGATAGCATTAGGAGAAATACCTAATGTAGATGAAGGGTTGATGGGTGCAGAAAACCACCGTGGCACGTGTATACCTATGTAACAAACCTGCACGTTCTGCACATGTATCCCAAAACTTAAAGTATATATATAAAAAAAAGAATGCCTGTACTTAAATACATTTAGTTCCTTCTGGAAGACATCATAAAAATTCCATGCTTCACCAACTGCTAAGATATTTGAGCTAATAATGTACAAACTGAAAAAAAAATCCAAGGTAATCAATATTTTTAAAGTATTTCTCAAAGTCTCTTTTTCACATGTGAAACCCATAGCTTTGTACACTCTTAATTTGGCATCTCTTTTATGTTTGGTATTTCCTGGAAAAATTCTATTAACATATACTCTGGGGCTGGGGGAAATTTGATTTGGCTAAATGCGGAGATAATACATGTAATCTTAAGGATTAACTTCAGAAAGTGGACTCAAGATAATTAGTGATCAAATTTACTTGCCCTGGGCCAAATTTAATTCTTGTGATTTAATGCACGCTTTAAACTGGTCAATCTAAAAATATGTGTAGCCTTCTCTTCTGGAATTTATCCCTTCATTGGACACCACTGGTATTTCACCCACATCCCCTGAGATACATTTACCAGCTTCTGTGTGGTTTGCCTCTAACAGCCGGCTTCTGCCACATTCTTCAGAGGACTTCTCCTGGGCTACTAGATCTATTAGGATCAGAAATGCCTGGAAGATTACCTGTGCTCAGTTCTTCCTAGGCAGCCCCTTGGCCAATAGCCGACTGGCCCTGGAAGGCAAGCTAGCTCCCTTGCTCTTGTAAGTAACATACTCCGCATTGTGACTTACACTCAGAGCTCTTGGTGGAATTGGGCTGAGAATGGGAATTTGACAAAAACAAAGAAACAAAACAAACAAAAAAAAACCCTCACCTTTGTTTCCTTTCTTTCTCTTTCTTAACTTCCTTACTTGATTCTCCTGGAAGCATTTGAATATGAATCCACATCTTGTTGGTTTCTGGGAACCCCAATCAAATACTCCCCTGATTTAGCCATTCTTCAAAATAAGGAAGATCAGTTTCACATATGGTAGTGTAAAAATCCTAAATAGATTATCTACCACAGGTCTAATACAACAAAAAAGTTACAAGTGGCAGTAATTCCAAGAAAGCAAACATTGTTCTATTTTAGAAGTTTTACTAAATATGATTAACAGTATTCATTTTTCAAAGGTGAAAATTGTCATTATAATTAATAAATAGAAAATAGAAATCAGAGAAAAATGAATGTCAATCCAACGCTTAATTAGAAGTGTCCAACCACATTCAAATTATAGGAGACTTTGTGGATTAGATTAGCATCTCTCCCCAGTTTTATGATTCTGTGATGGTTTCTTCCCATGTACAATTCATATAAATCAAATATAATAGGTAAATTAATTTCTGTAACAAGACTAAAAATGAGATAATTATAATTATATGAAATAGAAAATAAATTTGTTGAAATTATTAGAAAAGCAGCAAATGACAAGCTCTACCATAATTATATTTTCAAAGAAATCCATGATACTTGAAGATTATGTTTCCTGGATTTGTCAGAGAAAGGCTTTAAAAAATATTTTTTTCTCTTATCATTAAAATTCCTATGTTTGCAGCAAGTTTGTTTTTTGTTTTCTGACTATAAGAAATTATCTGACTTAAAGCTGCTGTACTAACTATTCATGCAGATGACTTAAAAACATACCACAGATATCAGTAAAAGCTCCTTCAAGACTCAAGGAACATATGTGAAAGTGCCCTATATGTGTTTGCCCTTTTAAAATATTCTAAAATTATATGACTGAAAAGTATTAGTGATCTAGCTATTCATACCTCTCAGGTACTTATAACGAAATTACATATCTTTCAGGTACTTATTGTTTCCTTATGTATAAATACTCTCAGGTAACAATAATGAAACAAAGATGACATTTCTAGCCATGGCAGATTAAACTTGTCTTAGAAGTGACTGAGAATAATTCAATCTGATGATATACTTTAAAATAATAGGTTTTCTACCAACTCAGTGAATATGGACAGAGAGAAATTGGAAGGAGGGAATATTTTTCTCAAATTGTGAATTTTTAGAATCAGACTACCTTAATATAGATCACTGGGTGGTGCAGATGTTTGTCAAGCTTCTCATGGGGGATAACTAAAGAAAAAATAGGGACATTTCTCCTATATTTATGAAAAAGCAAATCACAGAGGATAACAAGAAAAAACAGGTACATTTCTTCTATATTTATGAAGGATCAAATACATAAACTTGAGAAGAAGATATTATAATTTCCATTGTTCAAATAGGGAAACTGAGTTTCAAATATGAGTAAACAAATTACCGGTATTAACTCATTATCTTCTATAGAGCATGCCTATAATCTTGACATTTTCTCAGGGATGAAGTGCTGGTCTCTGGAAAACAGCTTCATCTTTTTTTCTTCATCTTGCTCAGAGGCAGAAGGAAAAGTGGAGAGACCATTAGAATAGCAAGTTTTGTTCTACTGAAACAAATAAGATCCACCCTTGGAAGCCTTGTTAGAAAATTTTGGATTTCATGCTTCCATGACCTCAGTTTACGTAAGGCCACATTAGGAAAAAAGAATAGGCAGGACATTCCAAGGAGCATTGGCCACCACCCTCACAAAGACCAATATTAGGACAAAATTCATGTAAGAGTGTCACCCAACAATCCCTTTTTAGAATTACATTTTTAAAATGATGTATCATTGTATATTGGTTATATTGGGGTGGAAAACTTGTCTTTTCATTCAAAGTCCCATTGAACAGGAGTTGGCAAACATTTTCTGCAAAGGACCATATGGTAAATATTTTAGAATTTCCAGGACAAAAGGAAAAACAAAGAATATGATTTATTCTTGTTTTAAATGTAAACATTAACAATTGTAAACACACATACACACACACACATTAGTTTGTGGGCCACACAAAAACAGGCAGCAGGCCAGATTTGGCTATAGGGCCATATTTTGCTGACCTCTGATATAGAACATGAAAAACTGAGCAGAGATGTGATGAGGATTACACATCATGCAAAATACTGAATTTGACCAAGGATGAAACTTTGAGTTGTTTCTATTTGAAGAAGGACTGAGTGTGTTTAATTTTGACATCAGCATTTTTAACATAATGTATGAGCAAAAGATGTATCATGGTGGGCATTTTTGCTGGATTCTTCCCAAACATTCTATTCCACAGGTTGTTTTTTTCTTCCAGTTATGGCAATTCCTTCTGCCTTCCCAGTGATCAGGTAAAGAATGGATATAGAACAAAATTCTGGCCAATAGGATATATAGGGAAGTCTACGTGGAGGCATTCCAGAAAGATTTTCTTACGAAGGAGACCTAGGTGCTCCTCTAGTTTTTTTATATTCTTAATACGGTCCTATGTGAATATGAGATGCGATGGCAGGAACAACTGCACCCGTCCTGTTACCAGCCTGAATGTGAGACCGGTATGCAGAATGGCATATCAAAAAGTCAATGTTATCATTTAGCTGGTTCTGCCTGCTTCTCCAGCCAGATCCAAGAATGACCATAGATTTATATATTTTCTAAAACTCTTTCTAGATTATTTCTGATTCACAAAGGTACTTGTCTTTTAAGTTATTATAGCTGTACCTTTGACATTTTAGCTTTCATCTATATTACTGTGAACTTAAAGCATTCTCGGGTTCAGAGCTATTTAAAATTTTTTTAAAAATAGCTAGGCCTTTTACATTTTAGCTATGAGGTACTTGAGAAATAATCAGGGCAGCCTGAAAGTATGACTTATGTGGACATCTTGATTTTTGGTGTCCAGATTTTCTGGTGTCCAGATCTAGCATTCAAAGGCAGACTGATTGAGTTGGCCTCTTGCACTTGCACTAGGCTATGGCATATACTGGTCAGTCTGTGGATGGTGCCAGACACCTTAGTGCCCATCTGGCATCTGGCCACTGGAGTAGAATGGCATGGTACAGTTAGGTGTGGTGGTAGTTGAGCTAGACAGTACAAAGCAAGGATAGATGTAACCACCTGTGGCTGCTGTTACCTGAAATGCACAGTAAATGTGGAAACATCACTAAATAGGAGGTAGATTGAGGGTTGTCTTAAGAGAGAGAAATATACTCCAGTGCAGGAGGGGTGGAGGTCACTCTTCTCCCTTTAAGCCTAGAGAACATTGTGAATGTGATACAGAGAAATTGTATGTTTGGAGCTCTATTGGCTTGAAACTTGAATGTAGAGTTCATAGCATCAGAGAAGCAGTCAAGCCAGGAGGTGTAAGCCTATATCTGGGGCTACAAAGAAGGAAGTTGAAATATAAGTGGAGAGCCCCTCAGAAATAGCTGAGAAGTTTGGAGAATATGTCCTTGAGGTACACAGGATAATGAGACTTCACTTTAGATGTTGAAGTGAAGTTAATTTTAACACCAATTTTATTTTTCTTCCTTGAAAATTCTGTATATATTCCTTCTCACTTGTGCTCTGCAGCTATTTTCTATCAGATTGAATTAAGCACAAATGAAAATGAAGGCAAAATCCTCACCCGCACTACTCCTGCCAGGTAAGGGTATAGTACTTTCCTGCCAACAATCTCCCAAATAAATAAATGGCACTGAGCCTGAGTTCTTGGATTTAGACAAACATTTCCAAAATAGAACTATTAACCTGTCACTGAAGTGGGGGCAAGTAGCCCTTCTTATCTGGCAAGTATTAAAGAATGTTGGATGAATGAATTTTACTACTGCTGTATCTCATGGGAGTAAATTAGGCTAACAAAAAAAAATGTGTGGGTTGATTAATTACTTGTGTTTACTGGCAGGACATTCCTAAGATACTCTACCATGTACTCCCTCAGTTTATATTATGTTGGAGATGTCTAATATGGTTTTAAAATCCATTATTCAGAAATAGAGTGAGAAAGTCTACATCTTTTATGTGCCAAGCCATGAAAGAAAGTGGTCATTGAAAAAATAAAACATCCTTTGTCTTAGGTAAGTTTCACATAAAATTCTGCATGCTGGAATTCGGAATTGCTTTGGGAACCAGCCAGGCAACAACCAAAGTGGGGACAGGACAAAATAAAGAAGGACATGAACGTACTATGTACATTTAATATGTCTTGAGTTTTAACTAAAGTAATTCTGAATGCATATCCACTGGTTCATTTCCAAACAATTTTGAAAAGATTATTTATACTTCATGGATAATGAACACTAGGTTACAGATATTATTTATATTGCGTATCAGAGAGTAGTATATTGGTACCAGAAACTCAAATATGATTGTCAACCTAATTGAACTGAAATATTTCTGCCATTATTATCAGAAAGAAATTTGCTATTTAATGATTCTGGACAAATTGAGCAGCTGATTGGTATTTTTTGAACAATTATTTCATTCATTCATTCATTTGTTCATTCATTCATTTAACAAGAATGAGTGTTTACTATGTGTGAAACCCTGTGCTAAATGCTGGGAATATAGAGGTAAACAGCCCTGAAACTCATGTAACTTATGGTCCAGTGTATTTCAAACTCCCAAAGTTAAAGTTTTATGTATGCATCATAATACGATGTATAATGTAAGTCAGATAAAAAATAGCTAATATTTCAGAATTTAGATAAAGAAGGACACTAGCCTAGGACAAAGTAATCAACATAACAGGAAACTGTATCTTCAAAGCAATTTTCTTGCAACTTTGTTGTGAATGTTTTATGTATTTCTTCTGCTTTCGATTTTCAATCAAGGTAATGAATATCTATGATACAAAAAGTATGCTAAAAACAAGGATTCTTCAGTAAAATGACACAAACCAAATGAATGTTTATATTTTATATGTCTCCATTATATTTATTTTTTATAAATTAGGAATCCATGAGTCATCCTTGACTCATTTACGTTCTTCACCAATTCCTCAATCCCCCACTGCTCAACCATTCCAACCTATTGATTCAATGTTCTTAATATATCTCAAATCCAGCCCCTCCTCTTCATTCTCAACTGCTGCTATCTTATGCCAGGACACCATAATTTTTCCCTGCATTAATAAAATAGCCGTAGTATAGGGTTTTCTGCTTTCTTTCTGAAAGTGCTCTGAATTTATCTTCTCATGCCACACAGACTACATTCTGAAGTCCACTTTTGTTCCCTTTATTATACTTCTCCTGCGGCTCTCCAGTGAATACAAGATCAATTCCAAATCCTTTAGCATGGCATGCAGGGCCATTTCTGTTCTATTTTCTGTCTGCTTTGGGGGCTCCATTAAGCACCACTGTTCCATCGAATACCCTGCACACTCCTCACATTGAGTCACTAACTGTCCCTGAAACATCTCATTCTCTATCATCCCTTGTTTTTCGTAATGCTTTTTTTTCCTCCTGGTTGCCCTCCTTCAACTCTCATTTATATAGTAAAATATTACTCAATTTTCTGTTTAACCACTTTCTCCTCCTCAAACCTTTCCAAGCAAGACCAGTTCTCCTAATCCCTACTCTACTAGGCATTCTTACATTGCTATAAAGAAGAAAGTTGCCAAATATGAGTACCTGTGTACCATTTTAAACTATTGATCTGTAGAATGAAAATCTCATTGATTTTTCACTTATAGGTTTTACCTTAGAGCTCCTGAACCATTCCATACTGCCAGACACTGGGAACAATACGGCCAATCTTTTGAATCTAATCTATTATCAATAGCATGCCAGAGAAAAAAGAGTTAATACCATCAAGAAAATGTTGTAAATTCCAGGACTTTGTTTTGCATAATGGTCAAAACTTGCATTTGCAATTGAGGAACATTAGACATAAACATTTAATATAGGAAGGTTAGCCTTTTCTTTGAAACTCACAAATCTTATTTGCTTCAAAAATTAGTGAAATCCTTTCCTTATTAAACAACAACGAAAAATACCTGAGACTGGGTAATATATAAAGAAAAGAGATTTAATTGACTCATGGTTCTGCAAGTTGCACAAGGATGGCACTGACATTTGCTCGGCTTCTGGTGAGGGATTCAAGAAGCTTAAAATCATGGTGAAAGGCAAAGGGGAGCAGGCACATCACATGGCAAAAGCAGGAGCATGAAAGACAGTCATGGAGAGGAAGGTGTCACGTTCTTTTTTTTTTACCTTTTACTTTAAGTTCTGGAATACATGTGCAGAATGTGCAGGTTTGTTACATAGGTATACATGGGCCATGGCGGTTTGCTGCACCTATCAACCCGTCATCTAGGTTTCAAGCCCCACATGCATCAGCTATTTGTCCTAATGCTCTCTCTCCCCTTGCCCCACACCCCCCCAACAGGTTCCAGTGTGTGATGTTCCCCTCCCTATGTCCATGTGTTCTTATGGTTCAACTCCCACTTATGAGTGAGAACATGCGGTGTTTGGTTTTCTGTTCCTGTGTTAGTTTACTGAGGATGATGGTTTCCAGCATCATCCATATCCCTGCAAAGGACATGAACCCATTCTTTTTTATGGCTGCATAGTATTCCATAGTGTATATGTGCCACATTTTCTTTATCCAGTCCATCATTGATGAGCATTTGGGTTGGTTCCAAGTCTTTGCTATTGTGAATAGTGCTGCAATAAACATACGTGTGCATGTGTCTTTATAGAGAATGATTTATAATCCTTTGAGTATATACCCAGTAATGGAATTGCTGGGTCAAATGGAACCTTTTTAACTGACCAGATCTCAGCAGAACTCACTATCATGAAGATAGCAATAAGCCATGAGGGCTCCACCCCCAAGACCCAAATACCTTCCACCAGGCCCCACCTCTAGTGCTGGGGATTATAATTCAACAGGAGACAGGCAGGGACAATATCCAAACTATATCACCTACCCAGGGTAAAGTTAGCTACTTTCTCTTCTGTGTTCCAATAACTAGCTACTGCAAATCTTTATTACTGGTAGTTATCTAAGTATCTGCCTACCTAATAACTATCCAGCTCCTTAAGAACATGAACCGTTTTGAATTCACAGTGATTTCCTCAATATCTTACACAAAAAAAGCCATGATTTGTATAAAATTCAACTCCTGTTTATCAAAGAAATAAGAAATCAGCAACTGTATAAATAGAAAACGCAATTCTTTCTAATGCAATCTTTTTAATACAATTATGAATAATGCTGCTGTGAAGATCTCAATGCAAAAATTTGCATGCAGATATAACTAAAGGCCATTATAGCTCTAGTAGACTTTTCATAGATCTGCATGAAAAGATTTGCAATATAGATGCATGGACATATGTTGAGGTACATATTGAAGTTCATTTGTTTACATCTGGATATTGTCATGGGCTGAATTGTGGTTTCTTGCAAATTCTTGCACCATAAATCCTAACTCCAAGTACTTCAGAGTACTATCAAAAGAGAGTAGAGATGCAGTAAATATACCTGTAACTGGAGGAATTCAAATGTTTCCATGAGATGTATTTAAAAGAATGTTTTACATGTTGAATAAAGAAATAAATTACAGTGGCTCATGCCTGTAATCCCAGCACTTTGGGAGGCCGAGGCAGGCAGATCACTTGAGGTCAGGAGTTCGAGACCAGTCTGGCCAACGCGGTGACCATTTCTTCTAAAAATACAAAAATTGGCTTGGTGTCGTGGCATGCGCCTGTAATCCCAGCTACTCGGGAGGCTGAGGTGGGAGAATCCCTTGAACCTGGGAGGCGGAGAGACTTTCTCAAAAAAAAAAAATAATAATAATAATAATTACTCTTTGAGAATAAATGTAATCTCCTATGCTTTTCTAGCATGTAACAAAATGTGCTATTTTGCTTTAAGTAGTGTATATTTCACTCAAGAAAAACAAAGAAAAATGATATTTCACTCAAGAAAAAAAGAATAAAGAAAGAAGGAAGAGAGGAGGGAAAAAGAAAGGAGAGGAGAAAGAAAAACAGAAACTCTCATTTCTTTAGGCGACATCTTTTTGATGCCAGCTATCTACTTAGCGACCAAGCATGACCGATGTATATACATATTTTGGCCCCATGTTTATTGCATTTATCTGCACTTGCTAAACTGTCCTAATATCCTCGTAAATTCTTCCCTGTAGGATTCTAGCAAAGTCCTCCCACAACTCCAAGAATCCTTAGATCCACTATCACTCCCTGATGCTAGCTTCTTCAGACCTCAACAACCAATTTGGAAGCACAGATTAACAATTTTTTATTTAGTCTTTAATTCATTTCTTCAAAAGAATAGTTACAGAATACCTTAGGGGTAGTAATTGTAAATGTTCTAAAAACCCTAGAGACCCAAAGAATATTAGAAAGGATACAAATAAGAAAGCATACAGGCTGGGTGTGGTGGCTCACGCCTGTAATCCCAGCACTTTAGGAGGCCGAGGAAGGTGGATCATTTGAGGTCAGGAGTTTGAGATCAGCCTGGCCAACATGGTGAAACACCGTCTCTACTAAAACTACAAAAATTAGCCAGGCGGTAGTGGCACGCACCTGTAATCCAAGCTACTCCGGTGACTGAAGCTGGAGAATCGCTTGAGCCTGGGAGGCGGAGGTTGCGGTGAGCCGAGATGGCGCCACTGCACTCCAGTCTGGGCAACAGGGTGAGATCTTGTCTCGAAAAAAAAAAAGAAAGAAAAAAGAAAGCCTACAAGCACCCTGGCTGATAATTTTCTTAATATTACATTTTAACTGTGCTTTATTTTCTGGAATCAGTCCTTTATAAGATATATTCCTTGCAAATATTTTCTTCTATTCTATAGATTGTCTTTTCATTGTCTTAAGAGTTTCTGCAAAGGACAGATGATTTTAATTTTTATTTGAAGTTCAGTTTTTCAAAATTCATTTTTTGAATCATCTCTTTGATTTTGTATCCAAGAAATATATGCCTAACCCAAGATCACAAAAGTCTCTGTTTTTGTTTTCTTTTAGAGGTTTTATAGCATTAGGCTTTACCTTTAGATCTAAGATCCAATTTGAATTGATGCATTTTAAACAATTTTAGTGAGGTATCTTTTACATAGCATAAAATTCACCCATTTAAGGTGGCATTTCAATGATTTTTAGGAATGTTACCAAGTGATGCAACTATCACCATAAATTAGTTTTATAACATTTTCATCTCTCATATCAATAATATTCCTCATCTGTATTTACAATTAATTACCGCTCCAACCCTCAGCCTCAGGCAACCAATAATCTAGTTTCTGTTGTATAAATTTGTTTGTATGGACATTTAGTGTAAATGGAATCGTAAAATATGTGATCTCTTGTGCCTGGCTTCTTTCATTGGGCATAATGTTTTCGAGGGTCAGCCATAACACAGCGTGTATGAGTTTATTGCTTCTTATGGCTGACTAGTATTCCATTGTATGATTACAACAAATACTGTCTATCCATTCACCAGTTCAGGGGCATTTGGGTCCTTTCCAGTTTTTGGCAATTATGAATAATGCTGCTGTAAAGATATGCATGCAAGGATTTGTGTGCAGATTTGTTTACATATGGGTATTGTCATGGGCTGAATTGTGCTCTCTCGCAGATTCTTGCACCATAAATCCTAATTCCAAGTACTTCAGAGTGTGGCTACATCTGGAGATAGTGTCTTTAAAGAGATAATGCAAGTAAAATGGGGCCATTAGAGTGGGCCCTAATCCAATATGACTGGTTTCCTTATAGGAATTGGAGAATAGGACCTAGGCACACACAGAGGGAAAACCAAGTGAAGACATTGGTAAAAGATAGTCATCTGTCATCAAAAAAAGAGACACTCAGAAGAAACGAATCCTCCCAGCAACTTGATCTTGGGCTTCCATACTCCAGAATTCTGAGGAAATTTATTTCCATTATTTAAACCACCTGTTTGTGGTTCTTTGTTATGGCAGCCATATCTGACTAATACATATATCAATTTGTTCCAGTAACATTTGTTGTAAAAACAAAACCATCTCCACTGAATTGTCTGGTATTTTTATCCATATATGTGTGGATTTATTCTGGATTCAATATTCTATTCCACTGATGTATTTATCTATCTTTAACCCAATACCAACTTGTCCTTTATTGATGTAGATTTATACGATAAGACTTGAAATCAGGTAGCATTAGTCCTCCATTTCTTTTTCTTTTTCGGACTTGTTTTAGTTATTCTAACTCCATTGTTTTTTTCCATATGAATTTTAGAATCAGATTGCCAATTTCCCCCTTAAAATAATTGCTGGGATTTTGATTGGGATTGCATTTCACCTGTTGATCATTTGGGGAAGAATTGGTATCTTCACATATTAAGTCTTCCGAGACATGAAAAAAAAATCTATTTAGACCTTCTTCAGTTAATCTCAACAACATATTGAAGCTTTTTAGTGTATAGGTCCTTCACCATTCTTGTTACATTTCTCCCTAAACAGTTGATATTTTCATTATACTTTAATAATGTTTTAAAATTTTATTGTTGATTGTCATTAATATATAGAAAGACATTTGAATTTGTGTATTGAAATCTTGTTAAAATCACTCTAGCTCTAGTAGACTTTTTATAGATTCCTTTGGGTTTTCTACATAATCTTTTTTAAACTTTTAGGTTCAGGAGTACATGAACAGGTTTATTATATAGGCAAACCTATGTCAGAGGGGTTTGTTGAACAGAATATTCCATCACTCAGGTATTAAGCCTAGTACCCATCAGTTATTTTTCCTGATCCTCTCCCTTCTCCCGCCCTCCACCCTCAGGTATGCCGCAGTGTGTGTTCCCCTCTATGCGTTTACGTGTTCTCATCATTTAGCTCCCACTTATATTTAAGTCAGAACATGTGGTATTTGGTTTTCTCTTCCTGCACTGGTTTGCTAAGGATAATGGCCTCCAGCTCCATACATGTTCCTGCAAAGGACATGAGTTCGTTCCTTTTTTTTATAGTTGCATAGTATTCCATGGCGTATATGTACCATATTTTCTTTATCCAGTGTACCATTGATGGGCATTTAGGCCGATTCCATGTCTTTGCTATTGTAAATAGTGTTGCCATGAACATACGTGTTCATGTGTCTTCATAACAGAACAATTTATATTCATTTGGTTATATACCCAGTAAAGGGATTGCTGGGTCAAATGGTAGTTCAGATTTTAGCTCTTTGAGGAATCATCACCTTGCTTACCACAATGGTTGAACTAATTTACACTCCTACCAACAGTGTATAAGCATTCGTTTTTCTCTGCAACAGTCCCAGCATCTGGTATTTTTTGACTTTTTAATAATAGCCATTCTGAGTGGTGTGATATGGTATCTCATTGTGATTTTGATTTGCATTTCTCTAATGATCAGTAATATTGAACTTTTTTTCATATGCTTGTTGGCTGCATACATGTCTTCTTTTGAAAAGTCATCCGTTCATGTCCTTTGCCCACTTTGTAATGGTGTTGTTTGTTATTTTCTTGTAAAGTTATTTAAGTTCTTTATAGATGATAGATATTAGACCTTTGTCAGATGCATAGTTTACAAAAAGTTTCTCTCATCCTGTATATTGTCTGTTTACTGTGTTGATAGTTTCTTTTTTTGTGCAGAAGCTCTTTAGCCTAATTAGATCTTATTTGTCAATTTTTGCTTTTGTTGCAATTGCTTCAGTGTCTTTGTCATGAAATCTTTCCCTATTCCAAAACAAGAATGGTATTGACTAGGTTGTCTTCCAGGGTGTTTATAGTTTTGGGTTTTACATTCAAGTCTTTAATCCACCTTGAGTTGATTATTGTATATGGTGTATGGAAGGGTTCTAGTTTCTACCTTCTGCATATGGCTAGCCAGTTATCCTAGCACCATTTATTCAATAGGGAGTCCTTTCCCCATTGCTTGTTTTTGTCAGCTCTGTCAAATGTCAGATGGTTGTAGGTATGCAGCCTTTCTGGACACTCTATTCTGTTCCATTGGTCTAAGTGTCTGTTTTTTTTGTTTGTTTTGTTTTTTGTTCTTTTGTTTTTTGCTTTTTTTTTTTTTTGAGACAGAGTCTCACTCTATCTCCCAGGCTAGAGTGCAATGGTGCAATCTCGGCTCACTGCAACCTCCCCCTCCTGGATTCAAGTGATTCTCCTACCTCAGCTCCCCCAGTAGCTGAGATTACTGGCACATGCTACCACGCCTGACTAATTTTTGTATTTTTAGTAGAGATGGGGTTTCACCATGTTGGTCAGGCTGGACTTGAACTCCTGACCTCAGGTGATCCACCCACCTCAGCCTCCCAAAATGCTGGGATTACAGGCATGAGCCATGGTGCCGGGCCTAGGTGTCTGTTTTTGTACCAGTACCATGCTGTTTTGGTTACTATATCCTTGTAACATAGTTTGAAGTTAACTAGATTGATGCCTCCAGCTTTGTTCTTTTTGCTTAGAATTGCCTTCAGTATTCAGGTTGTTTTTTGGTTCATGTGAATGTTAAAATAGATTTTTTTATACCTCTGTGAAGAATGTTATGTTACGTAATAATATAAATATTTATATTAGGGCAAAAATGTCCCTAAATACTGCTTTAGTTGTTTTGCCCACATTCAGATATCCTATGTGCTATGGTTTGGATGTTTGTTCCCTCCAAAACTCATGCTAAAATTTGGTTGCCATTGTGATTTTTGAGTGGTGATTGGTCCTTGAGGTCACTTTCCTCATAAATGAATTAATGTTGTCATGCAGGAGTAGGTTTATTATTATGGGAGTTGATTTTTTTTATAAAAAAGGTAAGTTTGGACTCCCTTCCGTGCTCTCTCTCTCTCTCTCTCTCTCACCCTCTTGTCTTCTGCCACATCATGGCACAGCAAAAAGGCCCTGGTAAGATGCCCACAACTTGACATTGGATTTCCTAGCCTTCATGATGGTAAACCAATACATTTCTGTTAATTATAAATTACCTAGGCCTCAGGTATTCTGTTACAGCAGCACAAAGCAAACTAAGACACTATATTTCCATTTTTATTCAACTCTAAACATTTTCCAATTTTTCTTTTGATGTCTTAAGTACATAATTTAGTTTTTAAATATTTGAGGAATTTTCAGGTATTTCTCTGCTACTGAATTCTATTTAATGCCACTGTGTTTAGAGAACATTATGTATTTTCTTTTAACATCATATGTTCATATTACATTTAAATACATAAAAGTACTTGAATGCTTGTAATTTATTGGGATTTATTTTATGTTTCATAATATGAGCTATCTTGGTAAATGCCGAGTGTACATTTGAAAAGAACAATTCTTCTTACCCCAGTTCTCATATATTTTAATCAAAATGAACCTTTGCTCTATTAAGTATCTGAATCCTCCAAAGTAATTAATACATTTTTCCCCATGCTATGGAGAAGTAAACCTTAAAATGGCTTGAAATTAAAATAAATTCATTTCTCTCCTGCTATTGCTTAAGGGTAACAACTCATGGGAAAAATATAGACTATCACACTTTCTAATTTATAGCAGAAATTACACACACAGAGAAATTACACACACAGAAATTACACACACACAGAAATACACAGAATGAAAAAAACTAAAAGGCAAAGGATTTGTGCACTTGACAGTTTCCCCTAAACGCCATTTCTCTAGATGGAATTTCAGTGCATGTAAAGTTCATAGAGTATAGAGCCCTTAGGAATTTTACATTCCTATGGTAAAATAGAATACACGTTTTCTCTTTTAGACTACTTAAAAAATGACTAAAAGCAAAAGTCTATACAAACACAAGCAATCATGTATTTAATCATATTTTTTTTAAAAAATAGTGTGTGGCAGAAACCATCCTAATTTTTTTCAAGTTTTCCAATAATGAGTTCAAGATGTCTTAACCACATGTCACTGAATCCTTGCAAATTTAGGATCGTCTGTAGGACAACAGACTTGCACTTTCAAAGTATGTTTGCTTTCAAGAGGCCTCAGAACTCTGAGACTCTTTCCACCCTTCAGGAACCTCACCATTGAATGACTCACTATGGGTGGGGAGTATGGGATATCACCCTTCATAAGCCCACCAATGTGGTCTTGGCAGTTACTTGACTCCCCTGACAAAATGGGAAATAACACAGGGAAGCCATCATGCTATGTTTTCATGCTACACAGAAACTGTTCTTGCTAAAAATATTACACAGATTTGCAAAGACTTAGAAGTATATAAAACATATTTTGATGCTTTCTCTTTTCATATAGACGTTTGTTTATATTGAGAGTTTATCAAAAAATAGCAGTAATAAACTTAACTTACTGAAAATCAGAGGTATTCTCTAAGACCCCCCAGAGGTATTCTCTAAGACCAAATTCATTCACATTTTAAGATTTTCAATCATATCTTAAATCTTGCCAAAACAATTTGTTATACATAAGGGGAAAGGTCATTTTCCTGAATATGCAGGAAAAAAAAATCACAAAATAATACTGAACTAACCTATCCTCACTTTTAACTTAACTTGAAATAACATCAATAGCTGATTCTGCTTCATGTGTGATTATCAACAACTCATAAAACTGTGACAAGAACAACATTTTTATACTAATTTAATATGTAAGTTCACATTCACATTAAAAAGTCAATTGTAACAGAACTGACTGTAGTCAAGCATATTTTATGTTAATGAAAAAAGGCTAAATGTAAAGTTTCATATTGTTCTCTTGAATTTTTAACAGATTTCTCCAAAATTTGGTACCAACCATAGAGCATGTTTCTTAATGTCTTTTGAAGACTTGAATAGAAAAAAAATAAAATTAACAACTGAATATTCATTTTGATTTTAAGTGGTTGATCAATTACCTTTATGTTTTTCCTATCAAGTAGAGAAATAGTTGAAAGGGCACACGAATCAACATGCATGTGGGGTTGTAGGAGTATCTCATATAATACTGATAAAAGGCAGATCACAAGAAGTGACTTAATTGCATTGCTAATACCATAGCCAATAATTTAATTTACCCCCCAAACTGCTAGCTTCCTCCTCAAGGGCAGTACCCGTCCTGTAGGACTGATGTGAATGTAGAAAGTAAAAGGTTTCAGAAGAGACTAAGCTACGCTTACTGACTTTCTTCGTTTTATTTCAACGAATTGTGAAATAGATACTAATTTTCATTTTACCAATTACATATTTAACCACAATGGTTAAAAAACTGCGAGACACCTGTTATTTTAACCTTGAAACTCCACTTTTCAACAGCACACAGGGACTGTAAGTAGAGAATAACAATATTTGATTTTCCTTTATGAGTAAAGACAGTTAACAGAGATTCCACATTATGAAAAATGGAATTTTATAGCCAGAAAGATCTTAGTGATAACAAATATAAAATAAAGAAACTGAAGCTTAGAAAGGTTAAGTGACTCGCCCAACTTTCCCCAAGCTGATAGTGACAGAAGTAGCATTGAAATACATGCCTCTTGAACTACATATTTTATTGAATGGCTTACCTTACCTTAACTTTCACATCAACTGCTCCACTGACTTATTCATTAGGGGAAAAAGACATTCCTGGGCTTTTAGAATAATCTCTTTGTGGAGCTGATTCACTTTTGGCCATATTTCTTTATAACCACAGCATGTTCATACTTTACAGAGTTCCGATGGGCTGGGTTCCAAAGAGTGTTAGGAACATAGGCAAATGGGACTTGCCAAACTGACTGCTCTTAATGGCCACTTCCAAGAGAGCTTCAGGCCATTAAAAGTCACCTATTCTGTTTTGTTGGGCACACAGCCAGTTAGTTCCACAGCTAGTGTTGTATTGAAACCCAGGGCCTAGCTGATACTTTAGGAAATTTTCCTTTTTTCTTTTCTCATTCCACTTCTCCACTCTAGAAATAAACTTCAAATTACAGACTGATTGTAAAGAATCACTCAATAAAATAATTAATTTAAAGGCCATAGCCTTTTATTCACTTATTATAGATAATAACTTCCTAGTCTACATTTCATTACAGCAAAAAAAGGTAAGCACAAAAACGACTGTTTATACCTGTGCAATAAGTTTGTGTGTGTGTACATGTAAGCATGTGCATGCATGTGGGGTGTGTCGATCATGAAACAGCAAGCAAATAAAACTTACACTTCAGGGGTGCTCATTTGAGTAGGTCCTTTCCAGCGCCCCGGGAGAGGGTCAGCAGCGGGTTCACATGACCATGAAGTGGGTTCACATAACCACATGTTTTTAAAAGATTCACAAAAGTAAGTTACTTTTACTGTAGTTGGTTAAGAGGGCCATGTCTTTTCACTCTCACTTAATCTTCGTCACACTTCACCTGGCATAGAATGTTGTCAAAGTGATTGCAGGAATACTTGAGATCCATCAAGAGGAAGTTGAATAGGGGATACACTTAGTTCTGGTTTAGTGTGCCTCCCAGTCACTGCCACATATAGTCAAGCTAGGCGAGTCAGTGACAGGTCTAGAATACTAACCAAAGTTTTCTGATTTTAATAGTAATGATCTTTACACTGTAGGACAGAGATAAGCAAACATTTTCTGTATTTACCAACTAGTAAATATTCTAGGCTTTGTGAGCCACATATGAGATGTCGTATGTTCTTTAAAAAAAAAAAATCTTTCTTTAAAATATTCAAGGCCGGGCGCGGTGACTCACGCCTGTAATCCCAGCACTTTGGGAGGCTGAGGCGGGCAGATCATGAGGTCAGGAGATCGAGACCATCCTGGCTAACACGGTGAAACCCCGTCTCTACTAAAAATACAAAACAAAATTAGCCGGGCGTGGTGGCGGGCACCTGTAGTCCCAGCTACTCGGGAGGCTGAGGCAGGAGAATGGCGTGAACCTGGGGGGGCAGAGCTTGCAGTGAGCCGACATGGCACCACTGCACTCCAGCCTGGGCGACAGAGTGAGACTCCATCTCAAAAAAAAAAAAAAAAAAAAAAATTGTCATACATTAGATAAGTGCATATAATTCTTCTGTTTTTGAACTCTGTATTCTGTGTGATTGGTCTATTTGCTGACATTTTCCCCAATATCACAAATCTTATTTACTATAGATTTGTAACAGGTCTTAATAATTGGTGTTATCAATTCTCCAGAGTTTCTTGGCAATTATTTGATCTTTTCAATTTAATATACATTTTAGAATCAGCTGATTAAGTTTAGATTAGGATTGAATTAAAATTATAGATTGATTTGTAATAATTGACAACTTTCCAGAGTCTTGCATCTACAATAAAATATACGGATGTGGTCTATTTCTAGATATATTTAGGTCTTCTTAAGTTTATTTAAATAAGATGGTATAGCATTGATTGTAGAAATCTTTGGCATCATTTTAAAATTTGCATCTATGTATTTAATATTCTCTTTCATTTTCTGTACAGTGTTGGTTTATAGAAATGGAAATGTTGTATATTATTATTACATTCTGATACTTTACTAAATTTACTCATTAATTCTAATATAGTTTTGAAATTAGATTTTCCAGGTACACAATAATAGTCTGCAATCAATTAAAACTATTACTTCATTTTCAATCTTTATATAGTTTCTCTCTAGTATAATGTTGATGAAAAGTGATATTAGAAATTGTCAATCTTTCTTCTCCAATCTCAGGTGGAAAGTTTTCAATAAGGGATGATAAGGTTAATGCTGGCTACAAAGTTTTCTGTAGATACTGTTCATCACTTCCCTTTTATTTCTAGTTTGTAAAGATTTTTTAATCGTAAGTGTGTGTTGAATTTTCTCCCTTGTTATGTTAACATGTGAATTTTATGTTAACATAGTGAATTATTACAACTAATTTTCAAATGTTAAAACATACTTGCTTGACATATTACCATTTTTGAATGTGGCTGGATGCAATGTGCTTAAGATATTTTTATCTATGTTCATTGGAGAAATTGATCTGTAATTTCCCTATATTATAATGTTCTTGTTTTATGCTGATATCAAGGTTATACTGTCCTCATCAAGAGTTGAGAAACGTGGCCAGGCATGGTGGCTCACGCCTGTAATCCCAGTGCTTTGGGGGGCCGAGGGGGGCAGATCACCAGGTCAGGAGATCGAGACCATCCTGACCAACATGGTGAAACCCCGTCCCTACTAAAAATACAAAAATTAGCTGGGTGTGGTGGTGGGCGCCTGTAGTCCCAGCTACTTGGGAGGCTGAGGCAGGAGTATCACTTGAACCCAGGAGGCAGAGATTGCAGTGAGCCGAGATTGCGCCACTGCACTCCAGCCTGATGACAGAGAGAGACTCTATCTCAAAAAAAAAAAAAAAAGAGAGAGTTGAGAAATGTCATTGTCTTTGTTGTCGTCATTATTTGTTATCAGAGATAATCTCTAAAATTGGTGTAATTCCCTCCTCTGAGTATTGGGAAGAATTTACCAGTGAAGCTCTCTAGACCTGGAGTTTATGGGAAAAGTTTTAACAACAGAA
Organism: Homo sapiens; assembly: GCF_000001405.40. NCBI lineage: Eukaryota > Metazoa > Chordata > Mammalia > Primates > Hominidae > Homo > Homo sapiens. The sequence continues at coordinate 27,187,983 of NC_000021.9, read as the reverse complement.
TCAATTTAATTAATACATAGAGGCATTTAAATAATTTCTTCCATTGTTTTTCATGGTACGTTTGTTTTTGAAGAATTTATTGTTTTTATGTAGTTGTCAAGTCTATTGAAGTAAAGTGGTTAATAATATTTTCTTAATGCTCTTTCAGTATTTGTGAGTTCCTTTTATTCCTGATACTGGTAAACTCTTTTTAGTTCTGATATTGATAAACTCTTTTTAGTTCTGATATTGATAACTGTTTCTTTCTTTCACTCATTAGTCTTTCTATACGACCGTTTTAGTAAACTCTCCAATAAGCCACTCAAAATAATGAGCATAGCATAGTTCCCACACTCATGGATCCAATTTGTCTACATTCAGAGGCCAGTTCTGCTACTTATGAGCTATGGCGGCTTAGGCAAATTAATTAGCCATGTGTGGCCTCATGTGTCCCTTCTTTAAAAAGGGGATAATAGTAATAATATATACCTCATAGGGTTGCTTTCAGAATGAAAAGCATTCATCCATGTAAAAAATTAAGAGCACTTACTAAACATTAGCTGTTATTATTGTATTTGTTACATTTATGTCTATTGCTCCCCAGGATGGAAAGTACAAAATATGAAAATATCAATTATTTTTAGGCACAAGAAGCTAGATCCCTAACACATCAACATTACAAAGCTAAAATTCTCACTAGGATTATTTTTGATGTTCATAACTTATTCTTCCTGTACTCCTAACTTAATTTCTCTCTAATGTATTAAAAATGGAACAAACTCCATGAAAGTTGAGGGAGAGTGCATTTGTGGGTAATTTGTGGGTAGCTCCTGGAAGAAGCTGGTAGTAGGTGTTTTGTTTGTAATTTGCTCCAGATTTCTTTTGGGCTTCATGGATGTTTAATCTTTTAATGCACTGTGGCTTCAGAAAAATGCTCAGACACAATCTCCAAAAACATCAAATCTGGGTATGCACAAACCAAAAAAGAAATTATACTGGCTCAGCCCAGATCATGCTCCCGGTAAATCAATACCCTGGGTAGTATCTTTAAAGTGGGTGCAGATGCATGTACACACCAGACACATAGACACACACAGACACACACACACACACACACACACACACACACACACACACACACAGAACAGGCAGTTCATGAATTCATGTTAGGCATTGCAGTGAATGGTTGTTGGTATCAGACAGACCTGTGTGGATTCTTGGCAGTGTCAGCTGCCTGGACATTTTGTAAGTCATGTAACTGCTCAGCCTTAGCTTTTTCATCTATGAAATATGGGCAATATCATTACAGATCTCAAAGCTTTATTGTGAGTATTAAATGGGATAATGCATTTAAAACTCTCCGAATACCACTTTACACTTAGTAATGATTCAAATGACTGTGATTATTATCACCATAGCCAGTTTTTTTTTTTTTTTTTTTTTTTGTAAGATGGCGTCTAGCTCTGTCACCAGGCTGGAGTGCAGTGGCGTGATCTCGGCTCACCGCAACCTCTGCCTCCTGGGTTCAAGCGATTCTCCTGCCTCAGCCTCCCGAATAGCTGGGATTACAGGCACGGGCTGCCACAGCCAGCTAATTTTTGTATTTTTAGTAGAGACGGGGTTTCACCATGTTGGTCAGGATGGTCTCGATCTCCTGACCTCGTGATCTGCTCACCTCGGCCTCCCAAAGGGCTAGGATTACAAGCATGAGCCACCAAGCCCAGCCACCATAGCCACTTTTAAAATACATTATCTTTTCAATATTGCCTGAAGTTTACAAACATCACTAAAACTTAGAAAATCTTAACATACATTGGCTCCTATCTTTGATAACTCCAGGGGAATTGTATTAAATTCAGCCTTCATTTCTACCAACACTGGCACATGTTCGGCACATTGTTTATTAATGTTTTTCGTGCTTTTCATGTTGAGGTCTACTCTTCAATCTTTTGAGGATGAGTGTGATTCTCTGGTTGGAGTAGAAGCTTTGTACTGTGTTCGTCAGATATGTAAATAGATTCCACTGGGAATGGCATGAAAGTATAAACTCATCTTGGAATTGTTTTTCATAATCATAAGCATTTTAATCAAAACTTAAGCTAAACAAAAACCAAGGTACTACCTCATTCATAGCTGTCTGAGTGGTAATGGTCAAGAAAGAAAGGACCACTCATTATAGAGAGATTGTATTCAATTGTAAAGCTAACCTTGAAAATTTCTAAATTATTTTCCATCCACATAGGAGAATTCTTTAGAAATATCTGTAATGATTGCTACATCCTTTAACATGGTGCTACTTTAGTCAGGAGGAAATATATCTTTGTTTTTCTGGGGAAAAAAAAAGCAGGGGTTAGTACCAAGAGGAAAAAAAAATCTTATTAATGTCTTCTCTCTATTTCAATAAATGTATATGAATACTTCAAATATATTAAAATAAAATATGCCCTTCATTTAACTAAAGGATGAATTAAGAAACTTCCTCAATAATTTCCCAAATACAATTTAATATAAAATACATTAAGTTCAAGTCATAAACAATTAATTACTGCTACCCATTTTTATTGCAGTTACATAAAAATGATTATTCACAATGCAATTTATACATGTGAAAATTAAGTTATTGTGATAAAAACATAACCACAAGAAAATGGACTATGCTGAATTTCAACTTCATTAGTTTGCAAAGGCAAGCTACTTGTTTATAGTATGTATTTTTTCTAATATATTAGCTAAAATACATTCTAAATGTAACATGTAATATATTAATGTTTTTAAGTAAAAGCTCATGTCTAGTGTAAAATGTGATAATGACGATATTGAATTCAGGAGGAAAACCAACTTTCCATATTACATAAATATTTTTTTCTCCTAAATATCCTGCTTCTTTGGCAAACATTGACTGAAAAGTGATATATATGCAGAATGCTTGTGTCTCCCCAAAATTCACGTGTTGATACTTAATACCCAATGTGATAGTATTAGGAGGCGGAGACTTCATGAATGAGATTAGTGCCCTCATAAAAGAAACCCCAGAGTTGCCTTTGTTGCCCTTTCTGCCATTTGAGGACACAGCTAGAAAGCTATGAACCAAAAAATGGATTCTCACCAAACACCAAATCTGCCAGCATCTTGATCTTAGACTTCCCTGCTTCCAGAACTGTCAGAAATACATTTATGTTGTTTATAAGCCACCTAGTCTGTGGCATTCTGTTACAGCAGCCTGAACAGACTAAGACAAAATGTAAATGGCAAGCCATGTAATGATCAAAAAGACTTGTGTGCAAGTTTATCATTAGCACATGTCACCACGTATATAGTTTACATTTCCTTCAAGAAGCAAGAGAAAATATAGAAATGGGAGGATAACAATAATAATAACTGCTACAATTTAGAGCTCATCTATTCTAGGCCAGGCACAGGTTTCAGTAATGCACATGTTATCTCTAAACAACCCTGACAGTTATCACTGCTCCAATTTACAGGAAATATATTCAAAGACATTATGTCACTTATCTCAGGTCACAGCACCAGTAAACCTTAGGGCCAGGAAACACATTTTTAAAAATACATACTTCCCATTGGTTAATAGGAAAGACAAATCTACTAACAAACAGATTCCACATTTAGTAACTTAAAAAAATGATAGGATTTATTTATCTTTCTTATGCAGAAGTCCATGAGAAGCATGGAAGATTTTCAGGTGGTACCTTAACCATGAATCTATGTTCGTTTTATTTCGTAGCTCTGCAATCCCCAGGGCTTTGATGTAGGGCCTAGGCTGGACTGACAGCCAGAACTGTCAGCAGGATAGAAGAGAGGACATGGAAAGGCCACATGAAAAAGTTTTGCCAGTAGAATGGTAAACTGAAGAAAGGCTAGAAAATGGAGTCTCGCTACGCCTCCATGTGCCCAGCTCCCATTCTATTACCATTTAACAAAGGAGGCAAGGGTCTCTGCAGTCACTTAGGCATTTCTACCTCAGCACAAATTCCTATGACTTCAATTCAACCTCTATGCTCTCGACCACCAATCTTGAGTTTTCTCTCACCACCTCACATCCCACAGCTTCAGAAGCCAGCCATGCATTTCCATTTGGAATCCTCATCATCATTTCAGAATCATCAAGTTCCAAATCAAGCTCATCTCTGCTATTTTCCCCTACACCAAAGTTACCCTCTAAATGTATCATCTTTTTTTTTTTCTTTTTCTTTTTTTCTTTGGAGAGTTTCTCTGTCACCCATGCTGGAGCACAGTGGCGCCATCTTGGCTCACTGCAACCTCCTCTTTTCAGGTTCAAGTGATTCTCCTGCCTGCTGGGACTACAGGTGTGCGCCACCACACCAGGCTAATTTTTGCAGTTTTAGTTGAGACGGGGTTTCGCCTTGTTGGCCAGGCTGGTCTCAAACTCCTGACCTCAGGTGATCCGCCCACCTTGGCCTCCCAAAGTGCTGGGGTTACAGGTGTGAGCCACCATGCCAGGTGAATGTATCATCTCAGTCAAAGACCAATGCCAAACTTTCTATTCAAGAACTCTTAAAACCCTTCTTTGTGATTCATACATTTCATTCACAAAGTCTTTCCAGATTTTTTCAAGTAAAAATTTTATCCATCCTTTCTTTAATTTTTTTTTTTACTATTGTAATCATAGACCAATCCTCCTTTATTAGTAGTATAAATTAAAATTTGTTATTCATCTACTATGTCCCAGGTACTCTGCTCATTGTTAAAGAAACAGTTACAAGAAAAACTAAATAATAATAACTAATATTTATATGATACTAAGTATTTTACACTATTCTAAGCACTTAACATAAACTCACCTATTTCTTAAGAGATTTTAAAAGATTTTATTCAAGACCAGTCTGGGCAATATAGTGAGACTTCATCTCTACAAAAAAATTAAAAAATTCTCTGAGCTTGGTGGCACTCATCTGTAGTCCCAGCTACTCAGGAAGCTGAGGTGGAAGAATCACTTGAGTCTGGAAGGCGAAACTACTGTGAGCCATGATCGTGCCACACCAGCCTGCACTCCAGCCTGAGTGACAGAGGGAGATCCTGTCTCAAAACAGACAAACACATTTCAGTTTGTGGAGAGTTGTGCAAACAAGGTTGAAGAATTATAAATACACCAGATCTTGCATCTTTTTAAGTTGTTTGAAACATTTTTGTATTCATGCTAAGAGGAATTGTGATGGTTAATTTTATGTACTAATTTGACTGGGCTAAGAGATACCTAGATAGCCAGTAAAACATTATTCCTGGATGTGACTCTCAGGGTATTTCAGAGAAGATTCCCCTTTGAATCAGTAGACTGGGTACAGAAGATCACTTTAACCAATGTGGGTGGGCACCATCCAATCTAAGTGCCCAAACAGAACAAAAAGGTGGAGGGAGGGAACATTTGCTCCCTCTTTATTGAACTGGGACATCCATCTTCTCCCGCCCCTGGACATTGGCTCCCCTCATTCTCAGGCCTTTGGACTCAGACTGAATTACACTTCCAGTTTTCCTGGTTCTCCAGGTTAATGGCAGACTACAAGACATATATATATATATATATGTATCTTGTATATATATGTATATATAGATCTTGTGTGGTGTGTATATATATATATATATATAGATAGATAGATAGATAGATAGATAGATCTTGTATATATATATCTTGTGTATATATATAGTGTGTATATATATGAAGGCTTCATTTTAATTTTTGATTAATGTAAGACTGGGTGGGATGCATGGGGAAGTCTGCAAAGGGACAGAGATTCATTTTATATGGTACATTTTACATTATTTAGATATTTGACTAAAATATTTTCTATATAAGATATACATAAATTTATATTTATATATTAAATATTTTATATATTAAATATTAAAATTAAATTTTATTAAGTTAATTAAAATATTAAATATTTAAAAATAATATGTATTTATATGTTAAATAAATGTATTTAATTTATATATTTAATAGATTTATGTATTATTTATTGTATATATATCTTTTTTCTAGGTAGGTAGGTAGGTAGATATAGATGGTTAAATATAGATCCATCCTATTGTTTCTATTTCCTTAGAGAACCTTGACTAATACAACAATAAAAATTTGTATGCAAAAAAATGACATCCTCAGATTCAAATTTTAGGATCCCTCAAGCTGTTAGGTGTAGCATGGATTAAAGAGAGATCACAGAAAGGTGGGTAGACATTTTGGGAAACCAATATCAGATGAGAATAGCTTGAGTGAACATGATGCTAATGACACCACAGATGGAGAGTAGCATAAGAATTAGAGATAAATTTAGAAGATAAAGTCGATAGAGCTGGTAATTGACTGGATACAGGGGTAAGGGAGAGAAAGTCGTATTAGACATAATGTCTGGCAGTTAGTCCTGTGTGATATGTTTTATGGAGAGAGGGAATCCTGCCATGGAGGGGTCTAGGTTTGGGAGTGAAGATCATGAGTTCAATTATGGACTTACGGTTTTGTGGTGTCTTTTAGCTATCCAAATGGACAATTATAGCATAAAATTAGATTACGTGAGCTTGACATAGAAATTTGGAAATTTTCTTAATGATTCATAATTATTATTAATAATTCATGCTCATAATTCATGAGCATGGATAATTGGGTGAAAGTATGGAGTGAGACACAGAAGGCTTCATTTCAATTCTTTGATTAATGTAAGACTGAGTGGGATACATGAGGAAGTCTGCAGAGGGACAGAGATTAATTTTATATGGTGTATTTTACATTATTTAGATATTTGACTGTAAATAAGGGACATTCATATTAAGATAAAAATTTAAAAAATTAGTTAGAGGAGGGTGGTCTGGTAAAGGAGAGTAGAAAAGAGGAGCTGGACAACCTGTATCTCATTTATCTCCCAAACCTCTGTACTTATTTTTCTTATTTTATCCCATTCCCTTTATTATTTATTTATTCTACATAACATTGTAAATGACATCTTTTAAAAATATGCCTATCTAAACATCACATCATGCATGCTATTTATTTTTTGTCACAGTAAGCATGTAGTTTTAATAAGCTATAATAGTAAATTTCACCACAATAACCATTTTTAGATCAAAAGAACAATCTAATATGAGAATAGTCAAATAACAAATGTTCCCATTATTATCATGTAACATTTTAACTATTCTGGAAATTTTAGAAATATCTTTCTTTGTAAAGAAAGGGTTCACAGAAAAGAAAACACATTTTCTTCTCTTTTGTTGTTAAGATTTATTGTTAAAGCATATGCATAGAAATTCAATAACAATTTTTGTTATATAAAAGAAACCCTTACTCAAACTATTTTTCATTTCTCTCCAGCCACAATTATATTAAAACAGACAGAACAAATGTCTGCATAGACAAAAAAAAAAAAAAAAAAAAAAAAAGGACAGACACTGCAAACAGAAAAGGGAAGGGCTGTGGTGAAAGAAAATTGATGACACAGAAATTAAATACTAAAGATCAGTGTGAAATGTTGGAAAGTGCCCACTGACTCAATAGCGCAAGATGTTTTTGTCTTTCTTTAAAATTTTATCTGTTGTAAAATCCATCCCATTTCAAGCCCACATTAACTGGTTGACTCATATACCTTTGTCTATACTTAATCTTATTATTCCTTTAAATACATAAAAATGAGCTCATGAAATAGACTCAGAATTTTCCTCCATAAGAAGACAAAATGGGGAGAACAAAGGCAATCATATCCTTTTCTTTTTTCAATGGCCACACAGTGAAGAAGAAAAAGAAAACTTAGGTTTGTTTTGGCTTGGATTTTTGGAGATGCATTGTAGACAATGTTCAGTGTCACACTGATTCAACAGATGAGGTGCTGAGGAAAATGCTTTTCCTCCTCACTCTACTCCCCTTGGCTATAAATGGCAAATTAAAATCTTAATCATTTTAAGAAAAAGTTTTGATGGCTAACTTGTAATGATAAAGGACAAAACTAATAGTTGTTACAATTACCTATCTTCAACATATTAATCCACTGGAAATGAATATAATTCAGCATATGTGATCATGGCTTCTTCTATGCAACATTCTAATCTTAAGTACATGTTCTAAGTGAGGACAGAAGTCACAGAAAAAAATTAAAAAGGCAAATTTAGGGCCAGATTTTTGTTGTTGTTGTTGTTGCTGCCACGGATACTGTTGCAGTTGTTATTGTCATTATTACTTTAATTTCATTATGCTAAATACCAGGAGCCATTAAAATACATTTCTCTATACTATGACTAATGAAAAATTAAAGCATCTACCCTAACGAGATCCTATGGAAAAACTCAATCTAAAACGTCTATATATGTCTAACTGTACACAATTTGAAGTAACTTTGGATATCAGAGAGTTTAAAGGGATATAACTACTTCAAGGCAATAAGAATAACTACAGGAGTATCTGATGGGAAAAAAGACAAAAAAAAAAAAAAAAAAAGGAATCTGACCTGAGAGATTATGTTGTAGATAACTTGAATGAGCTATTTGCAAAAACCTTAACAGACAAGTGTCATGCCTGATGGACTCAAAACAAGTTTCAATTATGCTTTAAAAGGCATTTGAAAGTACATTTCTCTCCTATGCGAAATGTGATATGATGATCCAAATGATGAAGGAAGGTCTAATTTTACACTCAAAACCAAACTCAATTTAGAAGAGGGAAAACTCACATTGGTAGACAGAAGATCATTAAGTAACCTGAAATAACGAATCATCTTTGTATGTTTTTGTTGGCATAGAAAACTGTTATAGAAGATGTCCGAGCATATGGAAAAGAACCTTGAACATGGAACAAGGAGACACGGGTTCAGCCTCTGGGCAAGTAAGTCTTGATCTTGTTATTTTAATACCATATATTGAATGCTTTCTGTGCTGAGAGTGTTGTATACATTCATTTAATCCTCACACTAACTGTATGATGCAGGCCATCTTATCTTTAACTACCTTCCTGTCTATCTACCTATATAGTTAATAATCCTAGTTGACAAAACTGAGACTCAAGAAGTTTACGAAATGTAAATTCCCACTGCCACAAAGGTAAAGAGTTAGAATTAATGTAAGTGTGTAAGATTCTGCTCTTAACATATTTTATATCACTAGTATGTAATAAGGCAAAAATATCAAAGATTATAAATCTGAATATATGCATATGTAAAATATATTATTCAGCTCATATTCTGTGTCAAAGTAATTAGGTAATTAAATGAAGAAATGAGAAGTACACATATAAAGTGCTTTGCATATTCTTATATCATTGTTGTCTAAAGGAATATAAATTTATGTTTGATTTATGAGCCAAACCATCTGTTTTCTTCCTTGAACACTAGTATTACTTGAAAGGATGACTGATGGATAGACTACGGTTACTTAAACTAGGATATATGGCAGATAGATATTTTCTCAGAAATGAAGTGAGTCTTAAATGCAAACAACAGACAGACAGTATTCAAATTTAAGTTTTCAAACAAAAATTAGAACTTTGGTATATTTGTATCTGTTATTGTGAGCTTGACCCCTTCCCAATACTTAAAGACTTTTCAGGTAAGATTAGTGGTGATATTACTGATTTTTTTAATATTATATAACAAAATGTATCAACATTTAGAATATCTGCCTAATTCAGTGAACTAATATTGTCCAAATGACCAATGCATGATGTTCCAAAATCTGCATGAATAAATGATACATTGAAAGCGAAAAATAAACCAATATTATAGGGTAACAGAGTATCAAATGTTCACTGATACCGTTTCAGATTATGCTCTGCAACTAATCTTTATGAAATTATCATTTATTTAGTTTTTGTCAAATATTAAAGAAGAATGTTCACAATTATCCGAAAGTACAATTAATTATCCGAAAGTACAATTAAAATATTGGTTTCTTTTGTATCCACATAATTGTGTGAGGCTGGATTTTCTTAGCATACGTTAATAAAAATAATGTATTGATAAACTAAATACAACAACAGTTGGAGATTCCAGTTCTATGAAACTCAAGAAAGAGAATTGCAAATATGAAATGTGCCATTATTTTTATTTTTAAAATAATACTATTGTTCATGAAAATATGTAACTTAACATATAATAAGTTTATTACAATTACTTTCAAAAATAAATACATAGATAATGTTCTAATTTCTAGTATGGTAACTATATATAGGTATGATCCACATAAACAAAAGCACTCTGGCATCTTCATTAACTTTAAAGAGTGCGTACTATTTGGAGATCGTGTTTATGACAATAACTAATGATAGTAAAATGTTTAGCCTCAAATCCAAACAGTAAATTGGTAAGTAAGTAAATGCTAACTATTATTAGGAAGTAGCTCTGATCTGCCTTCTGTGAATGAGGAAACTAAGGCAAGGTAAAATAAAGCCTTCAAGGATACTCACCTACTGAATGAATGGTGAATCTTGTTTAGTATACAATGTGTGAAGCTACAGATAATAATGCTCCTTTCCTTTACCAAATTGTAATTGGGTATACATGTCTGAGCAGGGAGTTAATTGAAAAGAAGTGGACAAATGAGATATTGGTAAGAATCAAGAATCAAGTTGGTTTCAGTTGTTTTGCAGGATCCTTACAAATGAACATTTTAGTCCTTGCTTTTATCCAGACTGAACAGTGATTTATCAGACCATTTGGCAGGCCAACTCCCATGAATTCGTCAAAGCAGCTGAGAGGTTACCATTTGCAGCTGCAAAGTAAGACCCTAAAACACTGAAATCTAACAAATTAAATTTGATTTTAGTACAGTATTATGAAATGTATCTGTGGAAAAATGACCTAGAAGAATACTCAAGATTGTTTTCATTTTTGAAACATATTTGTCAAATGTTAAGCATTCTGTGAAGTTTCTTAATTTTTAAATGTCATTTAAAAAATGAAACCACATAGATACATAATTATAAAATTATCTAGGTCTTTATTACTTGAATTATAATGAAAAAATAAGCAATAAGAAAAATAATAAGGAGAATGTATAAAGTATACTTGCCCAAAGTTAATTTCTAGGAATAAATATAGAATTATTCATTAATTTCAAAGACCCCACTTCCAAGTCCTTGTTAGGATAATTTAACTTAATTATATTTCACATTGCAAAACTGGAAAAGAACAGTTTTTAAAACTTGTTACTTTTTGATGGATTAAAGACTTACATGTTAGACCTAAAATCATAAAAACCCTAGAAGAAAACCTAGGCAATACCATTCAGGACATAGGCATGGGCAAGGACTTCATGTCTAAAACACCAAAAGCCATAGCAACAAAAGCCAAAATTGACAAATGGGATCTAATTAAACTAAAGAGCTTCTGCACAGCAAAAGAAACCACCATTAGAGTGAACAGGCAATCTACAGAATGGGAGAAAATTTTCGCAACCTACTTATCAGACAAAGGGCTAATATCCAGAATCTACAATGAAGTCAAACAAATTTACAAGAAAAAATCAAACAACCCCATCAAAAAGTGGGCAAAGGATATGAACAGACACTTCTCAAAAGAAGACATTTATGCAGCCAAAAGACACATGAAAAAATGCTCATCATCACTGGCCATCAGAGAAATGCAAATCAAAACCACAATGAGATACCATCTCACACCAGTTAGAATGGCAATCATTAAAAAGTCAGGAAACAACAGGTGCTGGAGAGGATGTGGAGAAATAGGAACACTTTTACACCATTGGTGGGACTGTAAACTAGTTCAACCATTGTGGAAGTCGGTGTGGTGATTCCTCAGGGATCTAGAACTAGAAATACCATTTGACCCAGCCATCCCATTACTGGGTATATACTCAAAGGATTATAAATCATGCTGCTGTAAAGACACATGCACACGTATGTTCATTGCGGCACTATTCACAATAGCAAAGACTTGGAACCAACCCAAATGTCCAATAATGATAGACTGGATTAAGAAAATGTGGCACATATACACCATGGAATACTATGCAGCCATAAAAAATGATGAATTCATGTCCTTTGTAGGGACATGGATGAAGCTGGAAACCATCATTCTCAGCAAACTATCGCAAGGACAAAAAACCAAACACCATATGTTCTCGCTCATAGGTGGGAATTGAACAATGAGAACACATGGACACAGGAAGGGGAACATCACACACCGGGGACTGTTGTGGGGTGGGTGGAGAGGGGAGGGATAGCATTAGGAGATATACCTAATGCTAAATGACGAGTTAATGGGTGCAGCACACCAACATGGCACATGTATACATATGTAACAAACCTGCACGTTGTGCACATGTACCCTAAAACTTAAAGTATAATAATAAAACAAAAAAACAAACAAAAAACTTGTTACTTTTTATGTGAGTTTTTTGAACATTTATAAATGTTAAATATATTGTGATTCAAATTAAAAATGTATATATTATTTGATCCAGCAATTTCATTTTGGGTATTTTTCTTAACAGATAATTGAACTGGCACAACAAAGGTAAGTTAAATATATTAATTGCATCATTGTTTATATTATCAAAATTATGAAAATGCAATGATATCTATCAATATAAGATTATTGAAATAATATATTGTGAAGGCAAAACATTTTATATGAAAATACTTTAATTGATATTTATAACAATGTTGAATGAAAATGTAGTTTAAAAAATAGAGTGATATTATTTATATAACATGTTTATATGCTTATTTCTCTTTATGCAGAAAAAGATGTCGGAAATTGTTCATCAAAAAACTGAGTGCTTATCTATGAGTATGAAGATTTCATTAATTAATCTTATATGTTATACTTTTTCACATTACTTGAATATTGTTCATAATTGCATACTATCTTTATAATATAATAAAATATTTTCATTTTCAAATATTTAACAATTTAAACAAATGTAAGCAAAATATTAAAAATAACTTGACATTAGTACGTGGAATTGGGGCAATTGCATAAGTTTTCTCATTCAAACATTCATATAAGTACTTGAAATCATGAATACAAGCATATTAACACTAGAGATTTTAGAATTCCTCCATTATTTCCCTAGTTTTCTAGCTATGATTTGATCAAACTGTGTTTATAAGTTCCTTTATATTAAATTTAGGTGGTAAGCTAGATTTAAATCTTTTTGGAGAAAAATTGTTATTTGATATTAAATGTAATTATTTATTTCACTGGAAATATAAAATATATAGCCTTCCAAGTAACAAAGGGTAATGAATTTATTGTTTAAAGAGAAACGTAAATACAGAAAATAAAAGCTGGCCGGGTGCGGTGGCTCATGCCTATAATCCCAGCACTTTCGGAGGTCGAGGCAGGAGGATCACGAGGTCAGGAGATAGAGACCATCCTGGCTAATACAGTGAAACCCTGTCTGTCTTTACTAAAACTACAAAAAAAAAAAAAAATTAGCCACGCATGGTGGCACGCACCTGTAGTCCCAGCTACTTGGGAGGCTGAGGCGGAGGTTGCAATGAGCCGAGATCACGCCACTGTACTCCAGCCTATGTGACAGAGTGAGACTCCATCTCAAAAAAATAAAATAAAATAAATTAAAATAAAATAAATTAAAAATAAAAGCTTATGCTCTTTACTTTCTACATACCATTCTATTTTCTTTATTTTCATATTTCTAATTTATGGCACTTTGAGCTACAAAATACATTTTAAAACATCTTTCAAATGCCATAAATATTTTTCAATTACTGTTTAGTGAAGGCTTCAGTAACTTGTTCCTTTCTATTTATTTTGCGTAGAACCCTAGCTGAGAGGTTTGCAAACAAGACAAAACTTCAATGTAAATTTTTAATTTGTTATTTTGGAACAAAAAATGGCAGCTGATAAGCTTTTTCAAGTAGGCATATTCTCTTTAACAATTTCAAATAAAAATCAATTCATGTATAGCCTTCAAGGACATATGATTTTACAAAGTAAATCTGACGACTGTTTGTAGAATTATTCAATAAAGAAATAATTGCTTATTTCTGGATAAAGCCTCTATTGACCAATATTAATTTATTCTCAACTACCAGACACCTAGTTCCAAACCTAGAATAAAGCTATTCTGTCGGCTCAGAGATAGCCTAAGCCTGCCTTTTCCTTGCCTACAAAATTAGATTCAAAATTTTTACCATAAGCATTCCACTCCCTCCATGATCTTATGCCAATTTACATTAGTTTGCCCCTAGATCAAACAAACAATCCCTTTCTTCCTCCTTCCCCCAACAGATCAACTGCCCTACTTGCCCACGTCTTCCTCCTGCGATGAACTCAGGCACTGGTACGCAGTATAGACATGGTACAGAGGATTGTCTCAGAGAGGTTGTGCTGTTCTTTTCCCTACTTCACCCTCCCGAGTTGTGCCATCTTGGTCATGTTGCTTAACTTACCTGTTTCAGTTTTTCCAACTGTAAAATATGGATGATAAACTTGCCTATCTATCTCATGGAGCTGTCATGGAAATATAATGCAAAGCATTTCACTGTCTCAATTTTGTTATTTGAAAAGGAGTAATTTGTAAACAAAAATAAATCCTTTCAAGTCATTTTCTAAAATTCTGTAATTGACAAATATTTACTAAAATATTAAACTGAGGATTTATAAGTTTTCTAATATTACTTTCCAAAACTAGACTATTTAAAAGGGAAAATGGCTGATAATATCAGTGCAGTTCTCAAGCAGTGTCTATCCTCTTACCTCATTATGATCTTGATGAAACACTTGCCAATATAAAATCATGACAAAGCTATTTCATGGGTGTGCACCATGAGAAAACTACTTTAACTTCAATTTTTTTTGGCTTGGTTACTTTCACTGGTCATTTTCTTTTGTTGTTGGTTTCAAAACTCATTGCTATTTCCACTGACTACTTTGGCCTCCTAGTCAATCATATCTTTTTGTAAGACCATAAAACTTTGACATTTTTGCCAAAAAGTAATCAGTATTGTCAATTTAAAATTTCCCTTGATTTCAAGATTCTCTAATACACAGTATTTTTTTTTAACTTTCCCCCATTAGTTCCATATTATATTTTACATAGTAGACATTCAATAAAAGATTCTTAAAAAAGTAAGCCTGGGTAACATAGGGAGAACCTGTCTCTACAAAAAAATTGAAAAGTAGCTGGGCATGGTAGTGTGTTCCAGTAGTCCCAGCTACCTGGGAGGCTGAGATGGGAGCATCCCTTGAGCCTGGGAAGTTGAGGCTGCAGTGAGTTGTGATTGCACCACTGCACTCCAGCCTGAGTGGCAGAGTGAGACCCTGTCTCAAAAAAAAAAAAAAAAAAAAAGAGTTTTTGTTTTAGGTAAACCACATGTCTCTTTCTATATACTTTCAACTTGGAAATGATGTTTTGTTTCAATGTAAAGAAAAAAATTAACTATTAAACTAAATAGTAAAAATAAACTCTTAACTATTAAACCAAAAGACCAGTTTATATTTGATGTGAATTCCATTTAATACTAACAAACAGGCCCTGATTAAAATTTATATAGTGATAGCAAAACTAACAACTTTTCACTCCTTGGGAGGTGGAGAAAATAAGGTGAAGAGGGTCTTAAGTTTATGGGAAAACTTCATTTTTGCCACAATAATGCCCGTTTCATGGCAACACCTACATTTTCAGTCAAATTTCCCATATAAAAGCAAGGTGTCAATGATATGTCAGTAATTCATTCACATTTTTAAATAAGAGTGCAAATGATTGAGTTAAGTATTGTCTGGGAAAATGATAACATGTAATTTGCCCAAAGGCTGACTAAAGACAGAATATTTAAACAGGACAATTAAACATCATGCTAAGCCCTAATATGTTCCTCTAAGAAGTTAAAAATTCTCTTAAGAGATTTAACTTTTTAAAAATTCTAGCTATAAACTAAAATAAAATTAATTGCATTTACATGCCCGGACACTTGTATTTTAGAGCTGATAGTTATTTAAAAACCAGATCAACTCAGGACTTAAGTTACAAAAAAAAAGCTGTGCCCTGCCCTGCCCTGCCCTTGTAAGTTCAAGGCAGATGTTTAACATTGCTCAAACATAGTGTTTTTTAAGGTTTAATTTTCATTCAGTTCTACTTTTCAGAAGAGCAGTGATGTAACTTAGTATTATTACAACAACACAAAAAATCTCAGCCACATGGTAAAAGTTGATCCAAAAACAAATGAGTAACATCAAAACCAGGCCAAAGATCATATCCAGTGAACTGAAAAAAAAGAAAAATCTAACAATTTCAATGGAAACTTCTACACTAGTTATGATCTTAAAATGAAGGGTGGGGAAGGTCATTATTTTATTAACTCTGTAAAGCACTGAAATAAGGGAACAAAAGTGAGTTTTATACTTCACCAGAGGAAAGACAGAGAATTTATAAATTACAGGGGTACGTTTTGCTATTTATTGGTGAGTGCTCTCTAAAACTAACGGCTATTTAAAATACAATCATGCTAATGGTCAAGTCATTTCCTATTTACTTAAATCTTTTCTATCAGCATTTGCTTAAGTAAAACCTAAAGAACATTCTCTTTTAATGTTGCCATTATCTGTTCCCTCAGATCATATAAAGGTGGAATTGAAATTAACATTTGTAGATGAAAGACACTGTTTTTCTCCTAAAGAACTTGCTTAAACCAATTGTTTAAAGATCCAATGTTCTTAGGCTCTAAGTTGATTTCTAATAAGAGATTTTTTTTCTTCTACTATGACAATATTCTAACCAGAGTAGACATCCAGTAAACACTGAATAACTTACCCAAAACTGTACTTTAGGCAGAAAGGAACAATTCCCGCATGCATTGATGTTGTTATACCAAACTCTTTTACCGACAAAAGGACCACGTTTTCTCAGTCTAAAGAAAGAAACAAAGAAATGTTATTTTTAGCTCAGATATCTTTATAGCTCTGGCTATATTCTCTAATTATTAAGTATTTTATATTCCTTATCTATCCCAAAATAAACTTGGATTCTTTACACTATATTGCTTCTGTTTTTTTTTTTTTTTTTTTTTTGAGACGGAGTCTCGCTCTGTCGCCCAGGCTGGAGTGCAGTGGCGCAATCTCGGCTCACTGCAAGCTCCGCCTCCCGGGTTCACGCCATTCTCCTGCCTCAGCCTCCCGAGTAGCTGGGACTACAGGCGCCCGCCACCACGCCCGGCTAATTTTTTGTATTTTTAGTAGAGACAGGGTTTCACCGTGTTAACCAGGATGGTCTTGATCTCCTGACCTCGTGATCTGCCCGCCTCGGCCTCCCAAAGTGCTGGGATTACAGGCGTGAGCCACCGCACCTGGCCACTATATAGCTTCTTAACCCTATACTCATAATGTAATGTTGAAGAAGATGAGATTCAAAGAGAAAAATGGCAGGTGATCAAGCCTGTGGAAAACAATGCCAAATAAAGTGGGATTATCTCAAAAATCTCTATATCTTGAGGTGGTGGAAGCTGGGGTGAGAGAGAGGTAACTGACAAGGACCACCCAGTGAAAGGTCTAAACCAGGCAAAGCTGAGAGAAGATAAAGAAGACCAGATGTAAAGCTATTGTTCCAACAATTTCTCATCTTACTGAAAAAGTGAGGAACAAGAGCTCTAGAAGTAATTTTTTTCTCACTCACTTTGGTGAACTCTGCAGTAAACAGCAGTAAGCAGTTGTTAAGGAATTGTGAACGCAAAGATAAGCTCAAGGTCAATGATTCCAAATTATCTGAGAAGCATGAAGACCACATAAACAAATAACAAACCAAAGTACTCACACACAAGGAAATAATACTAAAGCACTCAGAAGAAGACTTTAAAACAAGTGAAATTAATTAAGCTAATGTTGAATTTATGAAACAAAAGCAAATTGCCATAAAAAAGGATCCATTAGGGATAATGAAGATATATTCACACACACACACAGACACACACACACACACACACACACCATGTTGAATTTAAACAAATGCATAGATTAGGTATAGATATAAATATAGATGTATGTTGGAAAAAATTTATGGATAGGATGAATAAAATAATGGTTCTAGATGAAGCAAGGACTGATGGTTTAAAAATACTATGAATAGTAGATACTGAAAGTCTATGTATCTGTGGCTATGTATTCTATATATCTATAACAATGTATTCTGTAGCTCAATAGGAATGCCAAAAGAACAGAACAGATAAAATGAAGTCAAGGATGGTAATTATAGAACTGACACCTGGAATTGACCAAAAGTTATAGGTTATACCTAAGATGCCATCAACAGATGGTGAAGGGAAGTACTACAGAAAATAATTTTGGGCAGAAATGGGAGATAAAAGCTGCTAAGTTTATCATACTCAACACTCGTTGAAATATCCTTGTGTGTATTTTTTTTTTTTTTTTTTAGACAGAGTCTTGTACTGTCACCTGGCCTGGAGTGCAGTGGCATGATCTCGGCTCACTGCAACCTCTGCCTCCCGAGTTCAAGTGATTCTCCTGCCTCAGCCTCCCAAGTAGCTGGGATTACAGGTACCCACCACCACACCCAGGTAATTTTTGGTATTTTTAGTAGAGATGGGGTTTCACTATGTTGGCCAGGCTGGTCTCAAAGTCCTCACCACGTGATCCACCCACCCAAGCCTCCCAACGTGCTGGGATTACAGGTGTGAGCCACTGTTCCCGGCCCCTTGTATGTATTTTTACACACACAGAATGGTGAAAGAGAAGGTGTCAGGCAAGTCCCCTGAAGGATCATGAGACATTTGAGTAGAAAAGGAAATAATGAGCTGAATGAGAAGCTGGCAATGTAAGGAAAAGCACTCATTGTATTAGTCCATTCTCATGCTACTAATAGATACCCAAGACTGAGTAATTTATAAAGGAAAGAGGTTTAATTGACTCACAGTTCAGCATGCTTGGGAAGCCTCAGGAAACTTACACTCATGGTGGAAGGGGAAGTAAACACCCTTCTTCACATGGCAGCAGCAAGGAGAAGTACAGAGTGAAGGGGAGAAAAGTCCTTTGTAAAACTATCAGATTTCACGAGAACTCACCTACTATCACAAGAATAGCATGAGGGTAACAGCCCCCATGATTCAATCACCTCCCACCGGGTCCTTCCAGAAACGTGCAGCTTATGGGAACTGCAATTCAAGATGAGATTTGGGTGAGGACACAGCCAAATCATATCACTCATGGTAAAAGATGTGGAGTTTTAAATGAGCTGGACATGTTCAAGGATTGTTAAGAACATGCTTTGTTAGCTACAGAGTAAGCAAGGAAGAGGATGGAAGGAAGAAGAATTCAGAGACAAGAACCAGATCATATAGTACCTTGTGGGCCCTTAAGAAGATGAGGCCTTATTTTACATGTAATGGGAAGCCATCAGAGGGTTTTAAATAGAAAGACAAATGAACTATCATGTACTTTAAGAGATCACTCTAGGTTCTTTCTAGAGAATGGAAAACAGCATGGAACAATAAAGGAAGAATATTGGAAATCTATTTTTATATTAATTGTTAGAAAGTCAGTTTGACTTGTAGGCATCTATTATTTAACAAAAAAAATATAAATTTAATGTGAACTCCAATATTTAAAAACTAATTATTTCTAATTAGCCTATAAGATGTTATTTACATAATGCCACTTATGATATATGACTTGATTTTTTTCCTCTCAATTAGCTGGGATAGCTTTATACTGATCTCTTAACAAACATATGCTTTCTCTGACAATAAATAGTAAGACTTTGAAGAATGGTTTCCTGAGTTTAGAGATAAAAGGATTACACTGTTAAAGATTGAGAAAACAGATGACTCAGAAAAACGTCTTAAGTTTATTCAATGGCCAACTATTACAACAAGATGAGTATTTACTACTTGCTGTAGATTAATTATAATCGAAATATGACTTAATTTATTCTGAATTCTGAGAGACTAAGCTATCTTTAAATCTTGCATTCTCTAATGATAGAAGTTTCTCCAATTAAGAGTCATGGAATATTTTCCTTTGTCGAGTGATTACAAAGTGCTAATCATTATGCAAAGTGTTTACTTACATACTTTATCTCATCAAATCTTCATGACTATTTAAATTGGGTATTACCATTCCTATTTTACAGGTGAGGAAGCTCTGTCACAGAAAGTCTAAGTCATTTCTTTCTTTCTTTTTTTTTTTTATTATTATACTTTAAGTTTTAGGGTACATGTGCACAAGTCTAAGTCATTTCTTATGGCCAAATAGGTAATGCCAAACTTGAGATTCAAAATCAAGGTCCTCTGACTTGAAAGCAGTCCTAGCCAATGTTCTAGACTGCATCGCTTACAATAAAAATGGCCATTTTTATCGGTAATTGGTAATTACCAATAAAATTAATTAATTGGTAATTGGAACTGATTCCAATTGCAGTTCAGTCACTATCTGGTGGTGTGATTTGAAGTGAATTACTGAAACAGTTTTATCTGTAAGCGTATAAACAATAACATATACTCTACCCTGTACATATCAAAATTAATGAAATAACCTTTTTGAAAATCCATCACAATGCCTGACGATGGCAGGTTCAATGAGATGAACCTGAATATATGTAAAAATATATATTATATATAACATATATGTTATATGCATTATATATAAATCTATTACTTATGTTATACATATGGTATATGTATCATATAATGTATACAAAACTCTTCCCTTCAAAACTAAATTTTTTTGGAATAAATCATTCCAAAACACAAAACAAATGTATCTGTCGTTCTTGTTGTTGTTGTTGTTGTTTTTGAGATGGAGTCTTGATCTGTCTCCCAGGCTGGAGTGCAGTGGCGCCATCTCGGCTCACTGCAAGCTCCGCCTCCCGGGTTCACGCCATTCTCCTTCCTCAGCCTCCCTAGTAGCTTGGACTACAGGTGCCTGCCATCATGCCCTGCTATTTTTTTTTTTTTTTTTTTTGTATTTTTAGTAGAGACAGGGTTTCACCGTGTTAGCCAGGATGTTCTCCATCTCCTGACCTCGTGATCTGCCCGCCTCAGCCTCCCAAAGTGCTGGGATTATAGGCATGAGCCACTGCGCCAGGCCATATCTGTCTTTTTAACCAGAGATACTTATCCTAAATTTACATTTTTTAAGCATGAAGGGCACTATCATCAACAACCATTATTATAGAAAAGGGGCCAGGGATCATTAGCTATAATGTTAAATGCATGATTATACTTTACCATGCTCTTTTGTGTTTTGAATTCTGCATTCCCAGTCACCTTTCATGCTGTCCGGTATAACTCTCTCCTATTATTGGTTATCTTCCTCTAGTTACTGATGCTGTTTTTATAACTTTACACTTCTATTTTATGCTTCTAATCTGTGGTGAGCTGGACATTTAGATGACTACATTTATAGAATGTGTTACAGAAGTAAAAATATATACAAACAAAGCAAGGATTCACGAGGTCTATTATGGCTGAAGTCAATGAATTTTAGTGTATGGCCTGTGACATTTATTTTAGTTCTGAAGTATTGCTTTTTATTTAATCAACAGTTCTTGATTTTGCTTTGGGTAGATAGCCAAAGGGACTAACCTATAAATGAGACATTTGTTGTCTTATTAAAAATTAGTAATTAAAAATTAAAATTATTTCATATGTTTTAGCAAAACATAAGAAATAAAATATTTCCTCAACAATAAATTCTCATATACTTTATAGGTATGAGTGCTGATTTTCTCTTTAGAGTATGACAGCTTAGTGGTTAGCTTACTTAGCAGATAGCAAAATTCATATCTTACAAGTTGTAGGTTGTCACAAGTTAATGTAATCCTTCAATTGAAAAACTCTGGTGATCCCATAATATCTGACATCTCTAGGTACATTATTTCATTTTATTTCTTTTGTTCCAGACCCAGCTAATATCTAATGAAAATGATTGCTTAGCATAGAGCCTTACATGGCAAAGCTGTTTGATAGACAATAAACCAATAGCGATGCAAATGACAACCATCAGTCCTATTCATTTCCATATTCTTAGACAGCCAGTGCCTGGCATATCACAGGCACTCAATAAATGTTTCTTAAAGTGATGCATTAATACACACATATAACTGACTCAGTTACGTGGGTGCCCCCTACTCAGGCATTATAGGTCTGAGTTTAATTTTAACATTTAGAGGATTTAATATTTAGAGAATTGCAATGTCATTGGAAAAGTTCAATGATCGTATATTAGTCACATGCATCACCATTTAAATATCCTGAGACTTCCCTCCTACTAATTTTTTAAAGGAGAAAGAAATAATAGCTATAAATCTACAAAGAAATCATGAGAAGATTCATAGGGAATAAAATTTCAACTAATATGTGGTCAGACAGAAAGCATAGAGTTGGCATCACAACCCATAAGGGAAAAGATGGAGTAGTTTTAAATGATATTAACAAAAGCAGTTCATTATAAGAAAAAAATAAATTTGAGTCCCTTTCTCACACCACATCCAAAAGGAAAATTCAGATGGAATAAATATCGACATATAAAAGAGAAAATTATATTGCTAATAGGAGATAATACAGAGAATATCTTCCTGGTTCCAGAGTAGGGGAAGAATATTTTGGCTTAATCTAGTCCCAAAACGCTTCTCGTTTTATAGTTGTTTTTTTTTTTTAAACTTTTATGTTCAGGAGTACATGTGCCAGTTTTTTCTATCAATAACTCATGTCACAAAGGTTTGTTGCAGATTATTTTGTCACCCAGGTAGTAAGCCTAGTACCCACTAGTAATTTTTTCTGATCCTCTCTCCTCCCACCCTCATTTTATAGTTTAAATGGAGTTCCTTCTCCTTAATCAGGAGAAAAGCCAGAACCAACAGTTGACTCCCCATCCTGTTCTTTCCTAGAAACCATTTTTCATATATTTATCTGCCCCAAGGGACACATACATTATCTTGAATCCTTCTGATCCTTGGAGATCTGGTTAAACCTGACCTGAAACACAATTTCAGGCTGTGACTATACAGAGCCCTCCTCACAGTCTCTGGGAGCTGCTGAGACAGGTCCTCAGGCTTTCTTCTGACTGTGTGTTTTCCTGTCTGTGTGGACTTTTGCCCTCCACGAGTACAGATATGTACCCAGCCCCGTCACTGGTTCATATACACACCTTCAAACACACATCACTCTTAAACACTCACATCTACTAATGACATGCATTTCTCAGTTTGGTAACTTCACTCAACATACAGCAGACGATGGGTGGAGTTATTTTAAATTCCATACAGCTCTCTACCATCTACCTAGCTCCACAACCCTCTTCCTCACTCCTTTTTCTAGATTGACAGGTATATTACTTTAACATCTCACTTAGAACATTTCCACCCACTTCCAGGTCCCTGAAGATCTCATCTTCCACTCTCAATCACTTGTCAAGGGACTGTAGTTATTTTCTTTGTATTTTTCCCTGAGCAAATACACTAGCTTTTTATAAAAGGAATTCTGATGAAAGGTATTAACAAGATTTCCCCACCTCATCACAAATATGGGGTTATCATACCTAACGTGATGCCATGTATAAAAATCATTTGGTGACTCAATTATGTAGTCCAGGAAAGAAAGCTAATAAATAGAAACTACACTGTAAATAGTCTAGACACTAGAACTTGGTTAGTGACGTCATGCCTAAATCCATTAAGAACTCACCGCTAAGTTGTAAGAGTTAAGACATTGCAACTAAGTGGTGAACCAGTAAGTATTGATTTTAATGAAGTTGGAAAATATATTTTCCTTACTACCTGCAGGAAAACACTCTGTTTAAAATAAACGAACAATGAACAAACAAGCAGAAAATATACTGGCCTGAATACTGTAATGAAAAGGACACTATGTAGACCTCCTGGGTATATTCGGGTTAAAAGTCTGTCACTCTTCTGACCCCTTGTCCTGAGGAAAGCTACTTAGGTCAAAAGGGACGTGTGCATCTGAAAGGTTGTAGTGACGTGGAGTGCTGAGAAAGTAGCCCCTTCTTCACACCCTCTGTAATCACTCAACCCAGGCTCCACCAATGCAAAGACAACCAAGGTCAGGCCAGAGAGAAGTACAAATAAGACTAATAGTGGGGCAAACTAATTCCCGGGTAAATCCAGTATCTCATTTTAGAGACTCTTAAGTGAACATGTTATGGTTAAATTTTAATCAGCTGATGAACGTGTACCAACCTTCTCAAATTTACTTAATCTTAGAAATTAATTTCTTTCTTTTGGATTAAAAAAAAAATCTGTAAGAATTTGCCCATGTGTGGTGGCTCACTCCCGTAATCCCAGCACTTTGGGAGGCCAAGACAGGCAGATCACCTGAGGTCAGGAGTTGCAGACCAGCCTGGCCAACATGGTGAAACCCCGTCTCTACTAAAAATACAAAAATTAGCCGGGCATGGTGGCGGGCACCTATAGTCCCAGCTACTCAGGAGGATTCGCTTGAACCCAGGAGGTGAAGGTTGCAGTGAGCCAAGATGGCGTCACTGTCCTCCAGCCTGGGTGACAGAATCAGACTCCAGGTCAAAAAAAAAAAAAAAGAGAATTCTTTTCATCTTACACATTGTAATTTTTTTTGTTTCGGATTCAGGGGTACATGTGCAAGGTTGTGTTTATATTACATGATGATGAGGTTTGGGATACGAATGGTTCTGTCACCTCACCCAGATGGTGAGCATAGTACTCAATAGGTAGTTTTTCAGTCCATTCCTCCCTCTCTCCTCCCCCCTCTAGTAATTCCCAGTGTCTACTGTTCCCATCTTTATGTCTATGTGTTTTTAATACTTAGCCCCTACTTGTAAGTGAGAACATACAGTATTTGCTTTTCTGGTTTTGCATTAATTCACTTAATTTAATGGCCTCTACCCGCATCCATATTGCTGCAAAGGACAAGATTTCATTGATGTTTATGGCTGTGTGGTATTCCAGGGTGTATATGCCCCACATTTTCTTGATCCAATCCAACACTGACGGGCACCTACATTGATTCCATGTGTTTGCTATTGTGAATAGCTCTGTGATGAATGTATATGAGTCTTTTTGATAGAATGAATTATTTCCCTCCGAGTATATACTCAGTAGTTGGATTGCTGGATTAAAACTACAATGAGCCAACGGGGGCGGGTCATGAGGTTAGAAGTTTGAGACCAGCTTGGCCAACATAGTGAAACCCCGTCTCTACTAAAAATACAAAAATTAGCCGGGCATGGTGGTGTGTGCCTGTAGTCCCAGTTACTCGGGAGGCTGAGGCAGGAGAATCACTTGAACCTGGGAGACGGAGTTTGTGGTGAGCCGAGATCACACCACTGCACCCAGCCTGGGCAACAGAGAAAGACTCCATCTCAAAAAAAAAAAAGAACTGCAATGAGATACCATCTCACACCACTCAGAATGGTTATTATTAAGTTTAAAAATAATAGATGCTGGCAAGGCTATGGAAAAAAGGAAACACGTGTATGCTATTGGTGGGAATGCAAATTAGTTCAGCTACTGTGGAAAGCAGTTTGGATTAGTTCAGCTACTGTGGAAAGCAGTTTGGAGATTTCTCAGAAAAAACTTAATAAGAATTTTGAGTAAAAATAGACTAGTTAGGTAATCCTAAATGAAAGGGAGAAAGACATTCTCAGTGCAAGGTGTAGAAATGACTCATTTAAATTGCAGGATTTCAATGAGTTGACATTTAACATGAAATCCTTCTTCCCTATAATCTCCAGAGTTTCTTTTGGCAGTGATTAAAACCATTTCCTAAAATCCACTATGATTTAGCTATTTTAGCATTAATTTGAATTCTTATAAACCAAAAGAATGGCTTGATTAACAATTTTAAAAACATTTCTACTCTCAGAACATGGAGCTACAGGAATGCTATTGTCACCATCGTTATAAAATGTTAGGAGGTCCTATCTCTCTAGTAACTTAATCTTAATGTATGTGATCCAAGGGGAAAAGTGCTCAATTAGGCATGATGTTCAAATGCCTAGGCATTCCCTGGGGCTTCTGGCATTAGTATCTTGGCTCCTGGCATAGTTGTTCATGACGAAAAAATTATCTGCTCCCCTTTGTCAACTTCATTATTTTATACTTTCAAAGTTCTCGTTATACTTTTGGATGTCTTAGACTATGCTACTGAATGTATGTTTCCCGCACGAAACTTTGCACAGCAAAGGACAAAGGATAGTCCAGACTCTTTGTTAAACTGGCTAGTCCCAAATTTTCTCTAACTGGCACACTTCCAGAAGTGAAATTCTTTCTTTATTGACTTCCCATTTAGAGTAAATGAACCCTTCTATTTGTTTCTATGACAGACATAAAAAGAATTTTTAAATGGTATAGTTTTACCTAAATGGGAAAAAAATTCAATAAGTTCAATTAATAAAAAAATTATCATTGAACATAAAATTAGTTCCTCAACCATTTTATGTCATTGTATAATGAGGGCACCTAATTTCCTACAATAATTATCTTAGTCTATTTCTGCTCCGATAACAAAATACCTTAGACAGAGTAATTTATAAAAAACAGAAATTTATTTCTCACAGTTTTTGAAGCTGAAGGCCCAAGATCAAGATGTCAGCAGGGGCCTGGCACAGTGACTCACACCTGCAATCCTAGCACTTTGGGAGGCAGAGGCAGGCAGATCACCTGAGGTCAGGAGTTCGAGACCAGCCTGCCCAACATGGTGAAACCCCATCTCTACTAAAAATACAAAAAAATCCACCGGGAGTGGTGACACATGCCTGTAGTCCCAGCTACTTGGGAGACTGAGATGGGAGAATTGCTTGAACCCAGGGGACGGAGGTTGCAGTGAGCTGAGATAGTGTCACTGCACTCCAGCCTGAGCGACAGAGTACAGTGCACTCAAGCCAGGCTCAAGTGACTGGTTCAACAAAAAAAAAAAAAAAAAAAAAAAAAAAAGATGTCAGTAAGTTTAGTGTCTGAATGAGGCCCACTTTCTGCTTCCAATATGGCACCTCTTGCTTATTCTCATGTGGTGGAAGTAAGCAGAAGGGCCAGATAATATGTCCTCACATGGCAGAAGCGATGGAAGAATAAGAGTACAAAAAGGGGCTAGCTAGCTCTCTCCAGCCCTTTCATAGGCACTAAACCTATCCATATATGCGTGCAGAGCCCTCATGGCCTAACCACCTTCTAAATGACCCATAACTTAGTACTACTGCATTAGGAGATTAAGTCTCATTATGAATTTTGGAAGGGACACAGACATTCAAATGATAGCTGTAACACTGTAGAATTTAGAAAATAAATTTTTAGTCAATTATCTTATTTATGAGAGATTATTTCTAAATTTGTACAGGAAAATTACAAAATTAATGAATTTTCTTGTTTTTATTTTAAAAACTAACTTTATTTGTAGAAAAAATAAAATTAATTCAAAAATTGCCTTAAGTATTTTTTAAGTTAATGTGGAGAATTCTCCTTTAAAATATTGAGGTACTGCTACTAAGAAACTTGAAAGACCAAAGATCTATGAAAATGTCTTCATTTCTAATCAACTATGTCTGACTTTGGTTCATGGCAAAGAGGTATTAACAAAATGAATCCATTGTGGTAGCTAAAATTTGTTTTTATACTATTTCAAAGGCTTAAGAATAAAAATTAAATCTATCAGATTTATATTAAACCTAATAAAATGTTTTAGTTTATTGGCTTTAAAAAATTTTAATTCATTTTTCTATCATCTATGACAGTGCCGATTATGTCACTCCTAATTAAAGAGGGTGAGGTCCCTCCTTATTTAAAATCAGAGCGGTATTTTGAGAATTTCAATATTTGAATGATAAAAGAAAAAGCCAGCCAAAGGTCTCAAACATTCATTTAAATTATCTGACAGAGAGAACCCGTAAGTTCTATATTTGAAAGAGGTCTTGTATAAAACTGGAGAACTGTTTATTTTAATAGTATAAAAAATGACCTTGTATCTCCCTGATAGAAATAATTCTGGAGTCAGGTATAAACAGACTCGGAGAGGAGAGACAGAGAAAATGTACTTTAACTAGGTTATAGGGGCATAAAAATGAAATGGATCTTGACGACATCACAAGCTCTACAGCAGAAATGGGAGCGTTTAATTTGATCCTATAATTTTCTTTTCTTTCTTTTTTTTTTTTTTGGAAAAAGGAAGGTTTTTTAAATGACATACACCGGCCATAAAACATTTCAAGAGATGTGGAAGCCTACAATCAGCTACTTGTTTTAATGAACACTTCAAATTTAGCCTATTCAAAAATATGTTTTTCTCTTGTCAATTTCCCTTAAGAAGCTGCTTGAAGGGCTGGGAGTAAGGGCAAGGTTGGTGGTAGGGACCAAGACGGAAGTGACCGAGAAAGAATTCAGATCACATGAAATCTCTAACATGTTTTAAAATTAAAATTAAAATTAACAGTTTGTGTTATGTTTATACTTATCCTCTGGCCATGTTGTAATAAATAAATAAAACCTCTTACAATGAAGTGTGTTTTCTAATTTCTCTCACTGGCTAAAGGGTGATTCTGTTCAGCTAATAGTGTGTTGTTTCAGTGGAGATTCAGGTGTATAAATAAGTGAGAAATAAGCCAAGCCAAGAAAGTAGCACGCTTTGCTTCCTTCTGCTTGTTAATTTAGAAAAACAGTGCTGCTCCCAACCATCACTAAATGTGCTTTATTCCATGGGTGGCAATTCTAGTTCTTGTTTTCTTGGAATGGCTGTCCCTATTTTCATGGGTGGGAGGTCTGTGAAGGTGAATAACATGGCTTCCACGGGACGTAGACTCAATGGTGAAACCAAATGAAGAAATCTGTAGCCCCCCTCCGAGCTGTCTGGTGGAGATTAGGTCTGATCTAACACCTTTTGGTCTTGCTCTGTCTAAACAAACACTCAAATCTGAAACCCAGCCAGTCATAGCAGTCCCTGCCTACACATGTAATCGCAGGCATTTCAGAGCTTATTCTTAAGGCCTGGCTGTCAAGTTTGTAATAAAAATATGCTATTTAATGTTTGCAGAATGAGGAAAGCTAACTGGCCGAGTGGATTTTTTCCGAGCTGTCAATTATTCTCTAGAATCAAGAAATATTTTTCTTTTTTCTTTTTTTTTTTTTAACAAACAGTGACACTTTGCTTGTATATAGCTCAGTTGGTACCCACTCTTTTTGATCATCTGACATTCCTGCAATGAGTGGAAATTTACAACTTTAATGAAAACTTTGTCATCACCAATCAAAACTATAAGTGAAATTAAGTGCAATCATCCTTTTAAGAATCATCTGAGAGTCTTTTAGAACTAGCTCATAATGCAAAACATCTACTTTCAGGCATAACTGGTACAAATCAGAATCATTTACATGGTTATCATAGTAATTTCCAGTGGTGTACTGCTTTCTTCCTATATCATTCCTACATCATTTATTTAGCACATATTTATTGAAATTGTAGAGCGTAAGCTCCAAGTTACCCACAATTGTGTCCTGGGCCTCAAAAGATTTATAATCATTTAGAAAGGTGGACTTGCAGATTCTGAGAAAATACACACACACACATATACACATGAGATAAATTTCTGTAGATACAATGGATAAGTGTTTTTTGTTTTCTTGATTGCAGCCTCTATGGTCTGAATATTCATGTCCTACCAAAATTCCTGTGTTAAAATCTAATCCCCCAGGGTAATGGTATTAAGAGGGGGCCTTTGGGAGGTAATTAGGATCATATTAGGAGCCCTCATATGTGAGATTAGTGCCCTTATTTTAAAAGGTGTGAGGAAGCCTGTTTGCTCCTTGTGCCATGTGAGGACACACTCCCTCCATGAAGCAGGGAGCTTTCACCAGAAAATTCATTTCACTGAATCTTCTGACACCTTGATCTTGAACTTCCTAGCCTCCAGAACTGTGAGCAATAAATCCCTATTATTTATAAATTACCCAGTCTCTTGTACTCTGTTGTAGCAGCCCAAACATGCTAAGGTATTAGGTTGGTGCAAACATAATTGTGGTTTTTGTATTCTTGAAATTTGCCATTTGATATTGGAATACATTCTTAAATAAATGTGGTTATGTTATATATCATTTTAATGTGCATTTCTGGCTTTAGTTTTTGTTTTGTGAATGACTTATTTCTTGCTGTTTATTTTATATTAATTAAACTATGGAAATGATGTCAGACAAAAAGCAAATTCAAGAGATTTTCCTATTTGAGTTCAAAATGGGTCTTAAAGCAGTAGAGACAACTTGCAACATTAATGCATTTGGCCCAGGAACTGCTAACGAATATACAATGCAGTGGTGGTTCAAGAAGTTTTGCATAGGAGAGGAGAGCCTTGAAGATAAGGAGCATGGTGGCCGGCCATCGGAAGTTGACAGTAACCAGCTGAGAGTTGCCAAAGAACTCATAGTGAACCATTCCATAGTCATTCGGCATTTGAAGCAAATTGGAAAGGTGAGAAAGCACAATAAGTGGGTCCCTCATGAGCTGAGCAAAAATAAAAAATAAAAAAAAGTTATTTTGAAGCACCCTCTTCTCTTATTCTACTCAACAACAATGAACCATTTCTCAATCAGATTGTGACATGCCATGAAAAGTGGATTTTATATGACAATTAGCTACACCAGCTCAGTGGTTAAACTGAGAAAAAGCTCCAAAGCACTTCCCAAAGCCAAACTTATACCAAACGAAGGTCATGGTCCCTGTTTGTTGATCTGCTGCCAGTCTGATCCTCTACAGCTTTCTGAATCATAGTGAAACCATAACATCTGAGAAGTATGCTCAGCAAATCAACGGGATGCACCACAAACTACAGCTCCTGCAGCCAGCATTGGTCAACAGAAAGGGCCCAATTCTCCACAACAATGCCTGACTACACGTTGCACAACCAACCCTTCAAAAGTTGAACAAATTGGGCTACGAAGTTTTGCCTCTTCTGCCGTATTCACCTGACTTCTCGCCGACTGACTGACACTTTTTCAAGCATCTTGACAACTTTTTGCAGGGAAAACATTTCCACAATGAACAGGATGCAGAAAATGCTTTCCAAGACTTCAAATCCTGAAGCACTGATTTTTATGTTATAGGAATAAACAGACTTATTTCTTGGCAAAAATGTGCTGATCATAATGGTTCCTATTTTGATTTATAAAGATGTGTTTGAGTCTAGTTATAATAATTTGAAATTCACAGTCCAAAACCGCAATTATTTTTGCACCAACCTATAGTACCTATATGAATATAGTCACTCTTCTCCAGGCTCATATTCTGTTCTCCATAGTTAAGACCCTTAAGATCCACTCCCAGGCAGGTTTTCCTGGTTATAATCAGTACATATTAGTCAGGCCTATCACTCTATGTTGAACATTCCCTTTCTTCTCCTAGTAGGAACATGATTTTCCTGATTAAGTCATGCAGAGATTTGTCCTACGTAATTGGTTCAGAGGCAATTAGGGGAAGTAGGGGTAGAAAGTAAGAAAGACAAGCATCATCTTAGAAGTCATCGATCTTGGGTGAATCCTTTGCACAGTTTCAAGCAATGGGAAGATGCTCTTTTCGTCATGATGGAGGGAGGGTGTTTATTGCTGCTGGCTCATAGGGATTGAAATTCTTAGTTCATCCTCCCGAATGTCTCCATCCAGGCTTAATATTCCACTCCTCCCCAATAGGGCCCTGAACTCAGTATAAAGAATTTGACAGAAATATGAATTTAGTCTCCTTTTGGCTCTACCTCTCTTCCTTTAAAATCTTGAACCTGATTT
The DNA here is from genome assembly GCF_000001405.40 of Homo sapiens. Classification (NCBI taxonomy): domain Eukaryota; kingdom Metazoa; phylum Chordata; class Mammalia; order Primates; family Hominidae; genus Homo; species Homo sapiens. Next base: position 27,156,312 of record NC_000021.9, on the reverse strand, counting down.
TCAACACATTTTTCTCTTCAACACATTTTGCACATGAAAGAAATGTGAGTCTCTTGAAATGCTGCAAAGAATGGCTTTTGGCTTTTACTCTGCCACCTTATTTAATAGTGTCTATTTTCTTCCTTCAGAGCGTATGTGGCTACCAAAAACTGCTAATTAATTTTACAATCTTTATTAGTGTAATTTAGCCCATATAATTCATGTAAAGAACTATTACAAAATGAATGCATTACCTCTTCATTTGTACTTCAGTCCATCATAGGTGGTGAGAAGCAGGGTGCTGATAATCTCAGTTGGTCTCTTTGGATTTTGGAAACAATGCATATTACACTGGGAATATTGCTTTTGTTCCATGTAATAAGTGACTTAGAAGGCTGACAGTTTTCAGTGTGGCCCATAGCAAGGTAGATTCTTCAGCAGTTTTAGTTATGGTAAAAGTAGCTCTGCCTCTTTGTACAAATGACTTGCAGATCACATAGTACAGGAGGTCGGAGGTCTTTTTGGTAGATAAAACATTATGTCTAGTCTCTGGAGAACCATAGCAAAAAAAACCACAGCACAGAACTAGGAATTGAAACAAAGTCATACCATCTTTGGCAAAGAACTAGTCACATTTTGAAAGAAGCTCCTTATGCTGTTGGGTCCTGCTAGAGATGGTGCACCAGAGCATGGACTACCAGGTGACAATGTAATGAAATGTCCACCCAGAGCTGGATCTTTTCTTTTCCATCAGATCACTTAGAAACGTCCAATCTCCAAGCCCCTTTCCAGCTCCACAGTGGATAAAAATCTTAGCAAAGGGAGAGAAGTCAGTGCATCTGAGGTAGGTGTGGTATGGGTGTCAGGTCCTCTGTTCCTATTTATTTGTATTTGGATTTCCTTTTTAATCCTTTGTCAAGAAGATTAGACAAAGAGATGTCTGTCCAAAGATAAAGAAATCTAGAATGGATGACAGGAAGAGGAAAATTAAGATGTTGGGATCAACTGCGGTGGTAGAGACTATAGATTGTTTGATCAGAGCATCCTAGGGCCAGGTTTCTTGTTTTGTTCTTTCTTGTTTGTTTTGGTTTGGTTTTTAAGAAATTGTGACTGGCCACTAGTACATGTTGTTTGCATTAGTTTACTATCACTACATAACACATTATTACTACTCACCTAGAGGCTTTTAAAAAAAATCTCACATTTCTATAATTCAGAAGACCAGCAAGTGCCAAAATTAAGGTATCAGCCAAGTTGGACATTTATCTGGAGGCTATGAGAAAGAGCCTCCTCGGAGATTATTCAGCTTGTTGGGATAGAGTCCAGTTCCTTGCAGTTGTAGAATTGACAGCCCCGTTATCTTGCCTGCTGTTGGCTAGGAACTTCTCTCAGCAGCTAGAAATTTGTTATGACCTGAGCTGTGTTCCACCACAATTTGTATGTTGAAATTCTAACTCAGAGTATCTCAGAATATGACTGTATTTAGAGAGAGAATCTTCGAAAAGGGAAATAAGGTAAAATGAGGTCATATGAAAGGACCTGATCCAATATAATTGGTATCTTTAAAAGAAGAGGAAACGTAGACACAGGCATGTACATAGGAAAGATCATGTAAAGATACAGGGAGAAGATGACCTATAAGCCAAGGAGAGAGATCTTGGAAGAAACTACCTCTGCTGACATCATGATCTCAGACTTCTGGCCTTCAGAACTGTGAGAAAATAAACTTCTGTTGTTTGAGCTACTCAGTCAGTTTTTTTTTTTTTTTTTTTTTTTTTTAGTTGGAGTTTCACTCTTGTTACCCAGGCTGAAGTATGAAGTACAATGGCATAATCTTGGCTCACTGCAAACTCTGCCTCTTGGGTTCAAGTGATTCTCCTGCCTTAGCCTCCTGAGTAGCTGGGATTACAGGCACTCACCACCTTGCTTGGCTAACTTTTGTATTTTTAGTAGAGACAGGGTTTCATCATCTTGGCCAGGTTGGTCTCGAACTCCTGACCTGAAGTGATCCACCTGCCTCAGCCTCCCAAAGTGCTGGGATTACAGGCGTGAGCCACCACACCTGGCCAGTCTGTCATTTTTTATGGCAGCCCTAGAAAACTAATGCAAAGCTACTACTCTCTGGTTCTTGTATATGGGCCTCTCCATCTTTGAATCAGCAATAGTGCATCAAATCTTTCCAGTACCTTGAATCGCTTCTGCTACCAGCCAGAGGAAATTCTATTTTCCACTATTCTCACAGGAGACAATTCCACTACATTTTCTGCCATTACCTAACAAGCATCTCCATTCTTCCTGTTTCCAATAACATGCCCCTCACTTCATTCTGAGCCCTTACCAGAAAGGCTCATAAAGTTCATATTTTGACTCACAATCGGTTGAAGACAATTTAGGCATTCTCTATCATCAGATCTTTCAAAATTTTTCTCAGACTTCTTCCAGCCTCCATCCACTTGGTTTCAAAGCCAACTCCATATTTGTGTGTGTTTGTTATGGCAGCACCTACTTCCAAATACCAAAATTATCTACACCAGTCAGAGTTCAACCGGAGGTGCAGAACATTTAAGATTGTACAGGTATTAGAATTATATCTCTCTTGATAGATGGATGGATGGACAGATGATAGATGATAGATAGATAGATGGATAGATGGATAGATGATAGATAGATAGATAGATTAGATAGATAGATAGATGGATGGCATGGTTGTGGGGACTGGAATAAAGTCCTAAATCCATAGAGCAGACATTCAGGAAGGCACAGTTTTGAACCTGTGGCTATGGTTGAAGCTATCATCCACAAGAAAGCAAGATCACAAACAGGATGGAACTCCCTGAGAACAGGTTGAAATTGTCCTCAAGAGAAATTTCTTCTTTTTCTTTCTCTTTCAATTACTCTATCTCTCTCTCTCTCTCTCTTAGAAACATCAACCCTGCTTTTAAGGCTTTGCAACTCATTCACTTAGGCCCACTCACATTATCCAGAATAATCCCTCTTGCTTAAAGACAATGCATTAGGATCTTTATTACAACTACAGAATTCCTTCACAGCAACACCTGTATTTGTGTTTGATTGTATAAAAAGGCAAGTTGAAACATCACAATAGCCACCACAGTGTTAGTGCTCTCTGTACAAGCCTTTATTACTCACTCTTACCTCATGGGCAGAAAGTGTCCTACTGCAAGCATTTGTGGCTCTCAGGCCAGGAGTCTTGCCTCAATCTGTGCACTAGATGGAATGGAAACACTGGGGAACTAACATCTCCAGGAAGTATTCTCAGCCCATGAAAAATGGATCTTTGAGGATAAATACATCAGCTTGTGTACCCATCAGGTGCTCTTCTCCAACAGAATTAATTATGTTACCCTCACCCGCAGACTGTTCATGACATCCTTTCCTTCTGCCTCACCTGCCCACTTCCCTATCAATGATTACTGAAGTCACCTTACAAATAAACCACTGCTACTCATATTCTTGCCTTGAAGTTTGCTTCTGAGGTAACTTTTCCTAAGACACCTCTCTTCTCAGTATTCTTTTCTCACCAACTCCTAACCAAATTAGTCAGTGTTCTTCACTGCAAATGACACAAGTCAATTCTAGTAAATTAATAGGTAGAGGCTGTTTGCAAGAAGGCAATCTGATGGCTCCAGAAATGAATGAAAGTCTGTAGCACTAGGTTCAGAATATGACAGAAATGAAGAGAGATGAGTGTTTGGGAACATAGCCATGATTTTCCCTTAAAAACTATCTGCTTAGAAAATCCCAATCACTGGAAACTCTCTCTAGCACTTTGGGATCTTGGCTGCCCCTTTCTCAAGCGATTTGTCTGTCTTTGTATTTTTGTGCCACTTTCTCAAGTCCTGAGTGGGGTATCTGATTGGCAGACACAGGGACACATGGCCACATCTTGGCAGCCCTGGGTAAAGGATGGTGCATACTTATCTTCCCAAGATAGAAAGTCGATCTACTGGGTAGCTAAGGGAATACAAATGTTCACTGTTTTCACAGTAGCCATTTGCAGTAAAGAACTTTCCATAGGATAGATCTTATTTTAGTGCATGCAGTGATATTAGTGCAAATACTGAATTTTAGGAAAGGCATTCCAACGTCTTTTTTGTCTTTAGAACATTCTCATGTGTGTTCTGGGTATAAACAAATATACACACAGCAAGATTGTACCCACACATACACATATATATACAAAGAGCAGGAACTGCTTGAGATAAAAATTATTTCATACGATTTCAATCAGTGACTAATCTTTTCTTCTTTACTCTCTATGTTAAGCAACCTTGAACAAAACTAAATTTCAGGGATAATTGCTTCAGAACTTGTGTGGGTTCTCTACCAAAATGTAACCAGTGAAAGTTAGTAGGACATTTCAGACTCCTCAAAATGAACTAGTTGTGTTTAAATCTCATATGCCAAATTAACACTTCAAAAAGAAAAAAAAAAGCAGCATATGTGATGGATGGAAGCAGAGCTGCCATTGAAAACTGTTTAGGTTGTGGTTAGGTTAAATCCAGGGTGAGGCAGAAGAAAGGGTGAAAAAGAGTGTAAAAGGATCTTTTAAAAACAGTCCTATCCCTGAAACCACCCCGAAACAAGCCATTGATGGGAAAAGTGACTTATGATGTCTGTCAAGCATAGTGTTTTGTGTGTATGTGTGTGTGTGTGTGTTTAAGAGAGAAAGAGAGTCAGAGACAGAGAAACCAACATGACCTACATTTCATGCGCAGGGAAGTTGTAGATAAGCATATTGTATTTAATGTATGTTTACATATTTCTTTCGCCAAAAGCTCACATGCTTTCTACAGGTGGCCAGGATAAATTCTTGCTTTATTACAAAATTCTATACTTTCCTTCAACTTTCCTGCATCTCCCAAACAGAATACATGAAACCAAAAGTCTCACAAATTATTCAACCTCCAAGAATATTTAAATTAATCCACCTTTATAATTTAAAAGGGTTAAATGCCTTCTGCTCATGAATTTACAAAACCCAAAGAACAGTGTTTATTACTACAAATATACATTGTGCTAAGGACGTGGCCAAATGATGGGGATGTAAAACCAAATAAGAAATGTCTTCTAAAAGCTTACAGTTTAGAAAAACACATACACAGATAATTACAACACAGTGCAAAGATATTATTACCAAGGCATGACCAGATTTACAATGGGAGAAACACAGATCAAGGAACATAGTGAGTGCAAGTGCAAAGTGAATCACAAGCAGGAAAATGAGTCCTGCAATGTGGAAGTCCTGCAAGGCCTAAAACATAAGGTTGAAAAATAATTAGAGACAAGATCAGGGAGGGCTTCGTGTACAATGGAAAGTAATGTGTATGATATAGGCAGTGAAGAGATATTAAAAGACTTGACACTAGGAAAATATCAAATTTGCATTTTAGATCAAGCCATAGAGAATACAAATTTTTAAGGGAGCAGGTTTGGAGACAGAGAGCACAGGCTATTGTAGCAGTTCAAATGAGAATAAACCATACCTAAACCAGGAAAAAGGTATTCATAGTAGAAATAAAGTAGAGAATATACAGTTTAAAGTTTTTAAGAGGTACATTAAAGAAAGGTTTTAGCTTTAGTGCAAGTGGGGATGAAAATGCCCTGTTTAGGACAATCCTTCTCTAGCTTGATAACTCTTTACTTAGGTGGTGTATCCGTGACGTAGCAATGGAATCAAAGCAATCAGTTTTGTGGGAGAGGCATTCGTCTTTGAGCCTGTTGTGTTTGATGTGCGTGTGCACACACAGGCAGTTGGGAAATTAAAGGAGACTAGAGATAGAGGCTGAGAGTCAACACCGATAGGAAGAATAATTTCCTCCTTCCCAAAGATTTCCACAACCTGTGAATATACTACTGTACATGAAAAAAAGGAAATTTGCAGGGGCGATTAATTTGTAGATCACAGCATGGGAAGATTATCTGGTATTATCCAGGAAGAAAAATGTCCTTGCAAGGGTCTTTACCGGGAAAGACAGGAGCCAGTGAGAGGAGCTATGAAAAGAGAAGCAGATGTGATAGAGAGATTGAAAGATGCTGTACCCCTGGCCTTGAAGATACAAGACTTGGCCACAAGCAGTTGGGCTCCAAAAGGTGGAAGAGGCAAGGGAAAGAAATCTCTGGTAGAGCATCCAGCAGAAACACAGCCCTTGGAGACTACTTGGTTTTAGGACATCTGACCTCCAGACCAGCAAGATAATAAATTGGTGTTTTTTTAAAAACACTATGTTTGTGGTGATTTTGTACAGAAGCAAAAGGAAACAAACTCCATATAAGAGTTGGCCACATCTGTTAGGTGTGGTTTGAGAGAAACAGAGGATAAATGCTAAGAGAGAAATTGTTGTAAAAATGGAGTGTTGAAGAAACTCACTTTAAGAATAAAAATAGAAGAAGAAAAGTAAATGTGTACTTAGCTTCACAAATTTACACATATATAAAATATATATTGTATATAGTACACACTTGCATTGCAAATATGAAAAGAAGAGCTTAAAACAAGATAAGCAAAGGAAACGTAGTTATTTTTCACGTGACATTCTCTCAAATTCATTTGATGGGAAAAATTATGGTTTTTTTTTTTTAACAAAAAAGTAGGAAAAGTTACTTGGTCTCATACCTCTTTTCTATTTGAAAAATTAAAAGAAAACAAAACCAAACTAAATACTTACAAAACAAACTTAGCAATATTCCTGGGTGCAAGTTGCTGGGCAAAATTTCTAGGGATCATGGACTATTGCTATGTACTTCTTCAATTGGATAAGTATACAAAGGGTAGGTATTCCACGGAAAAATGAATGATTTCTCTCTGGGGCACTCTGTCCCTTCCCAGTAGTCTATATTTAAGTAAATACTGTGTGTTAAGCAATTAGGAGTTGCTTGTCCTAACGTTTGTGTGAAAGAATGTCATGTAAAAGAAACTAAAGGCATCCAATATTCTCAACAGTTTTTCTTCCATTCCTCCAAATGAATCCAAATATTTTACCATCTTCTGCCAGCACGGAATTCAAGCATGTAGTATGGGCATCTGAAAAGCAAAATCTCAGGAGGCCAAGAAAAACATGAGCTAATCCTTTAGGTTTCCCAGTTATTTGCAAATTTGCCTTTCAAAGTAAGAAACAGCTAGGAAGAAAAGGGACTGGGCTGATGGTTTCCACAACAGCCTCAAAATGAAAACATATGGCATTTTTGCTTAAGAGTGACATTTACTCAATGATTTTTTTTTCCTGACACAAAGAAGGAATTTAATTAAACTTTTTTCTTTCCTAATAGGACCAGGTTGTTGAGATTTAGTGCCATAGGTCTGTTACAGGGCTGAGAAATTATTGGACAGTGGCTATATAGGTGCAGAGTAGTAATGAAGTTCTCTCAAGTCTGTTTCCTGCTGGTCTCCCCCTCCTCTCCTGTTCCTTCACTCTAGGCATATTGTATGTATTAATCCATTTTCATACTGCTGTGAAGAAATACCTGAGACTGTATAATTTATAAAGAAAAAGAGGTTTAATGGACTCATAGTTCCACATGGCTGGGGAGGCCTCAGAATCATAGTGGAAGGCAAAGGAGGAGCAAAGTCATGTCTTACATGGCAGCAAGCAAGACAGCATGTGCAGGGGAACTTCCCTCGAAAAAACCATCCGATCTCATAAGACTTACTCACTATCACAAGAACAGCATGGGAAAACCCACCCCCATGATTCAATTACCTCTCACTTTGTCCTTCCCACAACACTTGGGGATTATGGGAGCTACAATTCAAGATGAGATTTGGGTAAGGACATAGCCAAACCATATCACTGTATGACTTGAGGCTCCTCACACTACACTTCTCAAAGCTTTGCACATTCCCTGTCTTGGTTCAGGAGTCCCTGCCTCAGAGAGGCTTCTTTGATTTTTTTCAAGTGCTAGTAATCAGCCCTTTTGTTGATCTAGACCTCATTGTCCAATACAGTAGCTACTAGCTACATGTGGTCATGGAGCACTTGAACTGTGGGTGGCCCAAATTGAGACTATGCTATAAGTGAAAAATGTATGCTGAATTTCAAAGACTCAATAGAGAAACAGAATGTAAAACATCTCTGTATTAGTTTGTTTTCATGCTGCTGATAAAGACATACCTGAGACTGGACAATTTACAAAAGAAAGAGGTTTGATGGACTTACAGTTCCACATGGGCGGGGAAGCCTCACAGTCATGGCAGAAGGCAAGGGAGGAGCAAGTCATATACTACATGGATGGCAGCAGGCAAAGAGAGAGAGAGAGAGAGAGAGAGAGAGAGAGAGAGAACTTATGCAGGGTAACTCCTCTTTTCAAAACCATCAGATCTCATGAGACATATTCACTATCATGAGAATAGCACAAGAAAGACCTGCCCCCATGATTCAGTTACCTCCTACTGGTTCCCCCCTATGACACATGGGAATTGTGGGAGTTAAAATTCAAATTGGGATTTGGGTGGGGACACAGCTAAACCATATCAGTCTCATTGATCATTTTTATATTAGTTACATATAGCAATGAAAATATTTTTTATCTATTCCTTAAATGAAATATATCACTAAAGTCAATTTCCTCTGTTAATTCTTATCTGTTCAATGTGACTAGTAGAAAATTTTAAATTACATATGTGGCTCATATTTGTGGCTCTCCTGGCATTGGTATCCTATCGTATAGTGCTATTCTAGAACTTGTTCACCCCAATCATGAACTTAACAAATTCTATGGTACAGATGATAGTGATTTAACTGTCTCCTCTAATAGTCTTTTTAATGGAAAAGGGCATGTCTTACTTATGTCTTGTCTTTGCTACCTATTACAACATCTAGAACTTACTAGACACCCAGTAAAAAGTCTGCAAAATAAATTGAAATTAAAGCATAAGAAAAATATTTTCAAACAATTATATAGTTCAAGTTATATTGTTACCTGTTTACATATTATTAAAAAATATTAGTAATGAGTAAAATAGTTTAGAATTACATTTCCTCATTTTTCTTCTCAGTTCTTGGTAGGTATTTGTTAATCTATGATTCAAAAGTTATAGAAAGAAATTCTACCACTAAAATTATGTTCCAAATACTTTAACTCTAAAAAACTGATGAAATGCTTAAGCCACCAAGAAGTATAGGATTTTTATTGGCAATATAGTGAAAAGTTAGTTAACCGTTCCTACTTCATCAGAAAACATTGTATGTTTTCTAATTATTTTTAACTTCACTTTGGGAGGCCGAGGCAGGCGGATCACAAGGTCAGGAGATCGAGACCATCCTGGCTAACACAGTGAAACCCCGTCTCCACTACAAATACAAAAAAAAAAATAGACGGGCATGGTGGCGGGCGCCTGTAGTCCCAACTACTCTGGAGGCTGAGGCAAGAGAATGGTGTGAACCCAGGAGGAGGCGGTTACAGTGAGCCGAGATTATGCCACTGCGCTCCAGCCTCGGCGACAGAGCGAGACTCTGTCTCAAAAATAAAAAAATAAAAAAAATTAATAAAACAACCTTACTCTTGGCATATATAAATACAGATTATATATAAGATGTTTCAGAGAATGTGTCTTTCAGAATACAACACGGAATTGAAAATTATGTACCAAAATTATCAATCAAAAATCAGTTCCATTGCCAATAGTATGAAATGGACACATCACACTCTCCAGCCCAATAGATAGCATCTCTCCAACTGTGATACTTGAAAGTATTATAGAAAGGAAAAAATAAAAATAACCTTAGACCAATGAAGTCCTCTGATCTTAAAAGAAAACTTAAATTGTGTTTTTTATCTTGGATACATGTACTAAGATAGAAAAACTAAAATATTTTATTAAGGTAAGTCACTACAAAAAATGCTTAGTTGACAAAAATTATTTAGTTTTTGGAATATCTGATTTGACCCGGATTTTATTATTTCTTTGTGCCTTATCTGAGTCACATTATAGAATATGTAAAGGAAAAGGTCAAGCAAAAGCCAATGGAGGCCCTGCAGACTTCAGCTGGCCATGCCAGGGTTCTGCCTTTTAAATATTACCACATATTGGTAAACATGGTATTTGTTGAAAACCAAAATTATTCCATAAAATCCAGTTGTGAATCATAATATCTTTTTTATAAAGTTCTTGATAAAATATGCAGTTATTTTACGATAATACTACTCCCTTTCAGGCATCAAAACAAACTCATGGTAGAGCCACTCATTAACCGCTTGACCTTGAGAAAACTAGTGGATTTGTAGGATTCTCAGATTTGTCTATGAATTCGAGACTTTCATCCTGGGGCCTGCCTGTTTCACAAGTTGTCATGTGCCTGCAAGGGTGGTGAAGTTGGATGCAGAAAATCCGAGTGCACTTGTGAATTTAAGGGAGTTTTTACTTCAAGAGGCTTCAGTTTCTCATTCAAAAATGAGAATTCTTTATTTGATAACTTCAAAATCAATTTCATTTTACAAATGGTTTTTAAAGAAAATGCTGTTTAAGTAATCATATCGCTCATGTTATATTCTTTAATATTGCTAAAATATGTTGCCATATACAAAGTAATGCATAAAATGGTATTTAATACAGTTTCAGGTACTATAGAATATAAATATTTGTTTTTATTAGAAGACGGTTGGGTACTTTATTATATCTCTTTTACCTTGAAGGTGATTAAGACTACACTCTCTAAAGTGAGAGTGTTTGCAGAGACCCAGAGCACTTTCTTATCTCAGGTACAGATTTATTTTTAGAGTTTCCTCTGTGTGCCAGTTTCAGATCTATGTTTAGTTACTGCTGTATAATGTACCATGGTAAAATTTAAAAAAATAAAAAGCAGTTTTCAAATGTCTTGAAAAGCAAATCACCACTGGAACCTCACATGCTTGTATTTACGATTGTATAGCTACTAGAATTTGCAAAAAGAGCTGGGTTCAAATTTAATGAGTGTTATAAATACCAGGATAAATGAGTAACTACAAAAAATTCCTGAACGCGTATACTCAGTTCTGTCGCACTGACTGATATATTCAAGGCTATGATACAGATTAGAATACTTTTGAACTTTCAGAGTAGGAGAGAACACCTCCCCCACAAAAAAACCCTCACAAATTAATATTTTAAAGAGACGTAGACTTCATTTTATGAATTCTCATATAAAATTTTGTAATTTTTGATAACACTGTCAGAGCTATCTTGCTAAGTCCACAGATACTGGGATAATGCCTCTGCTTTCAAGCATTCAGAGATGAACCTGTTATTAACAGGACAAGTCCAAATTCCGGATCATAGCCTCACAGTCAAACTGTCTTTTGACCTTTATCTACTTGTACCCTTCTGTCACCTCAAAGTCACCTTATGCCCCAACCACACTATTTTTATTACACTTTATTTTCTTTCATGCAACTACATCTGTTTCCCCCGCCTTTTTTTTTTTTTTTTTTTTGAATTAAATATACTTCTAGCGGACTGTCCCCTCTGTGCTGGAATTAAATTCACCTGTTAAACTCCCATCAGGTTCATTGTTAAGTACTCTCAGATCTGCAGACTCAGTAATATCTCTTTCTATTCTACCATAATACTGTGTAGTAGCACAGGGTGATTATAATTGTGCCTTGAAAACAAAATGTGATCAATTAATATTAGCTGAATGTTGAATGAAATCAAATGTATTAACTGACATATGATAGAGCAACTCTGAAATTTTGAGCAAGGCGCTTCATATAGCCGAGTATTGCTCTTTTCACTGTAAGTGAAGATAATTGTATCTATTACCTTGTAAGTTTGCTGGTAAGGATTAAACGAGATATCTAGTACTTAGAACAGTGACCGCTCTTCTAAATAGCCACTGTAAATGTAAAGCGTAATCTCCAAGAAGGTAAGATAATTCTGTTTAACCCATCATTGAATCACGAGTACCACGAATTATGTTTGTCATTAGTAGATGATGAATAAATATGGATGGATGATGATTAAATGAATGCTGGAATGTGTTAGACTATGAAGAGAGCATCCAGTAAATGTTTAAGCAATCTAGTGGCACCTTTCTCTCTCTGGATATTGTGGAAACACCAAAGAAAATTACTTAATGGTAAAGAGTACACCCTCTAAAGTGGGTTGCCTAAAATGATATCTCAGAATGGCCACCTACTAGTTGTTTACCTAATTCATTTGAGTTAATTAACCATGAGAAAGTTTCTCATCTCTCTGTGATTAGTTCACTCCTAAAATGAAAATACTTTGTGACGATTAATGGAGTTAAACATAAAGCACTTAGGATAATTCTAGGATACAACAAGATTTTAATAAATGCTATTACTATTATTTTTGTTATTCAAAGTATTTTTTTTGACAGTGTTTGTTCGGGGCGCTCCCCTAGCTTCTCGGACAGTTGCGCCCTGTGTGCTGCTGGGCTAGCGGCGGCGGCTGCCCAGTCGGTGTAAGCCTTTTCCGCGCGCGCCCGCTGGCCGGCGGGGAGCCTGTGAGCCTGGGCTCCCTGCGGGGCAAGGGACTACTTATCGAGAATGTGGCGTCCCTCGGAGGCACCACGGTCCGGGACTACACCCAGATGAACGAGCCGCAGCGGCGCCTCGGCCCCGGGGCCTGGTGGTGCTTGGCTTCCCGTGCAACCAGTCTGGGCATCAGGAGAACGCCAAGAACGAAGAGATTCTGAATTCCCTCAAGTACGTCCAACCTGGTGGTGGGTTCGAGCCCAGCTTCATGCTCTTGGAGAAGTGCGAGGTGAACGGTGCGGGGGCGCACCCTCTCTCCGCCTTTCTGCGGGACGCCGGCCAGCCCCCAGGGACGACGCCACTGAGCTCATGACCGACCCCAAGCTCATCACCTGGTCTCCGGTGTGTCGCAACGATGTTGCCTGGAACTTCTTTGAGAAGTTCCTGGTGGGCCCTGACGGTGTGCCTGTATGCAGGTATAGCTGCCGCTTCCAGACCATTGACATCGAGCCTGACATCGAAGCCCTGCTGTCTCAAGGGCCCAGATGTGCCTAGGGCGCCCCTCCTACCCCGACTGCTTGGCAGTTGCAGCGCTGCTCTCTGGGGGGTTTTCATCTATGAGGGTGTTTCCTCTAAACCTGCAAGGAGGAACACCTGATCTTGCAGAAAATACCCCCTCGAGATGGGCGCTGGTCCTGTCCATCCCAGTCTCTGCCAAACCAAGGCGAGTTTCCCCACTAATAAAGTGCCGGGTGTCAGCAGAAAAAAAAAAAAAAGTATTTTTTTACTTTATTATTATTAAAAATAGAGAATTATCTGGTTAATGAAATGAAAAATGATATAAACCTTGAAAGGAGGAAACTATGCTCATAACAATAGCAAGAGAGATGAGCTTTGGGGCATGCTTTGTAGAATTAATGAATTTAGGAGGGATTCCATGGACTGATGAAGAGTAAATTTACCTAGAATATAAGGGGGCATCTCAGAAATGAATCTCCCCTTACATAATTACATATTGTCATAAAAAAGAAAATTAAGGGACAGTTTAAGGCCTTCAGGTACCTAAATAGTGTATACTGGATAAGCTGACCACTTAAGGCTAAAACAGGAATGATTTTAAAATCATAGCTAATAAAGCTGTTAAAAGTTTTATTTTAAATAGTGAAAGAAAATGCAGATAGAAGAATTGAATCTACATATTAGTTATTTTCATGGGTAGTAACTAATATTATTTTGAGTGTTTTACAAAATCTGCCTAAGATAAAAAGCCATATTCTAAAAGGAGAATCTCTTTTACTCTTATAAAATTAAAGCATTCAGAAAATATTAATAATTCTAAAAAAGAGAGTACGCATCTATTGTTCTTCCAAAAATACTTATCACTTTTTTGTATATTGGTACCATAAAAAGAGAGGCCCAATAGACATTGATAGGAATGCCCAGATCAGGGTGAGGTTGAAGTTGCTTAGGAGCCAATAAGCACAGTTCTACTAATCAGAATGGACAAGAGCTAATTCGCTATAATAGATAGATTGTGCAGCTAGGCAGACATTTCCTGAATTAGAAGAGTGAATTGATGGGAAAACCACTTAGAATTTGCAATGTTTTAATTCTTGTTGAGTAGGCACGAGTGAAGGGAACATCCTACAAGACAATCATTTTTTGTGAATATTGGGGACACTACTACCGTGTCCTTAGTCTTCTTCAGTTTTCATGATGTACACTAGCTCCTTGGTGATTTTGTCTTCTCCCATGAGTTTAAATGCCATTTAGGCACTGATAATTCTAAATTATGTATCTTTAAGCCTAAGTTCTCTACCTCAGTGGCTTCCTAATTCACTCAGAGTGAAAGTCAAAAAGTCCTTACTATGTCCTTGAGGGACTCATAATCGGTGCCTCGGGCTCCTTTCTCCATTACGTCTCTGACTTCACCCAGTACTTGTCGTTCAGGTCATTCCAGCCACTGTTGCTCCTTGTTCTATCTCTGACATGCTAGGCACATCCTCAGTTGAGGTCTTTAGCAAAGATTAGTCCTTCACCCTGAAATAATTTTCTTACTAATATTCTCACAGCTAAATCCATCATTACAATTAAGTCTTTACTCAAAGCTCACCTTTTCAATGAGTGCTATACTCAGCACTTTATTTAAAATTTTGTGTTCTAATATACATCTATGCATTTTTATTTTATTATTTTACTATTATTTTTCTCTCCCAAGTGCAAGTATATTTTTCTGTTTCGTTCATTACTATACTTTTGATAGTTTTTTGTTTGTTTGTTTGTTTTTTTTTTTTTTTTTTTTTTTTTGAGACGGAGTCTTGCTCTGTTGCCCAGGCCACCGTGCCTGGCCCTTGATAGATTTTTTTAAAAAAATTATTGGTGGCCCATGCTTGTAAACCCAGCACTTTGGGAAGCCAAGGTGGGCAGATCACGAGGTCAGGAGATCGAGACCATCCTGGCTAACACGGTGAAACCCCGTCTCTACTAAAAATACAAAAAATTAGCTGGGCGTGGTCGTGGGCGCCTGTAGTCCAAGCTACTCGGAAGGCTGAGGCAGGAGAACCGTGTGAACCCAGGAGGCGGAGCTTGCAGGGAGCCGAGATCACGCCACTGCACTCCAGTCTGGGTGACAGAGCGAGACTCTGTCTCAAAAAACAAAAAAATTATTGTTCAGCAAATATGTCCTGCTCCTTCCCCCGGGAAGAGTACACTTTACTGCTCCTCATATGTTGGCTTGGGCTCTGAGACTTGTTCTGGTGAATGGAATGTGGGAAGAAATGACAGTGTGCCACTTTTAAATACAGGCTTTCCTCCATGAAAAGAGCATGTCCAAGGCAGTCTCTGTTTCTTGGGCCATGTTCTTAGGGTAATAAACAGGTACAGCAGATCTGAATTATACCCAGTGCCTGAATTGTACCCATCCAAACCCAACCTAACCCAGAGAAGCTCAGCAGACCTACAGACAGCTCACAGATCCATGAGCAAGACATAAATGCTCTTCTGACTCACTTGGATTCAGGGTTGTGTATTATGTAAAACTCTTCCACTAAGCAGTTGATTGATGTACATCCCAGGCTCTAGAATTGTGTTTGGAGATGATCAATAAATATTATTTTAATTGATTAACCAATTAGACATGTCAAAGGATACAAAATTACAGGTAGATAGGAGGAATATGTTCTAACGAGCTGTACCACTGTAAGATGACTATGGTTAACATTAATTATAGTTTTAGATAGCTAGAAGGAAGATATTGAATATTCCCAACACAAAGAAATGATAAATGTTTTAGATGATGGATATACTAATTACCGTGATCTGATCACTATACATTATACATATCAAGACTTTACTATGTACTTCATAAATATGTAGTTATTGTATGTCAATTAAAAATAAATAAATAAAAAGTTAGAAGTAAATGACTTTTAAATCATCTTTTTAGCCCTATTTTAACTGTTGGTGTCTGGCGCACAAATTATGCACTAGAATTAATTTAGTTCGTTATATAATTGTTTACCCTCTTTAAGGTCATGTAACAACTTTTTAGTAAATCATTATTTAGGATACTAAGCAGTATTTTAATAAACTAAGGACATGTGTTTTCTAGTAACTGTTCATTCAAATGATATCCACATAAAACAAATTGAGTTTTTTGCTGCTTTTAATTTTTTAATCACTAACATCAGGTTATTCAAACATCAAGTCTAGTTTTTAAGAAAATAAAGATGATGATGTTGGCAGTCCAGTCATTTCAATGATACTAACAACCAGGATAAATCTACTATTCAGTAGTTAAATCTGGTTTATTACAATTTGGTTATGATGTGACTTCACTTTCAGTAACTTGCACATTGGAGAAATTTAGTTTAAAGGAAATGATAAAATTTTGGAGGATGCCATTTCCATGTTTTGGTAATGAACCAGATTGTCATATACAACCATATCAAGTGTAATCACTTCAAAGATTTTGGAATTGCTCCTTTCTGTTTTGCTTTCCATTCTGTTTCTCCTTTTTGTTTTACTTTTCTTCTTTACTCTTGTTGTTTTTCTCTTTGCTACTTGTTCCTTTTCAAAGTTCTTGTTAACACTTATTAAGGAGTGTGGTTCAAAGCTCCAAAGCAAACAAGCAGCAGGAGAAAGGGATGAAAGAACTGGAGTTTAATTTTCCTGCCAGGTTTCAAATGGAACTCAACAGTATCTGGGGTACCAGCCAGGCTTTGTAGAAGCTGCTACAAGGCTGCCACCCTTTTAGTCTCCATACAATTATAACTGGGAATTGAAGAATTGTCCAAACATTGGAAAGCCAAATTTTCTTAGAATTGAGTTTCCACAGCATCAAAAATATGTTTGTATTCTCCACAAAGATCACTCAGCTCTCTCTACTCTGAGTATTTTGCCTTTCTCCAAAAGTTAAATACCCTCACACCATGGTACGGGAACATACTCGGTTCTCAACATTAGTAAAAGCTATAATATAAAAGTCCTTATCAGAGGAATTGACATTTCTAGATGGTATTAAATTCACAAGGAAAAGACATGTTCAATATTTCATTTGATCTTGATAATTTCACTGCAAACATTGAATTTTTAATCTCTCCTTCATGAGGATGAGACCTTAATTCCTTTACAATGTCCATTGCTTAGCATAAGAAGTAGGCTTATTATTATACATATGTCAGAGAGATATATATATATAGAAAAGTAATTCCTTTATTCAACTAATAAATACTTATTGAGCTCATGCTATATACTAGGGCTCATTTTAGGTGTTAGGGATATCCAATGAATAAAACAGGAAATAATTCTGGCCTTCAAAACATATATATATGTTTTTCAGTACTTAATAACATATATTATACATTATATTTGTATATATTTTATATATATAAGGGATAACAAACAATAAATACAATAAATAAATATAATGTATAATATGTTTGTTAGATAGTATTAAGTACTGAAAAAAATAAAGCAGAGAAGGGAAATTTAAAGTCTGTAGATTGGGAAGAGGATTCACAATTTTAGGCAATATACTAGGGAAAAACTATAAGACACCATTAAAACAAAGACTTAAAGGAGTAAACATCTAAAAAATATTTTTCTGATTACAAAAGGAATACATATTCACAGAAGGCAAAAAAAGCATTTCAGAAAATCTCAGAATATTGAAACAACTATTTGTAATTTCATCATTCATAGTTAATTCTTATTAAAAACTTGATTTAGATTCATCTCAGTCTTTGGCTATAGGTGGTTTTAACGTGTGTGTGTATGAGAGATAGAGGTAGAGAGAGGATATACGGGTTATTCAGAGAATTGGGACAATACTCAATTTCAACACTGTTAACCCAATTCTTATGCAAATAGTTTTAGAAAGCAGTCTTTAAAGCTTTTTCTATTTTGTTAAAATGATACCATGAGGAATATAATTGTACATAAGTTCTTGCATATACCTTGGTAATTATTTTTGTGGATACAACTATTCAAACTATTGAAGCATAATTCACTACTAAAAGTACAACAATAATAACAACATACTATAAAAAGTATAATTGAATATGGAATATTTGTTCACTGATGATTTAGTAGACAACCTCTCATCTAAATCATACTTTGATCCAGATTATTTATTGTTATCATGTTTTTAAAGAAGTTTTTCTTGTCTTCTTTTTATATTTTTTCCTTGATCACATTTTTTTAATTTCAAAAGTAACATCCCAAGTGCAAGGTCTTGCCATGAACCCATCATTAGCTGAAGGCAAATTTAAGGCACTTGGCTATCCCATTTAGGCCTGAGGTTGCAATTTTTTAAATTTTTGCAATCAGACCTTGGTGATGACCTTGAGCAGTAGGATATAAATAACTCCCACAGGCTTAGTGTTCCAATAATGGAACACTAGGTATAAATGGGTTAACCCATTTATATTTTCATGATCACGAACTCTCTTTTCATGATCTAAAACCTAAAAACACAATGTTATTAAATTATTGGATAGTCTAACCTACCAGACAGTTTAATCTTGCATATTAGAAGGATGCTACTATAAATGTATTCTTCCTCATGTAGTGATGTGCGCTATTTATTTTAACTTATTAATATTATAAAGTTTTATTTAGACATTTTCAGTGTTAGCAATATTTAAGTTTATTTAAATTTAATTTAGCAGCTAGCACACACCACTACTGAAGAAAAAGCAATCATTCTCATTTTCCTAAAAGACTATAAAGTTGGAAATTATAATCCTCTCTTTATTTCTCCAATTTCTAACCTGTAATTTTCATGGCAAATACATTTTAATGAAGTCAGTGCTACTCACATATTCTTCCTGATTTTATGTTGCAAGTTTACATCATCTAAGTGAGCTGTGAGATACGAAAATAGGCAAAAAAGAAGATAGCAGAAAAGCCCTAATGTTTTGGAAGGTGAGGAGGAAGAAGAGGAGAAAACCCCCAGAAGTATGCTTATTTTTAAAAATGTGTTTATAAACCTATAGTTTTACTGAAATACACAGTTGATGCCCAATTGCAGATCCCTTTCATTTTGCAGAATAATTTATTAACTGTTAAATTCTTTAAATTTCACTTCGAAAAACTATAAATTTTTAGAATTCTTCCTCTGCTTGCTGAAATATCTTGTCAGCACCAATTACAAAGATCCAGTTATTTGTTTGTATATTTAAACTCTCTGGATTTGACTTAGCTGCATTTGATACAGCGATAATTTCTGTATTGTTATTTCTTTGTCTTCGTATAGTGACTGGAGATAGGAGAGCTTTTGCAGCAAGGACAGCTATGGCACTACTTAAAAATGGTCTGTTACACAGACTGGTCTTCAGGCTCTTACTAGTTGGTGCTTGATGAGCACTTAAAATAACTTAAGGATAGAAAGAGTTCATTAGACAATAACAAATATAGAACATTATACCGCAGCAGGACAAGCCTAATGTTGTGTAAAAAGAAAGAAAAAAAAAGCAACTAATACAAAACAGAAATCAGTCTCTGAATGTCTCAGGAAACACCTAGAGATAATTTTCAGTTTTGAAGCTGGAAACACTCTGTTTAGGGGCTAGATTTTTTATTCGTTTATCTTTTTTTTTTTGTTGTTGAGACGGAGTGAGTCTTGCTCTGTCGCCCAGGCTGGAGTGCAGTGGCGCGATCTCGGCTCACTGCAAGATCCGCTTCCCGGGTTCACACCGTTCTCCTGCCTCAGCCTCCTGAGTAGCTGAGACTACAGGTGCCCGCCACCACGCCCAGCTAATTTTTTGTGTTTTTAGTAGAGATGGGGTTTCACTGTGTTAGCCAGGATTGTCTTGATCTCCTGACCTCATGATCTGCCTGTCTCAGCCTCCTAAAGTGCTGGGATTACAAGCATGATCCACAGCACCCGGTCGTTTATCTTTTTACCAGAGTGAAATATGCCACCGAAAAGTACACATAACTTATGTTTATAGCTCAATACATTTTTACAAACATCCATGTAACCAGTACCAGATCAAGAAATAGAACCTGCATCTCAGTTCAGGGCAGGCCTATTGCCTTTTATTCTAGTTACTGCCTTTCTCAGGTAATCACTATCCTAACTTCTAACATAGCTAGATTTTCCTGTTTTACACAAATAAAATTAAATACTACACACCCTTTTATGTCTGGAGTTTGTATTCAAATTATGTCTGTGAGATGCATTTGCATTGTTGCTTAAAGTTGTAGATTATTCATTCTCTTGCTCATAATATTCCATTGTGTGAATAGACAACCATTTATTTGGCCACTATACATTTCATGGTCATTTAAACAGTTTCTCACTTTGGGGCTATTACAAATAGCACTGCCATTAAGATTCTAGTGCCTGTCTTTTGGAAAACACGTGTTTCTAGAATTGTGGGTCATGGGGTATGCCTATGTCCAGCTTTAGTGTATACTTCCAAATAGTTTTCCAGAATGGTTGTACCTCTTTATATCATCACCAGCAGCATGTGAGACTTCTGCTTGTTTCACATATCTTCCAACATGGTATTAGCTGTTTTGCTTTTTGAATAATACTAGTTTTTCAACCACTATTTTTCATAGTTTTTTTTCTAAGCCCATAGTAATATTTCAATCACTATTTTTCATAACTATTCATAGCTTTAAGTACATTCACTGTTTTTAAAATCGCATGTATTCTTGACTGATGGTTTAACATCATAAAGCGTGAGATTATTTTTTTCTTCTGATGTTTGGTTTTTCTGTATTTTTTGGTTTGCTTTACCGGTTGGTAAAACAGATACATAAGGGTTTTTTAATAGAAAAAAAGCATTAAAGAGAAAATATGCCCTTAAAACAAGCATTTTAAAAAAAAAAACCTTTTTAGGATTAGCAGTTTTTCTATTTATATCCAAGTCAGAAGTAGCAGATGGAACTCTTTCTAATAACCTGATAATTTTTCCATATCCTACAGGCATTACTTTCTCTCTAAACTTGAATGATAACCACATGAAAAACAGCGCCCAATTTCAGGCCCATTTCATTGGAATGCTGAAGCTGAGTCCATTGACATATATCAAGGACACATTTCTCAGGTCTTTCATGTACATGATCTTATTTATTCCACCAAAAAAAAAAAAGCCAAACAAACTTGTGAGATATTACAAGTGGAGTTCAGAAAACTTGCGGCTCCTTCAAAGTTACATAACCTATAAATGGCAAAGTTGGGTTCTGAAATGAGATCTGCTAATTCAACATTTTCCTACTTATTTTGCTGAAGAAATCTCTTTTCATAGAACACTTGCAAACATCTTGCGGGACCTGTTTCCTACAGACAACGGTTTGGAAAGCATTATTCTAATTCCAATTCCAATCAACTTCCCATTAAACCACAGATGTCCTCCTAAACAAGCTATGTGATTAAACTATATTTAAAACAGCATAGAAATTCAGGCTATCAAAATTAAATTAGTCTCAGCATTCCATTTTGTTACTTTAGGTGAAGGACAGAGTTAAAAGGATTACTTCAGAAATGTCCATATTTAAACATCCTTAGCTATTTTTATTCCAAACATACTAACTTTCATAATTTGATTCAGAAGGAACTAGTTCTTACATATCTAATTCATGAACACTTTAAAAAAAATTATCTCCTCAGTTACCTCTCTGTTCCCTTAACCACTAGGACCAGATGGTATGGCTGGCAGCCAAGACTAACATGCATCTTTACAAATGTACACAAGATGGGGAAGAGATGATAGTCAATACCGTAATCTTAGCATTGTAGTGTCAGAAAACAAGTTCATGAGGGAACACACAAGGACAACAAGAACACAAAACCTAATTTATTTGCATACTTTTCCATGTAAATTAATGGAACCTGCCTGAGTTCAGGGCAGGCCTATTGACTTAGGTACCTTCAGATTTTGGCACTTACTGTGAAACTCTACTTACGTAGAGTTGACTAAATGTAACGTAGTGTTTTAAGTGCTTTCCACTTTGTAATTTATTAATATATCCGGGCATTGAAGTAGGTTGTATTATTACCACTTTTTGACAAGTAAGAATATTAGGACCCAGAATACTAAGTAACTTGACCAACATTGCATGATTAGCAAACAGTTGAGTCTGATTTGAACAACAGCCATCTGAAGCTGGACTCTGCTCTCATCCATAGCCACCAAACTGCCTTCCAAGACCTCCAGGAAGTCACTCACACCTTTCTAGTTGTTAATCTCTCCCTTTTCAGAATTCAGATAGATGTTTCTTAAGCTCACACTCTCTCTCTCTCTCTCTCTCTCTCTCTCTCCTGTTTTCTCTAGATCTCAAACTTTTTTTTTCTTTTTTGGAGCAGACTGACCAATTTCCTTTTATGTATTTAGCCTGAGCATTATCTCTCATTTAATATGTCATGAATGAATGGGAGAAGGAGTAGAACTAGAAAGCATGCCTTCATCATCCTCTCAATGCTTAAAAGGAATTTTCTCTTTGCATAGTGAGTTCAGAAGGACAATAGAGCTGACAAATGCAAATAAAAGGACCTATGCAAGCTTTTCCAATTTGTGTAAATATTTCATGTTACATGGACCAAAGCAATCATAATAAAACCAATTCGATTGATACATTCAGGCATTAGCCTTCTTTTAGTTGACTTAATTCTCTTTTTTTCTTGATGCCTTAGTACTTTTGAAGCCAGATTTGTCCTTCATAGCCTGAGGATTAATTTTTGCATTGGGAATACCATAACTAAATACTCAAGAATCTAGAAATAGAGGCAGAAAATCTTAAAATTATTGTATACAAGCCTGGATGTCAACATTTCAATGTTATTTCTTTGTTCCATGAGGATTCCAGTATAGGAAGACCCTCAGTGATAGCCTTCCTTCCTGTGAACAGTGAGGTATATTCCACTAATCTTTTAAATCTAACCCATAGGCAACTATCTTGGTATTCTGCTCTGATTGAAGTATTTCCTTAGTCTGCTCAGCACTTTCCCAGTGGCCTTTCCCTAGGGGCTCATAACTTCAAGGCTGTGACTCTCTAGAGCAACTGGTACTCAGTCCCCTTGTTTTCTATTTCTGTGAAGCATCTTATCAAATAGTTTAAGGAAGATATTTTCAGAGATATTAGCATGTCGCTAGTTCCCTGGAAATAAAGGACACTTTAAGTGTGGAGAAGAAAAGCTGCTCATCTTTATTTCAAGGTTACGTGCAGAGATGCAACTCACCGACATTCTGACAAAAGATATTCTGAAAATAAAAGATCAATCACCTTAAATGTGGCCAAGAAATTCCTGCTGTTTGGCTTTCACAGTAAGTGCCAAAATCTAAAGGGGCCTATGGCTTCAGTAGGAAAAAAGAAAGACACATGCATTTTATATGTGACTATGGATCCACTGTGTGCAGAATGTCAAGACTTGGGACAAATGCATTCAGTTATAAAAATGCATTCTTTTGTTTCTCTACACTACAGCCTTGGAGATAACAATGCTTTATTTTTGTTTGTTTTACATTTTGTTTTATTTTTTCCTTCTGAGCCAGTATTTACTGAGTGTTTTTACTGAGCTGGGCACTTCACCCAGATTTCTTATTTAATCCTCACAGCAGTGTTCTGAGACAGTCATTCCCATCACCATCCTCGTTACATTACAGACAAGATAACAGATTTCAAAAGGTTAAATAACTTGTCCAAGGCCACACAATTAGTACTGATCCTGCTGAACTTCAGAGTCTATCAGCTCAGCACCATGTTATGCTGCTCTCAAGGCCCTACTTTGGGACTTAAAATCATTCATTCTTTCTCTCCCCAGAAACTCCCTGGAAGCTCAAGGTGTTCTTCATCCCACTCCTGTCTACTCCTCACGGCCACTTCAGCCTTGTTGCTTCCAGGACCTCAGTGCTTACCACAGCAGCTGTTGCTGCCAGAGTGCCAAAGTAGAAGGAATGTTTTCCCTTGAGTGATTTCAGATCTATGCTTAAGGCTGCCCACATTCCCCACAGGTCCCTCCAAGTAAAATGGTTTCTTCAATTTCGCAATCACCATTCTCAAACATACACACAACATATGACCAGCTTCTCAGGACAAGTAATCATAATGTTATTATTGAGTGCTTGCCATATGACATTATTTTGTTTAATGTTCCAAGCAACTCTGTAAGTTATTTTACATACTAGGAAAGAGCGGGCTGAGAAATGAGAGCAGAAATGGAATATGACCTTATTTTGTACTCAATAAAAGCACCTTTCCATTGATTAAAGCCTGGTATTTCCTGTTGGGGATACATTTTCTGCTGACACCTCCCACAGGCTGAGTGCCTGTTTTCCCAGGACGCTTGTCTTCCTCAGAAGTCAACATAAACATTGTTTTCTTCAAGGGTGTCATGTTAATTTTTCAGGAGCCGGCTCTCTGGACCTTCCTAAAAATTAAGCCTATAAAGACCATCTCCTGATAATACAGGGAGCTACTGAATATCGTAAAATGTATTTATATAGTATCTCCAACATCATAGAACTCGACTACATTGTTCTCAAGTGGATCCCAGATTTTTATATGACCTTGCTGATATAGTTATCAAAACTAGCCAGATGCCTTGCTGTTGAGTTTCTGCTTGCTAATCAACTTTTTCATGTTCAGTTTGATTTCCCAAATACCTTAACTATGAGGGAAGTAGCCTAATGGTGAATGGGAACACTTCAGTCCCTGAAAGGTCTAGCCTTATTGGCATTCTATGTTGGGGTTTTGAAGATGTTAATTTTACATCACTTTCGTATATTTGACCGAATCTTTATATCACATTTTATTATATATTAATATTTCATTTTTAACTTACTCTCTTTTTTTTAACTTATATACATACAGCCAAGGGAAAAAAACAAACAAACTTTGGGCAACTACCTAACAGATCATTTTTTGTGACAGTTATATTTTTAAAATACATATTTAATACTTAAATACATTTTTTGAAATGTTTATTAATATACCATCTGAAATCATTCTAGGAACCACCAGTTGGCTGTAAGTACATATGGCAAAACACAGTTAAAGCCTATAAATTAGAAATTAATCCCTTACTTTATGAACTAGTATCAGGTAGCTATCAATAACTTAATGAATTCTAGATTTTTTGGCCAAATTTTGTTTATGCTTATGAAAAGTTTAGGTGTAGAGTCTTACTATAGTTAAGCCAAAAGTGAACAGTCATCCCTCCATGATATTTTCATCTCTCTTTTCTCAATTTTATTGAGTTGTTTTCTTACTTAAGCTTTGAAAATGTTTTTCAATGTCTATACTGTAAGGAAGAACCATCCAAGCTACTTTACTTCTTACGTCTCTTCCCTAACTATCACAGTTTGTATTTTCTCTTATAACTATTCCAACTAATCTGCTATTCAATTACATTTCACATTGTCTCTAATTTCCATGCAATTTTTCGCATGTATCAATCTTTATTTTTAAAAATAGTATCTTTCTGATTTTATGCAGAATAAAATTATTTAGTGTATGCTTTGACAAACCAAACATAAACCTGAAAGATAGCAAGCATATATGTTTACCTAGCATTTTAAAAGGCTGTGAGAACTGATGAAGGCTAAGAGAACTGATATAAATATATGAAGTTCAATGGTTTGTCTTTCAACTTGAAGCATGAGTTTATAAGTCAATACTAACATCACCTTGTTAATTTCTCATTTTAGGGTGTTTGTCTTTAAATTTCCATTCTTTAGATGGTAACTTATTTTCTTCAAATGACTTAGAGAATGAGTAGTAAATAAATTACGTAAATTCTCAGAAGTACAAATAAAGGTATACACACACATACAAGTACACACTTGTCTAAACTTCAGAATTGAAAGCTAGAGTTCATGACACTGTCTTGTTATGATTTGCTGTTATTATACAAGTTAATCTAATAGTTACTAAAAGCCTTTGATTATCATCATAATTCAATAAAAAAAAATCTTGGCACCCTTACTCTGAAAGAGTCCCCCATGCAAACCAGCGTTAACATGCTATCAGGACATAATCTGGCTGGATGGATTTTGGAAAAGCAGAATATAGTAACGTAAAAAATAGCATCGTCATCATTTTTCACATGGGAGGGATTTAAGCCCCTCTTGCTGAAGCACTAAAGCAGGTTAATTGGAGCCAGAATATGCCATAGGTTGAGAAGACATATCAAACTGAATTCCTGGAAAAAACTGGGGGTTAGCATACTGGTGTCAGAAATGCTGAAATCAGAATGTGGTGTGAAATAGAGACAATAAGAAGGAATTAAAAGCCAGAACACAGGAGATACAAATCAGACTGACAAGTTAAACTCATCATGGGAGTTTCATGATTTCTGACTCTGACCTGAGAAGACAAAATATTTCATAATAGAACATTTTGGCTACTACTTCTTAATTCAATAAGTATATTTTGACATTTGTCTAAGAAGTATTCCCATTACTCTCTCTCTTTCCCAAATTGAGTGGATTAGATTGTGTAACTCACAGGAGTTTGATATCTCTAAGGGAAACCCCATTGAATATCAGACTCTGTCTTGTTTTGTGTCTTTTGGTGAACTTGAAAGCTTAGACTAGCCACAACTCCAAGGCCTGTTCTGGGAGCAGAATCTCCTCTTGCCTTCCAGGGAGGAGGGACATTGCAAGGGATTCTACTAGGACTTGAAAACAGACACAATTTCCCTCAAATATCTCTTTCCTTCAGGCTTGAGATATCTTTGTCTTTGCTCATTCCTCTATTTTCCATAATTCTTTAAGTTCTTGATGGTTCGGGTCAAATGTCCTTATATTCCCTTTAGACCAAAAACTTGTCACTGCCCAGTACCCTCTGCCCTCTGTACGCTGGATTCCTGCCCTGAGGCTTGAACCATGTGATGAGAAACCAATGGCTGAATGTATAATTTTACTCTTCCTTCCCATGTGGCACCCAGGGCCAATATCCTGCCTGTTCAAACCTACTTGTTGGCTTCCTTTTCCTGCATGGACAGACCTCCCAGGATTCTGACCTCACACATACTGACTGAATTCCTGAATGTAATGACCCACCCACAGAACTGGTTGACCTTCCCAGTTGTGACTTTTCCTGGAATTCCCTCCTAAACAACTCTTTCTGGCCAGACAAGTTTATTTAACCACCACAGCTCACACCACCCAATTAAAGATTTCTTTGTTGTATCCCCATGCAAAGGATCCACTTTATGGTTGGTGCCAAAACACACACAGACGCACACACACAACCTGCTCAAAGTTTCTGCAGGTTGTATTTCTAACATGTTGCCATAGTCTAAGAGTCCGAGAAGAAAAACCTTATTTGTTCATCTTTCTAAAAATAAAAATAGTTATTTTTATAATCAGTGATTATATAATTTATGTTTATATATTACAAAATTTATCTTATATATTTATAATTATAAAATATATAAACATAATTATTTCAAATTATGCAAATAAATTATTTTCATGGGTCAAGTTTTTAATTCATTTTAAAGAATAGAAACAAATTGTGTTATTGTCACTTGAAGGCTACCCTGAGAGTAGATTCAAGGTAACTTGCAGCTTGAGGACTCTACAACACCATAGAGAGTCCCCTTCTAAGTCCTTTTGGCTACCTTTGTTAGACTGGCAAACAGGTCTCAGCACCAGAAAGCGGTAATCTTGGCTATTATTAGAATCCTCTTCTCCAGAATCTGTCAAGAGGCTTTGACCCAAATAAAATCAATCAGTACAAAATATTTTTTTCTTTTTCGCCTTCTGCTGAAGCTTTAAGTGAAATATGGCATGCTTCCATACCTATTAGCAGAGGAGAGAAGGAGAGGGAGAGAGAGAGAGAGATGTCTAAAACAGCTACTGCCTTGCTAATTTAAGATAAAAAGCAGTAATATATAATGTAGCTAATAAAATATATTCTCTATTACCTTATTTTATGTATTGGATTAGGGGTTGACAAACTTTTTCTGTCAAGAGAAAGATGGTAAATACCTTAGGCTTTGTAGGCCATAAGGTCTTGGTTGCAACTAATCAACCATGCTGCTGTAGCATGAAAGCAGCAATAGACAGTATAGAACAAATGAGCATGGCAATGTTCCAATAAAACTTTATTTACAAAAAAAGATGTGTCTAGCCCTCAGAAGCATAGTGTGATGACTTCTGATATAAACTTATAAAAGATTTTATTATATTGGGAAATACATAATTTTAACATACCATGCAATACGTATTTTTACCTGGAAACATAATTTAAAATGGATTCATTGAATAATGTATAATTAGCTATGAAGGAATAGGAATTAAATATTCTAGAAAGTATTGTGATTAATTATAGTGTTATGTGCTCTTCTATGTTTCCGTTGTTTTCTACCTTAGTGGTTGAGTGAATTAAATTCAAACCTGTTTGTTTTTTTGAAAACAAACAAACAATAAAGGGGCTACTTTATTGGAGATCAGTACATGTTTTTAGTCATTGCTTCTTTTTTAAACATTTAAATTAACTATGTGATCTAATTACCAAATTAAATAGATAACTATTGAAGGCATTTTTTCATTTTTGGTTTTAATGGTCTATTTACCACATTCATTTGCTTTTTTCCCTTTTAAACAAAGAGAATAAATTAACTAAACAGATCTTAATGGACTGAATATAAACAAGAAACACATCTGTGTGATCGTCACACAATGCAAATTAATACACCTTGCAATTTCACATCTGTTGTTCAATAGTCCTCAGTTTTCATGGTACATTCATTCAAGTTCTTGTCTTCATTAGAAGCACTGAGATGTGTCTCAGGCAACCCAAAATAAAATTGTATATACAAAAACTTCCAATATTCACTCTCAAAGTGTTAAATAAAGAGTTGGTCCTGGCTAACATGGTGAAACCCTGTCTCTACTAAAAAAAAAATACAAAAAATTAGCTGGGCGTGGTGGTGGGTGCCTGTAATCCCAGCTACTCGGGAGACTGAGGCAGGAGAATGGTGTGAACCCAGGAGGCGGAGCTTACAGTGAGCGAGATCGAGCCACTGCACTCCAGCCTGGGCGACTGAGTGAGACTCCGTCTCAAAAAAAAAAAAAAAAAAAAAGAGTTGGTCCCTTTTAGTGATCACCAAGAGACTGTAAAGGCATACAGCTCATAGGATCATGGAATCACAAGTTTTGCAGAGTATCAGAGATGACATGCATATCATTTGTTCATTTAAGTCTGGAGCCCACCTAGAGTACTTCAATCCCTCTACCTTCAGAACACATGCTGAAGGGGCAAAGATAGTTATTGATGTCGTGGCTTGGGGAAAACTATTATTATGAGTCAGTCTTTTTATTTTTTAATATACGCTGCTATTCTTACTTACTGGATCCTCCCCAGTAGGAAAGGGAAGCAAATTAATCTTGAATATTCTTTTTGGTACCAAAGTCTTCTCAGAGGAGTTCATATCATTTACTATCTTCCTTAGATTGAGAGATGCTTATCACCCAGTCTATATTCCTTTGGATAAAAAAACTGAAAATCGGTTGAAGACCATTGCAAAATTATCCTTACTGTTTTGGAAGTGTTATAGAATAAGTATGGAGTTTAATATCATATTGAGTTTAGAACTATTGCTTCTTTTTCTTTGCATAAATTATTTCCAACAATGTCCTCCTTTCATTCTACAACATCACACTTTCAAAAAAGTCTACTTCTCTCACTAGAACTTCAAATATCATATACATATAAGAATTCATTTTTGTTCTCCCTAATATACAAAGCACGGTAGATTAAAACATTCTCGCCTCTTGTTCTTCAGAATCTGTCAAGCGGCATTGACCCAAATAATCAATCAATCAATACAAAGTATTCTTTCTTTCTTGCCTTCTGCTGATGCTTTAAATGAAAACATGGCATGCTTCTATACCTATTAGCAGAGTAGAGAGAATGAGAGATTTCTATGTTATTTTAACTTTGGAAGTCACCAACTCTTAATCATTGAAAATCATCTTTCCTCCCACTATGTACCCAAACTCATAACTTAAGGGCTCTGAGCGTATCCAGCTCATGTTGGTCAGTTTTAGAGACAGGGCCACTTACTGTTCTACAGTTGCATGCTCTGTCTGGAGCAGAGCTCGGTGCATACCAGAAACTGCTTTTTTAGCGTGCATGGTTCCCTACTACAGATGGCATAACCTTGCTGCAGGACACTAGGAATTTTCATTGCATGGCTCCTTTAGATATTTTTCAGACTGCACATGGTATCTTTTTGTTTTGTTTTAAACCACTGATACTTCTAGTATCACGAGCTCTACAGGATGATAAGGCTGTATGGGCAAGACTGCTTATAATAGCTGCCAAGAAATATCTTTCTCTGGATCCCACTTACAGCAAATGACCTTTCATATCACATAATAAATGGGTTGGAACAGTGTTCCTAAGGACTACAAGAGATCCCTCAGCCCTTCTGCATGTGATTGCAGAGTGAGAAGTTGGTTGTTTATGGAGGAGAAGACCCTTACAAGACACTGAATCTGCAGGCACCTTGATCTTGGACTTCCCATCCTCCAGACCGGTAGAAAATAATGTATGCTGTTTATAAATCACCCAGTCTATAGTATCTTGTTGTTACATCAGCCCAAATGGACTAAGACAGCAAGCATTGTCTTGTAAGGCAACTGACACATTTGAGAGCTCTTAGATGTCTTCAAGCAAGTGGGATCTGGAGAGGTTATGTCTTTCAACAGAGAGGAGGGGGATGCTTGTTCAGGTTCAGGGGGTTTACAAGAATCTAGAAATTCAAAAGTTTTAAGAGCACTTCCCACCCAAGTTTCAAGTCCCCACTTATTCCTTATGAGAGGCTTTACTTTGGCAGCATTTTGATAATCTGATTATTCAGTTATCTCTTAAGTTCTACTCTTATCATTAGGCAATAAACCTAGTTTTTAAATTGGTCATTTCTCAGGCTTTTAAAGTACTGCCAGTGAGACTCTGACATTCACATGTCTTTCTGAATTTGTGTTTGATCTCCTTAGGGCCAGTTATTTTCACTTCTCAAATCATGAACAATACTCAATATCTTAGTCTTTTAGTTACCATTTCCCTCTATCTCTCAAACACCACATATTGCCCAAGCCAGTGCCTCTTTTCCACCTGCATTTTATCTCAGTGATATGGTTTGCCTGTGTCCCCACCCAAATCTCACCTTGAATTGTAATAATCTCTACATGTCAAGGGCAGGGCCAGGTGGAGATAACTGAATCATGGGGGCAATTTTGCTCATACTCTTCCTGTGGTTGTGAAGAAGTCTCACAGGATCTGATGGTTTTATAAATAGGAGTCTCCCTGCACAAGCTCTGTTGTCTGCATCCACGTAAGATGTGACTTTGCTCCTCATTCGCCTTCTGCCATGAATGTGAGACCTCCCCAGCCATGTGGAACTGTGAATCACTTAAACCTCTTTCCTTTATACATTACCCAGTCTCGGGTATGTCCTTATTAGCAGCATGAGAAGAGACTAATACAGTAAATTGGTACCAGTAGAGTGGGGTGCAGCTGTAAAGATACCCAAAAATGTGAAAGTGACTTTGAAAATGGGTGACAGAGGTTGGAACAGTTTGGAGGGCTCAGAAAAAAAAAATGGAAAACTGTGGAAAAGTTTGGAACTTTCTAGATACTTGGAGGGTTCAGAAGACAGGAAGATGTGGGAAAGTTTGGAACTTCCTAGAGACTTGTTGAATGTCTATGACCAAAATGCTGATAGTGATATGTAAAATGAAATCCAGGCCGAAGTGGACTCAGATGGAGATAAGAAACTTGCTGGGAACTGGAGTAAAGGACACTCTTGCTATGCAAAGAGACTGGCAGCATTTTGCCCCTGCCCTAGAGATCTGTGGAACTTTGAACTTGAGAGAGATGATTTAGGGTATTGGGGGAAGAAATTTCTAAGCGGCAAAGCTTTCAAGAAGAAGCAGAGTGTAAAAGTTTGGAAAATTTGCAGCCTGACCATGAGGTAGAAAAAAAATCCCATTTTCTGGAGAGAAATTCAAGCTTGCTGCAAAGATTTGCGTAAGTAACGAGGAGCCAAATGTTAATCCCCAAGACAATGGGGAAAATGTCTCCAGGGCATGTCAGAGACCTTTGCAGCAGCCTCTTCCATCAAATGCCTGGAGGTCTAGGGGTGAAAAATGGTTTCCTGGGCCAGGCCCAAGGCCCTCCTACTCTATGCAGCCTCAGGATATGGTGCGCTGTATGCCAGATGCTTCAGCTCCAGCAGTGTCTAAAATGGGCCAATATAGAGTTCAGCACATTGCTTCAGAGGATGCAAGAGCCTGTGGGTGCCCAGAAATCAAGAATTGAGATTTGGGAACCTCTGCCTAGATTTCAGAAGACATATGGAAACTCCTGGATATCCAGGCTGAAGTTTGCTGCAAGGGCAGAACCCTCTTGCAGAACCTCTGCTAAGGCAGTGTGGAAGGGAAATGTGGGGTTGGAGCCCCAACACAGAGTCCCCACTGGGGCACCGCCTTGTGGAATTGTAAGAAGAAGGCCACCATCCTCCAGATCCCAGAATTGTAGATCCACCAACAGCTTGTACCTTGAGCCTGGAAAAACCTGCAAACACTTGATGCCAGCCCATGACACTAGCCAGGAAAAGGGCTATACCCTCCAAAGCCACAGAGGCAGAGCTGCCCAAGGCCTTGGGAGCCTACCTCTTGCATCAGCATGACCTGGATGTGAGACATGGGGTCAAAGGGGGTCATTTTGGAGCTTTAAGATTTGACTTCCCTGTTGGATTTTGGACTTGCATGGGGCCTGTAGACCCTCTGTTTTGGCCAATTTCTCCCATTTGGAACAGGTGTATTTACCCAATGCCTGTACCCTCATTGCATCTAGAAAGTAACTAACTTGCTTTTGATTTTACAGGCTCATAAGAGGAAGGGACTTACCTTGTCTCAGATGAGACTTTGGATGTGGACTTTTGAGCTAATACTGAAAGGAGTTAAGACTTTGGAGGACAGGTGGGAAAGTGTGATTGGTTTTGAAATGTGAGGACATGACATTTGGGAGGGGCCAGGGGTGGAATATTATGGTTTGGTTGTGTCCCCACTGAAATCTCATCTTGAATTGTAATAATCCCCATGTGTCAAGGGCAGGGCCATGTGGAGAAATTGAATCATGGGGGCACTTTCCCCCGTACCGTTATTGTGGTAGTAAATAAGTCCCACAAGATCTGATGGTTTCATACATGAGAGTTCCCCTGCATAAGCTCTCTTGCCTGCCACCATGTAAGACGTGACTTTGCTCCTTATTCACCTTCCATCCTGATTGTAAGGCCTCCCCAGCCACGTGGAACTGTGAGTCAATTAAATCTCTTTCTTTTATAAATTACCCAGTATTGGGTATGTCTTTATTAGCAGTGTGAGAACAGACTTATACACTCAGTTCATTGTGAATGAAAAATCTTAACAATTTAATTGCTGCAGGATTCCAGGGAACTGTGATTCACAGATTCTCCACCTACCTTCAGCAATGTGGTACTCACTGTCATGTAGCCAGTGATAAATTCAACTCCAAAATCTATCCTTTGAGACTGCTTTTTAAGGCCACTCCTTGAACCAGCTGTTTTAGATCAGATGTTCTAGAAACAGAGCCTAAAACAGGAATTTTTGGATACATATGTTGTATTGATGGATTGCTCATCATGAAAAGGAAAAAAAAAACATAAGGGAGTGAGAGAAACAATATAAGGAAGACAAAGAGCTGAGCAAGGATGAGGTCTCAGGTGAAGTTTAACCTTGGCCTGATTCACAGGGTGCTCTGGAGAAAAATCACACCACAGAGTTGGCCCACCTTGAGGCAAGGGGGTTGGCCTTTGTACCCCATATCAGTAAGTCATTTACTATGGGCAGTCATTTGCATGGTGGTGGCATTGGAGTATAACTATTTACCAAGCACTTCCCATGTGGGAAAGGGGTTAAATTTGGGGGATATGCAGCCAACACTTCTAGCAGTGGGGGGATGTGCATACTAGCCTGTGAAGGGGATCTAGGTGGAACACCAGTAGCACCCTACTATACTTTCAAAAAAAAGTATAAATCAAGCACAATTTTTTGCACTTATTCTGACTCTAACAGAAATTTTCAAGTAAATGTATATAAAATATTAACATTATGAATCTATTTTTCCTGACAAAAGAAATCAACTAAGAGCTCAAAGAAGATCCAGCTATAGCAGCCACAATTATTCTTTCATGTAATAAATATCCAGTAAGTACCTGGCCTGTG
The DNA here is from genome assembly GCF_000001405.40 of Homo sapiens. Lineage (NCBI taxonomy): Eukaryota > Metazoa > Chordata > Mammalia > Primates > Hominidae > Homo > Homo sapiens. Next base: position 27,122,182 of record NC_000021.9, on the reverse strand, counting down.
CCAGCATTATCTTATATGTTGACTCTGTCACAGAGAAGAGGGCTTTATTATATGTAGTCATATAGCAGGAGTAGTAGATATCCTGGAGCCTGAAATTCTTATGCATCACCAAAATATTTTCCAGAACAAAGTAAGTTTATTGCTACAATGACCTACATTGAAAATATTCTATGACATAACATTATATCTCCATAGTCCAAAAAAATGGAATTATTTAGTCAAATCATCAACACAATATAATTTACAGAATATGTACGTGACAGAATATATACATTTGCACTTAAACAAAATCAGTGAATCTAATATGTCTCATAGACTAGCACCAGGACAAAGCGATTCAAATCAGGACTTACTGAAAACAATCCAGAGGTATGTTTACAAGGTGATCAGCACTTAGAGTCATTATATTACAATTTAAAAAACCATATGTCAGAAGAAGTATAAATAACCTGAAAGTTCTAAAAGAGAATGAACTGCCTTTAGTGAGGTATAGAAGTTTAGCTGTATTCACCAGTTTTAGACTGTGGATTGAAGGTAAGGCAGAAAGTTGAAATAGCATTCATTTTTGTGTAAAAACAAAATGTTACACCAGTCAGAATTATATTTTGGTAGTATATTATACAAATTTTTCAGAGGCTTCAAAGACAAAGGGTTAACTCTCATGTGTGCAGTATGATGAATGTGGATCAATGGGAGTGGCTGTGAGCTCTGTAATCACTCAAGCTGATGACAGATTCATCGTTCTGTTATGATTTTGAACAGTTTCTATTCCTTGCACTGGAATAGCCCAAGGAAAATTCTACACTCGTTCTTAAGTGCTCTCTCTTGAAAGTGACAAGTGTCATCTTCAGTAAAACCCCTTTTACTCCATCCGTTGAATCCCAAGTCAATAGTAAAGCACACAGAGAAGTATATTCTAGCAGTAGAAGAAGAAACAGAAATATTCATGTTTGCCAGTATGTTCACAGTAAATGGTCTACGCTTAAAAATTGTACTAGTATTCAGACCATGGTCTTTTATAATCATTTTGCATTATACAAGAAATCAGAGATTTTCAGGAAAAGAACTGGTCGAGGTCTCAGACAGGAAATGCACACAAATGTCTAGAAAATCTTGCTTTACCAGAAAGCAAAGAAACTATCAGAGACTACTGGGATTTTGTAAAAGGAAACAAATGATGGTCCACTGCCAAATTTAGCATCAATTTAATAAAAACTGCAATAAATTCAAATATATCAGGTATGCTAAAGTCTGTGAGTTTCTAATGATATTTAGGTGAAAATAGCTGTTTATCACATTTGGAAGATGGTTTAGAGCCAATTCTCTCTTCTGCTAACTGATTAATAAAGGAAAAATAAGTATTTAACTGCCTTTCTTTTGCGAGTTATACCTAGAGTAAATTAATACTTTGGGGAGATTGTCTTTATAAAAATAGTCCAGTTAATTAAAAGAAAAGTGATGATTGAATTAAAATATCACCATCTTGTTGAACTCTAATAAAATAACGCAACTAGACAATGATTATTAATTGCTCCTAATGTCACAAAAGAGAAACAACCTAACACTATATACTTCCCAATAGAAGACACATGACCACCTATGGAGGAGGATTCTTATCACAAACTGGGGAGCTGAATCTGAGCAAGCATCTATATCTTGCTAGAAATTTTCAGAAAACACACAAAAACACCACATATTAACGACTTTGCAAGATGCAGTCAGCAAAGTCCAGAATATAAGAAAACTCTACAGATCAAATGAGCCTGTTTATTTGGCAAACAATTTGCAAGGATAAAAAAAAAAGGAAGAGGAAGTGTATAAATTAAAAAGACTTCAGAGAATATCCAAGAGATGCAAAGCATGGGCCATATTTTGGAACTTAACTAAAAAAAATAAACTGCAGAAAAAAAGAAATAAAATTATGAGAGCAAGTGAAAAAATTGAAGACATTAAATAATAGATTATATACGGGATTGGTAATATTTTAAGCATAAATGCCTTTTGGTTATGTTTAAAACTTTTTTATATAAAGTAAGTCATAAATACAAAATTTCTTTGGAACTAAAGGCTAAATTAAAAATCTAAGGGTTCTCATTTGATTCTATTCATTGGATAGATTGCTTAACAAAGCTAATGAAAATGTCTCTGTTTTCAAATAAGCTCCATCTACATTTTGAAAACCTCATTCCAGATTCTATAATTCATCCTTTTCAGTTTTGATTTTGAAAGATTCCTTGCTCTGCATAAGTTTCATGCTTTCAAAATTTGATTGCTAATAATTGTGGAAGAAGTAAAAAGTTTTCATTAATTTCCTAAAAAGCATAATGCAATGTAAAAAGCATAATGTAATTTAATCTAGGTAGGACGTAGTCCTTTTGACTGTGAATTCCTTTAGCTTAAGGACCGTGTCTTATTTACCTTTTTAATCTCAAATAGGTGCTGAAAATAGACAGTCAAAATATATGACTGGTGTGTAGTATGACTGATGAATGAGTAACCAAATAAATAAATAAATAAATAAATGGTGTTAATAAAAGATCTGCAGGTGACCATTTGCCACAAAACGTGACTTCTTAATAGTTGAATTAAATGTATTTTCCCCCTCACCACACCTCTACTCCATTCCACCTCCATCTTCCACTTCAAGAAGCCAGAAATTTAATTTAAAAATGACTGAAGGAAATATAATTTCTTCATATTGAATTAATTCAGAAAATTTGAGGAGGAACAATAGAACTCTTCAGAATTTCCATGCACATTTAAGAAATGACAAAGAATTATTCAGTCAGTCCAAGTTAAGAATGATTTTTAGAAGAATGAACATTTTACTATTGTACTAAAAATTGTGAAAATTATTGTGAGATGTCAGAGGACTGCCAAATCTTAAACGACCTTTATAAAGCACATATCAATGCCAAATGCATGTAATGGAAAGGGCATTTCTTTTTTTCAGGAATATATTTCATACATCTATCATAATATTATAAAGTTACCCATGGAAGTGATTTTATGAAACCAGGAATGCCCACTCTATTATGACCAAGCTGGTAGTGTCTAAGTTACTTAACCACAGGTGACTAAAGCATCAAATCATGATAAGGCTAAAGCCAGTGATATCTTTTTTCTCAATTAACCTTGATTGGTTAGCTATTCAGGGCTGTTCAGAACCAAGTAATAATGTAGGCATCAAGGATGAAACACAGAACCATGAAAAGTTCTCTTGTTAAGTGGCACAAGTTGTTTCTGACATGAAAAAATGGACATATAAATACCTAACTGATGTACGCTATATAGCATATTTAATGAATAAATGGTGTTAATGATATTGCATACTGATGCAACATCAGATGCTTCATTTTCCTCCATTTTTATCCATATTAATGGAGTGAACACCAGACATTTTCTTCTGTAAACTATTTAATACTCACTCAGCCTCATGATATTCAACCATACTAAATGTTCGTATCATAATTCAATTTTCAAGCTTTTCTTCATCAGGGAAATCTAATTCCAATAACTCAAAAGATATTATTGTAACTACACAGATTTAAAAAGTAGGTGATCCTATCTAACGTCAAAAATCTAACGTTGATTTGACAAGGTGTCGAGTTTTTCTGTCTTTCTACAGAGGTCTAAAAATATTTGCATTTTGTCTCTTACTCCTGTTAATTAAATGAGCTGTTGACTGCAGTCTAATGAAGAAAGAAAGATACATTAAAGAGAAGAAACCAACTGTGCTTGGCAATCTTAACCTAGAGACTTAAACAGGATTAACATACTGAAATCTTCATGTATGTTTTCAGAAGGAAATGGGGTTGGAAAGGTACAAGAAAATGTAAATGTTGGTAGAATATTACTTCACTCCTAAAAGCAGGAATTAGGCTTACATAAAAGTGGTTTCCAATGTTAATACTCTTTCACCTGAGAAATAAAGATTAAAATATGGAAACATTGAGCTACTTTTTAAAATGACTATTCTCCATTATAGCATTAGGTTGGTGCAAAAGTAATAGCGTTTTTTGCCATTTTTAAAAAGTAATGGCAAAAGCTGCAATTACCTAATAATTAAAGTTTTATGTCTGAAATAAGAATTATAATTAAAAATAAACTTAGTCAAGAAATTTCTATGGAAAAAAGGGAGAAGAAACACTAGATAAGAAAGCATAAGTTACTGTTATGTGTTGAAACAAGCTCAGTATCATATACAGAAAACATAAAATACAGGATATAAGCTTATAAAAATAATTAAAACAAATATAGAGAGTGATGGGCATAAAACAAAATGGTAATTCTGAATAAATAATTGAAAGGAAAAGAGAGTTACTAATTCCTGCCATTAATGCACAGAAATTTGAAATTCTAGTCATATAATAATCTGATTAATAGTGCTACTTTTTCACATTTATATTACTATCCTCTTCCAGAACAGCTGTCTTTAAGAAAATAATGAAATAGAACAAAGTTAAAAATCAAAAAAATATAGAGCTCATCTCTTTTCTATTTCGAAATACAAAAAAATTAATCATATTAACCAACCTGAATACGCCTCTTTATATTACTATTCTAGGCCCTTAAAGGTATACATTAATTGTGTTGATAAATTTTCGATGTTATTCTACTTCCTGATGCCCATCTCACCCATCACCACAAGTCAGTTTTAGATTTACTTAAAATTAACTCCAAAAGTTTAACATGAAATTGAATTTCAACATATACTTTAGGTAGGAAAAATCAGCCCTAAGAAAGATCATGTGTATTATTCTTCAGTGAGTGAAAACACAGTGGAACAAACATTATAGCAACACCAAAAGCTAAAACAACTACGCAAATATGCTCAAAGCCACAGTTTAGAATAAGCATTTGCATGTGGGCAACACCACAGAAATCAATTTTATTTGAAAGTTTTTGCTAGAACAAATTTGTACTCTAGAATGGAGTGTCAATGATGGGCTTTTGCTGGGATGAGTTTTTCAAAGAGGCTAGGAACAGTGATGAAGACATTTAGATACAGGAGTAGTACAAATAAAAATAGTGACCGAGATGGTCAATACAGAGCTGCTGCCCTTGGAAATATTAGAGACAGAGAGCTGAGGGCAGACAGTGTCTCTACAGTCTTGCTCAGAGACAATGAGAACGTAAACGAGACAGTAATCGAATAAATTAAAGGAGAGGATTCTGAGAAGGTATCACACAGGAAGTGAAACTATCTACTTGAATCCCAAGTCTGCATAAATCCAGCTCAAATGACCCCTCCTATACAATCACCTCACTTTCCAGGTTATCTCACAGAGCACTCATATTAAGTGAGTTTCTTTTAGTTCATTTTTTTCACAAACAACAGAATTCTGAAACTGACCCAAAATGGAATTCATTAACAGGGCTTGGAATAAGTCATAGACTCACTGGCAGTCATGCTTCATGAGATTGCTTGATTGCGACTGTCTGTAACAGATTATTTTTCCCCAGAAGTAGTTCTTACTATGGAAGGTAAAATGAGATGAGCCCATGATATATGTGTAGGGAATGACTTAAAAATCCTGAAAAGGATCCTGAAGGAGAAAAGAGGATAAAAAGGGAGAATGATGCCCTGTTGGTCAAGGTAATGTATTTCAAGAGATGGAACAGCTCAAAACTGACAAATGCCCCGAAAGTAATCTTGCAGCTTGGGGGGCCGGGCGCGGTGGCTCACACCTGTAATACCACCACTTTGGGAGGCCGAAGCGGGCGGATCACAAGGTCAGAGATCGAGATTATCCTGGCTAACACAGCGAAGCCCGGTCTCTACTAAAAAAAATACAAAAAATTAGCCGGGCGTGGTGGCGGGCGCCTGCAGTCCCACTCAGGAGGCTGAGGCAGGAGAATGGCGTGAACCCGGGAGGCGGAGCTTGCAGTGAGCCGAGATCGTGCAACTGCGCTGCAGACTGGGCGACAGAGCGCGACTCCATCTCAAAAAAAAAAAAAAAAAAAATTGCAATTTGGCTTGGCACTACCTCATTTATCCATTTCAAAGAGATATGCTTGACTTGACTTGAAAGTGTGACATATATTTTTTTCTTAACAATATTTAAATCACATTGTTATGTATCTTTCCTGTGATTAGGGTCCTATAGGAACCTTCCTCATTTTATAGAAGAGGAAAGGGAGTTATACAGATGGTATAACTCTAAGATTTGAATGCCGAGCTACTCATTTCAAATTCATTGCTTTTCCTACTATAATCATCTTTTACTTATAATTTTTACAAATTTTCCTTTATCAAACGCATGTAGTAAATCTTAATTAATAATGTGTACCTTCAAGGCACTTAACTATATGCTAGGTTTTACAAGTTTTCTGGAAGCTGTAGTGGAAGCAGCATGTTCTCTTATAGGTTTTGACCTTCAGACAGAATATACTCTTCATATAAAATAATTAATGCAAGACTCAAAAAAAGCTAAAGGGCAGACGAAATGATGTTAAAGATAAAGAGCCAAACGCTAGGCCTGAGAACTGGAGGATAAGAAACATTTGTCATTTGGTATTTCTAATAGGTTCTGGTGGTTGGTGCAGGGTTCCCCCAGAGTCCTGCTGTTACTGGAGAGAAGAGTTCTCTTTCACTGAAGCGGAGCTCTTCATAAAACCTTCATGGAAGGCCCTCGCTGTACTCAAAACTCTGGGGAACAAAAAAATCAAAATGGGCTCCTTGTTCTCAGGGAACTTAATTCACATGGAGATAAGGCATGCTCCGTCTGAAATTGTGAGATGAAAAGATGCAAATAAAGGCAAAATCAAAAAGCATTTGTTTTACTCAATCGAGAGAACAATCAGCATAAATTGCAAAGTGTGGGAACGCTATGTGGTGAAGCGGGGTGCTTCAGTTGGATATTGATAACAGGGTAGCTTTATCATAGCTGATAATGAGAGCAAAAGAAACAAACTTTTAAAAAATATATACTTTGCAATCTTTGACCATGGAAAAGTAATTTAATTGCTCTGAGTCTCAGTTTCCTCTTCTGTAAACAAGTCTTGCCCAAGTTCTGAAACAAACAAACAAAAAAGCCTCATGTGAAGCTGGCACAGTTATATTTTGAGGGGAGAGAGGAGATATAATCTCAGGGCAACAAGCATGGAAGAAGAAGGAAAACAAGACACAAAAGGAAAGAAAGCAAGTAAAAGGTAGGAAGTTATTGAACTGGCCACAGCCTTCAAAGAAAAACAGTCTGTTGCTTAGACATTACAAATGTCTCCAGGAGATCATGTTGTATGTCTAGATTTCAAAAATTTATCACGTGAAGAAAGGGAGGAGAGGGCATCTTCAGGCTCCTTTCAGTTTCCTGCATCTCACTATGAAAGCTTGCCCCAATTGTTGTTAATGCTTCTGTACTTTTAGGTTTTCCATCCAAGTTTCTCTGGTAGGGAAGCCATATCTCACCCTCCATACTGATTCTTTGAGCCCAGCAGATGATGGAAAAAGCACAGCCAATGTGTGTGCAGTTGGGCCAGACCGGGGTGTCAGAGCCAGTTCTGCTCCTGCATCAGCAGGCACAGTGCAGACCCTACTGAAGGGGCAGAGCCCAGAGCCAGAGGCACGCATGCTTAACTTGGGTCAGATACAGTCAAGATGACGACTAAGGCTTTTACCAGTTTTAACATTCTGTGACCATGTAGATCTCTTTGGATGATGTCCTAGAGGGCCCAATAATTCATCAGTTGAGACTATTCAACAATTACAGAAAAGCTCATTAATTTTCCATTGGCATCATTCCAGTGAATAGTAAGAATTGATTATGCTTTTTTTCCCCTGTAGCAATTTCTGAGTTCCCTGAAATCAAGTGGTGAAGTGAAATGTGGAATCACGTGCTTAAAAAAAGATGTGCTACAGCGGCAAATCTGGCCTCAGTCCTGAATTCCATAGACAGCACCTTATTTCTAACAGCTGTGCTCATTTGGGTTTATAACACAGCCACACATTCTCCTATATGTGAAGTGCCATAAGCTGCAAACATAGCTAGGGCTTTCTTCTATCTACTGGACATTCTGCATGTAAAAGTGGGTGGTTGTACCCTTTCCTCAAAAAAAGGTGTTCTTAGATGAATATATTTTTGATTTTTTTTAGTTTTATAATCCTGCCCTAAACAGTCTTTATGGCTGGCTGTAAATCCTCAATTCTAGAGAATCCCCAAGAGCCATTCCATTTAAGGATTAAGTGGTAAAAACAGAAAGTAAATCCTCTAAGTGTGGTTAATATCCTCTGTTCTCTTGATTGTTTTTGGTAATGTGCGTAAATAATTTCTGTAATAGGCCATACTTCTTAATGCAAGGAAAAAGTGGTATATCTGGTTACTTAACCTACTCCTCCATGGATGAAAAGAGGGAGAAGAAGCAGTCATCCCTGCCGAGTGCATCTATGTGAATTGCACCACTGAGTTGTGCAGTGCTCAACCTGGGCAGCCTTTTGGGCAACCTTGTAAAGAAAGTTCACAAGTCCATAAGGCCAGCATTATTTCTAAGATAGAGATTACTCGGTTTACAGTTGAGGAGACCAATATCCTGAAAAGGCTGAATGATTTATTTGACCCAAAGAAAGAGAGTAGGGAATAGCCCAGGTCTTCTAATTCTTGTCCTGACATGATTTTGTGACTAAATCTTCGGAGAAAAGGAAATTTAATGAGGTGACATGTATTAGTAAAACATGCAATAGGGATTAGAATTAGCTGTTAAAGAGAGGGAATGTCCTGTTTTTCAAGTATACTTTTGATCTATTGTAGTTTATATATATATATATAATAAATATACAGTTTATAATTTTATATTCCCAAGTCTTCAGGATCTACCACAGATTAATGTTTTATTGATGTCAGATTCAACATCAAACTAATTGAACTACAGGAATATGAAAGAATTAACAAAACATTGAACAGAAGAAACAAAAATACAAGGTAGCCCAGTTCAATTAACTTGCTCAGGAAAATAAACTTCATTAGAGCATTTAGCATAGGGGAGTTTGGAACCATTAATACAAATAATAATCATGAAAGTAGTAAAAATGCCTACTAATAATTAAACGCAAACCCAGATTGAATGTTCATTTATTACCTAGCATGGAGCTTTAAGTACATTGTTTTACACAATCACTTGGAGAAACCCGCGAGATGTAGATTATTATTACCCTTCTTTAATAAAGAAGAAATGAAAGCAAAAAGTTATGTGTGTGTTGGGGGGGTCATTTCAATTTGATCTACATTTATTGAATGTCTACTACAATACCAACTTTATGTTCACTATTGTGTGAGACAAAGATAAATGAGACAGATCCTCAAGTGATTTGAAGCCTAGTGGTTTAAAAAGCTATGCACATAATTATAGGACTGTGGAATTAATTTATTCACATTCTCACAATCTCCCTTTATTACAGAAAATGGATGATCTGAATATAAAAACTAAATGAATTATAGTTAAGCCTGATGATAGTTAGAGAAATAAGTAAAATTAATGAACCCATTAAAGGCAAGATTTAGAGAAAATTCCACTGGTGCTTTAAATTAAAGCATGCTAATAATTACCCTTTTCTCCTCACACAAAGAAGCAGAAAGAAAAAAATGAAAAAAGGGAAAATTAAGATGTTAATTTCTCTTAAAGTCATTTCCTATTCCATTACCCAAGAAAAGTTATTAAATAAATGGAAAGCAGACCTAAAGAGGGAGTTTAGGACACATTATATTGAGAAAAACCAGTTTAGTCACCAGTTTGCAGTATCACATATCCTCTAAAAGGTGAGTGTTTGATGACTGATGATGACTACTGAGAAATCCTCTTTGACTGACTTGAGACTGTAAGTCTCAAAAAGGTGATTGAGGAGGGAAATGACTCCAGGTTGAACTCTGTATTCTATTTCAGCTTAGAGTTGCATATATCTGATGATTATTCCTGAGTTCTTAAATGTCTAGGAAAACATTGGCATCTTGGGCTTAGGGCACTTACCACTTTTTGACAGTAGGATAAGAGCCTGTCCAATGTGAATCAATCATCAACAGCCTTAACAATCTTGTTCCATTACCTCGTTGCTTTTGATATTTACTGAGGGTGAGACAACTTTACAACTTTTTTAACTGGGTTATTTTAAGGCTGTATTACTAATTTTGGAAAAAGCAAAGCATGTGCATAAAAAAGTGGAGAACACTGAAATAGGATTGCAATAATACTAGTGAATAGCAGGATCTTTTTTATTCAAGGGAGAAAAATTTGGCTGACTCACTAATTGTTTCAGTTAATGTATGCTGTCATAGCTAAACTTTTTATTTAGCTAGCTTGACTAATTAAAATGTATGTTTTATTTAGATAATCTCATTTATAACTGAGTAGATGAAGCTTATTGCAGTTAATAGCAAATAGCAAGAATGGCAGTTACTGTTTTAGATCAGTGGTTTTCAAAGTGTGGTTCCTGGACCAGCAATACCAGCATCACCTGGGAATTTGCTAGAAATTTCCAGTTCTACCCCAGCCCTTCTGTATCAGATATACCAGGGAGGAAGTTTGGAATATGTGTTTTAACAAGCTAGCCAGGTGACTTACACGTATGCTAAAATTTAGGAACCACTGTTTTAGACATTAAACTTTAGAGCTCAGAATTGCAAATTCAAATGCTCTGAAAGACCAGGAAGGGTAAACAAATTATCTTGTAAAAAACAATTAAATGGTTAGGCCAGTGGCTCTCTGGAATGTCAGGCCCCATTTAAAAGCACTCACATTCATATTTTGTAAACTTCTATGTTGGTCAAACAAATCATAATTGTGGGCTGAATTTGACCTACCGACCCTTAGTTTGAAAGGCTGGTTCTAACAGCATAAGAATTTAGCAAAAACAGTTTTGTAAAAGATTTACAGTTTTAAGAAAGTTTTATTACAATTTACAAAAAATATATATATATTTTATTTGTAGTTTACCATCCTGGAATGCACCGTGGAAGCTTATTTCATTCCTCAAAACTTTCAAAGCTGTTGATGCCCAGCTGATATTTACAGTGGTTGCATGGTCTGGTGATTACAAAGAAACAGAGGAAATGATGGCTTTAATAACCTGTGCATGACATGATTGCTCTAAAAGGACATAATTTTTGGAGGTCAGTGGAAAATAAAATGTGAAGTGTCCAATCCATTGTCCGATCAAATCTCTCTGAAGAAACATGGGTTCAAGGGAAAAATAAATAAGCTTTTCAAGATGGTGACAGCAGAGTGAGGTCTTTCTGAACACAGGACCTGGATGCACATCTGTGAAGTCAGCCCTGGGTCCAGTGGTCTTTCATCTACCTCCTGTGTATCCTGTTTATCTACACCAGCTATATATCATATTTATCTATACCAAAATTAATGGGCAAGAACTAGGGAAATGGTTGCAGAAAGGTCAACTAAAACAACAATTTTATACTATGAGATATATGATAATGTTGCTTGGAGCTTAAAGAAAGACTCCAAAAACAATAATGAACATGAAACATAAAATATAGCTTAACACTTACTTCTAATAAGACTTGCTCTTAGTAATATTTATGTATAGACTACTTCAGGATAGGAACTTCCCTATTCTCAACCATTTCTGTGATGTGATTGATACTAACCTATACAGCATTATGCTGAGAATGGTATTTAGTAATCGAATTTTCTAAATGAATTAATTAAAATTTTTGGAAGCTAATATAAAATTTTCAGGCTATGTCAAGGTCACAGATATCGCTGACGAAAAGTCAATGCATGTTCCAGATTTCTTAAATGTTTCTCAAAATATAGTGTTTGGGAGGAAAAACTATCAAGGGACCACCCCTCATTTAGGCAAAATAACCACGTGCCTACTTAATGAGATTTAAAGAAACATTTTTAACAGACTCACTATAACTTCAGTGTGAGACATAGCTTTGCATGTTGCCTGAAATTTCATTCATGGTAGGACCACTAATTTGATCAAGACAATGCATTGTCAACAAAGAAATACACCTGACTTTACACTGTTAGGTCAAAACATTATTTTAGAACTGTCAAACCACTGATTTTGCAATAGCGTATCACCGTTCTTAGGGCAAAATCCAAACATCTTACAATGGCTTTAAGACATTTTTATAAGTAGGATCCTCCCCACTTTTTCATCCTATCTCATATAATTTGATCACATGTAGACCATTCTCTGGACACATTTCTTGCAACAGGTTGAGCCTTGTTCACCCCTGACTTTAAATGCAACTGGTTTTTATCAGATTTTTAAATCTAAGCAGAATAATATCTGAGAGAGACCTTCTCTGACCTTCCTGTCTAATACACTGCCTCCATCACCCACCACCAAATCTAGTAACTCCCCATCATCTCCATGGTTACCTCCTTCAAGGCAACCATCACAATTAGTGAATCTCTTTTATTTTTATTTGGCTACTTATTTATAAAGAATATAAACTTATTTGAGTCAGGGATCTACCGTCTCGTATATTCCTACATCCTCAATGCCTACAGTAGTGTCTAACCCAGAGTAGACATTGAATATATATTGGTAAGTGCTGAGTGAATGAATGGTGAATAAAATATCAGAAAGTTATATTTGAGTGGTTCTTTGGAGGGGAAGTTGAAAGTGAAGAGATGTAGGTGAAAGGGAATCATGGAAAGAAAAACTTGGGAGACATTCTATATCCAGAGGCAACATTGTTAAGGAAGAAAAAAATCTCAGTAAGACTTTCTAAAAGAAGGGCCTGGGATAGCGATGGAACAGCCGGCAGAGACCTTTGGAGAGAAGGAACATTAAAAAGCACAATTGAGAGGAAGCTAAAATGATTGATCTTCCTCACAATGTTTTTATGAGCTCAGCCTTATTAAAGTATGACAGTGTTTCTGAGAAAGCATTTTCAAACTACCTTTTCATGTTCAGAGTGTGAATAACATATTTTCTTTTTTTTCCCTCATTTATTTGTTTAAGTTTACCAAAACATTTGTATTTATTTATCATGTACAACACAGTATTTTGAGAGGTATACACTGCAGAATGGATAAATTGAGTTAATTAACATATGCATTCCCTCACCTATTCTTTTTTCTGGTGAGAACACTTCAAATCTACTTTTAGCACTTCTCAAGAATATAATAAATACATTGTTACTAACTATAGAAATCATGCTGTATTAAATGTGGATCTCTTGACTCTATTTCTCCTGTTTAAATGAAATTTCCTATTCTTTGACCAACGTATTCTGGTGATGTACTTTCTCCGGAATGTGTGCAAATCAAGCAACTCTCTACTTTGAAGACTGAAAAATTAAAAATGAGATATGCTGACTAAGGCTAGTAAATCAATAACAAAAATCAGGTTTTAATATTAACAGTTGCTCACACACCTAGAAAGCACTGGTAGTTTGGGGTTGCAGTTATTTTCCAGAAAAGGATATTTTTTGTTAGGGTTAAATTTCAAAAGCAAAAGTCATTCTTCATCCACTTTCTTTACACTCAAATAGGACTTTTTAAGAAGCAGTTTTAAGCAGAAATTTGTCTTGTTTAGTCATAACTTGAAAGAACTTATTTTTAGTTTTAACCTAAACCAAATAGTGTTGAACTATAAGCATGTTTTAAGTGGGAGGGGAATGGGAGCAATAATTTTCCCTATTTTAAGAAACTTGAACTCTTCGTGCACTCAGAAAAACAAAATCCCCAATAACCTGAACATGCAAAATTCAAAACTTGGCAGTGTGAGACTCTCATAAAGGAAAAAAACAACCAAAGCCAAAGCCAATGAAAAAAAACCTGTCTCATACTTCAAAAGTCACCAGATTTAAATAGCATGCCTTGACATGAGACAGAACCTAATTTCTTCCATTAAAAAATGTTATCTCTATATATCATGGTTCAGTGAATGGCAATGAATCCAGAAAGCTTGGTTTAGCATGCCATGGTTATGACTGTACAAATCAGAACACTAGAGTTAAGATGCCCAATAGCACTCACCAAAAAATATTCTCTAATAACCTTCTTCACCATCCTTTCCCATGATCAACAGGCAACAATCAAGATATCACTTTGATGTTGATTTTGAATGTTAAAGTTCAACTATTAAAATCCTTAAAAATTATCACCACATTGATTGACATTTGGGAAAATCTACCCACTATATCCTGTACTTTATTATCACAAAATTGTGACTTGTTCTAAGAGCCACTGACTGATTTCTTTTTCTCTTTGTTTTTACAGTTGATTTATAAATTGGTATTCTACAAACACTACTGAAAGAATCAAAAGAGTGAAGACCATCTGTAGTCATATGGCAGTTCCTTTCTCAGTACCTAAGAATAGAATAGGGCACTTCAATTTGTTGAACAGAATCAAATACTTGTTTTAAAATGTAATCAATATGGGAGAATCCTTCCTCCTTGGTTGATGTTGTATTTACTGGTGAATCTTTATAAGCTCATACACAGGCCACTTTGATAATAGTTAAGAATTCAGCCTTAAGCACTAAATAAAAAAAAAAAATTGAATCTCAACTCTATCACTTATTTACTACGTGAATTTGGGCAGGTTATTCTGGTAGCCTCTGTTTCTTCATCTGACCTTTGGGATTATAAAAATCCATATATCCCTATATAAAATTCTAAAATATAATAAAAGAGACAATATCATGAAGTGTATAGCACAGTTTCTAGCACCCTATAGAATTCAGATGCTCATCTACTTACGATGGTGTTACATCCCAATAAACTTGTCATCAAGTTGAAAATATTGTAAGTCAAAAATATGTTTAATACACGTAACCTACAGAACATTATAGCTTAGCCTAGCCTACCTTTAAATGTGATCAGAACATTTACATAGGCGGCAGTTGGGCAAAATCTACATACAAAGCCTATTTTGTAATAAGGTGTTGAATATCTCATTAAATTAGTTGAATACTGTACTGAAAGTGAAAAACAGAATGGTTGTATGAGTACTCACCATGAATATACACAACTGAAAGCACACCAGGCGTGAAGAATGTTTAAAGCATTGAACTAAAATTAACTGCTGGATGATGGAAATACTGAAGTGACAGGGTCATCAATTTCTCTTTATTCTGATGAGGCTTGAGAATAGCTGATAGAAGGCACTGGGGCATCAACACTTGTTGATGGTTTAGCAGGTGCAGTGTTCTTAAGGAAGATATCAAGTAAGAAGTGTCGGTTGTTTACCCTTGTGATTGCGTGGTTGAGTGGGAGCTGCAGCTTTCTCTGCTCGCCGGCATGATGAGAGGGTATGGTACCATATATTGCTAGCCAGGAAACAGAACAAAATCCAAAATTCGAAGTATGGTTTCTACTAAATGCATATTGCTTTTGCACTGTTTTAAAGTTAAAAACATGTGGCCGGGCACGGTGGCTCACACCTGTAATCCCAGCACTTTGAGAGGCCGAGGTGGGCAGATTATTTGATGTCAGGAGTTTGAGACCAGCCTGGCCAACATGGTGAAACGCCGCCTCTACTAAAAATATAAAATTAGCCAGGTGTGGCTAAGAACAAAACTCCATCTCAAAATAAAATAACAAAGTTTAAAACATGTAATTTGAAAACCCGCTGTAGCAACAAACTAATGGTAGTAGCAGCAAAAAGTGATCGAGGTAAATGCTGGTGGTAGCAGCAGCAATGGTAGAAAAATGTTTTCATGCTACTAGTTATAACAGATAACATAATTACAAAGTTATCTAGATTTTCTTCAGGTTGCACTCTACTAAAAATATCTCATTATTGAATATTTCAGGAATGTCATTTGACTATAGCAAATTATACTTTAAAAGGTATTTTAGGTATTTTTGTTGTATTCTGATGCCTTGACCGTATCTCCCTTAGGACTGTTGCTTATCTGATTCATAAGAATTCCATGCTATATTATGTTAGTAAAACAGTTTCTAAAACATAGGATGAGAGTTAGGTAAAAGATGTATCATCTCCTACAAGAGATGTAAGGATGAATGAAACACAGTATCTGCTATCCAGAAACTTCCAATACTCAGAATTCGGTGATAAAGAACTACATAAACAGTGAAAAAGTGCAAACTAATATGTGTCTTAAAAGAGAAACACAAAATACAGCAAGGTTAAAAGGAGAAAAATGTACTTGACTGGTGGAGTCCAGAAAAAAAATTCATGAAGAAGTAGAATTTGAGATGCATTGGGAAAGACTAAGCAAGGAAACAGAAATAGTGGGTTGGGAGGCAATTCTCATGGGTTTCTTACATTTCTGCATGTCTTCTGAGCACAGGCACCAGCTAGCTTTGTTCCAGATAAATTTTTTAAGGATGTTAGCATGCAAACAGCTTTGGAGGATATATTATCTCCCTACGGATCAGAAGGTAGATTGGTTTGCTTTCCAATAAAATAAAGACAATCTCTCTCTCTCTCTGGGGCAAAGCTCAAACAGATTACTTGCAGCCCAGAGAAGGTTCAGATTTCTTAAACTTAGGGTTCTTCGGGTATGATACAAACCAACCACGTATGCACCATCCACCTGGGCCTTTCCACATTACCTCCATTGAATTCGGGGTACAAAAAGAGCCAAAACAATGGTGCTTGCTGTGCCGTAACTAATGCAGTCCTTTGTCTTACTTATAGCCTCTCATGCCATATTCCTAGAAGCTGAACATTGCCCAACAACTAAGTCAGTGCCTTACGTTTCAAATTTTTTTTATAGTGTCATACTAACTCTAGTTCCAATATCTGAATTCATCAGGATAACCTAAATCATGCTGTAGTAGCAAAACAGAACACAATCTGAGTGACTTAATCCCTTTACAGTTTGTTTCCTGTTCATAGAAAGTTTACTGTGAATCGCAGTGACTATCCAGGACAACTTGTTTCCATTTGGTGACCTAGAAATCAAGAATGTTTCAATCTTGTGGCAACTCCCTTGTAACATGATCTTCCTCTACAATTTCCAAGAGATTGCTAGAGTCTCACATAAGCAATTAAATGGCTCTTCCTGGATGTGACACACATCACTTCAGCTCCACCTAACTAAAAGGAGACAGAGAAGTATAACCTTCAAATGCACAATAAATGAAAACTAAAAATGAACAAGTACTAATGTCTCTGCCACCCTGTCCGACCTCAACTTAAAGAAAAAAAAAATAGAGATGTGACCTTGGAGTTGCATTTGTGAGGGCGGTAATTTTAGTGTCAAATGACTTGGTCCTTGTTCTGCAGCTTCAATTAGTGAAAGAGCCAGATCTAGTTACTCTCCGAGTTGATTGCTCTTTCTTTTATAAATACCAAGGCTTATTCTACTTCCTTTTGCTGTAACTCTTGATGGATTGGTAGTTGTGTGCCAGTTGACTGCTTAAGGAGTATTATTTACTCGCTGTTTTGGCATTAAAACCTTGGAACATATTTTCTAAGAAAATCAGAAAGCTCTGCATTAGAAGGAATTTGTCATGATATAACTTAACCATAAATAGAAAGATTGTTTTAAAATTGATCAACTTTTTTTTGTTTTATAACATGTAAAACTCTATCTGATATAGAACAAATAGTAATTCCAAAAGTTTGTTATCATTTAGTAGAATGTAGTATAAGCTCGAAGTTGCCTTATTTTCTTTATACATTCTAATCATGAACTCCTAAGCCATTTTAGTAATTGATAATTAAAATAGTTTGAAGATATCATTTTATATCAAAAGTTATTTAAAATCTTTTTTCAGATCATATGTTCTGAAATAATAAATCTATAAAATAGTGTTGTTTGTGGAAAAATAAATGTTATGTTTACTCCAAGAACAAATAAATATATATCACATGATACTCAAACACTAGTTTAACCTTAGTAAATATTTTAATTGTGTTTTGAACTTGAAATCAAAATTCTTCAGAAGTAACAGAAGTGGATGACAGACTCTTCAATTTAAAATGGTCAAAATGGTGCCTTGATAGAATTCCAACAAGGGAGATAGGAGAAGGGAGAATTAATTGGAGTGAAAGAACCCACAGTTTTTGGCAGTTTGTCTTCACCAGTCTGAGTAGTAACTAGAGGAATCTGTCAGATACATTGACATCTCTTTCTTTGCAAGAAATTAGAAAATAGTAACAAAGACATCACTGCCAGCAGCTGCCAACATTTTTATTTCCCAAGATATCTTAATCAGGCTCTCTTTAATGTTTGATATTCTTGATTGTCAGTCTTTTTTAAACCATATTTATTTAGCATGACTCTGAGGCTCCATGTCTATGGTAGTCTTGGAGAAAACTTGGGGGAAATGCAAATACTCTGTTTACATTGCCTGGTATGTTATTCAGCCAACAGTCACTAAACAAATGTAATGACTAAAGTATCCATACCTGGCCTCCAATTTCTTCAGTAAATGTTCTTTTCATTTTCCATTCTTAAAAATTAAGACTGTGGTGATATTGCTCAATGCTGTAATGGGTGTAAACAGAGTACAGTATAGAGACGTCCCTGAAAGTCACTGGGCCATATCTTAGTAATTGGCCATACATGGTAGTTGCCATGGCAAGAGTGGCTACATCGCCAGTGAATTATATTTGTTTCTAAGGTAAAGTTAGGTTTGTTTCTAAGGTAAACTCTAACATAAATCAAGAGAAGGTTAGGGGATGGATATACAACTTTTTTTTAAAATGTTACTTCTTTTGATATCTCAGAAATTAGAAATATAATTCCTATTGTGGGAAGAGTATTATATCATTTATCATTCTTTTTTAGGTTTTAGTTTCAAATGTTAACATGCATTGGACTATTTTCTGTTCTTGTAAGTATCATGCTGGGATAAGGAGGGCAATAGAGTGTGTGTTTTACTTTGAGGGTTACTATAGGTATGATTAACCAAACCTAATGTTAGTAAAATCTTCACTTTGTTTTATATCCAGTTATATATTATTTAAAGAAAAGTAAATTTCTAAAGCATGCTAATCTACATATATATATATATATATATATATATACCATGATTAGAGAAAAACAAGTTTTTGTTTATTGTAGTTTTGTTTGTTTGTTTCCATAAACCATTCCCTCTACCAGAATGTTCTTCAGAGATCCTCATGGGTCACTCCTTCCTTTCCTCTGGCCTTTATTCAATGCTACCTTATCACTTAAGCTTGCTGATTACTCATATAAAATGCAGCCACACTGCACTTCAGTTCTCTTCTCTCCTTTCCCCTTTTCACTTTTCTCTGTTACTCTTACCGTCTTGGACAAGGTATTTTATTCATGCATTTCTGTGTTTGCCTCCCATCTCCATGTCCACACCAGAAAGTAAGCATCATGATATTATGGACTTTGCTTTGTTTGCTGTCTCATTTCCAAACCCTAGACCAGTGCTGGGCACAGAGATACTCAAAAAGGTTTACAGAATACATGAATTAAGAATAAATACTTAATTTCAGCATTATGTAAAGAAACAACATTGTGAAACACCTACTTGGAAGGATATCTACTCAGCACTTTCTTTTTTTTTTCTTTTTTCTTTTTTTTTTTTTTTTTGAGACAGATTTTAGCTTTTGTTGCCCAGGCTGGAGTGTAATGGCGCGATCTCAGCTCACTGTAACCTCCGCTTCCCAGGTTCAGGTTGATTCTCCTGCCTCAGCCTCCCAAGTATCTGGGATTACAGGCATGCACCAACACGCTCGGCTAATTTTGTATTTTTAGTAGAGACGGGGTTTCTCCGTGTTTGTCAGGCTGGTCTTGAACTCCGGACCTCAGGTGATCCGCCCACCTCGGCCTCCGAAAGTGCTGGGATTACAGGTGTGAGCCGCCCCGCCTGGCCAGCACTTCCTTTTCTCTGGAGTTTACTTCTGTCCTCGTGTTCCACCTAACTCTTTGCACCTACATATGTGCTTCCTGTGAGCTTCAATGTACTTGATTAATTCTCTGTTACCCTGACCATAACGGATTAGTCTAGTCATCACCTGACCCAAGATGGCAGGGCCCTTCCCCAAGATTCCGGGCCTAGATACAGTTGATTGGTCAAGGGTGAATATCAGTCCTAAGCTAGAGTATTTAGGAACTGTAACAAATAGAGAGAGTCTGTCTCTTCTTGTGTGGTTAAAGTTTAGAGAGTCAAGGCTCCAAATATATTGACTGCCCTGTTTTCTGCAGAAAGCTGGGTCAGCTATGAAAAAACACAATGAAGCCAAAGACATAGAAAATATACACATTAGAATCTTGAATCAAAATCCAGAACCTTCGTTTTCTCAGGAGTACCACAAGCAATAAAAATAGTTTTCAACAAATTCAGGGGAAAAATACATTAGCACTTAATTTTTGAGCTGTGAAATATTAAAACATTACTTCATTTGTAATGCTTCCAGTATTTGTCTATTTAGAGGTAAGAGCAATGTATCCATTTTAACATGGGTGTAATTTTTTATACAACTTTCTCACTAGTTCTAGTTTTAGGTCAAAAGAATTTGGTCTATTCTCAATGGGAATATCAGGCTGTGTATTTTACTGTTGTTGAGAAAAGACTTTCGAAACAACATCTGATGTAGTCAATTGAATGCCAAACATAAGAAGACAGATTTCATTTCATAGTGATCAAGTTATTTATGGAATTTTGTTTAATCATACCCTGACTTCATGGCTGGAAGAAATAGCTTTAAATGACCATTACTTTATCTGGTAACAAGACAAAAATACAATCTAATACTCTTTACATATAGTGTATAGTAACTTGTACTATAGCCTAGTAACCAAGCCCTAGAAAGGTAAGACTATAACAAATTTTTAATCAGAGAATTTATAAATTAAAATCAGTGGAAAATTAAAAAATAATTTCCTAACATCAAAGTAGAGGATGCCTCAATACCCACTTTTCCTGCTTCATAACTTTGCCAAGTCTAATCCATATTGTTATTGCCACTGTCAACTTTATCTTCTAGCCATTTTTATCCATTGTATTTCACTTCTTGGGTGTTGAATCTACATGCCAGAAGTTAATCATCTCCAACCAATGTGCACATTTGCACAACTTAGCCACTTTCCCTTCCCAGCTCTTACACGGGGGTGCTATGGGTTGAATTGTGTCCACTCAAAATTCATATGTTGAAGTCGTAACCCCTAATACCTCAGAACATAACCTTATTCTGGAATAGTCTTTGTGGAGGTAATCAAGTTAAAATGAGGTCATTAAAGTGGGCCTTAATCCAGCATGACCAGTATTCTCACAAGAAAAGGAAACACGGACATAGACAAGTAGAGAGGGACAATGATGTGAAGACATAGAAAGATGATGGCCATCTACAAGCCAAGGAGAGAGGAATGGAACAGAGTCTCCCTCAGAAGAAACCAGTTCTGATGACGCCTTGATCTCAGACTTCTAGCCTCTAGAACTATTTTTGTTGTTTTTCTATTATTTAAACCACCCAATTTGTGCTACTTTATTATTGCAGCCCTAATGAACTAATACATTAATCCTTCAAGCCTCGGCATGAGCCACCATTTCAGGCCTCTCTCCTGAGCTTCATGTCCATAATCTCCGGTGCTGAAAACCATTGGAAGGATCCCACTCTTCTCAAGATAAGATACAGACTCTTTCATATTTCATGGCAAACTCTCCATTGGCTGACCACTTCCTGCCTATTTTGTCTTGCTCTGTGCCATATTTCATTACTCCTGACTAGCAGGTCCTACCAGAAACAAACTACTATAACTTTCATTCCATAAATGTTCACTATTCTCGGGGCTCTAAGTTTTTAGGTGTGATTTTTCCTCTACTATGAATCACTTCTAAGCACTTTCCCAATCTTCTTATTCCTTTGCCAGACAAAATTATAATAATCATTTGTTTTTAGTTTATACAGCTTCATCTTAGAAGGTCTCCATGGTGCCTAATGACTGGCTTACACATATACAGTTTCACGACACAAATGACTTATTCTTCTAGAAGCACTATTACTTGTCTTTGTACCTCATAAGATGATAAGCTCCTTGTAGCCAGGGATGTGTTTTCTTTACCATTGTATCTCTATGACTTAGCACAATGCTAGGCTGGCAGTACACAATAGATGCTCAAATGCTAAAGCACATACAATTTTATGAAGCCCTAACAGACTTTTTCAGGGCCTACCTTACTGAATACAGTGTAATTTAAATATTTTTGCATGTACATATTTTACTGTTGGTCAAAACTTTGTACAGTATCTCACTTTTCATATGCCACTGTTGGTCACATATTTAGTTTATTTATATGCCTATCTCCACTTAACAGTTCTATGAGAAAATGATATAGGCTGTACCTTTTTCATGTTCTGTTGCATATTTTAGTCCACTTCTTGGTACCTTATAAGCATTCATGATATTCATTAATAATAAGACAAAAATAATTCCATAAGGAAAACTAAATTTGTACCTTAGTAGGAGGGCTGAAATATCCTTGGAGTGAATCTCTTCTAGATCCACTTTAGCAAAACTTAAAAACACACATCAAGGTGATCAAACTAATCTGAAAGTAACTTAACTGCATACCAACACCAATTTTACACTCTGTAAAGAAATACAGCAGAATCCAGACACTCAACAATTTAACTTCACAATGCCCAACATCCAATCAAAAAATACTAAACATTCTTAGAAGCAAGGGTATGTTATTCACAACAAAGAGAAAAATCAATCAGTATAAACAGACATAAAGATCTTATAGCTGGGTGCAGTGGCTCATGCCTGTAATCCCAGCACTTTGGGAGGCCGAGGAGGGTGCATTATTTGAGGTCAGAAATTGTAGAACCACCTGATCAACATGGTGAAACCTCGTCTCTACTAAAAATACAAAAATTAGCCTGGTGTGGTGGAAGGCACCTGTAATCACAATTACTCTGGAGGTTGAGGCAGGAGAAGAGCTTGAACTCAGGAGGTAGAGGTTGCAGTGAGCCAAGATTGTGCCACTGCACTCCAGTGTGGGCAACAGAGTGACACTGTCTCAAAAAAGAAAAAAAAAAGATCTGGTAATAACTACATTTTCTAGTTTCCGTATTTGATGCTTTGACATCTTGAGGCCTTGCTGACTGTGAGGGACTGCTCCTCCCAGAGTTGGCCAGTTCTAGAAACAGTACAGTACTCTCTGTAAGCATGCCTTTTATATGCAAAATAACCAATCCACAGCCAACACTCCAACTGCCTTTTAAACCGGGTATTCACAGTCTCTGTCACTTAGGACCACTGTTCCTCTGCCTTAACGACCCCAGGTCAGGTGCCAGGTAACTAGGGATAACTCATGTTTTGCAGCACCCTGAAATTATTCAAGCTAGCCAATTCTAAACCCGTTTATACAGCCTCTTCCACTCCTTCCCATGAAAACCACAATAAAAGTTATTGCCCACATTTTCCCCTTGCTCCTTCTGCCTCCAGACAAACCCTGGTTCCACCCCCTTTTGGGAACTCTGAGTATAATAATCTATCTTTTCAATTGCAATTGTCTCCTCATCTGTTGGTCTTGAAATATCTGAATAATACAAAAAGCTACATTTAAAAACAAAGTCAGAGACAACGTAATTAGCAGTCAAGCATGTCAAAACAGCGTTTATAACATACATTTAAGAACTCCAGTAAAGGAGAACAAACATAAGAAGAAGAAGAGAGGAGAGGAGAAAAGAAGAGCAGAAATTTTAAGAAATGGAAATAGTAGTAGAATATATTCAAATTGAAATACAGAGAAAAGCCTAATAATATGTCATTGAGTCTCAGTGACTTCTGGAACATTAATAAGGTCTAACATCTGTGTAACAAAAATCCCTGAAAGGATCAGGAACCAGAAAAAATATCTAAAGAAATATTGGCCAAAACTTTTCTAATTTGATGAAAACTATCAACCCACACTTCCGAGAACCTCAACAAACACCAAGCAGAGTAAACATACATGCACACAGAAAAAATAAATAAGATACAACTATGCAAATCTGAAGTCATTTTTCTGTGTGCATGCATGTTTATCCTGCACACAGAAAAAATAAATAAGGAGGAAAGAAAAGAAGAAAGGAAGAGACCACCAAGGCTTGTTATCAAATTACTAAAAACAATGATAAAGAATAAATGTAAAAAGTGGCCAGAGGAACAATGACACATTACCTTCAGATGAACAAACATGAATATATTTGCATACTTTTCAGCAGACAGTACTGAAAACTATGAATAACATCTTTAACATCCAGAAAGTAAAAGACTGACAATGCAGAATTTTATATTCAGTCTTCCATAATGATAAAAGGCAGGCCCCCTAACATTTCCCTGAAAGTTAAAAGGCAAGGGATTATGGTAAATTAGGGTCTCATGAATACAGAGCGGAGGAAGAGTAGAAAATAAATTTGAGAGCGAATAGCCTACTAACTTTCAGACAATGTTTTATATAATATTTCCCAAGTCATTTGTATCATTATGATAATTTGCACGGCAAGTAGGTAGAGCAATTTTAATATATTTTCTAGTCTTTGATTTACTCCAACAACAAATAAGCCAACACATCAACTTTGGCACAGTACTTAAATAGCCAAATTTATCACTGTTTTGCATGCCATCAGTTTTTGAAACTAGCTGGAAAATAAAACAACACAAAATCAATAAAGTCATCAGGCAAATTTTTAGTAATTCAAGTCAAAGTTACCTTGACCAAATATCAAATTATTAGCAATAAATAGAGCAGACACATTTAAAAGTTATCATCCACTTTATACGACTCAAATTTTAAATAAAGCCTATTATTTATATGAGACAGCTCAAGCACCAGGACAACAGGTTTATGATAAAATGTTCAACATCACTCATCACCAGGCAAATGCACAACTGATGGCTATTACCAAAAAGAAAATAGGTAAGTGTTGGCCAGGATGTGCAAAAAACGAAACTCTGATATGCTTTTGGTGGAAATGTAAATTGTTGCAACCATTATGGAAAACAGTATGGAGGTTCCCCCCAAAATTAAAAATGAAACTGCCACAATATCCAGCAGCCTTACTTCTGAGTACGTATCCAAAGGAAATGAAACCAGTATCTCAAAGAGATACGTACATTTCATGCTCATTGCAGCATTAGTCACAATAGTCATGATATGGAATCGACCTAAGTATTCATTAATGGTTGCAGAAACAAAATGTGATTATCTACCTCTCTGCAATAGAATATTATTCAGCCTTCAAGAAATAAGGAAGTTCTGTCATGTGCAACATGGATGAAGCTGGAGGACATTATGCTAAGTAAATAAATCAGACACAGAAAGACAAATATTCCATAATCTCATATATACGTGAAATCTTAAAAAGTGGTTGTCAGGGCCTGGGTGAGGGGGAGATGGTGAGATGTTGGCCAAAGAGTACAAAGTTTGTTAGACAGGATAAATAAGTTATAGAAATCTAATGTACAGCATGGTGACTGTTAATAGTACCGTATTGTATACTTGAAATTTGCTAAGAGAGTAGATCTGAAATTTCTCATTGAAAAATGATAACTGGGAGAGGTGACGAATATATTTGATTGTGGTAATCATTTTATAATATATGTATATCAATCATGCTGCATACCATAAATATATACCATTTTTATTTTACTTTAAGCTGGGGGAACAAAAACTTTATTTACAAAAAAAAGAGAGAGAGAGAGATTCAGAGCCAGACAACTTGACAGAGCCCTCTACCTGCCACTGTAAAATAGTTACATCAGTTTCCCCAACTGTAAATCAGTATTATCTCTAATTCATGTGATTGTAAGAACTAAATGAAATAATGTTTTAAAATATTAGCATAGTTTTTGTATGATTGTGCAGGATGAATACCTGGGAGATTACATTTTACTGAAAGCCACAAGCTGTAGACTATATCTTGTGTCTAAAGGGAATTTTTTCTAAAGACTATTTACCCAAGGGGCATTGGTTTTACCAACCACTCCTGTATAGAATTGCATGGAGCATAGGGGTTAAGAAGAAATAAGAGTATAATATGTACAGACAAAAAGGAGAAAGAGAAATGATAACAGACTTCACTTTGGATTTCCAGCCGGCTAAAAGAAATAAGTGATGCATTCTTTACACTTACAAACTGTTACAAAAATGGACCAGAATTGTAAGGAAGGAATCTCAACTTCAGTTTATTTGCACAAACTCTCTTTCAACTAAATACAGAAGGATTAAATACTTCTTGACTTTTCCAATTCTATTTTAGAGAGGGAAAGAGGAGACATTAGAATGATTATATCAGTGTATATAATTTTCATCAATAGGGAGTAATTGATTGATTCCTGGACAGAATATGATTGTGGGGACTTAGAGAGAAAAAGGCTATATCACCTTATTGTTTGTAATAACAAGAAACTAGAAGGAAGAAATGACCCAAAACAGGTTGCCATCTTTGGGAAGGCTGGTTGTAAAATATTCAGGAAAAAAACAATTTCAAAGCATGAAATTCTGAAAGATAAGACGGTCCAAAGAATACATTTAAAATAATATAATCCTAACTGTAATTACAGACACTGTCAATCCCCAATTAAGGGATAATAGTTTTTTTAAATGGTGTCTCTACAATGAAGTTATAGAAACAAGGTAAAAGGGCAGTTAGGAGTTTCAGTTTTGCAATCCAGCTGCCTGAGTTTGAATCCCACCTCCTTCTGAAATTTAGCCACTGGGTGATACTGCCAAGTTACTCCACCTCTTGGTGCCTCAATTTTTTCATCTAAAATGTAGGGAGCATAATCTTATCCACAGTTTCTTATCTACATTTTAGGGTTTTGTGAGAATTAAATTAGTTAATACGTTTAAAGAACTTACCAAACTTACTAAAATTTGAAATACAACAAGAAAATAAATTCTAGGAATTATTTAAAGGGAAATATGTAGAATATGGGTAGCAAAGGCTAATACAAACTACTCTACATATACTAAGATCATCAAAATATGGTAAATATTTCTCATTGAGCAGAGTCACACAAAGAATATTTTTTATCATTGTGTGTAGTTATGCAACACTGATGGATATAAAGTAATTTTTCTTGTGAACCATCTGGTAAGAATGATCTGCAGATAGGAATAGAAACGAACATCATTTAAACTCAAGATTCATGAGCAATGGATACGCAAACACCTAGGTTGCCTTAAACAAGTGTTAAGTTGCATGCTTAGAATAAATAGTACATGATTTGATTCAGGTATTTGTGAAAATGTGGAGATTGAAAAGGTTCTGGAAAATTGGAGGAAAGCAAATATATTCCAGTATTCCAAAAGGGAAAAAGAGGTGAATTCCATAAATATAGACCAATGATATCAGTAGTAACAGTAGTAATAGTAAATACCATGTACTTACTACAGGTTAGCCAAAATATATATTAAAATGGTCAGAGTTATCAGAAACCATCCGAAAGGAAAGTCCAAAAGGTTCTCTTGCTTTTTAATGATTTTGCTCACAAGGGGAATGTCAAAGCAAAGCTAAAGAGATAAGAGAGTGACGAACCCTGTACGCAGAAACAGGCTACAAAGAATCCAGTGGTTTTTTGCTCAATTTTAAATCTTAGTCAAAGTTAGCAAGAGAAAAGGCAAAGAGGAAAGATAAACTTTTCAAGAAAGAACTCTGAACTTCCAAGAAACCGATTTGAATGCCTAACTTATTCAAGAGAATCATTAAGGAAAAAAATAAAAAAGAACAAGTGGAATACTTACTTTCACTCTTTTCAGCTTATTTCCCTAACATGCATACTATTATGCTCACAAAAAGACCAAAAATATTTTTCTAAAAATGTAATATATAAAATCACATTGAAGATAATTTTTAAAACCACATGATGTTTGTAATAAAACAAGAATTACTGCTGTTTCCTGAGATTAATTATGCAATTGCACAATCCAATATTATGCAATTTTCTATCCTCCATTCTACCAGTTGCCATAAATCTACAGGTATTACAAAGCATGCACTTTTTTATTTTTTCTCTGATTCTTTTTTTTTTTTTTTTGAGACAGATCTTGCTTTGTTGCTCTGTGGCCAGGCTGGAGTGCCGTGGTGTGATCTTGGTTCACTGCAACCTCCACCTCCCAGGTTCAAGCAATTCCCCTGTCTCAGCTTCCTGAGTAGCTGGGACTACAGATGCATGCCACCATGCCCGGCTAATTTTTGTATTTTTAGTAGAGACAAGGTTTCACCACATGGTCAGGCTATTCTCGAACTCTCGACCTCAGGTGATCCACTTGCCTCGGCCTCCCAAAGTTCTGGGATTACAGGCGTGAGCCACTACGCGCGGCCCTCTGACTCTATCTTAAAATGATAGTTGGTCTTCCCAGTTAGGTTAGCAGCAGAAGAAAAACATAGGTCATAAGTCTACAAATATAATACAAAACATCACTATTCTAAAATCTAACATGGAGCATATAATCTGGTCAAGTACATACAGGGCAAAGATTTCCTTGGGTGATTTTACTGAAAGAGTGCACCTGAAAACTTCAAAATACAAATTTTCGGGCACCAAACCAGACCTATCAATTCAGAGTTTCTTGTAGTGGCACCCAACAAGTCCTGTAGATATTTCTTACACATGCTAAAGATTGAAGATGATCATCATATACTATCCCATAGAGCTACACAAACTTGAAAAGATGAAATAAAAACAAAAACAAAGGAAACGTCAATATAAACTATTATCTCTCATTTTGACTTTCGCTAACCATGTCTAACCATGCCTTTAAGCCCCCTCTTATAACACATGATTCACATAACTGCCTGTGTTTTAGTAGCTCTGGGGGAAACTCTTGGGTATAAAGAAATTTCTAATTAGCTAAAAATTATTTTTCAGTCAACTGGTGTTTGCTTGGTAGATTGCAGTGATGATCAGGATAACAACAATTTGTTGCGTTTTTTGTCATTGTTATGTGAACTACTGAAAAACCTCATTTAAAATACATCCATGGTCTTCCTGGAGTCTTACCCATTAGGCTAAAGCAATTCACCCAGCTGTCCTGTTTGTTTGCCTATTGTTTATGACTCTTTTTGAGTGACAAAGGTGAGTGATTGTGGCAGAGATCATAAGGCCTACAAAGCCAAATATGTTTATCTGGCTCTGTGGAGAATAAGTTCTCTGAGTCCATTAAATCCAACATATCCAAGAACAAACTAATTATATTTTTATATTTTTCCTCTTAGGAGAAAAACAAAAGTGCGTTCCTAGCCTAGAGTAAATTAGTACAAGATTAAGACTCCAGGAGAATGAGATTTAATTCCTAATATAAGATTCCAGCTATTTATAACAAACCAAGGTAGATTCTATTGACCATTTCTTGTGCTATTTTAAAGACATGAGTAATTTAGGCACTGATGGTTGGTGGTCAGAGAGTGTTTGTTCCTAAGAGGACTGTTATTGTTTTGATAAAATGTAGATGTTTCCCTCTGAGGAAACTATCACACATATTTAAAACCCAGTTTTCACCAATATCAAGCTGTGTTTACCCTACTATCAAAGAAAACACTGAACTTACAAACAGGCATGATAGATTTGATCAATATCAAGTTTCACATTCTCCTAAGATTTGACAAATATGAAAACAAAACATTTTTCCCCAAAAAAAGTCATACATCCACAAAAATGGAAAGAATAGAAGAGGATAAGACAATGACAAAATTTGAGAAGTCTGAAGGCTCATGGACAAATGCTATTGGAATTAGCAGACAATAGAAAGAAGACACCTGAGCTGGGGTGTCCCCCAGCAAGCTGGGCTCCAATAAACCTGAGAAACTAAAGCCACAGGCAAATAGAGGAGCTGGTGAGGTAGCAATCAGCTGGAATTTTGTTTGCATTTGTTTACCATTTGAGGAGCATATTATTTATTATTTATCTGATATATGTAATTCATAGAAGTCTGGGTCACATCTATTATATCAACAAATATTTTTATAATTGTGGAAGACTTATTGACCCATATTAATGATACTTATTTCTAGAGCTAATCCTTTATAACTTTCACAGACGATAAAATATTTCTAACATCAAACCAGAAACATCACATCCACTTGAATTTATTCTATACGGTGTCATCATTCAAATATGTTATACATTTTTTAAAGTCCACAACAACTTTACATTGCCTTTTAAAATTTCATACGTGGCAAACTGATTTTGCAAAGGGAAAGTTAATTTTAGCGGCCAGAGGGTACCAGGAAACTACTTCTAGTTTAGGGGACATGCTGAGAAAGACAGACCGTTTTGTGAATCTTTCCTCCCCATGTGCACCGAATGAGCCTTAAGACATCTTTACTTATCTGATCTGTTTTGTTTGGTGACATCAAATATACTGAGTTGCTCTGAGAGCATCTCAGTTTTCTTTGCTTCCTCATTCTTTTTTCTTCTGCGTCTAATCTGTACCTCTTCTAAGATTCAATAATTTCTAGTCATTTTAATAAATACTTGAATAAAAATTTTAATATTAAAATATTTTGATTTAAATAATTTTTTATGAAAATATTTGATTAAAGGACCTCAGATTTTATCTCTCATTAGTAGAGGAAAAGAGAGGTAGGAAATAATATATGTTTCAGTAAGAGTCCTCCCCTTCCCACAATTAATGACTACACAAGTATGTGAATTAAAAAGTTAAAAGAAAATAATCTTGCTGTTCACATATCTTCATACTATCTATTCAGATCATATGATGATATCATAAAGCAGCCAATTTCTCACTGGTTGGGTGACAAAATGAACATATATAACAAATATAAACAGATAACTTGATAAAGCTTCAAAAGTTTGCACAGTGCATGAACATCTCCTTTAATAGTAGGCATTTTTTGCATTAACTTAATAATATTTCTAAAGATATAACTTTATAATTTGTGTGTAGATTTGGAAAACTAAATGAGTAAAAGCCAACTAAAATGTAATAGGGACTTACTGTAATAAAAGTGGATCCAATATATTAGTGAAAAAGAATGAACATTTGATCTGTCAAAATTAACAAAAGAAAGACAAGTGTTTAATAGACAAGAATGCTAGGCTTCTGGAGGGGCGCTGCATTTAAATATGCTTTAGCAATCTTAAAACATATCAATGAAATGAGCAGTGCTTTATAACACTAGCTGCAGTAATAAATCAAACTCAAGAATCCATTGGCTTAATGTAATAGAAATGGATTACTTTTTCACATAATAGACCAATGCATGTGTCCTTGGAGTTGTAGACATCTGCTTTAGCCTCTCCTTAGGGAGCCAGCTGATTTCTATTTTGCATTTTTTTTTTTTTTGAGACCGAGTCTCGCCCTGTCCCCCAGGCTGGAGTGCAGTGGCGCGATCTCGGCTCACCGCAAGCTCCGCCTCCCAGGTTCACGCCATTCTCCTGCCTCAGCCTCCCGAGTAGCTGGGATTACAGGCGCCCGCCACCACACCCGGCTAATTTTATTTGTATTTTTAGTAGAGACGGGGTTTCACCGTGTTAGCCAGGATGGTCTCGATCTCGTGACCTCATGATCCGCCCGCCCTGGCCTCCCAAATTGCTGGGATTACAGGTGTGAGCCACCGCACTCGGTCTCTATTTTGCATTTTTAATTGTTGACTTTCTAGGCTGACTATGCATTAAAGTCAGGTGATAAGACAGGAAAGAAAATGTGAAAATGGCACACTTTCATGTTAAAGGTGACTTACTCTGCTCACGTTTCATTGGTAAGAACTAGTCACATGATCCCAAAAAAATGCAAAGAAGCCTGGGCAAAAAAAAAGTCCCTAGCTAGGAAGCTGCTTCCTACCAACAGCTCAGTACCAAGAATCAAAAACTACAGGCTTGGGTCAGATCCAGCCTCCTGCCTATTTTTATATGGCCTGCCAGCCAAGAATGTGTTTTACAGTTTTAAATGGTTGTTATTAAAGTACCTACATAATGTCCCCTATTTTACCTCTTGGCCTGCAAAGTGTCAAATATTTACTTTTTGGAACTTGACCGAAAAATTTGCTGACCCTTTCCTATGCAAAGGGAAAAAAACTGACTTGAGAGGCAGATTGCTGGAATATTCAGCCCTTGTAGCCTCTCAGTGTCTATGTGTGGACTCCCTCCCACATACAGAACTCTTATACTTCTCTCTAGGGAACTACATTAAGTGTTATCCCATTACAGCATCCAGCTCAAAGTCTAGGATCTCTGTCCTCCAATCCAGATAGGGTTCTTCATAAACCAGAAAATAATAAATTATGTTATCATCAACTTTTATGCATTTGCTCACAGTCAATATAAAACAACAGAGCAAGGATCGGTGCGAGAAAAATCATCATCCATGACAAGGAAAATAGGAGATTCAGTAGCAACATACACAGAAATCATGGAAAAACACAAGAAGGTGCAAATGTCCTAGCACTGGGAGTATTTGAGTAGATCCTAATTCTACTTCTAGGAGAAATATCCTTGTTCATTGTTCTCCATAGCCCGTAACTCTGCCTTCTGGAAATTTCTTCCTTAAATGTTATTCTCCATGCCACATCTGAAGTAGACATTAGGAAGTCATGCCCTCATAGCAGGCTCCTCAGATTTCCATGCTCACTTGTTTCTTCTGAAATTTCGGGAGTGGACCCAAGTGTTATTTAAAGATTTTAATACTCAGAGTACTGGGCTTATGGCTTCTTTGTAATATAGCTCCCTTCAAAATCTTCATGGCCCATGAATTGTGGATGCCAGATAAAACAGAGTGCCCACAGTTTAATTTGAATTTCAGATAAACCACAAATAATGTTTTAGCGTTAGTTTGCCCCACATATTGTATACTATATTTACTATAGAATAGATTAAAAGGGACATACCTATACTAAAACATTATTTGTTGTTTACCTGAAATCCACATTTAACCAAGTGTCCTATATTTGTATTTGCTAAATCTGGCTACCCTACCGTGAATTCTTTGCATCCATGTATCAAGAATAATACCCCAAGTTCTTTGTAGATACTGTCCTCACACCAGGTCTACTCCTTGGTTTCACTGCGATAGCTCTCCATTTCAAGATCATGTTGACTACACTGCTACTATAACAATCAGATGGATGAGAAAATCCACATTTTATGCGGCCTTTGACACAGTGCTGAGTCTTAATGGGCCTTTGAGACTGAAAGCTTTTTAGGCCTTAGGTCTTCTCATTTTGGCAATGGAAGCTTTTCCAACCCCAAGAGGCCTCAATTCCTGCACTGTTTTATTCTCATCTCTGTAAGCTCTCAATCACACCAATTATTGCCTGAGCTCATCTCTTTCCTTGTAATAACTTGCTCACCTCAGCAAATGACAACCAACATAAGCTATTAATATCTGACTTTTTCCAAACTTTTCCCCCTACAGGCTTAGTAAACAGGTAGTCAGTCTTTCAACGTATTACAAGCAAAATTTTACCAAATGTTTTGCCATAAAAAATGTGGTTCTGGCCAGATGTGGTGGCTTACGCCTGTAATCCCAGCACTTTGGAAGGCCAAGGCGGGTGGATCACCTAAGGTCAGGAGTTTAAGACCAGCCTGGCCAACATGGTAGAGCCTCATGTCTACTAAAAATACAAAAATCAGCCAGGTGTTGTGGCGGGCGCCTGTAGTCCCAACTGCTCGGGGGCTGAGTCAGGAGAATCGCTTGAACCCTGGAGGCGGAGGTTGCAATGAGCCAAGACCTCCCCACTGCACTCCAGCCTGGGCAACAAGGGGAGACTCCATCTCAAAAAAAAAAAAAAGAAAAGTGGTTCTTTGTGCAGCGTGTTTCCTCTTTGGTTGCTGCCTGACTGCCAAGCCACTGCCATATATTTTAGGTTTTTATTTTAGTAGCACATGCTGCATATAACCACATCTATACAGCTTAGGGTAATGTTATCTGCTCTACAAATGAGCCATAGCATCTCAGTTGTTAAACGCAGGAGAGGTTATTTCCCATTTAAGTAACAGTCCCTTAGAGATGCCTCATCAAGAAGGTTACATGGGGTGAGGAAGTGCTTCTGTTCTGTTCATGCTCTTAGGGATTCAGGCGGCTTCAGAATCTTCAGTACCGGATTGCCTTGGGCATTCACATCCAGGAGGCAGAAAGGAAAAGAGAATGAAGAAGGTGCATGTGCTCCTTCCATGCTTGGCCAAAAAAAAGCCACTTGGCAATCATTCCCTGTCATTCTCTGATAAGGAGACATGATGAAGTGGCCCACTTAGATGCAAGGAGGCTGGGTGGGACATGTAGTTCTGAATTACATTGCTCTAGAAGTTGACATATGAACTTTTGATGGACTTCAGGGGGTCTGTGCTACAAAGGATAAATAAATCCTCCTCTCAATCCAGATAGCTCAATGCAAAAACAGAAACATTTTTTGAACATCTGTTATTTTCAAGATACAGCTATCAATGCTAAAAAATCAAAGGTAAACAAAATCCATGTTCCATGCCAAAAAATAGTTGTATGATGTATTAGTTTCCTAGGGTTGCGATAACAAAATTCCACAGAATGGGAGCTGGAGCAACACATACTTATTTTCTCACATTTCTAGTGGCTAGAAGTCCAAGATTGAGGTGGCAACAGGGTTGGTTTCTTCCAAAAGCCAAGAGAGAAGGATCTGTCCCAAGCCTCTCTTCTTATTTTGCAGATGGCCTTCTTCTCCTGTGTCTCCTCACATGCCATTCCCTCTGTGTGTGTCTGTGTCCTAATCTTCTCTTCTTATAAATGCACTCTAGGCTTCAGGCCCAACTTAACAATCATTTTTACTCAATCCCTTCTGTAAAGACCTTATATCCAAATGCAGTCACATTCTGAGGTACTGGAGTTTAGGACTTCAACATATGAACCCGGGGGGATCACAATTCAATCTATAGCACATCTTAGAAAATAGATACCTTTTCTTATTCCTTTTCTTCTATGGAAAAAATTATGCAAATTATTCCTCCAGTTTTATTTTAAAATTATGTTTTGATACATTGTGAAAACAATTTTTTTTTTTGAGACAGAGTCTCGCACTGTCACCGGGGCTGGAGTGCAGTGGTGCAATCTCGGCTCACTGCATCCTCTACCTCCTGGGTTCAAGCAATTCTCTTGCCTCAGCCTCCCGAGTAGCTGGAACTACAGGCACCCTCCACTACGCCCAGCTAATTTTTGTATTTTTAGTAGAGACGGGGTTTCACCATGTTGGCCAGGATGGTCCTGAGCTCCTGACCTCGTGATCCGCCCACTTCAGCCTCCCAAAGTGCTGGGATTACAGGCCTGAGCCACCACGCCCAGCCGAAAACAATTCTTAAGAATAGTCTCCCTAGATCAGAATGATTGAGTTATACTTAACTCTGAAAAGCATAATCAACTATAAAGTTATTGTTTACATACCTTTAGGGTAAAAAATACTACTAAAAGATTGCAAACATGTAAAAATTCTCCAGAAACAAACTTTCCCTTGTCCACATAGAAAAAATTAAACCTCAGTAATATTAGGTTGGTGCAAAAGTAATTGCGGTTTTTGTCATTTTTTTTTTGTTTGTTTGTTTGTTTGTTTTGTTTTTTAAAGTAATGGCAAAAATCGCAACCACTTTTGCACCAACCTATTTATTAAAATCACTCTTTAATGGGATTGATTTAGTCTTTTTTTTAGTTTGTGCTATATGTAAAGAGTAGACATTCTAAGATTTTATCAGGGATAAGAGATCCTGATGTGTACAATCTCTCTCATGTTAAACATTTCAGATGTTGAAGAGCCTGAGAAACTCCAGGTTGTATAACTTTCTCTGCGGTCTTGAGTTCTAGGATGTATTTAAAATGCAGTCATTGTAATAAATCATGAAAATCACTTTTTAAAATTCGAATGGGATTACAAAGTTCAGACAACCAATATGTAAACAATTTGAAAGCAGAGAAACGAGACTTAGAATCCATGACTACACTTAAATTTACTTTGGAGATAATGTAATTTATTAGCAGTTAATCCTCAAGTCTTTCCAGACAAGCGATAAGGAGTGTTGATGCCACGTGGGAAGAAACATAAAAGAAAACTCCATGGTCTAAAATGTAAATTTAAAACAACCCTGCTGGCTTTCTTGCACAAATGGACTGGGATTGTCCCACAGTAATGACGTTATGCATTTTGAGTTATTTTTCCAGTTATGTTAATGAGTCTGTCCATTTGCCATCACCTGTTTTCCTTTTACATCCTTGGTCATACTTGCCCACATTTCTGACATGACCCTTAGATACAGGTGATAGATCTGGGGCCATAAAATAGTTTTCCTGTGACTGAAGCAGCCCTGCCTACATAGGAAGGAAACCCGCAATGTTGGTCCATGTAAAATAATCTCTAGGGCACAAGGCTGTTTAGCTCAATCCTTATAACCCACAAAAACAAATGAACACGACAACAGAGTAAATAGCTGATAGGGCCCTGTTTATATGGTAAAGCATTTATTCCAAAACTCTTTAGGAAAACCCTGCCTTAAACAGTGCATTGTTCTAACCTATGCATGTAAGGGAATGAGATGGTTTTTTTTTTTTTCTGAGCTAATAGGAAACTGACCCAGAAGTGAACTACAGCAAGGAGTGTGATTTGACACTTAGAAAAGAAGCTTTTGTGAC
Organism: Homo sapiens; assembly: GCF_000001405.40. Classification (NCBI taxonomy): domain Eukaryota; kingdom Metazoa; phylum Chordata; class Mammalia; order Primates; family Hominidae; genus Homo; species Homo sapiens. The sequence continues at coordinate 27,085,712 of NC_000021.9, read as the reverse complement.
CATTCAGCCAGAATCCATCTTTTCATTGCCAGATTTTAAAAATAAGGCTTATAAGAGTTACACAGGTGCTGCTGGTGAGCTATTTATAGCTGCCAAGTCAAATGAGTCTCCTCTGGCATCCATTAGGTTCAACTTTATGATACCTTGACTCAGTTATAAAAATACATCCTCCCATTAGCAGGAATGCCATGCCAAATGTGCAACACAGAACTAGATGGAGCTTAATTCCTCCAGAGTTTACCAGTCAACCTTGCACCTTCCCAGATTTGCTAACAATAATGTTGTCCAAGGATCCACAGACGGATTTGTTTTTATTAAAATATTCTAAATAAGGGTTTCTCCACCTTGGCACTATTGATAGTTAAAATCAAGTAATTCTTGGCTGGGCGCAGTGGCTCATGCCTGTAATCCCAGCACTTTGGGAGGCCGAGGCAGGTGGATCACGAGGTCGAGATCAGGACCATCCTGGCTAACACGGTGAAACCCCGTCTCTACTAAAAATACAAAAAATTAGTTGGGTGTAGTGGAGGGCGCCTGTAGTCCCAGCTACTCGGGAGGCTGAGACAGGAGAATGGCGTGAACCCGGGGGGCGGAGCTTGCAGTGAACCGAGATCGCGTCACTGCACTCCAGCCTGGGCGAAAGAGCGAGACTCCATCTCAAAAAAAGAAAAAAAAAAAAAAATTCAAGTAATTATTACGGGGCTGTCACTTGTGCATTATAGGATGTTTACAGCATTTTTTTTTTTTTTTTGAGATGAAGTCTCACTCTGTTGCCCAGGCTAGAGTGCAGTGTCATGATCTTGGCTCACTACAGCCTCCACCTCCTGGGTTCAAGCTATTCTCCTGCCTGAGGTTCCAGAGTAGCTAGGATTACAGGCATGTGCCTCTACACCTGGCTAATTTTTGTATTTTTAGTAGAGACAGGGTTTCACCATGTTGACCAGGCTGGTCTCGGACTCCTGACTTCAAGTGATCTACCCACCTTGGCCTCCCAAAATGCTGGGATTACAGGTGTGACCCACCATGTTCAGTCCAATTATAGCATCTCTGAGCTCTATGAAATAGATGCCAGGAGCATACACCAGCTGTGACAATCAAAAACAACTCAGACATCGTCAAATGTCCCACAGGCAGGGAGGTGGGGTGACTGAGTCAAAACCACATGTCTGTGATAGACATGCTACACAGGACTGCCTACAAAATGTCTAGGGCTCAATGCAAAATAAGCGTGCAAGCTCCTTGTTCAAAAAATATTAAAAATGTCAAAGAAGCCTCAAACCAAGCACCAGTTCCTTCTAAACACAAAGTCTTGTGCTTTTACACAAGTCATAATCTCAGGAGGTCGGCCCTGAGGCTACATTTTTCCAACCCATTGCTCAAAAATCATAATGCTAATAATACACAAGTGTATAGTTTATAAGTTCTATTGGCCAAGCTCACAGCTGTAGACACCTCACATGCTTCTTTCATGTTATGTATGAGGTAGTTGCTTTCATCACCCTGTTAGTTCCAAACCATTTATCCACATTCCATATCCTGTTTACCATTCTCCCAGGTACTAACATCTTTACTTACCCTGTCATTCCTGTACTTATGTGGCCATTGGAAAAGACAAGGGCTTCTTACTTAACAGCTGGCTTTCCTTCAACCAGGGCTCTGCTGTCAACTCTGTACCCACCACCAAACAACTGTGGGTTGTCTTGGACAAATTCTACCCCACTCTGCATACCAAACCCCAGTATCTCCCACAATAGGCCATGTGCATCCCTACATCCCTACCACAGTCCTGCCCTAGGGACTCCAAAATGCCTTCTCCCAATCAGCTTGATAAACACGATTCCATTAACGTGACATGTTTGTTTTGACCCAAATTGCCACTTACAGCGGATTTTTCTAAGGTGGTAGACCTTAGTGTTTGAAATACTACATCAGCATTTTGCAGATGAAGAAATCAAGGCTTTGAAATTTTTAAAAAAACAAAAAACAAAGCCTGCCCAGGATCACACAGTAAAACTTAGGACCTGAAGCCCTGTCTATTTAATACTGAAGCCCTTGACCTTATCCACTACATTACCCCCCCGCCCCGCTGCCCTCTTAATGCTTCTCCAGATCACGGAGTATTATTATGATTCTTTCTCATCACACCTATTAGCTGTGAAAAGCATCTCAAAACCAAGGGAACACCATGATGTTAGTAGTTGACCATTCGAAACAAGAAGAAAATATTGTGTCAGGCAAGTCTGACATTAATGCTCTAATATTTTACCATTTCTCAAAACAGAAGCCAAAAGAAAATCAAAGAATATCAGGACTGGCTTTTTTGAAGATATCAGCTTTCTTTAACACAAAATGTATTTGCATTTATTTTACAACGAATCAGCATTATTATTTGCTTTCCAAGTATATGTTATAATGATCTAACCTAGGATTATTCAAATAATATTAATAGTGAAAGATATTTGAGTACTAGAATTATCACACTTCCTAAGATTATAATTTACCATCTATTTGATTAAAATATTATTTTGGCGGGGCATGGTAGCATGTGCTGGTGGCTGAAGCAGGAGGATCATGTGAGCCCAGGAGGGGGTTACAGTGAACTATGATTGTACCACTATACTCGAGCTTAGGCAACAGAGCAAGATGATGTCTCTAAAAAATAAATAATAAACTTTTAAAAAATTTAATAAAAATATTATTTTATTTCATATCTCCATTCTCAAATCCAGAACTTTTCTAAGTAATTTTTACTTCAAGTCTTTCTACTGCCAAAGGAGACCTTTTCCACTGGGAAGTATATATAGATCAACACTGTGCTAAAATTTATGATTCCCCTGCGTATAAGTGAACAGCATTTTAGAAATCAATTCTGCTGAAATAGAGTTCTGTATAGCGAGATCCTGTACCACCAATCATTTATGCTGAATGCCAACCACTAAATTTAGCCATTGTCAAACAATCCCATGAGAAGAAAAAGGAAAACGTAGAATAATGTAATAATGAGCATCTTTGTGTTTTGTTTAGCTTTTTTCATTTTATTGAATCTGCCATGGCCATCTGTAGGTCACAGGCCCTGCACAGGAAAAACACTGCATAGTCCAAGAATGTGTGAGAAAGTGGAGCCATTCAATGTCCAATGTCAGAAGAGTCATTTGTTTTATACATGTAGCCATTCCAATATCCTGAGCAGTTGGGAAAATGCTATGAAAAAAAAAAGCAATTCTTTTGTCAATTGAAACTGCGAAGTGTGAGAAGAATCTATAACCTTTTGATGAAAAGATGTCAGCTCAAAGACCTCTCCACTGTAACAAAAAAGCACAGTTGTACGTGTAGAAATTTAAAAAATTAAATTTGGGAGACAACTGGCCATGCACTATAAGATGTTTTATGAATAAATCATTATAAATAACAAAAAATGCAGTCATATACATCATCATTCACATGGTTAAGAATCATGAGAAAGAAAAAAGCAAAAAACTAAAGTGGCCAAAGCTATATATTACCCTTTTAAATATGTAAATAGAGTTCGAATACAGAAGAAAAAGTTCAGTATCACTCTCATGGTAGGGATGTTATTCCATTCACTTTTCCTCTGAATTTCATCTACTTCCATATTTCAGAAATTGTTGACATCTTTCTCTGAACCTACTTTCTGTTTTGTTACCACTCTATATCCATGAGGGACTGGTTCCAGGACCCACTGAGTATACTGAAATCCACAGATGATCAAGTACCTTATATAAAATGGTATAGGATTTGCATGTAACCTCTACACACCCTCCTGTATACTTTAAATCATCTCTAGATTACTTATAGTACCTAACACAATGCCTACATATTACTTTCTTCATATGGATTCAAAGCAGTATTTGAGGCTGGGCATGGTGGCTCACATCTGTAATTTCAGCACTTTGAGAAGCCGAGGTAGGCCAATTGGATCTCCTGAAGTCAGGAGTTCGAGACCAGCCTGCCCAACATGGCGAAACCCTGTCTCTACTAAAAATACAAAAATTAGCCAGGCGTGGTGGCATGTGCCTGTAATCCCAGCTACTCGGGAGGCTGAGGTGGGAAAATCGCTTGATTCCAGGAGGCGGAGGTTGCGGTGAGCTGAGATCACACCACTGTACTCCAGCCTGGGTGACAGAGTGAGACACCATCTCAGAAAAAAAAAAAAAAAAAAAAAATATATATATATATATATATATAAAATATATAAATATAAATATATATAATATATAAATATAAATATATATACTATATAAATATAAATATATATAGTATTTGATACAAGGCAAATCCAAGTTTTGGTTTTTGGAATTTTCTCTTTTCCAAATATTTTCCATCCAGTGTTAGCTGAATCCACAGACCCATGGATATGAAAGGCTAACTGTAACTGCATTTTAGTTTGCATAGCCATTCAAAAAAACTTTTTAAAAAATAAGTTACAAGGCCTCCCTCACTTCTTATTTGTCTCCTTTGTGGCCTCCTCTACCTTTCTGGATTTAACTATTAAAGTTCACCGTGGTTCTGACCTTGAGCATCTTCTTTCCTCTCTGTCCACACTCTCCCTGGCCTCATACCTTCTAAATGCCTCAGCCACCTCCTGAATGCTGATAATCCCTACATTGATATCTCAGCCCCAGCCTTCCTTCTGAGGTCTAGATCTCTATATTCAGACTAATGGACTCTCCTCCTCAGTATGCATGGGCTGCTTAAACTTAACATGGGACAGAAGCCATCCTCCCAGCCCCCTGCCCACTAGCAGATTATGCACTGTCCCTGGTCACTATTACAGAGAATGGCATCATCGCCACCCTAGTCAACCGGAATAGAAATATGTTGGTGGTGGATGGTGATTGTCATCCAAGATTTCTCACTCTCCTGCAAGCCTCCAAACCAATACATTAACCGAGCCACTCAGCCCTCCTTGTGACATATCTCATCCCTCCACCCAGCCTGCCACTTTACCTCAGTCTCTCATCAATTTTACCCAGATAACTGTGCATTCTATCACCTATCTCCCTGTCTCTGATCTAATTCTCTTCCAATCTTCCTTCTCTCCAGCTACGAGTTATTTTTCTAAAATCCAAATCAGATTATATAATTTGCCTTTTAAAAAAGTTTAAATGTCAGCCGGGTGCAGTGGCTCACCCCTGTAATCCCAGCACTTTGGGAGGCCGAGGTGGGTGGATCACAAGATCAGGAGATCAAGACCATCCTGGCTAACATGGTGAAATCCTGTCTCTACTAAAAATACAAAAAATTAGCCAGGCGTGGTGGCATGCACCTGTAGTCCCAGCTACTCAGGAGGCTGAGGCAGGAGAATTGCTTGAACCTGGGAGGCAGGGGTTGCAGTGAGCAGAGATCGCACCACTGCACTCCAGCCTGGGAGACAGAGCGAGACTCTGTCTCAAAAAAGATTAAAAAAGAAGAAAAGTTTAACTATCGTTTCCTTCCACATGATGGTGTAAAAAATAAAGCCATTTCTGGCCCGGGTCCTATGAATCTGTCCTTCTTTATTTTCTCCCACCCTCCAAGCTCAAAGATGATCTCATCTGTGAAACTTGATTCATACTCATAGGCTTCAAACTGCTCATATGTCCTTTATCCCCCAGCTGAGATCAAAGTGTCTAAGAGGCTTCAGAGCCTCTGCTGTAAATACTAACCAGCTACTTGACCTTAAACAAGTTCCTTCATCTGTGTCCTATTTACTCATTTGTAAAATTGATATAATAATAGCACCTGTCTCGTAAAGTCATTCTGAGGTGTAAATAACATAATTCATGTAAAAGGATTAGCAAAGAGCACAGCACTTAGTAAGAACTCATCAAATGTTAATTGCGAGGATTATCGTAATGATTTATGTATGCATCTTTCCACTAGAGAATTATTCATGCATCCTCTGCAAGTAACACACTGATACATAATTGTGACTCATTTAATGTTTGTTGAGCTTATCAGTGAGTGAATGGACAATTGAATCATTCATTTTGAATGATATTGATTCATATATATTGATATGCGTATAAATCAATATAATTTCTGGGTCAACAAGTAGGAAGTCAGGTATCTGGTAGGCGCCCAATAAATTATTCTTATACTTCATTATTGACTCCTAAGACTTATTTGAGTTCAGGTGTTCATCCAGTTTTGTCACCTTTCTGACATAAACTGAGGATGTAAAAATGAATAAAGGAAAAAAGATAGCCATCATCCTTCTCAGACATTACAAATGTGACAAAATGAGAGTTTAATTAAGATCTATCAAATATCAGTGGTCTTGCTTCCAAAATCTGTGTTACTTAGGGGTCTCTGAAGAAACAGACCAATAGGATGTGAGTGTGTGTGTCCATGCATGCATGTGTGTGTGTGTGTTTGTGTGTGTGTGGAGAGACAGAGAAAGAGAGAGAGGGAGAGAGAGCGAGAAAGATTTATTTTAGGAATGGCCTTATGCAATTATGGAGGGGATTAGCAAGTCTAAAAATCTACGTGTTAGGCCTGCAGACTTTAGACCCAGGGAAGAATTGATGTTTCCGTTCCAGTCCAAAGGCTGTCTGCTGGCAGGTGCTCAGAAGGACCTTGTTAGGATCTCTATCATCCTTTTATTATGGATGAGGACATTCAAACTGAGACCAATCACAAAGCCAGTTAGCTGTTGGGCTGGGATTCAGTGCCCCATCTCTCTGATTACTAAATCCCTCCACTGTCCATTAAAGCACAAAGCAATTCTCCAGTGATTTCTAAACTCTCCTGAAGAGAAAAATATATGCAAATAACTTTCACAAATAGCTTTCCGAAAGCAAAGAGACCGTGTGCTTTATTTCCTTTATATATTCTTTGTTCCTAAGAGAATGGCTATAAAGTGCAGGTTGTGTCTGAAAACAAAGAGAAGCAGAGGAAATATTCCTTCCTCTGAAAGCAAAGGGGAGACATGTAATGTGTGTCCTTGTGTTTCTGACATGGGACATATTTTCTCTAAAAATTCTGACCAAGAATATTCTCAGCGGTGCTTACATGTCCCCTGACTCATCTTTTAGCTTAAGATCCTGAAGAACGTTGACCTTCAAAAACTGTCCAGAAGGAATAATTCATTAAGCCTTTGCTGCCATCCAAAAGTTAGCATATCAATTACAGATCATGATCCCTTTGTGATAGAAGACAGGGACAAGGCAAGAGTAGAAGCAGTTAAGGAGAAGTACAAGATGGAAAAGTTCTCTGCGTGAGCATTTTGTCGAAGGCCTTATATTTTCCAATCTTTCTCAAATTATGAGGTTTATTTGTACCAACTTCCAATAATGGTTTAAGCCACATTGTTCAAAGTACGACATAATCATACCCCTTAAGTCAGCTTGCTTTTCAGCCAGGTCAAATACTTCTGTCTCTACCAGGACTTGGAAATGAAAGCTGGGTAGAAAATTTCAACTTATCTTTTACATAGAATAGTTCACCTGTGTATGAGATATATCTGTCTTTTTCCTTGTGCTTTTTTATCTCTGGTATTTGAGGATAGAAAGCTTCATTATTCTAGCCAGGCAATGTTCTCTGGAGAGCCATTCTCAGTGAATGAGGAATCATGCAGAGTCTAATCATGAGGTGTAAACTTTAATTCTGAGGTATAAACTAGAATTCAGACTACTGAAGTTAATAGATACCAGAGATAATTACCTTTATTAAATGATTAGTCTTTCTAGCAAAATCTTTTCTCTTGCTATTAAAGGGTTCTATGGTTAAGGTTGCTTCCTTGCCACTTAGTTTCTGAGTAAGAGCAGAGATTACAAAATATCTCTGAAATAAGCACGTACGTCCGGAAGGGAGTAATAAAAACACAAAGCAGGCATCTAGCTGACCTCCCAAAGTTTCAGCCATAATTTGGAATTCTGCACTAAGGGCTGAAAATTAGAAGGATATTAACATAAACTCCTTTCTCCTTTCCAGAAACCTCAAAGTATTTTATTTACATCACTTCTGACGAAAGGAAAACCAGGATAGAAAGAGAGCACTAGGAAATGAGTAGATAGGTTCTGAATCACTATTGAAATAGCGTTGAGGATGAGCATTTCATCATGTGCGGATAATTGGCTTAGGATGATTGTCACAGTGAGCCAAGTGCACATGCTGCCTCGTGATCATGCTGTCACAGCAATAGGCCCAGGAACCTGTCACCATGCTGCATGATGAAATGGCAAAATCAAAAGAAGCAATTTCCAGGAAGTATTTCTGACTTCTTGGTCGCACGTCTCTTCTTTCCTTAAATAGTGTGATTAAGCTTTAGCTAGATCTCATTTAACCAACAAAGTAAAATAATTTATTGTATTCAAATAATGAGGACTTTAGGATTTAATATTCATTCAGGTTTGTTCTTTAAAATCATTGTTTTATGGAGAAATTCAATAAAATTAATTAACAGCCTGTATTAGGGTTCTCTAGAGGGACAAAACTAATAGGATAGATACACATATAAAGGGGAGTTTATTAAGAATTAACTTACACAATCACAGGTCCCACAATAGGCTGTCTGCAAGCTGAGGAGCAAGGAGAGCCAGTCCAAGTCCCAGAACTGAAGAACTTGGAGTGTGATGTTGGAAGGCAGGAAGCATCCAGCACCGGAGAAAGATGTAGGCTGGGAGGCTAGGCCAGTCTCCCCTTTTCACCTTTTTCTGCCTGCTTTATATTCCTTGGCAGCTGATTATCTTGTTCCCACCAGATTAAGGGTGAAACGGCTTTCCCCAGCCCACTGACTCAAATGTTAATGTATTTTGGCAACACCCTCCAGACACACCCAGGATCAATACTGTGTATCCTTCAGTCCAATCAAGTTGACACTCAATATTAACCATCTAATAGGCTAAAACAAAATGTATGCTCTACAGGTACTCTACAGCTCAGTAAACCAAACTCTGAACAAAAGTGACCAAGAAATTTTAAAACTAAGACTCTTCTTTAGAAAGTGACAGTGTAGCAGTCATTTCTCTTTCAAGGAGAACTTTGGACCCTATAAGCAAGCAGAAGACCCAGCTTCTGAGAAATACCCTCTGGGATGCAACCTCACTCTTTTTAGGTATGTTTACGAAAAAGGAGGGACAACAACAATCCATTTCCAAGTATTTCCAAATATTTTTTAGTATTTTTAGTGCAAAAATGTAGAATGTTTTTATGCCTTTCATAGTGGATCCCTTCACAGCAGTAAGCATTTATGGACATGGTACAACACAAACACAGAGTGCTAGGGAATGCAAGGCAAAGCAAGTATGACCGAGACTGGGAAGAAAAGACGTGTCCTCCAGAAATATACATAAATTTCCCTAATGCAAGTTCTTGATGAGTATGATGGCACATGTACTCCTAAATGCATGGAATTTTTAACAAGTACAGAGGGATGAATGAATAGATAGATAAATTAGAGAGAGAGAGAAAGAGAGAGAGGGAGAGAAATGCATTCAAATGTCATTCAGAATATTGCTATGCAAAGCTGTACACACTTTCATGACATCATCTACATACCACATATTTGGAGTTCTTTGAGAAATGCCTTCCTAGCAAAGTTACTAATTACAAAACATACCTTTTATTCACAAATGCAGCTTTTGACCAAAAAAGAAAACATTTCTCAAGTTAATTATTAATTTAGTTTATCAGGCTTCACTCCAATTGAATTTTGTCTATTAAAGAAAAATCAAATCCATTCTCAAAGACCGAAATATCTGCCAGCTGAAAATATTCAAGAATGATGGGAACAACGTTTCCGAATGTAAATTGTTACACTTTTTTATGATTTAACAATAGTAGCAGTATCAGCGAAGTAAATGTAACACCTCTTAAAATGATTACTATGAAACAATCACCACCCATTTAGAAGAGTCTTTACAGCTCAGGGATCAAAAGCAGGTGCAGGACTTTGGGCAAATTATTTTATTTCTTGAGCTTTAACTTCCTATCAATGATACACACAGCTCACTCTATTTCATGGGATTACTGAATGAGAAAATACATAAATCAGTGGTTGATGGCAATGCCACACACCTCCAAAATCTTCAGTAATGTTTCCTACTATTATTTGATAATAGGTGCCTTACAGCAGGCTTATATATAGGTCTACCTTGCTATTGTGAAGACATATTTCACATATACTGTGTATCAAAATTTGTACAAATTATAAACTCTGTAAAGTTTCATGTAAGCCACATTTACTTATTGATAATGTGTAAACAAAACTGAAAAAGATGTTTTAAACCCAACCAGCTGAAGTTTGAGTGTGGAACCATGGTTCTTCCTAAAATCAGAAAATGAGCTTTCTAGCACCATGTTGAGACTGCTTGATTTTTCATGAACTGGTATGTATTATAAACTGGACTTTGTTTACAGATTTTTTTGTCCTCATTTAACTATCTATATGCTCTAACTGTGCAGTGCTTCTGGACTTGCATACATACACATTTTGTTAATTAGTCATATTTACTCATACATGTTAAGTCATTTTTTAAAACTCAAAGAGTTCTGTAAGACAGGTTATGAGAAAGAGTAGATGCTTAATATTTTCATTATTTTTGTCCTCTCCAGAAGCATACATATTAAACTCTTTTAATGGATTACTTTGTAATTGAATCTGTGATGGTTAAAAATATGCATCAACTTAAATGGGTCATGGGGTGCCCAGATGTTAAAACATTATTTCTGAGTGTGTCTGCAAGGATGTTTCCAGGTAAGATTAGGACTTGAATTAGCAGACTGAGTAAGGCAGATTGCCCTCCACAGTGTGGATGGGCATCATCTAATCTGTTGAGTGGCTGGAATAAAACAAAAAGGCAGAGGAGGGAGAATTTGCTCTCTGTGGACTATGTGAACTGGGACATCAGGCTTCTGCTCTTGGACTGGGACTTACATCATCAGTGCTCCTGGTCCTCAGGCCTTCAGACTTGGACTGGTTGATCTAGGCTTGCTGTGGTCTTGATACTTTTGTTGCATCTTCCTAGGATTTTACTTTGCCTCCCTCTTCTGCTACATCTCATGGTTTCCTGTTTCTTGGTTTTCTTCTTGACTTTAGCAGAACACAACCTCCTGAGAAAGGTAAAAGGATCATAGACAATATTTTTTTTTTTAGTTCTTAAATTATCTTATCCATAAACCCACACTAGATATTTGGCTTAACAGTTTTGTTGTAGATTATTTGTGCTAAGAAGGTGAAAATATGTCGCCTGTGTCTTCAGGGTTCCAGTGTTCTATTAATAGAAGTGTGATGGCCTTCTGATATTTTACTCTTTGCATAAAACTCTCTCTAGAAGCTTCTAGAGGCTTCTCTTTGCCTCCACTATTCTAAAATTTTAATTATGTTTCTTGGTCTGGGTCTATTTGCATTTATTGTGTAAGACATTTGGGACCCTATTAATTAGAAAAAAATTTTATTTTTTATTTTTAGAGACAGGATTTCTTTCTGTTACCCAGGCTAGAGTGCAGTGGCACAATCACAGCTCACTGAAACCTCAAACTGCTGGACTCAGGAGATCCTCCCTCCTCAGCCTCCTGAGTAGCTGAGACTACAGGTGTGTCCCACTGAGCCCAATTAATTTTTTTTAATATTTTGTAGAAATGGAGTGTCACATTGTTGCCCAGGCTGGTCTCAAACTCCTGGCCTCGAGCAATTCCCCCACCTCAGCTTCCCAAAATGCTGGAATTATAGGAGTGTGCCACCACCCCTGGCTTAAAACTCACGTTCTTTAGTAATGAATATATTTTAAAAATATATTTCTATGATAATTTTCTTATCTCTGTTTTCTCAACTTTTTCATTCTGTTACTCCTATTATTAGGCTCTCCTAAGCAAATCATCTAATTTTCTTATCTTCTTTTCTGTTTTCTGTCTCTGTTTGCTCTGATTTCTAGCTATCTTCAATGTTATCTTCCATTTCTTCCACTCAGTTTTTCATTTATATCAGCATATTTTTAACATCAAGAGCTTTTATTTATTGATTTATTTATTTTTTTTAGATGGAGTCTTGCTCTGTTGCCCAGGCTGGAGTGCAATGGCACAATCCCAGCTCACTGCAACCTCCGCCTCTCAGGTTCAAGAAATTCCAAGAGTTTCTTCATATTTTATGAAGTGCTTCATAAGACACATTTCTTGGTTCATGTTTTGTTTTCCCTCTTGGAATATTAATATCTTTGAGATATTCTTCTACTTACACATTGCTTATTAACTACTTATCTCTCTGATTTCTTTTTCCAAAATGTTATTACTATTATCTGCTACCCCCTTCTATTTGTCATTGTGGTTGTATTGTTTTTCAAAAAATTTATTTGGCAGCTATTTTTTAAGAGTCTTTAAGTGGCTCCAGAACAATTTATGTATCACTCTTCCATGTTTAAGTAGCTCATATTCACCTGTTTCAAAAATCTTTCCCATACACACAAGATTCAGAATCAAAATTCAGATTCATCTCCAGGACAAATAAGCTTAAAACAACTTATGTGGGTGGGCGCGGTGGCTCACGCCTGTAATGCCAGCACTTCGGGAGGCTGAGGCAGGCAGATCACCCGAGGTCAGGAGTTCAAGACCAACCTGGCCAACATGGTGAAACCCTGGCCCTACTAAAAATACAAAAATTAGCTGGGCGTGTTGGTGGGCACCTGTAGTCCCAGCTACTTGGGTGGCTGAGGTGGAAGAATCGCTTCAACCCGGGAGGCTGAGGTTGCAGTGAGCCGAGATTGTGCCATTGCACTCCAGCCTGGGCAACAAGAGCGAAACTCTGTCTCAAAAAAAAAAAGAAAAAAAAATCTTATGTGGACTTCTAGCTGCTCCTTCCTAGACGACTCAATCTCAACTGCAAAGCTGAGTATGTGGTCTATTTTTCTTTTTCTTTTCTACTTTAGTTTGCACTCTCGATCTTGTTTAAATGCCTAGACTTTTTCCAGAGTGTTCCTTCAAAGGCCTGTTTTCACTTGTGAATGCTTCTTGATCCTGTTCTATTCTGTGACAGTGCCATCTCATAGACATTTAATGAGAATCACAAATGTCAGCCACGTATGTCATTTAAATTTTGTAGGAGCCATAAAAAAGTAAGAACAGATGAAATTAATTTTAGCAATAACATTAATCTAATATGCCCCAAATATTATTTTAACATGCAATCAAATATAAAAATAATATATTTTTTAATTTTGCATATTGGGTCTTCAAAATCTGGTGGGTAGTTTGCCCTTATATCACCTTTCAACTTGGGCCAGCCACATTTCAAGTTCTCAACAGACATGTGACTAGTGACTACCATATTGGATACCATAGTTTGAGGTACTTGCAATAGAAACATCTAGAACCATGGTATTTGCCTCTAAATAGCTTATAGTCAAATAAGTAAGATGCACACATGTAAAAACTAAGAAAGCACTGTCTGATGATTGCAGTGATAGGAATATTCAAGGAAAAAAAGCATCTAAGTAAGATAGCTCTTGCAGAAAAGACATTCTTGAGGAAGGGATGCTACTTAGAGTAATAAAAGTAATTTCATATTGTTGCTATAAATCGTACATACAGGATATAATGCTATAGAGTTCATCAATGACAAATTTCATCAGCATTGCATATTAGCCTAATATTTTGAAATTTAACTAGAAACCATAGGAAACAAGCAAATACTTCTAAATTTGGAAAAGTTGTAATTGTGTGTGTGTGAAAATATTCTAATTGTACACTAGAGACTAGATGGGAAAAGGGTCATGTTGGAAGCAAGGAGATAAGATCAATATCTTAGGGAGTCTGCTGGGTAACGGGTGGCATGAGAGTGAACTAAGACAGTGGTTGTGGAAATGAGAAGATGAAGTAGATTGGAGACTTTTGAACAAGGTGGATTCACAATGTACTGACTGTTTGGATGGGGTCAGGAGAAAGAAAAAGAGGAAGTGAGTGGGGGACATTATTATGACTCTTTCTGATTTTAGGAGGGGGAAGATGATTTCATTCACCAAGATATAAATTACAGGAGCAAAAGCAGAAGATTTTTCTTTTTACTTTACGTTCCAGGATACATGTGCAGAATGTGCAGGTTTGTTACATAGGCAAACATGTGCCATGGTCAAAAGCAGAAGATTTGTGCTTAACAATGATGTGTTGCCTTGTAAGCATGATTTACTGTTGGAAAACTGAGTAGAAATCCCCACTGAGTAACTAAATATGGTTCTAGAGCTCAGCAAAAATACAGAAGGATAAACATGAGAGTCTGTTCAGTATACACATACAGGAATTTTTCCATGACCTAAAATAAGCTAGAATCTCAGACATGATGTAGATGTCTTAAAAGGATGAAAAGTGAAATGAAATTAAAGACTATGTAGGAGTCTTTTTAACTGCAAACACCAAACACAGACATGCAACAAGACAGAAATTAAACACTTTACCAATGACTTACAAGTATATTTTAGTTGGCAAGATATTAAGTTTTCCATGCTGACAATATAGTAGATAAGTTTCTTAAATAAACTCAGGAGACAGCCCAAGCACGATTATTAAATTTTCTCAAAAGATAATTTAAAAGTTATTTGTAGAGTTCACCAACATGTGATCAAAGCAAGATGATAGAGCTGAGTGAGGGGAAGATTTGTTTGCACTTGTCACATTACGCTAGCTTTGTATCTCGTTCATCAAGTTGTCTCTGGTGTACCCTTCAGCAATGTTTTGTTGCCTAATAAAGCTCAGCACATGATAATGTCCCTCTAGAGGAAACTATAATAGATTGGAAAGCATTTAGAATGGTTTACAATCCTAGGTTATGTGAGAAGTTTTAAGCATCACTTTCATTACTTTAATTGTGTAATTAGAGCTAAGGCAATAATAACAATAGCAAACATCAACTGAATACACGCTAATGAGTGCCATATTAGTGCTTCACACAATTCAGATAGTTTAATCCTCACAACAAGGCAATATGTAAGGACTATTTTTGTACCCACTTTTTTTCTTTCTCTCTTATTTCTCTCCTTTCCCCTGCTTCCCTTTGGTTTTTTTTTTAATTGATTTTTATTGTGGTAAAATATACATAACATAAAAAGTACCATTTTAAGCATGGTTAAGTGTACAGTTCAGAGGCATTGAGTACATTCACATTGATCATCGCCACTATACATCTCCAGGGTTTTTCATCATCCTGTACTAAAACTCTGTACATGTTAAACAGTAACTCCCTATTCCCTCTTTTTTTTTTTTTCTAAACTGATGTGCCTTTTTATTTTTTATTTTTTTATTTTTTTCTTATTTTTTTTTTGTTCCTGGTGCAATTTTCTTTTCTTTTTTTTTTTTTAATTATACTTTAAGTTTTAGGGTACATGTGCACATTGTGCAGGTTAGTTACATATGTATACATGTGCCATGCTCGTGCGCTGCACCCACTAACTCGTCATCTAGCATTAGGTATATCTCCCGATGCTATCCCTCCCCCGTCCCCCCACCCCACAACAGTCCCCAGAGTGTGATATTCCCCTTCCTGTGTCCATGTGATCTCATTGTTCAATTCCCACCTATGAGTGAGAATATGCGGTGTTTGGTTTTTTGTTCTTGTGATAGTTTACTGAGAATGATGCTTTCCAATTTCATCCATGTCCCTACAAAGGACATGAACTCATCATTTTTTATGGCTGCATAGTATTCCATGGTGTATATGTGCCACATTTTCTTGACAGGAGGGCTACACTTCCCAGGCACTTACTTCAGCTGGTTTCTTGCTGGATTCAACCAACGGGTGGCACTGATGTGAGATTAGATGATGGAAGGAAAGATGAAGACAGGACAATTCTCCTTCTCTTTCTCTTGGACAGCAGCATCTCCTTTCAAACTCCAGCTCTTGCTTGGTACACAGTCTGCACCACACACCAGCACCCATGGAGGGTATGGCCTCCGTGGGATGACCAGAATCTGGGGTTTGGGAATGCCACTTCCTTCTGTTGCCCTTCTAGCCCTGGGGGTACTGGTGACTTCCCGCTCTTGTTAATCTCTAGAGTGTCTCAGCATTTCCTGTTTGGCTTCCCAGTTCTTCCCTTACCTGTGTAATTAGTGTTCAATATTATATTTATGTGGAATTTTTCTGCTTTCCTAATTGAATACTGAATTATATATCTGTATATACTTGTTTATTTATATATTTATATATTCATAAATATTATATATTTTATATGTATTTATATATATTTTTATATATTTATAAACATATATTTTTATATATTTATAGACATATATTTTTATATATTTATAGACATATATTTTTATATATTTATAAACATATATTTTTATATATTTATAAACATATATTTTTATATATTTATAAACATATTTTTATATATTATATATTTATATATATAAACATACACACACCTGACCTATTATATATTTGTTTTATATTCAAGAGAAAGGGGAATACTTAATGTTTATTACAACTTTATGAGATAAGTACTAAGTATTATTATCCTTTTTGTTGTTTTTACTTTTTTACAGTAAAGAATGGACTTCTATTTCAATAGTGCTTTTAAGTTCAAAAAAGTACTCATACATTGTCTCTCCATCTTTTGGCTGGTTTTAACCTCTCATTGACACTAATCATATGATGCTATTTTAGTTTTTCATTGCAGTGGTGAAAAATCACCACAAATTTAGTGGCTTGGAATAACACATGTTTATTATCTTCTAGTTCTGCAGGTCAGAAGTCTGGCTTGGATATCACTAGGCTAAAAAGAAACTGTTGGCAGGACTGCATTCTTCCTGGAAGTCCTAGAAGAGAATGTGATTCCTTCTCTTTTTCTGCATCTAGAGGCTGCTGTATTCCTTTGATCATGGTGCCTTCCTCCATTTTTAAAGCCAGCAACAGCAGGTCAAATCCTATTCACTTTGCATAACTCTGATTTTTCTTTTGCTTCCCTCTTTCACTTTTAAGGATCCTTCTGATTATATTGGGCCCAGCAGAATCATCCAGAATAATCTCCCCATTTTAAGACCAGCCAATTAGCTGGTCTTAAATTTCTTATATTTGTTTTACAAAGATCAATTATAAATGAATGTAGAATACAAACTGTTGAGTGTCTTGAGCTACTGCTGAAGTGTGCCCACAAAATGAGAGAGAAATGAAGAACCCATTAAGTGATGCCAAGCTGCAGATGACAAGGCAACATGGCAGCAGCTTCCATGTGGCCTGAGCCACCATGAGCTCAGATGTTGGATGTTCCCATTCCTCACTGCCAGAGAAAATTCACTGTACTTGAAAAATAGAGAACCATCTGTATTAGCTCTTCCAGATAAATTCCAGTTTGTTAATGCTTTTAGAAATGGGTTTATTTGGGACATGATGGAACAAGTGTATAGTTGAAGAATCTATATTTACATATCTTTGGTATGCAGTCTAATGTGTGTAAAAGTTGTATAATACTGAAGAAAAAGCAAATAGAATATGACAGAATATGTTCATCTAAACCATTCTGGAGAAGAAAGGGGAAATAAGTAAAAGAGGTAAAAAAGAAAGTGGGTGTAGACTCACAAACCCAACAAGCAAGCCAAAGGTTTGCTGGGAATTTCTCAGAACTATCTTAAATTTTTTTTCAACTCATTTTAGTTTTAGGGAGTACATGTTCAGGTTTGTTACATGGGCAAATTGCATGTCACTGAGGTTTGCTGTATGAGTGATCCCATCACGCAGGCAGTGAGCATGGCGACTGATAGATAGCTTTTCAACACTCACCCTCCCCCCACCCTCCCCTCAAATAGCCCCAAGAATCTGTTGTTCCCATCTTTATGTTCATCTGTACTCAATGCTTAGTTCCCATTTATAAGTGAGAACATGCAGTGTATGGTTTTCTGTCCCTGCATTAATTTGCTCAGGATGATGGTCTCCAGCTGCATCCATGTTGCTGCAAAAAATAATATCATTCTTTTATATGGCAGTGCAGTATTCCATGATATATATGTACCACATTTATCCGGCCCAATGGTGATGGGAACCTAGGTTAATTGTATGTCTTTGCTATTGTGAATAGTGTTACAATGAACATCTGAGACGTGTGTTTTTCTGGTAGAACATTTATTTTCCTTTGAGCATATACCCAGTAATGGGATTGCTAGGTTGAATGGTTTTAAGTTCTGTTTTAAGTTCTTTGAGAAAACTCCAAACTGCTTTCCACAGTGAGAAAACTCCAAACTGCTTTCCACAGTGGCTGAATTAATTTACATTTCCACCAAGAGTGTATGAGCAATTCCTTGTCTCCACAGCTTGACCAACATGTGCTATTTTTTGACTTTTTAATAGTAGCCACTCAGACTGCTGTGAGATGGTAGGTATCACATTGTGGTTTTGATTGTCTTCCTCTGATGACTAGAGCTGTTGAGAATTATTTTATATATTTCCTGGCCACATGTATGTCTTCTTTCGAGATGTGTCTGTTCATCTCTTTTGTTTATTTTTTAATGAGACTGTTTGTTTTTTGCTTATTTATTTAAGTTCCTTATAGGTTTTTTATATAAGACCATTGCTGGATGCATAGTTTACAAATATTTTCTCCCATTCTGTAGGTTGTTTTTTTACTCTGTTGATAGTTTCTTTTGATGTGCAGAAGTTCTTTAGTTTAATTAGGTCCCACTTGTCTATTTTTGTTTTTGTTGCAATTGCTTCTGGGGTGTTAGTCATGAATGCCAAGACCAGTGCCCAGAATGGTTTTTTCTAAATTCTTTTCTAGGATTTTATAGTTTTTGGTTTTATAGTTAAGTCTCTAATTTATCTTGTATTAATTTTTATATATTGTGAAATACGGGAGTCAAGCTTTATTCTTTGCATATGGCTAGACAGTTTTTCCAGCACTACTTATTCAAAGAGAGTTCTTTTCCTATTGCCTGTTATTGTCAAAATCATTGAAGATCAGATGCTTGTAGGTGTGTGGCTTCACTTATGGGTTCTTATTATGTTCATTGGTCTATGTGTCTGTTTTTGTACCAATACCATGCTGTTTGGGTTACTGTAACCATAAACTATTTTTTGAAGTCAGGTAGTGTGATGCCTCCATCTTTGTTTTTCTTTCTTAGAATTGCTTTGGCTATTTGGGCTCTTTTTTGGTTCCATATGAATTTTAGAAAATTTTTTTCCAATTCTGTGAAAAATGATATTGGTAGTTTGATGGAAATAGCCTTGAATCTGTAGATTGCTTTGGGCAGTATGGCCATTTTAACCATAATGATTCTTCCAATTAATGAGTATGAGATGTTTTTCCATTTGTTTGTATCATCTATGATTTCCTTCAGCAGTGTTTGTAGTTTCCCTTGTAAAGATTTTCCACCACCTTGATTATATGTATTCCTAGGTATTTTATTTTGGGTGAGTGTGTGGCTATTGTAAATGAAATTGTGTTATCGATTTGGCTCTAAGGTTGAGCATTATTGGTGTATAGAAATGCTACTGATTTTTCTGCATTTACTTTGGATCCTAAAACCCTACTGAAGTCATTTATCAGTTCTAGAGGTCTTTTAGTGGAGTATTTGGGATTTTCTAGATATAGAATTATGTCATCAGTGAAGAGAGATCTTTTGACTTCTACTTTTTCTATCAGGGTACCTTTTTTTCTATCTTTTGCCTGAACGATCTGGCAAGGACTTCCAGTACTCTGTTGAATATGACTGGAAAGAGCAAGTATCTTTGACTTGTTCCAATTCTTACATAAAATTCTTCCATCTTTTGCCCTTTCACTATGATGTTGGTTGTGGAATGTTATACAAGCTCTTACTATTTTGAGGTATGTTCCTATGATGCCTAATTTGTTGAGGGTTTTTATCATAAAGTGGTATTGGATTTTATCAAAAGTTTTCTTACATCTATTTACATGATAATATTTTTTTAAAATTCTGTTTGTGTGGTGAATCACATTTATTTATTTGCACATATTGAACCAGCTCTGAGGAATCAAGCCTACTTCATCACAATGAATTAACTTTTGATGTGCTGCAGGATTTAGTCAGCTAGTATTTTCTTGAAGATTTTTCATCTATGTTAATCAGGGACTACTGGCCTGTGCCTTTCTCTTTTTTGTTTTGTCTTTGCCCGATTTTGGTATCAATGTGATTCTGGCTTCACTGAATAAGTTGGGGAGAAGTCTCTCTTCCTCGGTTTTTTGGAATAGTTTCAGTAGGATTGCTACCTGTTCTTTGTAAATCTGGTAGAATTCAGCTGAAATCCATCTGGTCTAGGGCTCTTTTTGATTGGAAGGTTTTTTTTTTTAAACTATTGATTCAATTTTGTAACTTTATATTGGTCTGTTCAGAGTTTCAATTTCTCCCTGCCTCAGTCTTGGAAGGTTGTATATTTCCAGAAATTTGTCCATTTCCTCTAGATTTTCTAGTTTGTGTGCATAGAGGTGTTCATAATAGTCTCTGGGAATATTTTTTTATTTCCGTGGGCTTGGTTGTAATGTCACCTTTGTTCTTTTTGATTATGCTTATTTGGATCCTCTCTCTACTTTTCTTAATTAATCTAGCTAGCTGTCTATCAATCTTGTTTATCCTTTCAAATAAGCAGCTTTTGGTTTCATTGATGTTTTGTATGG
The DNA here is from genome assembly GCF_000001405.40 of Homo sapiens. Lineage (NCBI taxonomy): Eukaryota > Metazoa > Chordata > Mammalia > Primates > Hominidae > Homo > Homo sapiens. Next base: position 27,065,163 of record NC_000021.9, on the reverse strand, counting down.
ATTTTGGGGTTTCAACTTTTTTCAGTTCTGATCTCATTTCAGTTATTTGTTTTCGCTAATACCTTTAGGGTTAGTTTGTTCTTTTTTTAAGTTCCTCCAGCTGTGATGTTAGATTGCTAATTCGAGATCTAACTTCTTGATGTAGACATTTAGTATTATAAGCTTTCCTCTTAATATTTTAGCTGCATTCCAGAGATTTTGGTATGTTGTGTCTGTGTTTTCATTTATTTTAAAGATTGTTTTTAATTGCTGCCTTAACTTCATTGCTTGCCCAAAAGTCATCCAGGAGCAGGAACAAGTTGTTCAATTTCCATGTAACTGTGTGGTTTTAAGAGATCTTCTTGGTATTGATTTGTATTTTTATTTCACTGTGGTCTGAAAGTATGGTTGGTATGATTTTTTTTTTGATTTGACACTTCCTTCTTGGTTGAGCATATCATCAATCTTAGAATACGTTCCATGAACAGATGAAAAGAAGGTACATTCTATGGTTGATGGGTGGAGTGTTCTGTAGATGTTTAATAGGTCCAATTGTTCAAGTGTAAAATGCAAGCCCAGAATAGCTTTTTTAGTTTTCTGTCTAAGTGATCTAACACTATCAGTGGAGTATTGAAGTCCCCCACTATTCCTGTGTGGCTCTCCAAGTCTTTTTGTAGCTCTGGAAGAACTTGTTTTGTGTATCTGGGTGCTCCGATGTTAGGTGCATATATATTTCAGATAGTTAACTCATCTTGTTAGATTGAACATTTTTGATAATATTTTGTTCTTTGTTACTGTTGTTTGTTTAAAGTCTATTTTATCTGATATAAGAATAGTGGCTCCTGCTTATTGTTTGTTTTCTGTTTGTATGATAGATCTTTCTCTAACCCTTTGAGTCTATAGATTTCATTATGTGAGAGATGTACTCCTTGAAGATGGTAGACAGATACATCTTGTTTTATTATTCAACTTGACCCTCTGTGCCTTTTAAATGGGGCATTAAGATCATTTATGTTCAAAGTTAATATTGATAAGTGAGGTTTTTATTCTATCATGAAGTTGTTAGCTGGTTGTTTTGTAGTTTGTATTGTGTAGATGCTTTAAAAGGCCTAGGTAGTTAGGTGTGATTTGTGGAAACAGGCATAAGTCTTTTCTCTCCATGTTTAGAACTCCCTTACGACTCTCTTGTAAGGCTAGTTGAGTTGTAATGAATTTCCTTATTGATTACTTGTCTAAAAAAGAATTCATTTATCCACTTATGAAGCTTTGGTGGGGTATGAAATTATTCGTTGAAGCTCCTTTTCTTTGAGAATGCTGAAAATAGGTCCTCGGTCTCTTCTGGCTTATAGGGTTTCTGCTGAGAGGTATGCTGTTAGCCTGATTGGATGGCCTTGTATGTGATCTTACCATTTTTTTAGCTGCCTTTAAGAATTTTTTTTTTAGGACTGATCTTAGCCTGGTGACTACAGGTCTTGATGATGTTCATTTTGTATAGTAACTCACAGTTGTTCTCTGGATTTCTTGTATTTGCATGTCTACCCCTCTAGCCAGCTTAGGGAAATTTTCTTGAATTATTCCCTCAAGTATATTTTCTGGGTTGTTTACTTTTCGGTGCTTCTCTCTCAGGAATACCAGTAACTTATAGATTTGGTCACCTTACATAAACCCATTTTTCTCGAAGACTTGGTTCATTTTTTAAAATTCTTTTTTCTTTATTTTTGTTTGGTTTAGTTTGAAAGACTGATTTTCAAGCTCTTCTGCTTGGTCTAGTCCACTGATAAAGCTTTCAATTATATTTTGAAATTCCCTAAGTGAGGTTTTCAGTTCCAGTAGCTCTGATTGATTTTTTTTTAAGTGTTTATCTCTTCTTTTATTTCCTGGATTGCTTTAGAAGTTTCTTTGTGTTGATTTTCAACCTTGCCCTGGATCTTGTTGCGATTCCCTGCAATCCATGCTTTGAACTCTCTATCTGTCACCTCTGTGCCTCCATTTTGGCTAGAAACTTACTGGGGAGCTAGAGTGAACCTTTGATGGTGTCACAACATTGAGGTTTTTCACAGAGGCAGAATTCTTATGCTGGTTTCTTCTCATCTGGGAAAGTGTTGGGTGGGATTTTTTGGCTTTGCTGTTATGGTCCTACGCACTTCTGTCAGCTGGTTTTATATTGGGCTGTGTGGTTCAACCTACATGACAGAAGATGACATTTGCAGGTAACAGCCAGCTGCAGCATAAGCAGGTGGGTATAGATGTGATTTTTGTTTACTGTGGGGTGCTCTCTGCTGTTTCAGGTGAAGTGCTGGCCGTGACTTGTTGAAGCAAAATTTAGAAATGCATGAAATTATTCTAGGAATGAAAACATATGAAGTAAGAAGGAAGGAGTGGGGTAAAAACTAGCTGCTTTCATTCTTCCCCAAAAGCTATGGCTTATGCCAGGCTGAAGAGGAAAGTTAAATGTGCTGCACGCCCATGTTGCCTGGTGGAATGTGAACCAAGAGGAAGCCTAAGCATATTCATTGCTGTTGGAACTGGAAAGAGTTTAGAGCCATCTGGTCCAAAGCCATCACATTACAGCTGAAAAGGGCTAGGGAGTGTACACAGTTGCCAAAATATACATAACCAGTTCATAACAAAAGCAGGTAAAAAAAATCCATGTTCCTTCATCTTACTTAGTGCTCCTTTGACAACTTTATATTCTGAAATAGGTTTCAGATTTCTAAAATACTGCCAACATCTTAAGTAACATTTTAATAAACTAGTCTTTGGTAATACCACTCAAAAAGTCCACACATGTACCTGGTAAAAGGGAAATGGGCACAATACAACATACTTTGGGATAGAAATAGATATAAATACATTAATAAAACAAAGTATTGCCCTTAAGTGCAAAGAACATATTATTTAACCTTCTGATTATCCCTTTCCACTGTGGTGATTCTTAATCTGGTTTTGTCTTATGGCTTAATTTATCTTCTTTTAGTTCTAAAATTAAAGGCTAAAGGACCATTACGTTCATTTTGTTGTTAAACAAATAGAAGCAAAAGTGGGGAAAATGATTCCTTACAAAAATGAAAGACAGTCTCTTTTTTCTTGGCAGATGTATTCTGTAACTTTTGCCACCCTATCTCTGGCACTTTATTCTATTCCAGGTTCTATGGATCTTGACTCTTGCTGCTAAGTCACCCTAAGAATAGAATTTCTTTCATGTCAATCCAACTGTACTTGGCTTCTGTTCTTGGCATTGATTCCTGGAACACAGTGAAACTGGACTTTCTTCAAGGCATTTGATGTTTAGGACAGAACCTGTCACCTTTGGGTTAGCATTTATCCAAACTCTTGGATCCCAAAGGGATAAATGGCATTCCCTTACTGGTGCTGAGGAAGACCTTACAACTGGTCCCTAGTAAAAGGGGGATGAAGAGGAAGGAAATTGCTGTTTCCCACACACATCTTTTATTTATTTATTTATTTATTTATTTATTTGAGATGGAGTCTCGCTCTGTCACCCAGGCTGGAGTGCAGTGGCACCATCTCGGCTCACTGCCAGCTCCGCCTCCTGGGTTCATGCCATTCTCCCGCCTCAGCCTCCCGAGTAGCTGGGACTTCAGGTGTCCGCCACCACGCCCGGCTAATTTTGTTTTTGTATTGTTAGTAGAGACGGGGTTTCACGTGTTAGCCAGGATGGTCTCTATCTCCTGACCTCGTGATCCGCCAGCCTTGGCTTCCCAAAGTGCTGGGATTACAGGTGTGAGCCACCGTGCCCGGCCTCCAAACACATCTTAGAACTAAGTACTGACAAAGCATTGTATTTAATTAGGCTTCAGTTGGTCTGGAATAATATATGTCCCAGCAAAATTGGCTCATTTATTTGTTTAAGGTGAAGATCCCAGGCATAAGTTTATAATTTTGACCTCTAGAAAATATATTAGTCATTTTAAGTCACCTAATTGCTAGCACCCATACAAATAATATCATTACAATAAATGTTTCATATCCACTAGAGACATAAGCCTCATAATGGTGAAATGAAACACTATAAGGAGCTGTGTTCTTTGATATTATGGCAAAACTTCCAAAACAATTCTAGGCCCCTCCACTTCTGGACTTCTTATTAAGCATATAATAATTTTCTTTTTACTTTAATCTACTGCCATTATTGCTTGGTTTTACTTACACTTGAGATAATCTTAATTGACACAGGGTATAGGTAATACATAATGTAATATGATTCTTAGATCATATATTTATAAGTAATTACTTAAAATGTAACATGTATCATTCTCATTTTATGTCAATAATTTTCAATACAGTAATGGAACTTATTTCTTCTATTTTCTATGTTTAAAAATAATTTATCAGTTTTTGTGCCCATTATAGAAAAATTAGGATTAAAATATTTTGATGAGAGAGATGTTGAGAAGATGGAGTCACAGAATTTGCTAAGAAAGCTATATGGTATACTGCCTCCTGATTCATTTACTTCTTCTTCATGGCACTTAACTAACTGTGAGACAGATATCTTTTTTGCTTCATCATTCACCTGAGTTTACAGGAATTTCTGCTGTCACAGTTTTCTGATCTCACATATAAGATTTTCAGAGCTCTATTTCTTCTTTACATAAGCTAGTATGAGTTCTAGAATGAGAGAATAAAGAAATGAGGAGAGAAAATCATCAAAGATATAATTCAAGGATTTATTCAGAATTGAAGGATGCAAGCTTTCTGTCTTAAAAGTCCTACTTAATGCCAAGTAAAATAAATTTTAAAACATTCACACTGAGTCATATCACAAGTTTCACAACACCAGAGATAAAAAGACAATCCTGAAATCTTACCCTATCTGGGTAAAACAGATCACATACAAAAGAACGGCACTCAAAGTTTACTGGATGATACAACGCAATAGAATAATGCCTTGAAAATCAAAGATGAACTTATTTTTAATCAATTTGTAGTGCAGTGACTACTCACAAGTGATCTAATTCTCCTCTCCTAGCTAGGCAGGCGAATTACACTTCCTTGTCCTCTTTAATATTAAATGTGGAAACGTAGTGTTGGCCAGTTAAGTATGAGTGATAGCCACATCTATCACTTCAAGGTAGAAGGTGCATGATGTGTCATCCTCCCTTTTACCTGCCTTGATAAAGGTGGCCCTGTGAGTTGTTTGGCCAATAAAGAATAAATGAGATAAATGTGTCACTTTCAAATGGAATTTTCCGAGTCAGTATACTGTATTTCCTTTTCTCTGCCATGGTAATTGCAGAATCATTTGTTGAGATCCAAACCCACTGAATTGAACCATAATGAGCAGAGCTCCATTTCCAATCTGCACTAGACATGTATCTTTACTAAAAAATAAAGTTTTATGTTAAATAATTGAGATTTGTGAGCTGTTTGTTGAAGCAGCATAAAAACATCTAGACTGATAAAACCAAGTAATGTCTCCCCAATCAAACTACCAATGAAGGTGGTAAAATCAGATATTTTCAGACATGTAAGTAGAGAGTTTATCTCCATTTATATCTTCCTAAGAAGTAACTTGAGAATATATTCCCACAAATAAGGTAATAAACTAAGGAAGGGAAAAATATAGAATTCAAAAACAGTGGATCTGAACTTGAAGAGCAATAAAGGAAATACTAAAACATCAGTATATCTGGACTAAAGAGCAACCAGTGCATATTAGAGAGAGAGAGAGAAAAAAAAAAAAAAACAGGATTCCCAGATAGAATTATAGAGTTATCTGGGAATGAAAGGGGAATTCCCCTTTATGGAATGCATGAACATTTGGAAAAACACTTAAAAATATGACATAGGCAAATAATGCAATAAAAAGAAAAATACTTCAAAATTCCTGGAAAAACATTTTTTAAAACTTGCACAGTAAGGTAAAATCACAAATGTGAAGCAAAATAAAACATTGAATCATTTAAAGCAATTAATAAAGCTTACAAAAATAATGTCTCTGCTTTTGACCTGAGAACATTCTTTTTTTAAGTGACTCAGAAATTTTGACAGTAAACCCATAAAAAATCACACTTGGGCTAGACCTAAAGAACTCTTATAAGCAATACTTTTGTATTAGTCAGGGTTCTCTAGAGGAACAGAACTAATACGAAATGTATATATATAAAAATATACACACACACACACATATATATATTTGTGTATATATACACATATATATGTGTATATATACACTATATGCATATATATGTATACATATATATAGGGGAATTTATTAAATATTAACTTACGCAATCACAAGGTCCTACAATAGGCTGTCTGCAAGCTGAGGAGCAAAGAGAAACAGTCCAAGTCCCCAAACAGGAATTTGGAGTCCTGTGTTTGACAGCAGGAAGCATCCAGCACAGGAGAAAGACATAGGCTAGGAGGCTAGGTCAGTCTCTCCTTTTCATGTTTTTCTGCCTGCTTTTGTGTTTGATGGCAGCTGATTAGATTGTGCCCACCACACTAAGGGTGGATCTGCCTTTCCCAGCCCACTGACTCAAATGTTAGTCTCTTTTATCAACATCCTCACAGACACACCCAAGATGAATACTTTGTAGCCTCCAATCTAATCAAGTTGACACTCGGTATTAGCCATCACAAGTCCACCCCTTGTAAACTTGAACCCATACACATCTCCTGAGATCATACATAATCTTCAAATGAAGACAACAATAAGGTCATAATTATGCCTAACATAATACAACTATCCTTTGTACAGCCGGAAACACACCAATCCCCAACTCAAATGCTATTACATAAACTTAACAATATTTAAAGGCTGATATGAAGTCAATGGATCTCATATCACATGATAAAAGAAAAGAAAAAAATAAAGATATTTTCTTAGTACAAGTGTATACATGCACAAACATATTTTTAGCAAAAGGAGGAGGAAATACTCATAACAATTAAAGGCCCCATTTCTCAGCTGGTCACGTGGTCATAGCTGGTATTGATGACTACCTTCTTCTACTTCCCATTCTGTATTCCCTTTGCCTTCAGCAAGCACCTGAGCAGGTTGTGGTTTTTCACCAGGTGGAGTGACTCAAACCTTTATTCCTGAGGGATCTGGGCCATTTGTAGTACTGCCTGGATTGGGCTGTTGTAGTTTCTCATTAACCTTAATCACAGGACATGGTAATACTAAGGGACACCCTAATGAATCTCCTGTGTCCCATGCATAGTCTTCCTTATCTCTGTTGTGGAGTAGTAGACTGATTTCATCTTAATACTCTGGGTCAGTCACCCCAGCCAACACTGTAACTCTCATCTTGGCCTGTTGACTTGAAGATAGGAGAAGCCCAAAGTGTCCAGGTGGCAATCTTAACTTCCAATTTAATGGAATCCTTGTTGTGTCTCCTGGTGGCAGTGTTCCTCCCTCTGGAACAAAGACCTCTGGGCCAGCATAATGTAACGTCACAGGAACAGGAAGCAAACATTTTGCTAGCGGACCAGTAGGGGTGATGGTGAGTGGTGCCACTTCCACTTCCACCTTTTGATGCCTGGACTTGTGAATCCTGGCTAGGGGAGAAACAGTTTGATAGTATGATACGTTGGACACTGACTCAGAGCATATATGGTATTCTGGAGAACTTTACCCCAGCCCTGCAAAGTATTGTTACCTAGTTGGCGTTGTAACTATGACTTCAAAAAGCCATTCCACTGTCCTATCAATCCAGCTGCTTCAGGATGATGGGGAACATGGTAAAACCAGTGAATTCCATGAGCATGAGCCCACTGCCACACTTCTTTAGCTGTAAAGTGAGTGCCTTGGTCAGAGGCAATGCTGTGTGGAATACTGTGACAGTGGATAAGGCATTCCATGAGTCCATGGATGGTAGTCTTGGCAGAAGCATTGCATGCAGGATAGGCAAACCCATATCCAGAGTAAGTTTCTATTCCAGTGATGACCAACCTCTGCCCTTTCCATGATGGAAGACGTCCAATATAATCCACCTGCCACCAGGTAGCTGGCTGATCATCTTCAGGAATGGTGCCATATCAAGGGCTCAGTGTTGGTCTCTGCTGCTGGCAAACTGGGCACTCAGCAGTGGCCATAGCCAGGTCAGCCTTGGTGACTGGAAGTCCATATTGCTGAGCCCATGAGTAACCTCATCCCTGCCACCATGGCAACTTTGTTCATGGGCCCACTGGGCAATGACAGGGGTGGCTGGGGAAGGAGGCTTAGTGGTGTCCACAGAACGAGTCATCGTATCCACTTGATTGTTTAAAACCTCCTCTGCTGAGGTCACCTGTTGGTGAGCACTCACATGGGATACAAATATCTTCATGGTTTCTGACCACTCAAAAAAGTCCATCCACATACCTCTTTCCCAAATTTGTCAACAATCTTCAACCATCCTTCTTGCAAGTTCCTGACCATCCAGACAAACCATTGACTACAGCCCAAGAATCACCATATAATCACACATCTGGACATTTCTCCTTCTGTGCAAAGTGCACAGCAGCCAAATGCACTGCTTGAAGTTCTGACCACTGGGATGATTTCCCTTCACTGCTGTCCTTCAGGGATGTCCTAGAAGGGGGATATAGTGCCGCAGCTGTCTACTTTTGGGTGGTGCCTGCATGTCAAGCAGAACTATCTGTGAACCAGGCCCTAGTCTTCTCTTCCTCTGTCAACTGATCTTAGGGAACTCTCCATGAGGCCATCAGTGCAGGCTGGGGGAGAGAAGGCAGGGTGGCAGGAGTGGAGACCATGGGCATTTGAGCCACTTCCTTATATAACTTACTTGTGCCTTCAGGACTTGCTCGAGCCCGATCACGTATAGGCCACTTCCATTTGATGATGGGATGCTACTGCCCATGACCCACTTTATGGCTAGATGGGTCAGAAAGCACCCAGTTCATGATAGGCAGTTCAGGTTGCATGGTAACTTGATGACTCATAGTCAAACATTCAGTTTCCACCAAAGCCCAGTAACAGGCCAAGAGCTGTCTCTCAAAAGGAGAGTAGTTATCTGCAGAAGATGGCAGGGACTTGCCCCAAAATCCTTGAGGCCTCCTCTGTGATTCACCTATGGGGGCCTGCCAAATGTTCAAATAGCGTCCTTATCTGCCACTGAAGCCTTAAGCAACATTGGATCTGCTGGGTCATATGGCCCAAGTGGAAGAGCAGCTTGCACAGCAGCCTGGACCTGCTGCAGAGCTTTCTCCTGTTCTGGACCCCACTCAAAACTGGCAGCCTTTTGGGTCACTCAATAAATGGGCCAGAGTAACACACCCAAATGAAGAATGTGTTGCCTCCAAAATCCAAATAGGCCCACTAGGTGTTGTGCCTCTTTCTTGGTTGTAGGAGGGACCAAAAGTAGCAACTTATCCTTCACCTTAGAAGGAATATCTCAACAAGCCCCACACCACTGGACCCCTAGAAATTTTACTGAGGTAGAAGTTCCCTGAATTTTAGTTGGATTTATTTCCTGTCCTCTGGCATGCAAATGTCTCACCAATAAGTCCAATTTGTTTGCTACTTCTTCTTATTCACTGGATTCAGTCAGCATAATGTCATCAATTTAATGGACCAGTGTGATATCTTTGTGGAAGCTAAAAGCAATCAAGGTCTCTCTGAATAAAGCTGGAGAGTTGATATACCACTGAGGTAGTAAAGGTATATTGCTGGCCTTACCAGCTGAAGGCAAATTGCTTCTGGTGGGCCTTATGGACAGGAATGGAGAAAAAAGGCATTTTCCAAGTCAAAGGCTGCATACCAGGTACCAGGAGATGTGTTAATTTGCTCAAGCAATGAAACTACATCTGGTACAGCAGCTGCAATTTGAGTGACCACTTGGTTAAGCTTACAATAATCCACTGTTATTCTCCAAAATCCATCTGTCTTCTGCACAGGCCAATTGGGAGAGTCGAATGTGGATGTGGTGGAAATCACCACCCCCGAATCTTCGAAGTCCTAGATGGTGGCACTAATCTTCACAATCCCTTCATGAATGTGACGTTGTTTTTGACGTACTATTTTTCTAAGTAGAGGCAGCTCTAATGGCTTCCATTTGGCCTTTCCTACCACGATAGCCCTCACCTTACCAGTCAGGAAGCCAATGTGGGGGTTCTGCCAGCTGCTAAGTATGTCTATGCCAATTATGCATTCTGCCACTGGAGAAATGACCAGAGGATGAGTCCAGGGACCAACTGGATGTACTGTACATCAGACCTGAGCTAAAACTCCATTAATTACCTGACTTCCATAAACCCCTACTCTAACTGGAGAACCACAATGATGCTTTGGGTCCCTTGGAATCAACATCAGCTCTGAGCCAGTGTCCAGTAGCACCCCCAAGTGTCTGACTATTTCCCTTTCCCCAGTGCACTTTAGCCTGCTAAAAGGCCAGAGGTCTATGAAGGGAAGGATGGGAGAGAGATTCACTGCACAAATTGTCAGTAATTTAGAGGAAACCCTGCCTCCCCTTCATTCAAGGGGTTCTAGGTCTGTAAACTGACTCAAGTCTGGAAATTGACTGAGGAGCCATGACACTGTTTTTATAATTCAAATTAGTCTTTTGTAAATTTCACTTAGCAGTTTTTTGCTTGTATAAATTAAGTAGGAATGCAGTAGGCTTCCTATAAATTTCACTTCCAGGAACACTGTGATTAATTAGCCAATGCCAGAGCTCTACACAAGTCAGACTATTCTGATTACTGCTTTGCCTCTGCTGTCCATTACAGTAGCCACATGCACCTTCCTTTGATGGCTGAGTGCCGTCACTTGGCCCTTGCCACCTCGGAATCCAATTATTCCCATTGTATTTACATTCTGTAGTTGAGTGACTGCAGTTCCCACCGTTAGATCTCACATACAGAGAAGAGCAATTACAGTCCTCTTCAAAGATGCAGGTGCTGCCCTCATAAATCTATTTCTAAATGCCTTGGTCAAGGGTATGTCTTCTGGACCCTCCCAGCTGGGATGAGTAAGTCTAAAGTGACGAATCCACTCCACCATCCCAATCTTCCTAAGCCTTTGGGTCCCTTCCTTGACATTAAACCAAGGGATATCAGGCATTTCCAGCTCACTCCTAGTGGGCCATCTTTTAATCCGTATTTCAGCTTACCAAGCAAATAAACTATTGAGAACCTTTTCTTAACTCCCTGAGCTGCAAAATTAAAAACAGAGTCCCAACTAGAGGGCCAAAATCAATAAATTCAGCCTGATCCAACTCTATGTTCTTTCTGCTATTATCCCATGCCTTTAATACCCATTCTCATAACTGTTCCCCTGATTTCTGTTCATATAAATTAGATAAACAGTTCTTTTTGAGTATAGCACACACCTCCTCATTGGTCACACTCTCAACCTCACCTCTAGGGGCCTGCCAGGACTTTAGTCTAGTTATAGGTCTAGAAGCAAACAAGGGTGTTGGGGGTGGCTCCTGAGGATAATCAACATTATCTTGCCTGGCAACTGCCTCAGGGGAGGCCATTACTGTTGCCTCAGGCAACACAGGGTTTACCTCCTCAGACAAAGGTGGAAAGGATGATGGTAGCATGGGTCGGGGAGGGGAGTGGATATTGCCACTACTGGGGATGGGGAAGCTGTTCCTTCTGGCAAATAGAAAAGGGTCATCAGAGTTTACAAACTCAGTGTCCCCAGCTTCATCAGGGTCCTCCTACACATTCACGAATGTTTCAAGTTTCAAGGTCCCATTCTCTTCTAATCAATGCCCTCATTTTAACAGTAGACACCTGGCAAGGCTGCGCATGCACTTTTCCTTGCAAGTCAGCCACTCGCATGATAAGAGCTTGTGACTGTTTTTCCACAGTTTGAACTCTTTCTCTACAGGAGATACTCAGGGCAATCTTAGTAGATTTGAGGCTCAGTATCTGCTTCTGAAATTGGGAGACAGAATCCTTGAGTTCATCATTTTCTTTTATCACTTTGTCCACTGAACTTAGGAGCAACCAACCAGCTTCATTACGTTCCTTGGTTCTCCACATATGATCAAAGGTATTGTGTAACTAAACTCCTCACCTCTCATAAGCAGTGAATCAAGAGTGACAAATGCATTTATTTTGCAAAACTCTCTAAATAGTTCATGCCAATGACTATCAGTATTCTCCATACTGTTAGAAGTAGAGTCCTTAGCATTTTGGGCTCTAATCATATCAAGCAGCCAACTCCAGAAACCCCAAAACCAACAAAAGAACTCCATCTTTAATATTCTATTTGTCTAGAATGCCTCCCGGGACCAAGATCTGTATTTGTCAGGGTTCTATAGAGGGGTGTCCTATTAGTTCTATCCCTCTAGAGAACCCTGACAAATACAGATTTTGGTATTCATCCATCTGATCCTCCATTCAGTTCTGCACCCTTGATGGAGAGATGTTGCGACCATTTGGAGGAGAAGAGGCCCTCTGGTCTTTTGGGTTTTCAGCATTTTTTCTTTGATTCTTTCTCATCTTTGTGAGTTTGTCCAGTTTTGGTCTTTGAGGCTGCTGACCCTTGGATGGGGATTTTGTGGGGGCCTTTTTGTTGTTGTTGATGCCATTGTTGTTGCTTTTTCCTTGTTTGTTTTTCATATATATATTATATATATATATATTATATATATATATGTTCTCTAGAGGGATAGAATAGGATATATATCCTACATATACATATGTTATATATATCTATATATATATCCTATATATACATATGTTATATATATCTATATATATATCCTATATATACACATATGTTCTATATATATATATATCCTATGTGTGTGTGTGTAGATGTATATGTATATGTGTGTGTATATGTATATGTATATGTGTGTATATATGTATATGCATATGTGTGTATATATGTATATGTATATATGTGTGTATATGTATATATGCCTCTGTGTGTATATATATGTGTGTGTATATATATATATAAAGGGGAGTTTATTAAGTATTAACTTACATGAGCAAAAGGTCCCACAGTAGGCTGTCTGCAATCTGAGGAGCAAGGAGAGCCAGTCCAAGTCCCAAACTGAAGAACCTGGAGTCCTATGTTCGAGGGCAGGAAGCATCCAGCATGGGAGAAAGATGTAGGCTGGGAGGCTAGGCCAGTCTCTCCTTTTCACATTTTTCTGCCTGCTTTTATATTTGTTGGTGGCTGATTAGATTGTGCCTACCAGATTAAGGATGGATCTGCCTTCCCCAGCCCACTGACTCAAATGTTAATCTCTTTTGGCAACACCCTCAAAGACACACCCAGGATCAATACTTTGTATCCTTCAATCCAATCAAGTTAACACTTGGTATTAACCATCAGAACATTTATAATGGGAACACATGGGATAGATTCAAAATACTTTTTCCCCATTGTCCTTTCTTAAAATTAGAGGAAATGATGTTATTTTTACAGCTAAATGAAAATCAGCAATATTGGTGAGGCCAAGATGACAGACTAGAAGCAGCTGTGTTCAGAGACTCCCATCGAAAAATACCATAATATGCATGTGAATCCTTCACTGGCAACCAAGGTATCCAGTTTCTCTCATCAAAATTGACTAGAAGTCTGGCATGACCCATGAAGAGAAGGAAGAACAGTGTGGTGCGGTGGCCCACCTAAGAGCCACATGGGGAACGTGAATCAGATGAATAAGGCCTGAAGCAAATCCCCAGCAAACTGCAGCAGCCCTACAAATCAGGGACCTGACTATTGAAATAAAAACAAACAAGCAGAAAGCAGCAACAATGGCATCAACAACAACAAAAGGCCCCCACAAAAACCCCATCCATGGGTCAGTAGACTCAAAACCAAAGCTAGACAAACTCACAAAGATAAGAAAGAATCAAAGAAAAAAATGCTGAGAACTCAAAAGGCCAGAGGACCTCTTCTACTCCAAATGATCACAACATCTCTCCATCAAGGGTGCCTGAATGGAAGAACAGATGGATGAACTGTCAGAAGTAGGCTTCAGAAGATGGGTAATAAAAAACTGTGATGAGCTAAAGGAGCATGTTCTAACCCAATGCAAAGAAGCTAAGAACCTTGATAAGAGGTTAGAGGAATTGCTAACTAGAATAGCCAGTTTACAGAGGAACATAAATGACCTGATGGAGCTGAAAAACACAGCACAAGAACTTCCTGAAACATACCCAAGTATCAATAGCTGAATCAACCAAGCAGAAGAGAGGATATCAGAGTTTGAAGACCACCTTACTGAAATAAGGTATGCATACAAGAAAAAGAATGAAAAGGAATGAATAAAGCCTCCCAGAAATAAGGGACTTCAATGAAAAGACTGAACCTACAATTGATTGGAGTACCAGAAGGAGATGAGGAGAATGGAAACAAGCTGGAAAACACGCTTCAGGATATTATCCAGGAGAACTTCCCTAGCCTAGCAAGACAGGCCAACATGCAAATTCAGGAAATACAAAGAACACTATTAAGATACTCCATGAGAAAGTCAACCGCAAGACACATAATCATCAGATTCTCCAAGGTCGAAATGAAGGACAAACTATTAAGGACAGCCAGAGAGAAAGGCCAGGTCACTTACAAAGGGAAGCCCATCAGACTAACAGTGGACCTCTCAGCAGAAACTCTACAAGCCAAAAGAGATTGGGGACCAATATTCAAAATTCTTAAAGAAAAGAATTTTCAGCCCAGAACTTCATATCCAGCCAAACTAAGCTTCATAAGCAAAGGAGAAATAAAATTCTTTCCAGACAAGCAAATGCTGTGGGATTTCATTACCACCAGGCCTGCCCTGCAAGGGCTTCTGAAAGAAGCACTAAATGTGGAAAGGAAAATCCAGTACCAGCCATTCACAAACACATCAATATATAAAGACCAATGACACTATGAAGAGACTGCATCAACTAGTGTGCAAAATAGCCAAATAGCATCATGATGAGAGGATCAAACTCACACATAACAATACTAACCTTAAGTGTAAATGGGCTAAATGACCCAATTAAAAGATACAGCCTGGCAAATTGGATAAGGAGTCAAGACCCACGGTGTGCTGTATTCAGGAGACCCATCTTATGTGCAATGACACACACAGGCTCAAAATAAAAGGATGGAGGAAAATTTACCAAGCAAATGGAAAGCAAATAAAAAAGCTTGGCTTGCAATCTTGGTCTCTGAAGAAACAGACTTTAAACCAACAAAGATCAAAAAAGACAAAGAAGGGCATTACATAATGGTAAAGGGAACAATTCAACAAGAAGAGCTAACTATTCTGAATATACACGCACACAATACAAGATATCTCAGGATATCTCAGGACACCCAGTTCATAAAACAAGTTCTTAGAAACCTACAAAGAGACTTAGATTCCCACACAATAATAGTGGGAGACTTTAACACTCCACTGTCAGTATTAGACAGATCACCCAGACAGAAAATTAACAAGGATATTCAGGACTTGAACTCAGCACTGGATCAAGTGAAACCAGTAGATGTCTACAGAACTGTCTACCCCAAATCAACAGTATATACATTCTTCTCAGTGCCACATGGCACTGGGCTCTCCTCCTACTGCCCCAAGTCAAACTCTGCATTGTTCTTCTGCTGGTCGGTGGCCTGCCAGTGTATCGGTGCCTGTTGATGCGCTCCTCTCCACATCCAACTGCCCATCTGTTCCTCCACTGATGTGCTGCTCTCGACGTCCAGCTACCTGTATCTTCTTCCACCGATCCGCTCCTCTTGATGTCCAGCCACTTGTGTGCCTGCCTGCTAGGGTCTCCAGAGTTTTCATAGGCACAAGATGGGTGGCGTGGCAGGTCAGAGTGGTCTTGGGAAATGAAATATCTGGACTGGAAAACAAAAATACCTGTCCTCACCTAGGTCTGTGGGCACAGGCCTGGGAGATGGAGCCCCAGCCAGGGACCATGCCCTTCCCTTCCCTGTTCTGTATCATTTAAAGGGACCACACTCTTCCCTTCCCAGCACTTCCCTTCCATATCAATATGATAGAAGAAGGCAACTGTACTCACTGTAGTAAAGTTGAGCTGAGCATTCATGTTAGGAAGGGCAGTAACAAAGAACATACAGAAAGGTCTCTGAACTACTTAGGGGGACTGATGTGGTGAGGCAGAAGCAATTGAAGCCTACCTGCCCTACCTAACTCCGCATAACACCAGAGGTTGCCTAGAACATTATCAATAAAAAAAAGAAGAAAAGAAATGAAAAGAAAGATGCAGGGATGTCGGGTAAGGTAGGGAGAGAGAGAGAAAGCTATTGGGGCAGTAAAATGTTATACATCAATTTATATTGACAATCTTAAAAAGTAATCACATTGAAAAAGTAAATCGCAAATTTATTCTTTTCTTGATGAAAATTACTCAGATTTGCTGGGCGTGGTGGCATGTGCCTGCAGTCCCAGCTACTTGGGAGGCTGAGGTGGGAGAATCGCTTGAGCCTAATTGCTTGAGCCTAGGAGTTTGAGGCTGCAGTGAGCTGTAATGTCACTGCTGTACTCCAGCCTAGCAACAGAGCAAGACCCTGTCTCAAAAAAAAAAAAATTATTCAAGCGATTTAGCTGTATTATATCCCTCTAGCCTGGTGGAACCATATATAACACTTTCATTTTAAGAGTTCTGGATGAATCGGGGACTGTCATACCCTTCTTTTGTATCTTTAGCAGTGTCAACATGAGAGCTAAATTAATAAAATTACTCAAAAAACAGTTCATTGAATGAGATCTACATAATTGTATGAATATTATGACAATAATCTAATTTTATTGTTTCTATTATATATAATATATTAATTTATCACTTGTATTATAGGAGTGTAATTATATGGTTAGTATAAGGTATATTATATATGTATAAATATATAGAATTCCCTGTCCACAAGAACCTGCTAATCAGTCCTATGTTTTTATATATAGTAATATTCTGAGCCATGCTCTTATTCAGGGTAAAGTACTCAGTGATGAAACATCTGGATATATAGCTTAGTCATGGACTTATGACTCTCCTCTGAGTGACTTCCAATTTGATGTATCAAAACATATGTGCTCTTTCCAAGCAGCAAAAGGTATTATGCTGAAGTTTCTCCCCCACATTGGGTGAATGTGAGAAATTGAGATTGTTGTTCAATATAGTAGCCAAAGGACTAATTATGTGGTTTCACTGGAAAGGCAACCCTAATACTAAATGAAGTCCCAGGACAGCAGTAGAGAAGGGATCCACCATTGGAGTTTTTCTTTCATTCTAACATAAATCAAAAGTGACAGAGAATGGTATTGCAACTTCTCCTAAACTAAATTTATCTTGGAATGGAGACAAAACAAGGATGATTTATGAACTGAAGGACATTTTCCATTATATTCTGAACATATGTAAACAAAGAATGAGACTGAAAATCTATGTGCCCTTTTACCTTAGCCTCAGGGAGCCACCTCATTGAAACTATTTGCTACCTCATGGAAAATAACCAAAATGGATTAGCCCCATGGAACAAAAGAAGTGACATTATAAACTCAAGGAACAAGCAACAAGATCCCATAGGGAGCAAATTTCTTAAAAGGAACTCTCAAAATCCCTTTCTTCTAGGTTTATCACCATGGGGAGCTTAATTTCAAGAAGCTTTAGAAAGGAAGAAAATTGTGGCACACACTCTGCTTAGTTTAGATCTCTTAATCCTTCTAAATTGTTCTGCCTTGTTTAAAAAGATCTGCTTACAACTATCATTGTGCAAGTGTAAACACAAGCGGCCTCAGATTGTTCTTTGAGCTTCAGCTCTGCCAGATATCATTCATGTCTCATTTTACAGACAAACTCTTAGCACCACCACAAGCAGCTTTAAAACACTCAACCATAGCCCAAGGCGCATGTACAAATCTTTGCATGTCTGGGTTTCCCTATAAGGGCACTGGGTTTTGTTCTCATCACAATTCTTGTTTATAGCTCACTGGATTTATAGCCGCCCTCTTAAACATCTGCAGTCATCATTTTTTTCTCTTCTAAGAAAAGACACAACTCTCTATAGAACAGAAAACAGGTATTTTCTCCTACTAAGCCTTAAAGGGAGATGTCCTTTCTGTGTTTTAACCATTGAAGTTAAGCGAAACATAAGACTCCAATGATGTCAAGAGAATTAGGGTGAGGAACCTTGACGCTAGAGCTTTGATATTTCTGCAAAATTCCATGAGCTGCAAGTCAGAAAAACATAGTTTTAAATTCATAACTTTTATTAATTCACTGTGTGGCTAAAAGCAAATCTCTTCATTTTCTTAGTGTTTCATAGAAACACAGAACTTTAAAACAAGGAGAAGCCTTGGAATTTCATTCAATACAACACCCTCATGTTTGAGAGAGAGTCCCATATCCCAGATTACTAATTTAACCTCCTGCAGGTGAAGAGCTGGAGCTTCTCTCTGGAACTTCTAATTTTACAGTGTATTTACTGCTGTCTCTACTATGCTATTACTCAGTTCCCTCAGCCACACAGCCAAGGCCTAAGGACAGATTTCCTATCAGAAGAATTGCAAGGATCACACAAAATATTTCGCCTGGAGAGAGATTTAAAAAATAGTAAATGAAACCTAAATGTAAGGTGTTGTATATCTTAAGCTTAACAATAGCCATGCAATGCAAATTCTAATGCTATCTTTGGAGTCACTTTCAGATTTTCATACGAATGCATTTTCAAGAAAGAAGTCAACTTTTATAGTCCATCATTGGCAACAATCTACTCTGTCTTTCTCTCTAAATGTGTGTGTGTATGTGTGTGTGTGTGTGTGTGTGTGTGTGTGTGTGTGTAAATGGAAAGGGCTACTCTGAAAAGAATGCCTAGAACCCTAAGAATAGTCACCATTTTTCACATCTTACCCCTGTCTTTATTATGACACTAACACTTTTAGTGTAAGCTGCTTGCTTTGGATTAAATTATGTCCTCCCAAAATTGGTATTTGAAGCCTTAACCCCTTATGTGATTGTATTTGGAAATAGGGTGTTTAGAAAATAATTAATTATGGTTAAATGACATCATAAGAATGGGGCCTAATAGGACTGGTGGCCTTATAGGAAAAGGAGAGAGAGGTTTCCCTTTCTCTACAGGGAAGTCACATGCGCATATAATGAGATGGCCACCTGCAAGCTAGGAAGAGACACTTCACCAAAACTTAATGGCCTAAATCTTCATCTTGGACTTCCAACCTCCAGAGCTGTGAGAAAATAAATTCCTGTTGTTTACACCACCCCATCTGTGGTATTTTGTTATAGCAGCCTCAGCAGACTAATACACTACTTCTGAGTAAATTACAAAAAATAAATCATTTAAGAAGCATCCAAATGAAAAGTATAATCTTTCTGTTTAAAAAAGCATAAATATTTTAAAAGTCAGCTGCGCACATTTGTTTTGAGTAGTTCCCTTCCACATCACTTCCTGACACATCTGGCTTTTAAATGTTGCCAATATGACATTCAGTGACAATAGCAAAAACAACCACAATCCAATCAGATTCTTAACACCGTGATTACATCCAATGAAAAAAATGTGACATGCCTTATTCCAGAGCAATAAAAATGTTATTGTGCTGTTTTTCTTATCTCTAAAAATATTGCAGTCCTAGAAAAACAAGTAAATAACTCATTCTTCCATCAGTAAAAAACAAAAATATTCTTAAAGAGGAAAATCTTTTGTGAGTTACCTTCTCTTTTTGGTGACCTCTGGGCTGGTCCCTAATTGGAGCTGGTGACAAGATCCCACAATGCTCAAGCTCTTTCACCTAGTACCACGCATTTTAACAGATGAAACTGCCTGAGTCATAATTGTTTTCAAGGAGTTCTTTCCCCCTTCCTCTCCAGCTTTTAGTTGCAAGTATTATTTTTTTCCAATACTGTTTTTCTCTTTTTTTGTTGCCAGAAAATCCAAGCTAGTTTTCAAGATTAAATTACCACTCAGTGACTTTCCTTTGTTGAAAGGACAAGATTTCTAAAAAAGGAGGTGCCTCTCAGGGTAAAACAAGATGCATTAAGGCACCGGATCCCAAGGCCTAGATATCTGCAATCTTCATAAAGCCAAGCAACCTTGTAAATGGTCCAGATTTTAGTGCTAATTTCAGTCTTGCTTCCTCAAAAGAAAAATAAAAAGAAAAGAAAAGGCAGGGAAAATACCCTTATCCTACACACACACACACACACACACACACACACACACACACACACTGATATTCATAGCTGAGTTCTGTTGATTAAAAGTTGATAGCACTTTCTACCATGTTATTTGTTAAAAATAATCTAAGCATATTTCTATTGTGCATTACATAAATTGAAATAATATTCATACACTCCATTGACTAAACTTTTGAATATTTTCATCAGTTTCAATTAAGGAGTAAAATCTAAAAACAAAGGTAAAAAAATGAGCAATTTAGAATCTTCTTGATACATTTTCCCATTTATTTATTGCAACCACAAAAATGTTAAAGAATATTTTACTTAGTATCAGAGAGCACATGTTGTTAAACTAATGCTTATTAAAAGATATTACCTATACACTATTTATTTATTGCCTTGACTGGAGTTGATGTGAAAGGGAACCATGAGGCACTAAGAAGAAAATAAAAGAAGAAAATGGTATTCATGTTATCTTTCCTTGCCCAGTTTTAACAGAAGCTGGTCCATTCAAGGTCCTAGCTCAGAAGAGCAGAGATGCCTGCTACTGCAGGATCTCCCAACCCAACACTGCTCTAATATGATGTAGGAGACTTTCTCTCTAACCTGCAGCAGCATCCCAGGTCCTCACTGCTTCAGCCACCACACCCCAGTCACAAGACCATCTCTTACTCCTCACCCCAAAAACAACTTAAGGCCCATATAATATTAACCCACACTTTTCCTTTATCACCTTTCCCTAAACCATCTCTCATGATAATTTTAACTTCAAATTCCATGCCTCCCTAGCCAACTCTGTCCCTTAGCCCAACCTCTATCCCCCATCCTAAGGATCTATCCACTTCTCAACACCAGCACTGCTTTCTCAGACCTGGCCTGGCTCTCCCAGGTCCATCATCATCTCATACATTGAATTTCAAATGTCAGTCTATTCCCATCTCATCCTTGGCAGAACTTTCCTTCGTGGTTTCAAGCTCTCTTATTCTGGCAGAATATCAGGAACCCTGTGTGTGTCTGCTTTTCAACTGTTCACTCTCTAATCCAAATTGCTAATTTTCTCATTCCCATGGGACCAGGGATACATCTCTCTGTCCTGCCTTAGTATTCCTAGATTCTCTCTTCTAGTTCTGGGTACTGCTATTTCTGTCTGGGACCATGGTCCTTCCTAAGTTGGCGCTGTCTTTTACTTTCTCATGCACTGATTTTTTTTTTTTAAAAAAAAGCTTCTAAGCAAAAAATAATGTCAAAAATTTAAAAGGATATAAATAGCAAGGTAAGGTGTTATTATAATTGCAATAAAGCCTAAGAAACACCAGCATAATAAAAATAATATTGAACTTGCAGTTATAGAACATTGGTCTCATAAGGGATGTGTGGCCACACATTTCCTGTTGGAATTTAAGATGTTTTGTTTAATTTTCCTGAGTGTGCTACAATGCTTCATTACCCCCACCTGCTTCTATGTCTCCCTACATATCCCAGAGAAGAGGTCTGGAACTACGTTTCCCAGAATCCCCTTCTCAATGACATCCCAGGTTTGTGTCTGGTAAGTACAGGCAGTCATGGTCCAGTGTTTGAGGACAGTGTTTGGGAAGTATTGGATTTGATTATGAAGCCAGTATATGCAGAAGGTACCTGCCATATATATGGCAGTCTGTTTTAAGCTCTGGTTAGGAAGTACCCACCAGGCCCACTAAGCATGACAACTATTCACCAATGTCAGGTTTACATTTATTTATAGGCGGGAAGAAGGGGATCACTGACCCCTTAAAATTAGGATAAGTCATATAACCAGTTGTATTCTATGGTTATAGGTTAAAGTAACTATAGGATAAGGTCAAGCAGGTTATTGCTTTCTTCTACCATAATCAGCAATGTTCTAGAGAGTAAACTCAAGGACCCTGAGTGAGAAAGGCAAACTCATTAATCATTTTGTATACATGAGGAATTATTTTTTTGTTTAAAGCCACTGAAATTTTGTAGTTTTCTTCTTTGCAGTTTACTCTTTGCTCCCACAACATAATGTAGTCATTCTTTTTAATAACCTGGGATTTCATTTCTTCTGCCTGAAAGAAATAATTCTATTTACAGAAACTGATTGCTTAGATGATTAAATAAGGTAGGCAAAAGCACCTCAAAGTCTAACACATAGTAGGTCCTTAGCTCGTGTCAGTGAATTTTAATCCAGATACTATGTCATCTACAGGGATTCAACAATTTGACACAGGATGCAATTACTATTAGAGTAAATTTTGTTGTTTAAATATTGAAGACATATTCTTTGAGAAAGCAGTTAAATGAGTAGTTTTCTGTTTTTCAAATGTCAACAGAATTTATATATCACACTACATCACAGAAAGCATGAACTATTTTTTGAGGGCAGGACCTATATTTAATTCAACAATGTATTCTCAGCAAATAGCCTAGTACATGGCACATGCCAATAAAATATTTTCTTCATGAACTATGGTAATTTGTACCCAGTTAGCTATGGAAAACACAGTTGCATATTGGAGCATTATCCATTCTTAGACGCTAGCATTTGTATAAATCTGTATTTAGCTTTAAGCACACGTTAGAAATATAGAAATGATCTATTACTTTAAAGCAACTGCATACATCTTCTGTGTATATTTGTAGACACTTATACTAAGTGTTTATCAGATTGTATTACATAAAGTAGGCTTATTTTCATTCATTCATCCTTTCATCTACTTCTTTTTTCTTTTTCTTTTTTTTTTTTTTTGAGACCAAGCCTTGTTCTGTCACCCAGGCTGGAGTGCAGTGGCATGATCACCGCTCACTGAAACCACCACCTCTGAGGTTCAAGCAATTCTCGTGCCTCAGCCTCCCAAGTAGCTTGGATTACAGATGCACACCACCATGCTTGGCTAATTTTTTTATATTTAGTAACGACAGGGTTTTACCATGTTGGCCAGGCTGGTCTTGAACTCCTGGCCTCAAGTGATCCGCCAGCCTTGGCCTCTCAAATTGCTGGGATTACAGGTATAAGCCACAATGCCTGGCCACATTACATACTTTTTAAAATATTTTTTTGAAGTTCCAATAAAGGAGATCTTTGCATTACATTAAAGAATGATAGCTGCAAGTGATGGTGAATTGAAACTTTGTTTATTTCTATTTCCCCCCAAAATTCCACATAAATGACAGTAAAAAAAAAAAAATTGTAAATGACAAATTTATAAGGAGGATAAAAAGGAGGCAGAAAAAGTAAGAGCAAGAGTATTTTGGAAACTGGAGAGCTGGTGGATTAGTGACATCTAACAACTAACAAAATATGGTGAAAAAGCAATGTTTGCAATAACAGAACCTCAAAACAGTATTATTTGTGCTATAGGCCCCAAGAAATGCTCAAAACTTGGAGGCATTGATACCTTTTAAAGTGGGGTTGTTGACTGAAAATATAAGTGTTGGTTGAGAGACTACATGAGATGCAGTTTAGCTCCCAAATTCCTTCTCCAAAAATGATCCACTAGTAAAAAGACTAAACTGAACCCTGGCAGAAATTAGATATTTATATTGTAGAGAAGTAGATAAAAGTGGACGGCAATTATAGTTGAGAGTGTTACCGGAAAGGTGTCCCAATCCAGACCCCAAGAGAGGGTTCTGGGACCTCACGCAAGAAAGATTTTGGGGTGAGTCCATAGAGTAAAGTGAAAGCAAATTTATTAAGAAAGTAAAGGAATAAAAGAAGGGCTACTTCACAGGTGGAGCAGTGGCAGGGGCTCTTTGACTGAATATATTTATAGTTATTTCTTGATTATATGCTAAACAAGAGGTGGAGTACTCATGAGTGTTCTGGGAAAGGGGCAGGGATTTCCCAGAACTGAGGGTTCCTCCCCTTTTTGACCATATAGGATAACTTCTGGGCATTGCCAAGGCATTTGTAAACTCTCATGGTGCTGGTGGGAGTGTCTTTTAGCATGCTAATGCAGTATAATTAGCATATAATGAGCAGTGACTACAACCATAGATCACTTTTGTTGCCATCTTGGTTTTGGTGGGTTTTGGCTGGCTTCTTTACTGCAACATGTTTTGTCAGCAGGGTCTTCGTGATCTGCATCTTGTGCCAACCTCCTATCTCATCCTGTGAATAAGAATGCCTAACCACCTAGGAATGCAGCCCAGTAGGTATTAGCTTTATTTTATCCAGCCCCTATTCAGGATGGAGTGACTCTGGTTTGAATGCCTCTGACAAGAGTAAGTTGACATACTGAGAACAATTAAAGTCTACACAGGGAATGGCAAGACCACACTAGATCTCTTTACACACAGATCTACCAATTGGCAACTAGAATTATAACTTGTATAAAGGAAATGAAAAAATTTCTCTTTGAAGAAACCAACTAGTTTAACAGGCTCCTTGGGGTTCCCTAGCAGGACAGCCAATCCAGATCACCTTCTAGGAAAATCCACCCGTGAACAGAGTTTGCAATCGTTTTGTGGCACGTCACTCCCACTTGTAAATATAAGTTCAAAAAATGAAAGAAACACAATAATACATAAAGCCTCAAGAAAAGAAAGTTGCTGGGAGGGTAGATTTATGGGCCTTCCTATGGAGAACATCCCTCAGTCAGATACAGTATTTATTCCTGGAAAACATTTAGGTGATGGAGACGCAACTACTTTATACAAAGCATGTTTCAATATTTTAATTTTCATAATCCTATCAACATTTACATTTTATGTTCTGGTCTCAGGAATCTTTTTTTAAATTTTTCTACCCCCAAACCATTTTATCCCCTCCGGCGAAAAAGAATTTGGGATCTGACCAGGGGGGTTGAGCCAAACAAAGAAGGTCCTTTTGTTGATCTTTATTTTGATGAACTTATCTCAACATTGCCCCAAGCAATTGTTGGTCAGCTTTCTCATTCCAGTCTTTGCCTTCTGATTATTATTAAGAACTTCTTCTAATCAGAAGTAAATAGAGAAAACTGGCTTGTACGCTTTTAATGTTGGGGGACCAGCAAGGACCCTCTTTGGTCCACCCAACCTTAAGTAGTGTTGTATTAAGACTTTTGTTTTAATCCCATCAATTTTCCTTTCATTCATTCGGTTTCCTAGTAACCAAGTAAAGATTTTCTACCCTTCTGAGATGAGTCCCATGACTTCCCTCCCCCCTTTTTTTTAACGTTTTAGTTTTATCCCTCTCAATGTGTTCTTTTTCATTTACCTTATTTAAAAAAATAACCATTTAAAGATTTTCACCTCCCTGGGATGAATCCTTTGACTCTCCATTTTGTCTCCATTTGTTTTTTTAACTAACTTAATGTTTTATTAGCATCTATAAGACCCATGAGGAAAAGCTGAGACACCAAATTTGATAAGGCTCCTCCAAGGGAACATCACAACATGGGGTGCCCACATAGAAGAGGCCCCCTTAACCATAGCACTTGCCGTGACCTAAGTAACAGGTGCCTGCTAGAGGCCCCCTTAACTACAGCGCTTACCATGCCCTAGGGGGAACATCCTCTAATCATATACAATATTTATTCCCAGAAAACATTTAGGTGATGGAGATACAACTACTTTATACAAAGTGTGTTTAAATATGTTAACTTTCATAATCCTATCAACTTTTATATTTTATGTTCTGGTCCCAGGAATCTTTTTTTTTCTACCCCCAAACCATTTTACCCTCTCTGGTGAAAAAGAATTTGGGTTCTTACCAGGGGTTGAGCTAAAGGAAGAAGGTCCTTTGTTGATCTTTATTTTGATTAACTTATCTCAACATTGCCCCAGTAAAAATATCATAAACTACCTTTAAGAACATCTAGTTTTCACTTATTTTGAGACTTTCTAATATGATTGATAAATATCTTGAGAGATATGTAGAGATATTAGAACTCAGGCAGTCATTTCATTATTGTTAATTTAAGTTGATAAATCTATATCATGTCTTTTAAGACTGCCTGGGTCCAGTCTTCTTTCCCAAACCCCTCCTTCACACATCTCCCTGCTGACTACCTCTCTTCCTGGGCTGCTGTTAGTGTTGGGAACACTCCATGTTCCATCCCATATCAGGGCCTTTTAAAAACTATCTACTTTTAATATGTTATATATAACAGGCGTATTCCCCAGGTGAAAACCCCTGTCATCATATAGCCAGGCCCCCAAGGCTTGCATAGGAAGCATATCAGCTGCTAATATGGGGTGCTCTACTTGGCATTTATAGGGGTAGTTGGGCAGTCCCTTTCTCAGGGAAAATAGAACTTACAGTGGCTTTTATCCAGATACTATGCACATTTTAAACTTTTGTAAAGAAAAAAAATAAAAGTAGATAGCACAAAAAAAAATAAAAGTACAATAATGAGATGACTGCCTAAGTTCATATATATATATAATATATATATCTCAAGATATTTATCAACCATAGTACAAAATAAAAATAAAAGTACAATGAAATGACAGCCTAATTCACACATATGTGTGTATATATATATGTATAGTATATGTATATATCTCAAGATATATATCTTGAGATATATACATATACTATACATATATATATACACACGTGTGTATATATACTATACACATATACACACACATGTGTATATACATATATACACATGTGCGTGTATATATACACGTGTGTGTATATATGTATAGTATATGTATATATCTCAAGATGTATAGTATATGCATGTATCTCAAGATGTATAGCATATGTATCTCAAGATGTATACATATACTATACATATATATACAAAAACACGTGTGTGTATATATATACATGCACATATGTGTGTGCGTGTATATATACATAGTATATGTCTATATCGCAAGATATTTATCAATCATATTAGAAAATCTCAAAATAAATGAAAACTAGATGTTCTTAAAGGGAGTTTATGATATTTTTATCTGAGCCTTAAAACTCACTAATTTTTAAAAAGAGATATATAGTAGAAACTGCAAATCCTATTTCAATTCAATATTCTGTTTAGTTCGAGTTGACTAAGCAAGCTTGTCCGTTGAAAAATGAGACTGGAATATCCTTTTTTTTTTTTTTTCTTTCAAAATAGTCTCTTAGTATCTTAGAGTTGGAATTGATATAAAGATGATTGGTTTAATTCTGTTATTTTTCAGATGAGGTCCACATAGGAAAAGTGGCCTTCCAGAGGACATATATTTAGTTGGTGGCAAACATGAAATCAATTCTCTTTCTTAGTTCAGATCTCTTTCCAATATATTACATTCAAGACTATTTTACTTACTAGGCAATACAATCACACTGCCTAAGCACCCTGATTTTCTGAGGGCATATAACAATGCTTGAGACCTGGGGTAGAGAATATGTATTGGCTTCCAAATGTCTAAGAATATTGCAAAGCTAAATTCATAACTATATCATTAAGTACCTATACAATGTAAATCTATGTCAACTATGAGTTACAGCATAATATATTCTTGTATGGTTATGTATTAATCTTATGAACAAATTGCATGATAATATGTCTATTATTCTATAGTCAAGCCTACAAAAACAATCTTAATTTTGCTACATAAGTAGATAAAGATTTTCAAAATCTATGCTAACAAAAATATTTGTATATATACCACACACGTATACACAATCACACACACACAAACACACACACAGTTTTTCCAGTTTATAAGTGCAGTGGTCAGTAAACAAAAAACTAACTTTATTCAAGTTTCAAATTGTGTCTATATAAAAAATCCAGAAAATTAAAAGTTGCCAAGTTTGTTTGTTCTTGTCTTCATTATCCGCGTTCTCATCATTAAACTAGGATAAGGAGCATATAAATCATATAATCTCTAAGGTCCTCTTTGGTTCTAAATTCTCATAATTCTATTCTGATCCTCCTCTTCTAAAGATTAAATCTTAAGGAATTTTTTTTTTCTGAATCCCTTTAGGGGACACAGAGACAGGGTGGGTCAAATGCTTCCCATGGGTATTGTTTTTGATGTCCTGAGTTCCTTCCTCTTCACTGCCTCATGCACTTGCTGATGTCAGAGCTCTAACTGTGGATCATAAGCTGTAACCTCCACAGATTTTCCAGATGCTGACATATTAGGTAAATGTAATCTTTGTGGGAGCAGTTACTGCTATGGGAAAAGAAATCTTGGAAGCAGAGCTCAGCTGCAGCTTGATTTAACTGAGGTAGTAAACATCATGGGAACAATGGTTGACATTGGCCAGAGTCCACCAAAAGGAGGTGCACAGAATCACAGGACAACCAGAAGGGAAGCGCAGAAAAATAAGGTGAAACATCGGAAGAAGCGAGGGGAGTCTAAGGGAAAGAGAATGCCAAAAAAATCCAGACAGACAGAATAATGAATGAGCTTTTCACTGGTTGTTCAAATGTGTGTGTGTGTGAGAGAGAGAGAGAGTGTGTGTGTGTGTGTATGTGTGAAAACCTCAGAGAGTAACTTAAATAACAAAAGATGCTACAAGTTCTTCTTTTGGAGTTGTTCGGACCCCAGAATGATACCTTCACATTATTCTAAGATGCTTACTTTCCAATATGCTTTTAAAAGGATTAATCTACACAACTCATGAATTACAAAGCATTTACACAATTAAATTAAAACATTTTATTGCCTTCTCTTAATACAGGTGAATTTTAATACTCCACTAAGAAGCTCTTCATGCTCTCAAGGCAGCAATAAACTGATCAAGACACGAGACAGGGTTACAATATTTTTCAGTCAGGTTTAATGCACACATTTGCCTCCACCAATAATAAACTTTTTGACAAGTTAACAGTTTTTAAGATGATCAGTAAAGTTTTTTTTTAAAAAAAAACTCTAGTTTTAAAAACTCCAGTGTATGCTAACATTCTTTACACATTCTTTGAGTCATTGGTTTTCCCTTTGCTTCAGTGCTTTTTCAGCTATCCCATGATCTTAAAATCTCACGTCTTATTACAACTCTCCATGTATTAGGAATAACTATTTGTTCATATAAAATGTTTGATAGTTGCTATATATTCAAACCTCTCCAATTTATCACGGGCTATCCTTCCTCTGTTTCTAAATATAAAAATGCTTCAGCCAACAGATGGTAAATGGAAGCACCAGTGAGCACAGAAATCAATCCAAAGCTTTTCAGCATGAAATGGCCCTGAGGCAAGCAGCAGAAGGAAGGAGAAAGGGAAAGCTCAGATATTTTCAAAAAGAAGAAAGAACTGACTGTCCTTCCTCGTAGTTGGTGGAACCATTCAATAAATCGGGCAAATAAAATTGACCAACTGAAGAATGAATTCATTTTATATAGTTTGAATCATGCTGATAAATCACACTGAAAGTGGCAATGGGCTCTTAGATACTCAATATAGTAAATTCTTAAGTGATAGAATCTTATCCTTAATGCTAGTCAGTGTCATCGAAACGGAGACCAATGCATCCATCTATTTCCAAGGATTTCTGTGAGTTCCTCTATGAAAATATTCCAGGGATGTTAATGTTATTGATATGACATTTACTTAGTCCGAGAGGTTTTCACAACTGTTTTAAAAAAGGGGTAGTATAGTACTAAAATACATCTACTCCCTGATACTTTTCTCAATATTTATTCATCTCAGATGACTCTCCCCTTAATATACAACTATGAAAACATTTTCTAAAAGTTCATACCAATGCATTTTAAATGGCTTCAAGTGTCCCACAGGCTGGACATGATGGCTGATGAAGGAGAAAAATATGCTGTATTCATTTATCAGCTAAGAATCCAATTTAATATTCTGAGCAATTTTTAAATTTTAATTGTAAGGTACATTTTGGATTACAAAAAATAAAACTGTCTCAATTATCTCTTCATAATGTAATCTTAGACGGAAAAAAAACTCTACAAATATATATGAACAGAACTAAGTTCCATAATGAGAATGAAAGGGCTAGCATATGGCACTGATTTTGACTTGGGTCTTTGTTGTAACTCTTTATTGATTGTTATTCTAAATACTATTGAAACTTTTTAAATATTCAGGTTGCATCCTCTAATACTACAATGAAAATCTGATAACAAATGCATTAATTTACAGAGTATTACAAACAAGGACAATCCAATGTTGTCAGCAGCCATGGCACAGAGGGAATACAGGGCTTCAGGTGCCCAAGACCTTGGCTGGAATCCTGGCTGGACCAGGCCTCAGAGTTTCTTTTCAGCAGAACAAGAAAAAAGGAAAAAGCCTCATAATTGAAATTATATCAAGCTAGAAAAGTGCTCTGAACATAACAAAGGACTAAAGTATCTATCGAGATATTGGGGAAGAGCTTTATTACATAGAGGATACAGGAGGACCAAAGGGTGATGAGAAGCCAGCCATGAGAAGAGAGAAAATCAGCCTAAGTGTCCATCAATGAATAAAAGGATAAACAGATATATACACAAGGGAATACTATTCAGCCATAGAAAAGAATGTAATCCTGTTGTTCGCAGCAACACGGATGGAACTGAAGATTATTACGGTAAGTGAAATAAGCCAGACACAGGAAGACAAGTATCACATATTCTTACTATGTGGGAGCTAAAAACATAGATTTCATGGAAGAATGAGAGAATGGTAGAATGATAGTCTCTGGTAACTATCATTCTGCTCTCTACTAATACCAAAGAAGACTGGAGAGGAGGAATGAAGACAGGTTGGTTAATAGGTATAAAAATGCAGTTACATAGAAGAAATAAGTTCTAATGTTTGATAGCCCAGAGGATGACTACAGTTAACAACAAAATATTGTATATTTCAAAGTATATAGAAATTTTGAAATGTTCTCAACAAAAAAATGATAAATGTTCAAGGTGATAAATATCTTAAATACCCTGATTTGAACATTACAGATTGTATGCATGTATCAAAATATCACATGTATGCCGTAAATATGTAATATGTAAAATTGTGTATGAATAAAATACTTTTTTAAAGCACACCAGTAGAGACATCAACATGAACAAAAGCCTTAAGTGGCCAAGAACTTTACTTGCTCCAAGAACTAAAAGAAGCCTAGTCTGACCAGAGCATTGTAGGCAATGGAGAAGCACAAGGGGAGGATGGATCAGTAGGTAGTGGGCTACTGATTGCATTGTTAACCAAAGGGATTTTTGTACTGTATTGTATTTTTTACTAATGCAAAGGAGTATGCATTGGTTATCTATTTCTGTGTCCAAAATGACTACAAAATTAGAGGCTTAAGACAACATTTAACATCTTATGTTTTTTATAGTTCAGGAATCTAGTTGCAGCTTACTGAGAACCCCTGGCTCAGGGTCTTTCAGAAGACTGCAATG
Organism: Homo sapiens; assembly: GCF_000001405.40. Classification (NCBI taxonomy): domain Eukaryota; kingdom Metazoa; phylum Chordata; class Mammalia; order Primates; family Hominidae; genus Homo; species Homo sapiens. Next base: position 27,033,818 of record NC_000021.9, on the reverse strand, counting down.
TGTTGGCTGGGAATATAGGTATCTAAAGGCGTGACTTGAGATCCATTTCCACGATCACTTACGTGGTTGTTGGCAGGATTCAGCACTTTGTAGACTGTTGAACAGAGGGCCTCAGGTCCTCACTGGCTGTTGGCTGGGTGCCATCCTCAGTTCCTTGCTGCATGTACCTCTCCATAAGGCAATGTGCAGCATGGCAGCTTCCCTCATCAGAGGGAGTAATGGAGAAGAGCCAGAAAGAAACAGAGCAAACAAGACTGAAGTAACAGTCTTTTGCAACATAAGCTCAGAAATGGTATCCATATTCTATGCATTAGATGTCAATATATCTATGAAACTTTCAGGAGAAGAGAATTGCACAATAACATGACTATCAGGAGATGGAGATTGCTGTGGTCTGCCTTAGAAGGCTGCGTACTACAAAATATCATGATTTTTTAACTTTAAAAGACTGCTAGTTCTGTCTGAAAAATGGAATAGAGAGATCAAAAGTGAGGTCAGATAGACCTGTTAGGTACAACCTGCAGAATCTGCTGATAAGTTCAATGTGGAGAGTTCGAGGAAGAGGAGTCAAGAATTTCTGGCTTTAGTAACTGAGTTGATGATCCCACACTTTTGGATAAAGAAGACATATGTAAAGAAGGTCTAGAATAGAAATCGATTATCGATTTATTTATGAAAAATCAAAATACAAGTTTATTTTTATTGAACTCAGTACATTGAACACACTATGTTACCTAGCTCAAAATATATGAATTTCAGCTCGATTTTATCTAAAAGACCAAAAAATATCATAAACAATATAAAAATATATGTGACTAGGCCAGATGCGGTGGCTCATACCTGTAATCCCAGCACTTTGGGAGGTTGAGGCAGTGGATCACCTGAGGTCAGGAGTTCGAGACCAGCCTGACCAACAATGGAGAAACCCCGTCTCTACTAAAAATACAAAAAAAAAAATTACCCAGGCGTGGTGGCGGGTGCCTGTAATCCCAGCTACTTGAAAGGCTGAGGCAGAAGAATTGCTTGAACCTGGGAGGCAGAGGTTACAGTGAGCCAAGATCTCGCCATTGCACTCCAGCTTGGGCAACAAGAGCGAAACTCCGTTTCAAAAAAAAAAAAAAAAAAAGTGAGTATGTGACATATAGCCTGAAATTAAACTTTTATTCTGTGTGCACCAAAAGAAAGAATTGTTTAAAAGATCAATCACAAGAAGAGATACTTTAGATTAGCATAAAAGTCTTCTAATAATTTAAAAGAAATCTATAAAATTTAATAAACTGCTCCATAATGGATTTTCCATTTCTAGAGGTGTTCAAACAGCATTTAGAAAGCCACATGTCAGGGGAAATCTGTGTCAAGTAGAAGCCAGATTCATTTATCTCTAAAGACTCACAAATCATCTGTTCAGTAATGTCATAAAATACTGTGCAGCCTTATAACAAACTATTAAATTATTACACAAGTAGGATAGCTTTTCTCTTCTTTAATAATTTTACATTCATAAATTACTGGACCTGCTATGTGCTATGCTCGGTCACAGATTTTAACTGGAAATAAAAAAGTAGAACACAGTACTTTGATTCCAACTTTCCTTTATGCCCTGTCTCATGTGATAGTGAAGTACGTTACAATGGGCATCAGAACACTGATGCACGTGGATATGATTGTGATGTACTGTCACTGAGAAGATTGCCAACAGTTCTAATAGAGAACAAATACATTTCAGGCCAGTGATTCTTTCCAAATCAAGTTCACTTGTAAAATATTGCTGTGGCATGGTAAAGCCATTTCCCAAAATGTCATAGATATAAAGGTCCGAAATGTGTGTGCACTCATGCCATATGAGAAGGTGAGAAATTTGACATGAGCAATGGAATGTATTAGCACCATATTATTTAGACAGTCTTACATTCTCATCATCCAAACCATGAAAGAACAAGAATATGCTACAACAACAACATATTTCTTTTTTTCTAAGTAATTACAATTCATTTTGTGTTTTATTTCTTGTTTGTGCCATTTTTATTGAAGCACAAAGTACATACGCTTTATGTTGAAATATAAGATGGCATCCCTTGACTGTGATTGCTTTGCATTTATTATTTTAAGGGTACAGATGCCATATGTACAGAAATGCGTCTTCCAGCTCATGAAAATGGCACGTCACTTATCCATGCATTCTTTTTTCATTTTTCTAGTTTTTTAATATTGTAGTTCTCCATGGAGAAGCTTTTCACATATTTTATTCAATTTATTCATGGGCATTGGTAGCTTTTTTAGGCTATTGTAAACGACATTACAGACACAACCAGCACTACAGAAGACACCTCATACAAATTCACATAATTAGCCCTCCAAGGTAGCTACTGTGTGACTTCCAGCATCACTGATTCATTTTACTTTATGGGGGAATCTCTGTATATAGCAGGTTCTCGAATAAAGTTGTTTCATTCAACATTGTTTCCTTGTAACACTGATGAGGAAAAAATGATTCCTGGGGCCACTCTGTGTGGAGTTTGCATGTTCTCCCCATGTCTGTGTGGGTTTTCTCTGGGTACCCTGGGTTCTTCCACATCACAAAGATCCACACATTAGGTGAATTGGCCTGTCTAAATTGTCGCAGTCTGAGTGAGTGTGGGTGTGTGTTTGAGTGTGACCTATGTTGGAATGACGTCCTGTCCAGTGTTAGTTTGTGCCTTGTTCCTGAGCTGCAAGAATAGGCTCTTGTCACCCGAGACCTTGGAATAAGCAGGTTGAAAAAGGAATGAATGAATGAATGCATACAAATTATTGCAAAATAAAAATGTTTATACTATTACCATACAAATGCATAACAATCAATGATGTGGTCTGAAAGCACTCAGCAAGTCTGCCATATGTGTTAATGCTTGTTTTTGAACTGCGTGGAGGTAGGGAGTGCTCCTTAGAATTTTCACTTTGCAAACATTTATTCCTTAACATAACCCACCACTACTATGACTGCCATCACTCAATGACCCACCAAAAATTGGGCTAGTAATTATCTTACTTGTTTTTCTTCCCCTTTTTTTTTTCTTTCTTTTTTTCTGAGACGGAGTCTCGCTCTGTTGCCCAGGTTGGAGTGCAGTGGCGTGATCTCCGCTCACTGCAAGCTCTACCTCCCGAGTTCATGCCATCCTCCTGCCTCAGCCTCCTGAGTAGCTGGGGCTACAAGCGCCCGCCACCACGCCCGGCTAATTTTTTGTATTTTTTAGTAGAGACGAGGTTTCACCGTGTTAGCCAGGATGGTCTCGATCTCCTGACCTTGTGATCTGCCCGCCTCCGCCTCCCAAAGTGCTGGGATTACAGGCGTGAGCCACCGCGCCCGGCCTTTTCCCCTTTCTTAAATGGATGTATAGCTCACATTTATTTCAATGTTAAATGTTAGAAGTGTTTGGGTCTTTATTGAGGAGTTTGGTGATGTTTTCCAGATGAGAAATATGCTGTAGGAACTTAACTCTTTTTTATATTAATCAGGCTATGGTAATATTGGTTTTATTATATGTTGCTTTGCTTATGGTCTCCGTTTCCAAGAATCTATCAATGAGACTAAGAAGGACATACTGTAAATGAAATCGCAGAGTATACATTGTCCTATCTGACTTCTCACAGTCAAATTTATAAAGCGACTCATCCACATTGTAACAATGAACACAGTCCCCAATTTGAAGGTGAGAGGATACTTTACTGTTTTACCTTTCACATTTAGATCTTCAATTCATCTCGAATCTTCAATCCATCTACACATAATTTTTAAATATGGTGTAAGACATGACAAAACATTTAATTCAATTTTTCTTTCATTTAGATATCCAATTGACCCAGCATCATCTAATGAAAATTTCAAGTTCTATTTTTCCCCATATAGGCACCCAATTCATCCAGCATCATATACTGAAAATATGACCCTTTCATTACTGCATTGTTCTGATACTTTTGTTATAATGGTGTGTTTGTTTCTATGAATGTATCATTTTGTATTCCTCCTGCTTTCCCACTATGCTATTTGTTTGATTGTGTCAATACCACACAGTTTTACTTTAGTTTTATAACGAAACTTGATATTTGGTAGTGTACGTTCTCCAAATTCATTCTTCTCAATTTTCTTTGCTATTCTTGCCTCTTGAATTTCCAGAAACATTTTTGAATCAGTTTTTAATATACATTCACACGCGCACACACACACACACACACATACACACTTGCAGACTTGCAGAGATTTTGAGCGATATTGTATTGTATTTACTATTGGGAGGGACGTTGTTGATATGTTTAAGTGATAATTCTTTCTACCCATAAACATGGTAGATCATTGCATTTGTTTGCACTTTTCTATTCTTTCAGTAATATTTGTCTTGTAATTTTCTTTGTTGAGATTTTGTACATCTTTCATTTGATTTATTTATAGGCATTAAATATGTTTGGTGCTATTTTAAAAAATCTTATTTATATATTTTATTTTCTATTTGTTAGTTGCAAATCCATTCGACATGGGCCAATCCAAAGTATCAAAAATGAAATAAATATGTATTTTTAGTCATTGAGTTTTGAGATAATGTTAGGCTGGAATAACAAACTGACATAATGTTCTTTATCAGAGTAATGAAATTCCCTTTATTACCAGTTTTCCAAGACATTTTTTAAAAGACAGATATTGACTTTGTCAATACTTTTCTGCACCTAACCAGATGATCATATGTTTTTCTCCTTTATTAATTCAGTAAATTACCTTAATTTATATCACTCACATTACTAGAACAAAGACGACTTTATGCATTGTCATTATATTTTATGACAATATTACATACATTATGAAAGTCCAAAATATTTTCTAATTTTCATGTGATTTTTTTGACATATGGATGATTTCCAAATGTAATATTTAACATTTAAAGTTCAATTTTATTACTTATATTTCTGTTTTTGTGGTTTTTATTTCCAGTTTAATTTCATTTTTGTCAGAACATACTCTCTTTAATTTCATTATCAAATCCTTTGAAACTTGTAGGGAATTGCTTTATGGCCCAGCATATAGTGACCTACTTTGGTACATGTTCCATGTACACTTGAAAATAATGCATTTTGCAATTGTTGAATGCAGTGTTTATATATACACTCATGTGTCACATAATAATGGGAACATTCTGAGAAATGTATGTTTAGGTGATATCATAGTCGTGAGAACATCAGAGCATCTTGTACAAATTTCAGTGGTATAGACTATTATACACCTAGGTTATACAGCACAGCCTATTCCTCCTAGGATAAAAAACTTGTATAGCATGTTATTGTACTGAATGCTGGAGCCAATTTTAACACCATGGTAAACACAATTGACCCTTGAACAACATAGGTTTGAACTGGACAGGTCCACTTATATGCATATTTTTTTTTCAGCAAAACTCAGATTGAAACTATAGTGCTTCCCGGGATGTAAAACCCGTGTATAGGCAAGGCCAGCTTTTCCTTTTCCTACATATGGGTTCTGCAGGGTCCACTGGAGGACTTGAGAATGTGGGGATAGGGGTATAGGTGGAGGTCCTAGAACCAATCCTGAGTATACTGAAGGACGACTGTATTCGTGTAGCTAAACATATCACATGTATGATACCACATGCATGACGGTGATCCCATGAGGTTATAATGCTTTGTTTTACATTACATAGATCCCATTATAATCTCATGGATCACCATCATACATGTGGTCTATTGCTGACACAGAAAGTGCATGACTATAGAGAGCTAAAAACTTTTCAGTTTTTCTGAAAATATGTCTACTTTGCTATCCTTTTAAAATAAATATTTCGTGTTGGAAATAGTATTCTGATTTATTAGTTATATTTTTTCAACCCTTAAAGAAGACATTTCAGTGTTTTCTGTCTTTCATTATTTCCATTGAAAAGCTAGATATCAACGGGTATTTTTGCTTTTGAGAATAATTCATTATTTCCCTTTGGTTGCTTTTAAGATTTTTCTTTTTTCTTGGTTTTTAGTAATTTTACTATGATGTAAATGTGCATAATTTATTTAAATTGGTTCAAAGTTTGTAAGTTTTTGAACCTGTGGCCCAAGGTCTGTAATCAGTTTTGAAAAATTCTATATCATTACTTTTTAAAATATAATTTTTGCCCCATTCTCATGTTCTTCTCTTGTGGTGACTCCAATTTTATGTATGCTATAACTTTTCATTTTTACTCACATTTTTGTTACACACTTTCCTAAGCATTAGTTTTTTTTTAATTATAGGAATACTATTTGGTACTTTTAAAAATAGCTTCCAATTCTATAGTTACATCCCCCATTTTGTCATTTTTTTATATTGGTAATATATTTTTAAATTTTATGTCTGCTAACTTCTATAGCTGAATTTACATGCTCTCTTTTTATTGTCTATTCTGATTTCCACATTTTCTTTCACTTCCTTCCTCAAAATTAGCAATATATCTAACAAAGAAAGACTTAGGTAGAAAAGCTTTTAGGCCAAAAGAAAAGACACGTAATTGTAAAAAAGGTTTGCAAGAAAGTCTGTTTCAGAAAGACTGGCTTACCATTAGACAACAAACAAAATTCACAAAATGTATTTAAAGAAACTGAGGAATAAGAGAAACTATAATAGAAAATCAACAAAGTCACTAAGTTTATAAATTAATCTTTGCATTGTTAAACCTAGCAATATTCTCTCATGGTTATCATATGCACAACGGATGTATCTTTAGATATCACCACTGCAAAATGCACAGATAAAGTTTATTTCTGTTAGGGAATCAGCAACTTACAAGTAAGATCCAAGTGTATTATTCTGAGTTCTCCAAAGAAACAGGACTATTAATATAGGCAAATAGATAGATAGTCACCAGAAGGAATTGGCTTATAATCTTATGAAGGCTGAGAAGTTCAAGATCTGCAGTTGGAAAGCTGGAGGCCTAAGAGAGCAAATATTGTGGATCTAGACTGAGTCTGAAGCCCTGAGAACCAAAAGAAATTATAGTGAAAGTTTCAAACCAAGTCTGAGTTCGAGTCCAACTCCTAAGGCAGGAGAAGACTGATGTCACAGCTAAAGAATGTCAGAGAAAAAGAATTCTTTCTTACTCAGCCTTTTACCCTCTTCAGGCCATCAATGGATTGGATGAGTCCCACCTACACTGAGGAGGGCCATCTACTCTAATTAGTCTACCAATTCAACTGTTAATCTCATCCAGAAATGCCTGCACAGACTCACCCAGAAATAATGTTTGACTAAATACCTGGGCACCTCAATCAAACTGATGCCTTAAATTAACAATCCCACCAATGTTTCATTCATTTGAGAGGAACTAGAGCTGGAAAGCACAACACTTTATATTAGGTTTGTGCAAAAGAAATTGCGATTTTTGCCATTACAAGTAATGTAAATATTGTTTGCTATCGGGAGACCTGCCCCGATAATCACGTAGGTTCTTTTCTATTTTCCTAAGTGTCGGCTGGCTTGAGAAATAAAGGGAGAGAGTACAAAAGAGAGAAATTTTAAAGCTGGGAGTCCGGGGGAGACATCACACGTTGGTAGGATCCGTGATGCCCCACAGGCCACAAAAACCAGCAAGTTTTTATTAGGGACTTTCAAAAGGGGAAGGAGTATACGAATAGGTGTGGGTGACAGACATCAAGTACTTAACAGGGTAATAGAGTATCACAAGGCAAGTGGAGGCAGGGTGAGATTACAGGACCACAGGGGAAATTAAAATTGCTAATGAAGTTTTGGGCACCATTGTCATTGATAACATCTTATCAGGAGACAGGGTTTTGAGATCAACTAGTCTGACCAAAATTTATTAAGTGGGAATTTCCTCTTCCTAATAAGCCTGGGAGCGCTATGGGAGACTGGAGTTTATTTCACCCCTGCAGTCTCAACCATAAGAGACAGGTACGCCCCGGGCGGGGGGGCCAGTTCAGAGACCTACCCCTAGGTGCGCATTCTCTTTCTCAGGGATATCCCATGCTGAGAAAAAGAATTCAGCGATATTTCTCCCATTTGCTTTTGAAAGAAGAGAAATATGGCTCTGTTCTGCCCGGCTCACCGGCGATCAGAGTTTAAGGTTATCTCTCTTATTCCCCGAACAATTGCTGTTATCCTGTTCTTTTTTCAGGGTGCCCACATTTCATATTGCTCAAACACACATGGTGTACAATTTGTGTAGTTAACGCAATTATTACAGGGTCCTGAGATGATATACATCCTCCTCAACTGACAGGATTAAGAGCTTAAATTAAAGACAGGCATAGGAAATCACAAGGGTATTGATTAGGGAAGTGATAAGTGTCCATGAAATCTTTACAACTTATGTTTAGAGACTGCAGTAAAGACAGGCATAGGAAATTACAAAAGCATTAATTTGGGGAACTAATAAATGTCCATGAAATCTTCACAATCCACGTTCTTCTGCCATGGCTTCAGCTGGTCCCTCCATTTGGGGTCCCTGACTTCCCGCAAGAGTTTGCTTTGTCTTATTTTGCTTTGTTTTTATCTTAGGGTGAAAAGTTGTTTTTCCTGACTAGAATGTGATGAACACACTTTCTCATAACTCATTCTGAGTTGTGAGGTTTTCTTTCACACACCATTTAAAGATCATATCTGCCCTGGTGTAGAGCTTTACTGAGCTAACTGGCCTGTTTACAGTAGATGAGAATCTTTGACCATGATGTCATTAACACTGTCCTTTAGTAGTTTAAGGGTCATGGAGTGTCCAGACTCAACAATATATTGATTACTATTATTTCTATTCTGCTACCAAGTGTTCATGTCACCTTAAGGAGTATCTGTGTTTCTCTGCAAAACAAACTCTAAAAATGTTGTTTCCAAGGTCTAATTAGCAATGTATTTTTTAAAGCAACAAAATGATAGTGGTGCATCATGCCAAACTTATCTTTTTTAGGCATTGAAAATGGTGAAATTGTCAAATAAATTACCTTTTATAAATGACCTGTCCCAAAATGAAAAGTATTTTCTATATTCTCACATATCTATATTGAGACTTTAGAATATTATTCTTCTATTGAAATTAAGAAAATTTTCACACTTCTTAATGAGGGCTCTTTATCTTATGAAAAAAAAATTCTCTCTCAAAGTTGTTTCTCAAAAATATATTTGGAAGACTAAAATGTTCCATGATGAAATCACAAGAAAATTTGTACACTAAAAATGATGGCTCCTATGTAAAACCCTTCTACAGGAATTCCAAAGACTCTACGAAAATGTTTGGCATTTCTGTAAAACCCTAGTAGATATTTTTGGTATAACATAACATTACCTCAAGGAATTCCAAAGGCTGTCCCTCCCTGCATCTGTTAGCAAAGTTCCTGTCAAACAAGGGTCATGAAATGTGGCTCTGAGAGCTCCAGCACTTTCAATCATAACTGATGATGTAAAGTAGTCATATAATATTACAATTCTGTCTCCACAAAGGAACTGAGAGGGTATTATTTCCATGTCTTTAATTTCCAGATGAAGAAATAGATTTAGACTAGAGAAGAAATGTGCTATGTTCACATAACTATTAAGTGGCAGAACTAGTTCCAAAAGAATGCTATTCAAAGAGCTTTAAAAACTTTCCCACAAACATACATTTAAAACAGAAAAAAAATACACACAGAGGGTCTAGAGATGTAAATGATAGTGATTCACAGAAGCAGGAAATTTCTTGGACGTGTTTAGAACAGCGTAAATTTTGAAACCTATCTAAAATAGATCTATATCTCTTTTAATGTAAAAATGTTGTTTTGCATTACTTGCAAAAAAGAGGAAATATATATATTACGTATATATTACATATATATACATATATATGTAATATATATGTATATATGTAATATATACATATATGTAGTATAAATGTATATATAATATACATACACATAATATATGTAATATACATATACATATATATAATATATACGTATATATATATTTGAGACAGAGTCTCACTCTGTCACCCAGGCTGGAGTGCAGTGGCATGATCTCGGCTCACTGCCACCTCCGCCTCCCAGCCTCAAGCGATTCTCCTGCCTCAGCTTCCTGAGTAACTGAGACTACAGGCGCACGCCACCACACCTGGCTATTTTTTGTATTTTTAGTAGAGACAGGGTTTCACCATCTTGGCCAGGCTGGTCTTGAACTCCTGACCTCAAGTGATCCGCCTGCCTCAGCCTCCCATGGTGCTGGGATTATAGGCATGAGCCACCATGCCTGGCCTGTATTTTTTCACCCTTGGTAGATTAATATACTTTCTAGAAGATGCATGTGTCTGAGTTTCAGAAGCAAAGAATTACAGTAATCTGTTTTCTATATCCTTAACTGGATCAAGTGGGAATGTGTGTCTGTTTGGGGTGGGTGAATTTTAAGAAGCCTAGGAAAGAGGATAAACAATGCCAGATTTCAAAATAGACATGGGCGAATGTGAAATACCATGAATTTTTGTTAAATTCTATTCCAAGAAAAATAACTATTTCATTAATAAACTGAGATAGTTGGCACATTTTCTCATTGCACAAGTACCGAAGTATAAGTTAGAGAGCAATGGAAGTCTTCAGCAAAACTCTTGGCGATCTTGGTGTTCAGCCCTCTGGCTGCTTCTCCGCATCCAATCCTTCAGGGTCTGAAGCCCACATTCTAATTTTTGTCTTCTGATTTACAAAGCCCAAAGCTTTGAAGAGACATTAAAGTTGTTCTCATAGTTTTCTTGGTTACAAATGACCTTTTCTCTCTCTTTCCTTCATTAAAAATTCCTCTTTTCTTGTTTCTGTAAATTTCAAGTAGATATTAGAAAGAAAGCAATCTGATAAAATAAAATAAATTCAAATAAAGGATATATGGCTGATAATCTCATTAAACTGTCCCAGGATTAGATTTTGTTTGAAAGGAGGGGTTGTTCCTAACTTAAACGAATTGGTCATTAGCAGAGAATCTGGAACTTCAGGCATGGTAGTGGTGAAAGGGGTGGGGAATTATATATTGGCACTTGCTGTCACTATACTCAGCCAGCTATTTTGAGTTGTCATCACCTATTGCCTTTGAGATTATCTCCCTTGATGCTAGTTTTCAAACCAGGGTAAGAGGAAAGCCAGGTCACAGGACTGGCTCAGTTTTCCTTTTGAAGGTCTTTTCATTTCCCTGTGAGATTTGCTCCTGCACGGTCACAATGTTTGTGCATCAGGGCCGTTCGCTTCATTACCCTGCACACGCTTCGTGTGCAATTATGTTTCCCAATGCCTTTCCAGGCTGGTGCTGCTCATGCCTCAGAAAGTGAAAAAGTCCATGTCATCTGAAGAAGAGAATTCTGAGCAGGCTGACTGCATGTAGTAGTTTGGTTTGCCTCCAATTTGTTGAAGCAGAGTTATGATGTTGTGCATGGTTTGACGGTTATAGCTTTTCAACTGCTTACAAGACATGATAGCAATCAAGTCTGTTTGCAAGATGGGGACAGCGGAGAGGCTTCACTTGATATGGTATAGGTTTTCCAAAGGAGAAATTATTAACAGAAATTGCTGATTTAAGTCTGCATGCATTCCTTGAGAAGTTAAGGAATTTTACCTGTTAACTGGCCAATATGGATATTGATAATTAAAAGCAGGCATTTCACAAAATATTAATTGCCAATTTGAAGACTGTTGGAGTGTTGACCTATCCTCACATTATTTCCACCCTTCGGTTATCCTGAAGAAATTAAGAAGAAATATTGGCTAATACTAATCCTTGCTGTAAAGAGCAACTTTTGTAGGTTATTCTGCCAAGAATCTATTGTTTTAAGCAATTCACAAAGAAGGCCAGATTGGTGTGTGTTCTTCTTACTTAAGTATTGCTGGTTCAAATTATTCCTTTTGCAACAATCAGTTCTGGCAGAAGGGTGGGTGTACATTATACTGGTATTTAGATGGTGGGAGTTGAAGGCTGTTTCCAATTCTAATACTCCTCCTATAGTGAGAAGTAATTAACTGCAATGGAATAGAGCTTTTCAGAGATAAAGCCAATAATGACTTACTCTTTAAAACACTTTTCATCAGCAAGAATGTTTTATTTTAAATGTGGTTCATCACCAATCTTTTGTGTGCGTTGTGTGTTTGTGTGTGTGTGCATGCATACATGTAAGTGTTTTCATTTCCCAAACCCTAACTATAAGACATTTTGAAGGTAACATTTAAAACAAATATGTTTTTATGTGTGTAAGACTGCATAGTTATGTTTGTAATTGTAGACACTAATGGACAGAAAGATTTTATTCTACAATTTAAGGGAAAGCCTTTTTCACTCTATCTTTATATAATGGTGAATATTTTAACAATCTTTATTATTCATTTTTCTCTGCAAGAGAAACTTAATGACCTACTAACATCCCTGCATTGTCATAAAAGTTTTATTTCAAAGAAGTTTAGATTTCACCCAATTAGAAAGTATACGAAATAATACAGGTTTCTTTTAGGCTTAATGTTGTAATACTATTGTTTTCTTATGTAGAAACCATTAAATAAAGCCATGTTTTCTGTCATTCTTTTGGAATCCAGCTTTATAAAAATCCAGAGATGCTCAAACAACTACTCTTTCTGAGTTAAATATTTCATCACTTTAAACTTGGCTTTTTCTTTGCTGAAAATTCAGATGAAGTGAACAACCAAGCATTATGAGAACTGTAACTGGGTCCACCTAAAATTCTTATTGTTGCTGACTTAGAGTTTTAAAATAAAGGTGTTTGAATTAGTCATATAAGGAATATGTGTGTGTGTGTGTGTGTGTGTGTGTGTGTGTGTGTGTTTTTCCCAGTGCCTTTAGCAAACATCAAACCTACAGAAATTTTGCATTTCAACACGGGCCATAATAAAAGTGAAATTAAAAATGTGCTAAGCCTCAATTTCCTAACAATTTTAGACTTATCCATTACACTCATCATCAGATAACCTCACAGAAAGGATGTGAAGACCTGATGAAGGTTGAAATATAATATAGGCTGAACTTATCATTCAATTTATTAGCAGCCAATCTAATTCTGGGAATAATAACAGCTAATTAAAGAAATTTATTATCAATTTAATCTTGTTTTAATTGTATAATTGTATAAAACAATTATAATCTTGTTTTATAAGTATTTTATGAACATTTGTATTTAACCCTCAAATAATAAAGAAAAGATAAAGTGCAATTTTAGTCTTTTCTTCATTAAAATAATAAGGAAACTGAACATCAAAATGTCCATACAATTTGTCTAAGATATTACCGATACTAACCAAGAAAGGGAGTTTTCCAGCCATGTCTCTCACCACCACGCCATCAGATTTTGCATTCATAAAAATAACATGGTTTTTTTTTTTTTTCTTTGAGATGGAGTCTCACTCTGTCACCCATGCTGGGGTGCAGTTGTGTGATCTCAGCTCACTGCAACCTCTACCTCCCAGGTTCAGGCTATTCTCCTGCCTCAACCTTCTGAGTAGCTGGGATTACAGGAGCGTGCCACCACACCTGGTTAATTTTTTGTATTTTTAGTAGGTAAGGGGTTTCACCATGTTAGCCAGGATGGTCTCCATCTCCTGACCTCTTGATCCACCTGCCTCGGCCTCCCAAAGTGCTGGCATTACAGTCATGAGTCACCGCGCCTGGCCAAAAATAATGTTTTTTTCCCAATGAATTTTTAGAAAGTCATGGATAAAATTCCAGAAAAATGGAATATGTATATACGTAAAATATGTAACTATATATTAATTCTCTAAATAAAAGAAGTGGTTATAAAAAAAAAGAGACAAGAGATCCTAAGGAGAAAAACAAGGTAGGGACTAGGGATTGGAGAGCCTGGCTTGGGTTGGAGTCCTTCCATTTGGACCAGAGTGGACTAGAGAGTCCTCATGGAGAAAGTGTTCTGTTGAGTTAAGTCCTGGTGACAGTGTGGGGTGGGGGTTGAGAGTAGGTAAGAAGACATTTGTAGGGCAGGAAACAGCCAATGCAAAAAACAGTCGGGATGGGGAAGGAGGCCAGACATTTATAGACCTTTGTAAGTCATTGTTGAATTTTGTCTTTATTCTAATGAGATGGGTCACCACAAGGAGGATTTGAAAAGAAGAATTACATGATGTAGTTTATATCCTAACAATATCATTTAACAACTCTGCTGCAAATAGGCAAGGACTTCTGGGTCAGAAGCAGTTATTCGGCAAAAGCAATTGTCTAGTTGAGAGAAGTCAGTGGCTTGGATTAAGGTAGAAGCAGTAAATATAGAGAGATTATTTTGGTTATTTTGAAGATAGAACTGACAATATTTGTAGGTAGATTGTGTCTGGGATATGAAAAAAAGAGAAGAGTCAAATAGCCGGGGTTGGGTGGGAGCTGGTGCCCAGGTGGAGGGTTTGGTGCTATGCAGGTTCCCCATGGAGTGGAAGTTTGAGGAAGTTATTTTCTGATTGCTTCCCTTTTCTTAGAGAAATACAAGACGAGATCATCAGCTCAGTATGCAGATAGGTTAAGAAGTTTTAAAAGTTCACGGAGGAAAAAAACTAAACATATAAACTGATCACCTAGGAGAGTGGATGAATAAATTAACTGGGGTAATATAGTATAATTATTCGACAGCAAAAAGTTAGAGGTCACAAATTTAACATGAGGTCTGACAGCATGGTATTCTATTTAATTCCAGCCACACTGAGATGCAGATGCAGATGCAGATGTAAGACATTTGCAGAGTTGAATTTAACCTGACTTGGGGCTTTTGGCATAGCATTGATTATGGGGAAGAGGAACAAGGCAGTTGTAAAGTTCAGTTGACCATGTAAATGAATTTCAAATGGGTCCACTGGTACAGAGATTTTCTTCTGCCTCTTCCACCTCTCAGATACCAAGACCAACTCCTCCTTATCCTCCTCCTCAGCTTACTTAACCTGACGACAATAAGGATAAAGACCTTTATGATGATCCACTTAAACTTAATGAATAGTAAGTATATTTTCCCTTTTTCATGATTTTCTGAATGACATTTTCTCTTCTCTAGCTTAATTGCAAGAATACGTTATACAATACAAATAACACACAAAATACGTGTTGACTGTTTGTGTTATTAGTAAGGCTTCCAGTTAACAGTAGGCTATTAGTAGTTCAGTTTTGGAGGAGTCAAAAGTTATACATGAATTTTTGACTGCGCAAGAAGTCTGCACTCTTATCTGCCACATTGTTTAAGGGTCAACTGTCTGTACAAGGTTATGTTTACAACAATTGTCTACAGAATTTTGGCCAAATAAGAAGGGAAGTGAGAGCATTAGGCAGAGTAACCACATAATTTATTATCTAAACTAGAGCACTGTTAATTATTATGCTGAGCTACCAGGTTTAAACCAAAACTCTCCTGGGAAAACCAGAACATATGATCACTCTAACATTAGGGGGCATGGGGCAATGAAAAGGCAATGGGATGAATGGCTTGTGAGTCTATGTGGGGATCAGAAGATTGTTGAAGTCAGGCTACCGGAAAGACATAAGTTAGCATGGTAGTAAGTAAGGGTCAGGAGGAGACACACTTGAAATTGAGAGTATAGAGGGTTTTCAATTGCTGTTAACCTAACTATGACTGTACGAGTAGTGACTGACGTAGGTGGAGAATAAGATAACTCCAAAGGAAGTAAAACATGAAGAGGTCCATCGAAGGAAAGGTTTACACAGATATTCACAAAAATTATTAGAGGAATACTTTGGTGCATGTGACATTCACCTGGGGGCTAATGTCATCAGGGAATAAAGGGATTTGTTTTGAGATCAGTAGGCACTTGCACGAGAAAGGAGAGAAAATGGTTTAGTCTGAAGGCTTGAGATTTAAAGGGGAAAAGGGGGGCACTTTAGGAAGGAGGAAGTAAGAATTGTTTCAGAACTTCAGAGAGAGGCAAAAAGCACACTTACTCCATTTGCAGCCCATGATGCCAAGCTTGTTGGTGAGATACAGCTACTACTTG
Organism: Homo sapiens; assembly: GCF_000001405.40. NCBI lineage: Eukaryota > Metazoa > Chordata > Mammalia > Primates > Hominidae > Homo > Homo sapiens. Next base: position 27,017,852 of record NC_000021.9, on the reverse strand, counting down.
ACACACCAAGATGAGCTGTATAATCAGCAGCAAGCCAGGGCAAGAAGGAGAATGAAACCTTCTTTGGAAAGATAAGGTATAAGCATTTTGACTGTGTCATCAAAACCATAGAAGGGATTAAAATGATGCTGAGTGGGAGGGATATGAGCAGGGAGTGGGAGATGCAATCAGAAAAGTAACCCCATACTCTATAGGGAGATGAGAAATAAACATACGAGATGACTGACATTCCAGCAATAAAGCGCATGATGAGATTGGTCCTTTTAGTCACAAGGCAAATAATGATGGACAGAGCTGTGGAGGATAGCAGCTGGGCAGTCCTCTCCAGAAGGCCTGAAGGCCCTCTTTTTTTTCTCATGTATGGCCCCTCCACCAACAGGAAGTAATCTCCAAGAGGGTCACATTGTTTCCGGTCTTAATCACATAAGAATTCCTGGCACCTAAAACAATGCTGGAGAATAGTAAAAGAAGGAGAAATGATGTCAGAGAAGGACATTCCTGTTGAGAAAAATAGTAATTGTAAATCTAAGTGAAAGCCATATGCCAAGGAAGAGAGAAACTAAACAGAACAGAGGATACCCGAAAGAGAGTACATCACTATCCCAAACAAGGGTTAGACAGGCTGAGGTATAAGACTCGAAGCTTCCAGCTATCACCTGATGAATCAGAATACATCAAATTGAGGAAAATAAAGTCTCAAGCTGCCCCTCTAAGGAGAGGAGCTTTCTGCATCACTTCTAGCTTTGAATTCCGTAATGGTCATTTCCACATGTCTGATTATTTGCTGGTGAGTGATAGAAAGTGAATTTGAATCATTGTTTGTGGAGGTCTTAGTCGTTTGAACAAAGAACTTTATTGCTTTCTGAATGTGACAGAGATTATCTAATAGGCCATGGCCTTCTGCAACATTCCCCAGACCTCTTTGAAGTTAACCGTCAGGACTGTGTCTCCTGCTGATCAACAGACTTTCAGTAGATGTTCTGTGTGTGGAAGTGTTGTGTGTATCTTCTGGAACAAGTCAGTTAAAAGCTTGTGTGCCTCCTCTTTCTCTTCCCCTGATGGTAGAGAATTTACAAGCCAAGTGTAGCTACTAGCAGAAGAGTCAGCACAGAGTCACCAGGCACCATGCAATTGAGAAATAAACTGTTGATATGTTCTGACTCTGACAGGCCGGGCATGTTTCTTATCACAGCTTATCCTGGACTATTGTGAATAATGCACAACACAGAATAATGAGAGTGGATATAGAAAATACATTTTTTAAAGTTCCAGGATACATGCGCAGGACATGCAGGTTTGTGTACAGGTAAACGTGTGCCATGGTGGGTTGGGGCACCTATCAACCCACATCACCTAGGTATGAAGCCCTGTTTGCTGTTTATCTTGATGCACTCCCTCCCGCCGCCCCCTGACAGGCCCTAGTGTGTGTTGTTCTCCTCCCCTGTGTCTATGCGTTCTCAGTGTTCAGCTCTCACTTATAAGTCAGAGCGTGCAGTGTTTGGTTTCCTGTTCCTGTGTGTTAGTCTGCTGAAGGTAATGGCTTCCAGCTTCAGGAAGATTCTCACTTGCTTTTTTGCCTTTACTTTCTAAGTATCATTGGGTTTAACTGTCTGGTACATAGGAAATAATAAAGAGCTTTCACTGGGGTTTAGAATTCCAAATGTATTATAATACCTTTAAGTTTATTTTGCATTATACAGGTGATATCGTGATATCATAAAATTACGAAAAATAGAGAAATTTTACCTATAATCTCACTATCCTAACCACTGCAATGACTACTATCAAATATATACACGTACTTCTAATGTGTTGTTAACACTATTACAACAAGAACAATTTTTATTTTTTCCAACTTAACACTATATCCATATTCTTACAAAATATTTATAAATTTTCTTTTAATGGCACATATTTTGATTAAGTAAATAGGCCTTGATTTAATTAACTACTCCCCTATTTAGCAAATATTGAATTATTGTATACAAGAAAAGAACAGTTTGGGAAATAGCTTTCTTCTATTGTTCTTATTTTCCCTCATGCTAAGTCTCTCGGGATAAATTGCAAGAAAAAATAATCAGTGGTCTCTCTGAATGAATTGTTTTTCTTCACATGAGCATATCAATTTCTTCCAAATCTTCCTTAATTGCTCTATTATAATTTAAACATTTTTTATTTTAATGGAGGTAAATGGCACTTTATTATTTAAAGTTAGCACCTATATGGCCGGGCACAGTGGCTCACGCCTGTAATCCCGGCACTTTGGGAGGCCAAGGCCAGCGGATCACGAGGTCAGGAGATCGAGACCATCCTGGCTAACACGGTGAAACCCCGTCTCTACTAAAAATACAAAAAAAAAATTAGCCGGGCGTGGTGGCAGGTGTCTGTAGTCGCAGCTACTCGGGAGGCTGAGGCTAGAGAATGGCATGAACCTGGGAGGCGGAGCTTGCAGTGAGCGGAGATCGCGCCACTGCACTCCAGCCTGGGCGACAGAGCAAGACTCCGTCTGAAAATAAATAAATAAATAAATAAATAAAGTTAGCACGTATATTTTAAGAAGAAATTTCAACCTTAGGTATTTTTTCATATTTTTTACCAGTTAATATATTAGGGTAAAATTCATTACAATAATAGGTTGAGAATTTATATCATGTCAGAAGATGTTTTTACTTAAAATTAAATGTTATTTAATTTAAAATTTTCCATTATGTTTCAAGTCAAACATTTTCTGGAAGAACATATCTCTGATTTTATAATAATGGCCCTTGGAAAAACAACAAAGAAAAGCATTATATGTTGTTATACATGTGCATGTTATATATGTGTAACATATAGGTATGTTATATATGCATACACTCTTCAGTAATTGACAGAATCTACTGTGTTTTATTTTGTATTATATTTTAAAGAATTTTTAGAGCTACTAAACTAAAAACAAATAAGAAATTTTTAAATGTGGGCAACATTTATTTAAATATTATATTAAATATAATGCTATTTAAAAACATTATTTACATATACATATATTAAACTATCCATTTAATATACATCACTGCATAATAAATTATTTTTAATTTAAAAACTCCACCAGAACTTAATAGTTTACTTATTTTAGCATATTGAAAGCTATTTTGACTAAAACGCTAACTCAATGAGAAGGCAAATATTTGAATGACTAATAACAAACAGCAAAGGAAAAATTGGTTTGGTTACTTCTTTTTTATTTATTTAGACAAACAGATGATAAAAATAAAGTTCTGTCTGCATAAATGTATGGCTATTAATTCATTTTTAGTTACTCTTCAAAATCACTGATTTTATATCTCTGCACCTACATGAGTGAAAAATAACAAAGAAGAAACCTAAGTTGTTCAAATTAACAAAGCAAAATATAGTTCGTAGATTTTTGTAAAGGAGAAAAAATAAGAGTTTCCAGTACAGAGCTGAAGTGAGTAAATCTGCATCTTCCTATGACTTCCCCTTTGACATTGTCGTTAACTCTTCATTTCACACGAACTATATTTGTTCTATCTTTGTTATTTTCATGAATCTTGCTAATAACTTAAGAATTTTCTGCCAGTATGTAGCTACAAAACTAGGGTAGTGGCCTAAATATCTATTTCAATAAAAATAAATGTAAAAATAGGTGATAACAAATACATGTATCTTCCCGATATATTCCGAAGTACAAACTCTCTGCCCTAAGTTGTTAGGTGGAAGATTACTTGGAAGCATTCACTAAATGAGTACTCACTTTTAAAAATATGTCTTTTATTACACTTTGAAGAGTAGAAGGATCGTCTCAGATGCTGCCTCACTGTGAACGTCAACAGGAATTGCCTGTGGCTAAGGCCTTCCTTCCCACAGAAGCCCCAAATGCTAGGGTCACTGTCTCCATAGCAAGTTAACATGCCTCTAAAAATGTCCCCTTGCTTTGAATGGCCAACATGAAGTTTAAAAAGAGTCAGAATAGGATGTGGGAAAGCAACATTACTAAAAAAAAATCATATAAACAACTCTACTCCATCTAATTTGAAGTGCCCAACTTTGATTCACTGTTTTCCCAATCTTTGATGAAGAGAAGAAAAATTATCAATGGGGTTCTTTCAAAGTATTGTGGGAAAATTCTCCCCTCAGCCACTTCCGATTTGGCATTTTCTTTATCAGCTTTATTGATATTTTATAGATATGGCATCAGAGACACATCTCTGTCACAGAAAATAAATCCTGTTCGAGAAATCCACTATGAAAGCCATTGTCACAGGCTTCACCCTTCATCCTTCACTTAGGTGTTGTGATGGTGTTTCTGCTGGACTAAGTCAGCTGAAAAGTTTCCAGGAGGATGTATTAGTCTGTTCTCATGTTGCTAATAAAGACATAGCTGAGACTGGGTAATTTATAAAGGAAATAAGTTTAATGGACTCACAGTTCCACATGTAATCCTAGTTCAGGAGTTGTTCCAGATGCCTCACAATCATGGTGGAAGACAAAGGAAGAGCAAAGAGATGTTTTACATGGAGGCAGGCAAGAGGAGCTTGTGCAGGGGAATTCACCTTTATAAAACCATCAGATCTCCTGAGACTTATTCACTATCATGAGAACAGCATGGGTAAGGCCTGTCCCTGTGATTCAATTACCTCCCAACAGGTCGCTCCTACAATGCATGGGAATTATAGAAGCTATAATTCAAGATGAGATTTGGGTAGAGACACAGCCAAACCAAATCAGAGTGTTTTCCTCATCCTGTTTTATGATTGCCTCCCTGCAGAAAGGCATAAAGATAAGAGAACATGTGTTCCTATCAGCTTATTGTAGTCTTTGCCTTCTTACTCAAGATTCAGCAGCTGGATGGTTCTCAATTCTTAAACTACGTCTGAATATCCCAGGGTCCCCATTGGATGTACTGAGATTCTTAATTTAAAATTAGGGAAGTAGATAAAACACTAGAAGACTTTGAGTAGGACCTGTTAGTCTCTGGCAAACTGGTACCTTCTCAAATTGAAATATTTCATGAACTTGCCCAGCTTTCTCATTTATTATTGGAGCACATCCTCTTCCATAACCTTCATTTGTACACACCCTTGCATTTCAGTAACATAGAGTCCAGCCACTGTTCTAATTTTTCTAATTGCACATGTCAAAAAGAGAAACTTTTCCGTGAATTAATGGAATCTGAGTTTGCAGGGGAAATGTTGTCTGAGCTATTGGCTTTGTCACAAGCACCTGTATCAACCTTAGTTTTTTTATTTACTTTTTTTTTTTTTTTTTGAGAGAGTCTCGCCCTGTCACCCAGGCTAGAGTGTGGTGGTGTGATCTTAGCTCACTCCCAGGCTCAAGCGATCCTCTCATCTCTGCCTCCCAAGTAGCGGGGACTAGAGGCATGTGTCACCATGCCCGGCTAATTTTTATATTTTTTGTAGAGATGGGGTTTCACCATGTTGACCAGGCTGGTCTTGAACTCCTGCACTCAAGCAATCTGCCCACCTCAGTCTCCCAAAGTGCTGGGATTACAGGACTGAACCATGTGCCCAACCCTCTATTAACTTTTTAAAACAATATCACCATTACTAACTGTATTGGTTTGCCAGGGCTGCCATAAAAAGAACCACAAACTGGGTACCTTAAAGAAGAGAAATATGTTGTCCCACAGTTTTAGAGGCTAGAAGCCCAAAATCAGGATGTTGGCAGAGTTGGTTTCTTCTGCTTACCATGGAAAATGGCTGAGGTCTTTTCTGTAAGGTCTTGTGGTTTGCTGGCAATCTCTGACCTCCCTTGACTATGGCAGCATATCTCCAGTTTTCAAATGGCATTCTCACTTTGTGCCTGTCTGTATCCAAATTTCCCTTTTTTTTAAGGACATTAGTCAAATTGGATTGGAGGACCACCTTAGTCTGGTATAACCCCATCTTAACTAATTACATCTGCAATAACCTTATTTCCACATAAGGTCACATTCAGGGACACTGGAGGTTAAAACTTCAACATACGAATTTTATTGAGGGACAAAATTCAACCCATAAAACTGACCAATAGTTTCTTGTGGGTAACAAATACTTGATTCATCATTTGATATTGCTTCTAGTCTCTTAAATTGCAAGTTTCTCCATTTACGTTACTTATTTATGTTTTGAAGACACATCTCCAATGCATTTTCATTTTTTTCCATGAAACCGGACCTGTAATTTATTTACTCGTTCAATAAACATGTATTTATTGAGCTTATATTATATGTTAGGGACTCTTCTGGGTGCTAGCAACACACTGTAAAACAAGCTTTAAGTGTCTCCAGTTCTGGTGAACTGACAGGTAAATTGGAAACAGTCAGAAAAGAAACGTTCATAATCAGGACATTTTAGATATTAAAGGGAATAAACTATTCTTCTTCTAGGTACAGAACAGTAAGAAAGAAGTCAAGGCTTGTTGGCTCTAATTTTCATGACTTCCCCAAAGCCTAATTTTTCATGTTTAATTATCAGTCTTGGGGACAATCTGACATTCCAAAAGGATTAGTTCTAACAAGAGGAAAAGACTCCACAAAAGTGCATTTCAAGGGCTTGCTGAGCATCTGTGGGCCAGCGGCCTCAGATGCATTATTTTTGGCTTGGATTATATCCTTAAGGCTTTGAACAAATACTGCTCAGAAATATGAATGGAGAAGATTCATTCTAGAAACAGTTTCCCCCTTATGCTTTGTTTTTTGCCATAGCAATTTAAGCAAACCATTCTTCAAGAGGCACACTAGGTTGAGATTCAAATGGACCGGAGTGGATGAGCATCATGCAGATGAAGAGAAAGGGGAGAAATCCATTAAGTCTCAAAAATAGCAACAAGGACACAGACAGGCTGGATGACAGCGAGTTCTCTGTCCCCGTGAAGACTGTCCTTCCAGGTGAGCAAGAAAATCCAATTATTAAACTAAAAATAGGTAGCTTGACATCACTGCTCATCATGTATTATTGGGAAACATCTATATGAAAAATATGCTTAGTTTTGAATTTTTGTTTACAAGTTAAAAATCTGGCATCTTTAAAAAAGTTAACTGTGACAGAAACAAGTTTCGATCTGTAAGAAAGACCGAGGAGGGCGTAAGTATCTTGCTTCAGTGGTATTGATAGTTCCAATATATTGATATCTTTCCAAATGCTAAGAGAGTCTAATGCAATGAAGGATACTCTAGGACACAAAACTGAGAGTCTTGCAGCACCTTTAGCTGAGAGCAGTCTAACAGAGAGATGTTTTAAAGTCACTAAGAAGAAAATGGAACACAGTGTACAAATATTCTTAACTTGACTAAGTATTGCTATATTGCCCTGCAAAAATGGGTCAAAGCAGCCTTCACTTCTACCAGAAATGCTTGAGGGTTCCTTTCATTCCATGTAGTTGGAAACCTATGGATACTTCTGACCAGTGAATTGTGGGCAGAAGTTACACGCATCATTTATTTGCTTATACAAAGCCCCAGTTCCCCACAACTAACTCCCCCATTTTCAGCTCAGAGAGCTTTCCTTTTCCCACCTGCATGATGATCAACAATGTTCAATTGGTTGTGATATATGAGCCTGGGTTTCTGCGTGCATGAGTGGGGGACTATAACACTGTAATTTACATGTGGGATGAACAATAAATAAACCTTCAGTGTATTTAGCCACCAAGGTTTTTGTGTTATTCGTCTTCATAGCTAATGCTTGCCCATCCAAACAGATAGACTTTATGATCACACCAACATTTGACATTAGCTGGATTTGTAAATTTTTTTCAGTCTTAGATATACAAATGTATACGTCATTTTAATTTGCATTTCCCTGGCATTAAATATTCAATGTATTTTATTATATGATTCTAAGATTTTAAAGTTTCCTCTTCTTTAACTTTCCTATTCCTAGATACTACCCATTTTCTACGTTTAATTATTGATTTTCATGCACTTTATTTAGGTTTTGTTCCCCTCTTCTCAATTTTAGCTATCTCAATATTTTTCCTATTCTGGCAACTTGTTTTTAACTTTATGTCAAAAAGATAATTTCTTATACTTTTATCTAACAATTTTATAGTTTTGTACTTTTCATATTTAGTTCTTTAATCCATCTAAAGTTTTATTTTCTTCCATAGAGGAAGTAGTTTCCTCAATAGCATGTATTAAACAATCTGCTTTTTAAACTATTGATTTATAGAGCCAGCTTTCTGGTATACCAAGTCCTCATATATTTACAATGTGATCATTGGCTCAAATTTTTAAAATATTTTCCCTTAGGGATCTCATTTGGCAAGAGCATCTCCTTCCTATGGTTTTCATATTTTGTGACTGGTGGTGCCCACCCACAAGAATTCAGTGCTATGCAGATTGACACAAAGACATCTATCATTGTGTGACCAAGAACATTTTTGATACCTCTCCATAGCAGATTAAATAGATAAAAGGGACATCAAAATTACATAAATCTTGTATACTATTTTGGGAAATGGTAAAGTTAAAGTACCCTGAGAATAGGGTGTTTTGGTTTGGGCTTCCCAAAAGCAGACCCTGAGACAAGAATTTGTATACCATACAAATCATTTATTTTGGAAGTTAAAGAGGCCAGGTAGGGAGGTTGGGAGTGAGATTTAAAAAAAAGAAGGCAGCTAATAAAAGGTGTCTACTACTAGTGGCACTAGAGACTACAGACTAACTCCATTAGAGAAACTCTGGGATTCAATGTAGAACACAAGTTCTATAGTTATCATACATGAGGGTAAGAGGGCTATGGTATTTACAAACAAAAGCATTTTTTGAAAGCCACAGTCCTGGTCTTCAGTGGCCATTAAAGGGGCTCCAGCATCAGGGCAAAGCTCTTGGGCATTGGTATGCAGGTTCTGGCCATTTGGTATACAGGGACATGAGCGGGACTGGGGAGACAAGTATGATGGGAACCAGGGGACATCAACAGCAATTGCTCCCCACAGTGAACACAGATTATTACTGAATGGCCCTATTTAATAGAAACAGAGGACCTTTGACCAGTGCTTCTCAAGTTTAATTAATAAATGGACCCTTTGAAATAATCACAAAAATCCTACAGAATAATAATATTCATATTAATATTCCTATTTAAATATGGGAACACTAAGGCATAAGAGAGGTTGGAGAAATTTACCAAAATTTCAGAACCAGGTTTTGGGTTTGCTAATTCTTTTAGGAATTCAGGTCACTGTGAGATTGAGACTTTTTGACATAAATGTTTTATTATTTGTCTTGATTTTCCATTTTATTTGCAAAATGGTCTGAATATGTATATGTATGACATATATATGACAATAATTTAAATGTTTTGTTTTTACAAAGCAAGAGAAACAAATAAGATGTGAAATCTAAATGTTGAATTATGTTATGGTTGAAATGTAGTAACACAAACAGGAAACATAATCCAAGCAGTAAGTATACCTCATATTTAATGTTCTCCTTTCTTATTTTCTCACGTTACTCACAATGTACAAGTATTGCAAAGTTCTTACCTGAGAGAATATTTACCACAAGCTGTCCTTAAAATCTCCCATATGAAGACATACATAAGACTGGGTAATTTATAAAGAAAAAGAGGCTTAATGGACTCCCTGTTCCACATGGCTGGGGAGGCCTCACAATCATTGTGGACGGTGAAGGGGAAGCAAGACATGTCTTACATGGCAGCAAGCAAGAGAGCTTGTGCAGGGGAACTCCCATTTATAAAACCATCAGATCAAGGTGAGACTTATTCACTACCAGGAGAACAGTATGGGGGAAACCACCCCCATGATTCAATTATCTCTACCTGGCCCTGCCCTTGACATGTGAGGATTATTACAATTCAAGGTGTGGTTTGGGTGGGGACACAGCCAAACCTTATCAAGCCTCCATGATAGATGGTGACATATGCTTTCACCAGTAGCAAAACACATTAGAAAAGAATCAGATTATAGAACTAAACTTCTTTAATAACAGTGACTTTTTAGTTTGAATTGAGAGAATTCTCAACTGATGGACTTTAATTAAAATATTCAGAAATATGACTGTTTTGGAAATATCTTGATTAGGGTAAAACCTTAGTTTTTGATTTTTTTAGTTTAAACACAATGCCAGATGCTACCGTGTTTTTTTGGAATCCTATTTTCCCCACTCTACTGCTTAGCCACAATCATTTACTGTTTTTTCTTTAAAAGTATAAGATAAGGCAGCATACTGCCATCCTGATTATGTGGTGTGGTTTAATATTCTATTTTGGATCCACTACCATACTGTTTGCAAAATAGATCACATTAGACAGTTTTGGCTGTTTTCTACCTGTACTTTTTCCCTTGGGTTGATGGTACGTTTTAAAATTCTTCTCTAGGATCTTTTATTTGAAAGATAATAAAAGAAGATACACACCATTCTTAGTCATAAAAAAAACTTAAAATGGAACAAAATGTAATAGAGTTCTTAAAAAATCTTTCTCCTAGGGTAAGCGATGTTTAGTTGTTAACATTTTGTGTAATACTGTCTACAATCATATGGCATGGGCCACCAAACTGGAGTCCCATGAATTAATATCACTGATGATACAATATATCTTTCTTTATAAGTCTGTGTAAGAAATATTCTTTTAAATAGAGCACCTCATTTCATCACCCCAAAATATTATGCCTTGCTATCCTATGTTGTAGACTTTTACAAATGAGAAAATTAAGGTAACTATCCCAGAATCAAAGAAAACCAGTAAATAGCAGATATACGAGTTAAATTCATGACATCTCTAATATTAATATAACATTAATATCCTTTCCAATATGCAACGCTTCAGGACTATGTTTCCAAGTAAAGTATGAAACATTATCAACTTAAAATCCAGCCTGTATATGCAATCTCATTCCTTATAGCCTGTAGGTGATCGTGAAGTTTATGGGTATTTGCTCCTCAAATCTTCCTGCCAAATGAGCCAGAAGATAACACCTAATCAAGATGAGAAGTTTGTGTGATAATTACTGCAAAGAATCTCTCCTAGTGATTCTTTCTAATGAGGCAGAAACAGAAAAATGTGCCATAATGTTTGACAGCTAGAATATATTGAAGCAAAAGTCTGCTTTCAGGAAGTAGATGATAGTGGGGAGTGAATAAAGAGACTAATATTACTTGTGTATTGCTATTTCTTATGCATTGCTTTAAGCCTTACTCTATTAGGGTATGGCTTAAAGGACTAAAAAGCATTATCTCTAGCTTCAAGAAACACACAGACACATTAAAAGGATGATTGGTAAATAATTTGTGCAGATGGATTTTAGACAGTCAAAGGAGATATTTCTGTGGTCTGGTAAACAACAGTGGTAATAAAACAGATTCTAAAAATGAGATTTCCTGAAAAAGCAACAGAAATGAGATGTAAGTTCTTGATGTTTCTCTTCAGAAAATTCATTCTAAGTGATTCAGAGAGCCATAAAATTTTTAATTAAGAAAAAATGAGATATCAAACAAGGCTGCCATAAACATGGTTTAATAATGTTTTATTTTATGCTAAATATTGTATGAGAAAAAATAATCAGTTTTATTTTATGTTAAATACTCTAAGAGAAAAAGGGTAGAGTGAGGACAAATTCATTAAAGAAAAGGCTTACTATCATCTGATTATATTTTATAAGGCTGCAAGTATGCTAAAGACTTGTACCAAAGGGACAGGTCATTGTTTTATAGAGTAATAATCAAATCATTCCAACACATCTAAAAATAATATCTTTTGTGGCAACTTGGGTGGAGCTAGACACCATTATTTTAAGTAACTCAGGAATGGAAAACCAAATATTGCATGTTCTCACTTATAAGGGGGAGCTAAGCTATGAGGATGCAACGGCATAAGAATGATATAATGGACTCTGGGGACTCACTGAGGAGGAGTGGGAGGGGGGTGAGGGATGAAAACCTACATATTGGGTACAGTGGACCCTGCTCCGGTGACGGGTACACCAAAATCTTAGAAATCACCATTAAAGAATGTATCCATGTACCCAAACACCACCTGTACCCCCAAAACTATTGAAATAAAATTTTAAAATAAAATTATCTGTAATTTTCAGATGGCATTTCTTTATTAGCAATTAGAACTTCTATAGTTTTCATTTGCCTTTGCTTTTTCAACTAAAAAAGGTATTCTGGTGAAAAAACGCTCTGCTCAAGACAAACAATATCTAAATTTGATTCGTGGAATATATTGAAGCCCAGATGGGTATTATTTGAGCCATGGATTATATATTCTTAATTTTTATATTTTAGATTACAAAATTTAAATATAAATTGAATTAGAGTTCTTATATTTTTTAATATTTCTTTTTCCTTTTTAAGTTTCTTGTTCTTATATTATGTCAAAACTTTTTTGCCTGGTTGCTTCCTATCTCTGAATCAAAGCTGCTAAGATGCGATGACTTTATCATTGTAAGACAGACCTAATAATTTTTAAAATAAATAAAAATATTTTATTATCTAAACATATTAATCCAGAAATTCCAAGCAAAATTTATCTTTAGCAGTCATTAAGCAGCTTTACAAGACATAAACTCTTCCTGACGCTTGTCCACACTTTACCGTGTATTGAGTTTGTAATGTATTCCAAACAAACAATGTTATTTGTTCTGGGAAAACCTTATTCAAGAATCATTCAAATAATCACTGATTATTTAGTATGTGTTTCACATTCTAATAGAGACAGCGAACAAGATACAGTCCTTGCCATCATGGAGAGCCCATCATGGAGCTTATAGCAAAAGGAAGGAAACTCATCAAATCTATAACCCATTTTCTAGGATCGACAAAATTTTGAGTTCATGCAGTACAATCAGTTCTATAATTTAATTTATTGTGATATAATCAACAACGATTTAACAAGAAAGATCTATCAAAATAAGATGCAAGAATCTCATAGCAATCCACCTTCTACCATATAAACTGCTATCTCATGGCTAATTCCTGTCCCATATCCGCCTATTGAGTAGGTAGGTACTGGAAGTTAGAGCTGAGAAGCTCCACTGAAGCATGATGATTGCATCTTCCATGTCCCCAGAGTTGAAACCAATATGGCTATTTCTATGGTTAGAATTTCCTTGTGTTGACAAACATTAATATGCTCAACTCAAAGAGTGATCCAAGCTTTTGGAATCCATTGTTTACATAATCATGGAATATCTTTTTTAGAGAAGAGAATACACACTTACGAATACAAAATTAGATAACAGGACTTGAAAGAGGTTAATGCAAGGGTAGCCCTGAAATTAGTTATAATTAATAAGAATTCTTATAATTAATAAGAATTATAACAAAGAAAGATCATACAAGCAAATAAGAATAAAGTGCATACTCACTCACATAGACACACTCATACACACACAATCAAGTACAGGACTCTACCACCTGTGAATAAAGTTTTGAAAATCCTATGACAATATTAGCAGATTTAATCCAGCTGTACATTAAAAATATATTATAACTATCTAGAGTTTGTTCCAAGAATAAGGTCCTTTTTATTTTAGAAAATATGTCAATTTAAGTTACTATATTAAAATTTGAAGGAAAAAGATATTATCAATTCAACAGTTGCCAAAAATTATTTACTAATTTACATAGCCATTCTTGATTTATAAAACAAAACGGTCTTCTTAGAAATCTAGACCTATTTGATTATACATCTGTAAAAAGTTCATCTTAAAAACAGTAATTAATGGAGAAAATTCAGAAGCACTTTCATTTAAGCCAGAAATTTAACATTTTACTAGAATTCTTGGGCATGACAATAAAATAAGGGAAGGAAATAAAAAGACTTACATACTATACTGGCAAATAATTTACTACAGAAAATTCATGGGAATTGTTTTTTAAAAATCTATTGGAACTTATAAATGTTTAGAAACACACTTAAGTACAAGGTAAACACATAAAATCAATAGCTTTCCAATAAGCCAGTCATAATAAATTTTTAATGTAGTGGGAGAAATAGTCACAGCAGAAACTGATGAAGAATAGAATAGTTACCTAGTTTTAAAGTACCTCCCTACAGAAAAAGTATTAATTACAAAAAAAGTGTAATTTTATAGTGAAGAAACTTGACAGAAATCATGTTAATCAAGTGATCAAAGTTAACATCACCAGTAATGAGACAAATTGAAACCACATAACTTCTGATAGAATGCACTAACAAAAACAAAGTACCCTTTCTATGATATTTCTGCTAATACACAAAATCCGAATCTAATCAGGAAGAAAACGGTAGGCAAACCCAAACTTGGCGGGTGGAGAGGCAGTGACAGAACAAAATATATGTTCCATAATCTTCAATGCATCAAGGTCATGAAAGTGAAGGAAAGACTGAGAAACTCTCAGATTGAAGAAGATTAAAGAGACATGAAATTAATATAATACATAATCCTGGAATGGTTTCTTTTGCTATCAAGGACATTTTCTGAAGACAACTGGAAAACCCTCAATGAGATCTGAGGAGAAGGTGGCAGTCATGTTATCAGTGCTAATTTTCTGATTTGGACGGTTATATCATGGTTATGTTGGGTAATTTCTTTGTTGAAATTATACACTAGAGTATTCAGAGGTGAAGGGCATCAAACAATTATTTCCTGAAAAACGGTTAAGGGTAAAAATATTGTCCTATTTTTGTAACTTTTCTGTAAGTTTGGAAGTATTCCAAAATATTTTTTAAAAGTTATGATTTTACCCTAATCGAGATATTTCCAAAAGTCATATTTCTGAATATTTTAATTAAAGTCCATCAGTTGAGAATTCTCTCAATTCAAACTAAAAAGTCGCTGTTATTAAAGAAGTTTAGTTCTATAATCTGATTCTTTTCTAATGTGTTTTGCTACTGGTGAAAGCATATGTCACCATCTATCATGGAGGCTTGATAAGGTTTGGCTGTGTCCCCACCCAAACCACACCTTGAATTGTAATAATCCTCACATGTCAAGGGCAGGGCCAGGTAGAGATAATTGAATCAGGGGGGTGGTTTCCCCCATACTGTTCTCCTGGTAGTGAATAAGTCTCACCTTGATCTGATGGTTTTATAAATGGGAGTTCCCCTGCACAAGCTCTCTTGCTTGCTGCCATGTAAGACATGTCTTGCTTCCTCTTCACCTTCCACAATGATTGTGAGGTCTCCCCAGCCATGTGGAACAGGGAGTCCATTAAGCCTCTTTTTCTTTATAAATTACCCAGTCTCAAGTATGTCTTTATTAGCAGCATGAGAACAAACTAATGCAAGGCTAATAATTCACTTGAAAAACAATTTATTGAGTCTCATGTATAGTGAATATCTACATATAGAAGAATTTGATATTAAGGAAACTGCCTCTTTGAAATAACTATGTTTGAGGTAAGATTATCACTTTAGATGCAATTATTCAAAAAAGTAATTAATATTTTCATTCCTTTTCTATTTTGTCGGTGTATTCAGAAATGTTGTAAAGAAAACCATTCAGTTCAAATTTCAAACACACAGAGTATACACACAGACACACAGAATCATATGTATCCATGACCCCAAAAACTGTAACAAGTCTATTCCTTTTAAAATAATCATGGCCTTTGCTAGAACTCCCAGACCACTAACGTGCTTGTCCATAAGTTGGAGTTAGAGATAGAGCAGATTCCCAGAGCCCTGTGGTTTTATAAGCCAGTGCCATCTGATAACCATTGACCATTTCCTAAGGCCTACTTTCCACCACTTCTAAGAGACTCCATCAAAGGGAATACCCAACTGCTCTTCTAAAATGCAAATGTTACAAATCACTCCACTTCAGCAAAATGTTTTGTTCTTCGAGTCCGATGTTTTGAAAACTGCATAGCAAGGTCAGAAGCAACCAAAATGGCAAGATTTCTAAGAAGTAAAAGTGGCAAATTTTATGATTGCTCTCATTTATCCCTTCAGTGGACTTTTTTCTCCTATGTCACAGAAGCTCTGGCCAGCCATTCATCAGTAATTGTTAAGTTGTTACCTAATTAAACTTCATTTTAACCTCAAGTGCATTTGTATTTTAGTTTAAGAGTCTACATGAACTAAAATCCCTTCTGACTCAGAGAAATAAATGTCCTTTGGAGAAATTTCAAGCATCATAATCATTGGTGAAAGAATATTTGGAGCAAAAACCTCCCGAGAAACCACATTCTGAAAACATGCCCCAGCCTGAGTTCATCTCACTTAGCTGGGAGGCCACAGGGCAGTGAAAGAAGAGGCCTCATTCTAGCATCTCAAGTAATCAGGGTCTAACAGCAGTTCTGTTAATTACTACTTGGCTATGGACAAATGATGTACATTTCTGAACATCAGTTGAGTTAAATGTATAATGAGGATAATAGTAGTTGTTTCTTAGGGTTATTGTTACAGCTGAATATTATATTGCACCTAAAATGTCTGGCAGACAGCAGGTGCTTCATAAATGGCAGTTATTGGTCATAGTGTTTGCTGTATTTGCATCTTCATAGTAAAACACAAAAATGTGATCTGCATCTTCATCATTTTGGTTCTTTAAATAACTTTATTATTATTATTATTATTAAGAGATAGAGTCTCACTCTGCGACCCAGGCTGGAGTGCAGTGGTGCAATCATAGCACAATGCAGCCTCAAAATTCCGGGCTCAAATGATTCTCTCACCTCAGGCTCCAGAGTAGCTGGAACTACAGTCGAGTGCTACCACACACAGCTAGTTTAAAAATTTTTTCTAGAGATGGGGGTCTCACTATATTGCCCAGGCTGGTCTTGAACTAAACCCCCAGGCAATCCTCCCACCTTGGCCTCCCAAAGCACAGGGATTACAGGCTGAGCTACCATGCTTGGCCTAAATAACTTTCTTCTTTTATAATTTATGTTTTTATTTTCATTTTTTATTTTAGGCTCAAGGGGTACGTGTGCAGGTTTGTTACAGCGGTGAATTGCATGTCACGGGGATTTGGTGTGCAGACAATTTTGTCACCCAGGTAATCAGCATAATACCTAATAGGTAGTTTTTCAATCCTCACTCCCCTCCCACCATCCCCTTTCAAGTAGGCCTGTGTTTATTGTTCCTTTCTTTTTGTCCATATGGACTCAATGTTTAGCTCCCACTTACAAGTAAAAATATTCAGTATTTCATTTTCTGTTCCTGCATCAGTTTTCTAAGGATAATGGCATCAAGCTCCAGTCATGTTGCTGCAAAGGATATGATCTCATTATTTTTACGACTGCATAGTGTTCCATGGTGTATATGCACCACATTTTCTTTATCCAGTCTACCATTGATGGGCACCTAGATTGATTCCATGTTTTTGCTAATGTAAATAATGCTGCAATGAACGTACATATGCGTATGTCTTTCTGGTAGAATGATTTGTACTCCTTTGAGTATATATTCAATAATGGGATTGCTGGGTCAAATGGTAGTTTCAAGTTTTTTGAGGAATATCCAGACTGCTTTCCATGGTGGCTGAAGTAATTTAAGCCTGTCATGGCTTAGTGTGTGAAAACCACCAGAAAATTAGCAAACAAGGTAAGGACATTATCCTCAAAAAAACTAACAAATAAAAAAGCCACAGTTAAAATGTTTCTGGAGCACATTTCTTTATCAGGTTTACCAGTTTGCAAGCCAAAGAGAGGATAGAACTAATAACACTTTTCATCCTGAAAAACATCATTACACCTAAGTGTCATGCTTAAGCACCAGGAAGGGCTGAACTAAGAAGGTACTGTCAGGATCAGGGGCTGTGGCAACAGAAAGAAAGGATAATACAAAGAAAACTTGACCCTTATATTTTCATTAGGATCATCTCTACTTGAAAGTAAAGTCTGTGTGAGCTTTCAATTTGTATAAACTGTTAGGTGTTAATATGGTTTGGCTGTGTCCCCACGCAAATCTCATCTTGCATTGTAGTTCCCATAATCCCTACGTGTCACGGGAGGGACATATGCGTGTGTCTTATTTCCTGTGTGGAGATAACTGAATCACGGGAGCTGTTTCCCCCAATCCTGTTCTCGTGATAGTGAGTTAATTCTCACGAGATCTGATGGTTTTATAATAGGTTCTTCCCCCTTCATTCTCTTTCTCTTTTCTGCCACCGGTGAACAAGGTACTTACTTCTCCTTCACCTTCTGCAATGATTGTAAGTTTCTAAGGCCTCCCAAGCCATGTGGAACTGTGAGTCAATTAAACGTCTTTCCTTTATAAATTACCCAGTCTCCGGTATTTCTTTATAGCAGTGTGAAAATGGACGAATACAGGTTCTTATAAGGAAAACGATTATCATTAGAAAGATGAGGATCCTGGGATCTGAAATCTCTTCAGTGGAAGAGCAAGCAGAGTTTCCCTGGGCTTGGATTTGGCAAGAAGAAATTGGTCAAAAGCTTTGGATGACCTGCCAAACCTTAACTTGAGTCTGGTTTGAGGAGAAGGCAGTGCACAGACCATTGCAAGGCTAAGTGCATTGATTTAGTGTGAAGGTCTGTTGCCAGGCAAAGGTGAAAGAGCTCTCTTTTGGATATTTATAATAGTGAAACTTGTGGGTTGGGCCTGGTGGTTGGAACTTACTTATTCCTTTGTGCAACTGTTGACAATTCATGGAGTCTAGTGCTGTTCTTTAGGGACTAGCAAGGCCTCTGACTTCTGTCTGTGGCCTTTTTGGCATAGGAACGACATGGTGGATGCTGAAAGCTGTGGTTTGGTTTTGGTGGCATCTTGGTCTAACAGTGGATCTTGGCCTAATGTGATGCATCCTGAACTATTGGGTCATCACTGAGTGTGTTGTTCCAGAGGGAAGAGCTGGTGATTTCTTAGAAGTATTTGGAAACCGTAAGTTTTTTCCTTGTAATTTGGTCTTGATGAAGTTTTAACTAATTAGTCAGGGAACAGTGGAAGCTTGTAAGGATCTAATAGAAACTTGTCCTATTCCAGAAGTGATAGATGTTGTCATTATGTTGATTTGGGTTAATAAGTAAGATTTAGAAGTAACTCTACACTATGATTTATCTTGGGGGCAAAGTTAGCATTCTAGCCAGTTTTTACTGTAGTTTGAAATCAATGTTCAATTTAGGAGCTCTTTTCCCCAACAAGTGATGCCTAGTAGGTTCCTGGCCCCAGTGGGGCCTCATACATAATGAAGCCTCAATTCTATGTCTCATAGTTCCTGACATTTCAGCTTCATCACCAGATTAGACTGGACTGGTGAATTTAGGAGGTCTTCAGGTAGATTAATAAAGTTCATAGAGATTAAATGCTCAATCTCTATGAATGGATACACAGGTGCACTTGTATTTGAAATGTGGGGAAAAAACACCAAAGACTCTTGCCACTTTCAGGGTCTGTGTTCATTGAAAATTGAATCAATGTGTGCCTTGTCGGGGTGTCTCCATTATTCTTTTATCATTACCAATGGCTGATGATGGGGTCATGAGGGTGGTCCATTTGCGACCTGGTAATGGCAATCCAGGGATTACATACCCTTGTTACTATGTGGGATGGAATAATGACAGAACTTGTAGGTTGTGTGATCAAATATAACCATATCCCTGGACTAATGAGTCATCTTAGTGCCGTAATTGTATAATTTCATATTCAAGACATAGTATTGGCACTATTAGGTGATAAAGTTTTTACAAAGAAACTAAACAGGGCCGGGCGCGGTGGCTCACGCCTGTAATCCCAGCACTTTGGGGGGCCCAGACGGGCGGATCACGAGGTCAGGAGATCGAGACCATCCTGGCTAACACGGTGAAACCCCGTCTCTACTAAAAATACAAAAAATTAGCTGGGCGTGTTGGCAGGCGCCTATAGTCCCAGCTACTCGGGAGGCTGAGGCAGGAGAATGGCGTGAACCTGGGAGGCGGAGCTTGCAGTGAGCTGAGATCACGCCACTGCACTCCAGCCTGGGGAACCGAGCGAGACTCCGTCTCAAAAAAAAAAAAAAAAAAAAAAAAAGAAACTAAACATGGGATGCTGGTATTTTTCCTACAATAAAGTTTATCTGGAACCTCAAATTCCAAGTATTCCGTTAAGATATATATGTATGTCTGTGTGTGTGTATGTGTATGTCTACACATTAGCAGATACATACATACATATATATATATGTATACACACACACACACATATACACACATACATTAGCAGATACATATAATCTTAGGGGCATATATATATATATGCCTCTACCAGTTATCCATCTTTCTCAAATATCACATTTCTATTACAGTGAAATTTACCCACTTCTCAAAATATCTGCAACATAACTTCTTGGTGCCCTACCCAGATTCCTTTCACTGAACCACTGTATTCACCCCTTAGATGCTGCGGTAGTTGGCTGCTAACAGCTTATACCAAGACAGGAGCTAACTCAACTGGAGATGCATACCAAGTTAACTCCGCCCCACCACCACTCCTGGGCTGCCTCATAGCCAATGGCTAACTGAAAAGGGACCTAACAGTCCATCCCCCTGGCTTCTGGGCAGGACAATCTCTTGGTATGATTTAAGCTTCACAATATCCTGTGGGAAACTCCTGAACATACTTGTCTAGCTTCTTTCCCTGGTCCACCTGTGGGAGCAAAAAGCTGGTCTACCCTGCTCCACACGGTGATTTAGGAAGGTAATATATATAGCCTAGATATCTTGAAGGGATATTAACAGAGAAAGAAAAGAAAACAACCAAATGAATTCATAATGACAACAGCAAAAACTTAATGGGCTCATGGAAGAAAAAGATATTAACCACCGGGTATAACAATTGAGTACAAGAATCTCTAAAGTCCTTTTTATCATTTTTGTATCCTATTTCTAGAAAAGTGCCTAGATCATAATAAAAATTAAATGAAACAATGAATTAATTAACCAGACATTGACTTGTTCTATAGGAAAACTTGAAGAAATAGAGGGAAAACCAGCATGCCAAATTGTTCCAGAAACATCTGAAATGAAATAGCTTAGGTGCTAAACAGCCCTGAGACAGAATTGAGAAAATAGAGTTTATTTTGAAAGAGAAGGATGCAATTATAGTCATTAAGGCTCAACTAGCCAACTCATGTTATACAGTCATTCTTTTAGGCCTATTAAACAACATGGTTTTCAATGGGTATAGGCCTATAAGATTCACGGTTATCAGATATTTTAATTTTTAGCAAGGAAAACTGTTTACTAAATAAAATCTCACTCATACACTCATCACAGTCCACAATCAGATACGAACAGCTTTTATTGGTATGAGTTTGTTTGGTAAGTTAAAATTTATGGCAGAATCAATCATTCAGAAAATGAAGCTCTGCTGAATAATTTTTTAAAACTAAGTATAGATTATGCTTGTTTGTTTCCACATCAACCTTGGTAAATATTTTATTTCTCTAAGAAAATACCGACACTTTTTTAAATTTTTTTAAATTTATTCTTTAAAATTTAATTTAAAATAAAAAAGTATTTATTTTTTTAATTTTTAAAAATTTATTAAAAAAATTTTTAAGTATGCATTATGCTTGTCTGTTTCCATATCAACCTTGCAAATATTTTATTTCTCTAAGAAAAGCAGACATACATAAATAAGCAATTATAATGACACCAGTCATTCAGTGTCTCTCTTTGCAATCTCAGGACAGGCTAAGCCAATTCAAATATTTTAAAAACGTTGCAGTGAGCAATTTTGTTTCAAAGTTGAATTACTTAAAAACAAGGCTGTCATGCTTTACCTATAGCAAGTGCTTGATATAGCTAACAAATCATCCCAATGAGATATAATGACATTAGTTGTTACTTCACAAGTGAAATTAACATCTTTCACTGAGTAGATGACCTTAATCTTTACCCTAATGACAGGTATGGAAAGAGTACATTTTCTAGTATTATTTTACTTTTGCAGATATGCATTAGACTGGATAATTTAAAAATAATGCAAAATTAATACTTTTATTTCAATTATATATTTATTAGACATTTAAATATTACAGAAAAATATTTCTTCTAAGATTGACCTTCCCCCACTCCACTTCCACCCGCTCCCCCAAAAAAGATACACTATAAAGTTCAAGTTAATGTGCTGGTTATTCCAATGGGTCAATATTTAGCTGAATTTGAGCATAATGGCATTGTCTATTGAGGGCTCTGAACCATTAAACATGTATATTTGTACTTATATATACACTATATATATTTATGTATATATATAACCATACATATAAAAATATACATATACACATATACACACATACATATACACACATACATACAATGTACACTGTAAATATATAATATATAAATTTTTGTCAATAATAAATAAAAATGAAATTTAAATCAAACATTTATTAAAAAATCAGAAGCATTTTTGTTGAGACCTAGAGTTTTACGGAACACAGTCTGGAAATGATGTAAGGGAGAGTATATTCAGACCTTTAAATCTGTCTGATGCCAGTAGCCTGTCTTATCTCTTTAGCAGCGCATGGTTCTCACAAAAACTCATAAATGTGAATAAGGCCACTCAATATTTCAACAAAAAGCTACAGTGGCTAAGAGGCAGGGAGTGTTATGTAACCCTCAAAGCAATCACTTCCACTTTATCGAACTCTGCATATTAACGGTCCTACCACACATGAAAATCACTTGTGGAACTTTACAAAAAGACATGAACAACCAGAAACCATCCTGTACCTACCAAGTCAGAATGCCTGTGGCTGGAACCCATTAATAAATCTTAAGCAAGGTTAAATGGCTTTTCTAAGAACCAAAACCAAAATTTTCACCTGTCTGTTGTTAACTCCTTCACCCATGCTCCTTCCATCAGAAGAGGCTCTCTGAAGGGTTAGGCAAGATCAGGGCATGTGTGATGGCCCCAGAAATTGGATCTGAATAGTCCAAGGAAACTTGATACAATCTAGTGCAAAAATTGAATACAGTCAGCTTTCTGTATCCATGGGTTCTGCCTCCTGGGATTCAACCAACTGCAGATGGAGAACACAGTTCAGTATTTGGGGGATGTGAAACAATCCCCCAACCCCAATACAGAGAACCAGCTTTTTGTATCCACGGGTTCCACAGGGCTGACTAAGGGACTTGAGCATCCACACATTTTGGTATCCATGGAGGTCCTGGAACCAGTCTGCCTTGGATACCAGGGGCGACTGTACAGTATATTCTTTGAAGGCCATGTGCTTGAGCAGGATAATCCTTCCCAGGCTTATAGTCACAGAATATTATGTTCCTCATTTTTAATTAGAGGCCTGCGATTATCCTGACATTATAGATGATCATTGTCCATATGCAATAGAAGATGTCAACCAGCAACACCAGAGACAATTATCAAAAGCAAATGAATTATAAAGCTGTTGAAGGTACCTAGAACTATCTAGTCAAGTGAGTATAGTAAACACTGTGTCTCCTTTGTAGCTTCACTGTACAAGTCTTTGGTGGCCCTTGCAATATGTCCCAGATAAATTTCTGTTAGACCCTCCAAATCCATTTCCCATCCTTTTCCACCCTGCCTTCTCTCTTGGAAAGCTGACCTGTGTGGACGACAGAAGGGGCCCTAATGATAGTTTGACTTAAGATGTTTTGATTTTACAATAGCACAAAAGGATACACACTCAGTAGAAATGTGGTTGGAATTTTGAATTGTGATCTTTTCCTGGGCTGGAGAAGTTGGGGAAGATACTCTTCCGCAATGCTGGGCAGTGGCCGGGAGCTGCAGCTGCCAGTCAGCCACGTACACTCAAGGGTAGCAATCATGAGATAACACTATATTATAAAATAGAGGTGAATATGCCCAACTGTAAGCTAATGTAAGTGTTCTGAACATGTTTAAGGTAGGCTAGTCTAAGCTATGATGTTCAGTAGGTTAGGTGTATTGAATACATTTTCAACTTATGATATTTTCAAGTTACTGTGGGTTTATCAGGATGTATCCCCATTGTAACTTGAGGAACATCTGTATATTAGCGGACATCATTGTCTTCTGGCTTCTGTTGCATTTGGTCAAAAAAGAGGAGGCAAGTGAATTTATTTGCCTCCAAAGCCATCTTCTTGTGGGGTTGCCTCAGGCTGGCTGCATTCTTCAACCAAAGGTCATTGCTCCTTTCCATGTGTCCCTTTCTACAGACTCTTTTCAGGGTCCTGAAAACTGATTCAGCCTCTTTTCCTGCTGTGCCCAACTTTTGTCACTGTCATTATCTCTCATTACCCTGCACCAACCCTTGATTCCCCCACACTATGCCCACACATTTGCCAACAGTTCCTTCATTAAAGCCTTCTGGAATGATCATCATTTAAATGTATTACCTGTTTCCTCCTGGCTCACTGACTGATAGACAATACCATGCTTCTCTATGAAATTGTAAAAGTAGCTAACATTTACCCCTGAGCTCGACTTCTAGGGTTATATTTGTATTTTATTGCAATTAAATGGATTTGATTTTGTTCCTTAAAAATCTGAACATATATGCAAACTGAAATTGAGCAGTGATCACTGGATACCAATGATTTTCTTATGCTTGCAGAAATTTAAATCTATTTACCTATCTTTTGGATTAAAAATAATTAACTCAGGGAGTCAGATAAAGCACCTAATACAATCCTTCAGCCTCACAGGTAGCAGTGTGAAGGCTGGATTAGAGGCAGAGAGAGGTGGAAGCAAGGAAAGAGATCTGTAGGGTAATGGTGAGGGCAATGGCAGCACTAGTGCGGTGATGTGCTGGGGCAGACTCAGGGAGAACACACTTCAGACAGTAGGTAAGCTGATGGAGGTAAGATAAGTTAAGATGAAACACGAAAACAAGTCAAAATTTAGTACAAGTGCCAGTGACTTTAGACATCAAGATTTAAATTCAACTGAACATTTTTGGTTTATGCTAAAAAATGAAAAGAATTCAAATGTGTTCTACTTGAGAATTAGTATTATGATTGTCTCTGGAAAAAAAGTCTGTCTGGGAGTGGAAAGGAGAAGATTTCCAAAATAAAAGGGTCTAGCAATTATAGATACAATATAAATAACTCATTCCCCATTGATTTCTAACATACTATTTGCATGTGTTCCTTGTTAGTTATTTGAGCTGACCTGACTTTTTGTTGAATTAGGCAAAAGGGACACTATTTGTTTCTATTAAAGGTAATGAGAGAAATGAAAAATAAATTTTGCCAACCGTTCAATGTACTGGCCTATCAAGTTTCAGATTTGGTTCAAAATTTTTCACCTAAGTTAAAAGACAAAAGGTGGAACATTCCTGGATGGACTAAGAGACCGATACGGAATAGCATACAGATATTGTGAACATAAAATAATTATTAAAAACTATTTTTATGAGTTATATATAAAAAAATAAGAAACATATGGACTACATTTCCAGAAAACACACTCAGGTTTGAAAATTTAAAAGAAAAAAATAACCACCTTGGCAAAAAGCTGACAAGAGTTTGCCAAACCCCAACAGTTGGAAAAATAACTTGAAACATTTGAGGAACCAAAACATGGATGGGTTCGTCCTAGTTAAAAGGCCTTTTACGGTCAGGTGAATGTGGGTAACAGTGGAGGAGGCAGGGTGGAAAAACAAATTACGAATAACACATGGTTTGGCATTTTTCCAATCAATTTAACGGAAACTCAGATTAAAATATTCCACAGAATGTACCTGACTCAAATTTTCACACCAAACAAGCTCAACAATTCCCTGGGTTGTTGACTCAACTTGAAATACATTTTAACAATTTGGTATATCCATACTGCCTGGCATCTGACCCTATCAAACATAAATTCTAGAGTTAATAACCAGGATTTCAAGAAATTGAGAAAAAAGCACAAAGATGATCGCATGAATAAAAATTCTGCAAGGGAGGGAATATTAAGATGGAATATTAAGAATCCCAGCCACGAACCAACACTGGGGTGTATCGCAAGTGAAATTCTAAGTATGTAATTAAAAATTGTGCCCATGGAGAAGAAAAATGTTCATATGCTTCAGGCAATCTACACATCTGGGCTAAGAGCTCCTGGGTACATGTATAGTTGCAAATCAGAAACACAAAAGAGGCCGAGCACGGTGGCTCATGACTTGAATCCCAGCAGTTAGGGAGGCCAAGGCTGGCAGATTACCTAAGGTCAGGAGTTCGAGACCAGCCTGGCCAACATTGCGAAACTCCGTCTACTAAAAATACAAAAATTAGCCGGGCATGGTGGCGGGTGCCTGTAATCCCAGCTACTCAGGAGGCTGAAGCAGGAGAATCACTTGAACCAGGTGGGCAGAGGTTGTAGTGAGCTGAGACTGTGATCATGCCACTGCACTCCAGCCTAGGCAAAGGAACGAGATTCCGTTCCCCGCTACCCCCCCACCACCCCCCAAAAAAAAACACAAGAAAGAAAAGTAGTGGTTACTAGAGACAAATAACAATTGAAACTACTGAAGAAACAGTACAAAACTGAGGCTTTTGAGAAACGCTAAGAACAGTAAAAATTTATCATTCATTCAGCAACTGTTTAAAGTCTAAGAAAGACCCAAACAAAATAGAGGAGATACATCGTTGATGTGTATAAGTTTAAGAGCTGAGATTCAACAATCTTATATATTATTTTTATTTTCTCTGTCAAAAGAGTAACTTTCAAACACAGATGAATCATTTAGTTAAAATTGAAGCCTCAAATTAGTGAAAAAAGAGCAAGGATAATATGATTATTTTTGTTTTGAGAAAGTCTTACTCTGTTGCCCAAGCTGGAGTGCAGTGGCACGATATCTGCTCACTGCAATCTCCGCCTCCCAGGCTCAAGCGATTCTCCTGACTCAAACTCCCGAGTAGCTGGGATTATAAGCATGTAACCCCACCCACAGCTAAATTTTGTATTTTTGGTAGAGACGGGGTTTCACCATGTTGACCAGGCTGGTCTCGAACTCCTGACCTCAAATGATCTGCTCGCCTCAGCCTCCCAAAATGCTGGGATTATAGATACAGATATTAATTTTTTAATATGCTTTAGTGTCTGGGCCTGCTGAGTTATATTGTAGGAACTTGAACAAAATTGCAGAGAATGAGCCAAGTCTCTATAGGTAATCTTTGGTAATTCGTGGAAAATGTGAAAACTACAAAATACTAACATATCATTTTGATTTTCAAAGTGGTTAAAAATGTAGAGTAGGGATTTCCACTTTAATGAGGTAATAAACTTATGTGGAATACTTGCAGTATTTCAGTATATTAAGAAGAGTTCACATCTCTGGGAATTTAAGGATTTAACTTTAGTTTGACTTTTTGGAAATTTTCTAGGAGAGCTTGGTAAACTGTGTGTAGAAACTTGCTACCACTAGATAACTTCTCATATTCATGATTCTGGAAGGGAGGTAGAGAAAAAGGAACAAATATAGTAAGTATATAGAATAGTAATTAATAAGAGGGAAAAACTAATCTCAAATACACTCATAAGATTATTTAAATAAATAAGCTTTTAAATAATGGATTCAAAACAATAAATCCTTTGAAACGTTTATGAAAAGTACCTTTTAAAAACTAGAGACTCAATATAGACTTCTTTCCCTTCTTAACTATGATTTTTCTATGCAAATGTTCTTGGTATCATGACTAATACCTATGATCAGGAGTGGTAAAAATGCACAGTGGGGCTGACCCCTTGTTGAGGAATGGCTAAATGTGTTCACAATGGCATTATTTAAGAAACTAACCATAGAATTCAAGCTCCACAGAGAGTCAAGTATAGCAGAAGTATAGCTTATAAAGTGGGACATCACTTATTTATTTGCATAAATGAAGCGAAGGCCTACGATGTACCAGAACCTGTCCTAACCACTAGAATACTGTGACAATCAGTTTTATGTGTCAGCTTGACTACAATCCCCAGTCTGCAGTTAGTCAATCAAACAGATGTAGGTGTTGTTGTAAAGGCATTTTGTAGATGTGACTAACATCTGTAATTAGGCCAGCCATCATGACTCATGCCTGTAATCCTAGCACTTTGGGAGGCTGAGGTGGGAGGATCACTTGAGCCAGGACTCAAGACCAGCCTGGGCAACACAGTGAGACTCCATCTCTACAAAAAACAAATATATAAAAAAATTAGCTGGGTGTGGTGGTACACCTGTAGTCCCAGCTACCCAGAAGGCTGAAGTGGGAGAATCACTTGAGCCCAAGAGGTTGAGGCTGCAGTGAGCCATGATCGCACCACTGCACTCCAGCCTGAGCAATAGAGCAAGACCCAGTCTTTTAAAAAATAATAATAATTAGGTGTCTACAAAGTACAGAAGATATCCTAGATAATTCAGATGGATTATTTTTCATCCATTTAAAAGGCCTGAGAGCAGAACTGAGACATACTTGACCAAGAAATCCTGCCTGTGGACTGCAGCTTCAGATTGTGCTTAAGACTTACAGCCTGGCTTTCCTGATGGCCCGCCCTATGGATTTTCTATCTACTTCACCAGTTTCCATAATTGCATACACCAGTTTCTTGCAACAAATCTCTTAATGTATCTATATATATATCTTTGTCTATATTTATATTTGAATAGATAGCTATAGATAGGTAGATTAGATGATAATGAAAGAAAGAAGAGAAGAAAGAGAAAAGAAAGAAAGAAAGAAAGAAAGAAAGAAAGAAAGAAAGAAAGAAAGAAAGAAAGAGAGAGAGAGAAAGAAAGAAAGAAAGAAAACAGAACCTATTCAAACCATTCATTCTGTTTCTCTGGTAGAAATTTAACAATATAGATTTTGGTACCAGCAGGTAGGGTATAGGATGCCAATATAACAAGTAAATATGTGGAGGTGGCTTTGAAACTGAGTAATGAGTAGAGGCTTGATGGATTTTGAGACACAGGATAGAAAAGATCTAGATTGCCTTAAATAGACTTTTTGTAGAAATATGGATTTTAAAAACACTTCTGGTAAGATTCAGGAAAAAATGAAGAACATGTTATTGGAAACTGGAGGAATGGTAATTCTTGTTATACAGTGGCAGCTTGTTAACTGAATTGTGCCCTATAGTTGTGTGGAAAGCAAGACTTGTAAAGCAATGAATTTGGCTATATAACTGAGGAAATTTCAAGCAAAATGTTGAAAGTGCAGCTCAATTGCTTCTTTCTGCTGATAGTAAAATGAGGGTGGAAAGAGGTAGAGTGAAAAAAAGAACAATTAAGGAAAAAAGAATCTACATTTAATTATGGGTAAATTCTCAGCCTATCCAGATTGGAAACAAAAATGCTAAAATTTGGTGATTCACTCATTAGGAAAGGGTGCTCTGGAGAGAAGATCAAAAGTGTGGCTGGACAACCTTTTGCTGGTACTAAAGAGGTTTGGCATATGACTCATGGATCTACCAGGTCATCTCAGCAGAAGACAAAAACAGAGACAGAATTAACTAGGAAAGCTCTTTGGAGGATCATTTGGTCTAATTGAAGGAATTCCATAACATACACAGGAGAGCCACAACATTTTTGAGAGTGTTATTGCAGCAAAAACACTGTGAGCTTGTCTTGAAAGTAACAGAGACAGGCAAATGAAAGAAGATTGTCAGACTTCCAAAGCTCTAGAAGCAGGTAACAGGATGATGAAACTACTCAGTTTCAGGCATGCACTACCCTTCAATAAAAAGCAAGCACAACTTCAAAAGCAGAGGCCAGGGCCTTGAGCCACTGAGAATAATTCCCAGGTTTTGAAACCCAATTAATTTGTCCTGCTGGATTTCAAAGTTGCTTGGAATCAGTAACCCCTTTCTTCCTTCCATTGTCTCCTTTTTGGAATAGGAATTTCTATAACTGTTATACTTCTGTCTCACCATTGTATTTTGTGAGTAGATAACTTGTTTTCTAGTTTTACAGGTCCACAGATGGTGAGTTTTTTGCCTTTGGTTGAATTATACCCACAGTCTCATCTATTCCTGATTTAGATGATTAAGGTGATGAGGTTTGGGCTTTTAATCAGACATGTTTAAATGAAATTTTGGGCTTGAGTTGATGCTGTAATGGGTTGAGACTTTCAGAAATGATGAAATGGTTTGAGTGTATTTTGCATGTGAGATGGACATGAAACTTTGGAGGCCAGAGGGTAAACTGTAGTAGATTGAATGGTGGTCCTCAAAGGAATCAAGAACCTGTAACTGTTGCCTTATTTGTGGGGGGAGGGGAGGAAAGGTACTTGCAGAGGTATTAATTTAAGGGTCTTGAGATAAAGAGATTATCCTTGATTATTTGCTTGGGTCCTAAATACCATCACATGCATCCTCATAAGGAGACAGAGAAAGATTTGACAAGAGAGGAGAAGGCAATGTGACCTCGAAGGGAAATAATGGATTGATGCAGCTACAAGTCAAGAGGTGCCTGTAACCACCAGGAAGAGAAGGAATGTTTATTAGATTCTCCCCTGAAGCCTCCTGAGGGAGCATGGCCCTGCTGATGACTTGCTGTTGGCCTAAAGATACTAATTTTAAACCCTTGGCCTCCAGTACTAGAAGAGAACAAATGTCTTCTTTTTTTTTTTTTTTTTTTTTTTAAGCCACCAAGTGTGTGATAATTTGTTAAAGAAGACATGGAAAATTAATACAGGTACAAAGAAAAGACAGGAATCCCTTCACAGAGATGATCACAGTCTTGTAGGGTTCACAGACATGTCAGAAATAATAAAAATCCTTTACAAAAACAACATTAATGGTGTTAATGAAATGAATCATTAACAAAAAAGGAAAGACTGCTTTCTCCTTGAGTCAAGGTCATGTCACAAAAATTTTTTCAGCTGTACTTGCAGATTAAATTCATCTTATCCAGATAAGTAAGAGAAAGAAGGTGATTAGATAGATAGCACAAAGGTGCAGAGGCAATCAAATAGTAACAGGTGTTCACAATGTGGAACAGGCCTATTTGAGTGGAGTAGGGGATAAGCGAAAGGAAGGCTAGTAATGAAGTTTAAGAGGTAACCTGGGACCTTATTGTGGATGACTTTTTGTGTGGTCCTAAGGAATTTGAACTTATATGTAAGAAATGGGGAACTCTCAAGATCTTTAATGCAGTAAGCCAATAGGGGTTCATGAGATATGATTTTGTTTATATGTTATAGTGTTCACCTTAGAAGACATATAGAGAAGAAACTAGTGTGGGGTCAGGCAGAGACCAGGAGACCAGTTAAAAAACCAATGGCAACATCCCGGGGGAGATTATAAGACAGAGGTGACGGAAAGAATATGAATTTAAGAGTTATTTCTGAAGTCAAACTGCCAGGACTTGCTGATCAAATATATGTCAGGAATGAGAATGAATCCAAGGCTTCTTAATTCAGCAGATGAATGAATACTAATGTCATTAACTGAAAAAAGAATGATAGGGGGACTTGTGGGCTCTTTGTACGATTCATTCATTCACTTGATAAATATTTCTATCTACCTAATTTGTCCGAGCTCTGGGTTAATGATGTTCAGCTTGGAGTGATTCCAGGACCAGAAGGAGGTCAAGCAATGCAAGGAGGGTGAGGAGAGAAACAAGTCACTCTGGAAGTGTGGAACTTTTGTGTTTTGTTTTGTTTTCTGACTGGGCAGGCAGTGTGGAAAGGAGAGATGGTGGGTGAAGAGGTTGTAGTCTGGACACAGGAGGATGGTAAACATGGAAGTGAAAAATGTGAAACTGTTAAAATAAGTTGTTAATCAGTTACCAATACCAATGTTAATATTGCCTTGAACAGAAATGAAAAATGTAACCTTTAATTGATTGACTTTGAAATGCTTTGGATTTAAATACAGATAGCATGCCATATGCATTTCCTCCAATGGATGCTCCATAGAATTGCTATGGTGTAATTCTATGGCAGAGCAATTTCTAATTATTAAAGGCCTACAATGTACTGGGTACTGTGTAAAAATGACTTCTACTCCACCCAACATTGCAGCAAAGGAACAGTTATTGTAATAAATATGAAAACTGGTAATTTCCTCATTTTAATAAATGACAAAAGTATTATTGTAGATATTTTAATAGATGAGGGATTTTACTGGCAGAATTGAGATTCAAACCAAACACGAGACTCTTCAACCCCAAAGTCATGCTATTCTTAGCAAAACAAGCTACCTCATGAACATGCTGCTTAAAATCCCTAAATAATCGACACATTTTTGTTTCTTTTGACCAAGATTTAGTTCTTTGGGCAAAAATTTTTTCTATTGTAATGAAAGCTTAGCATATTTATAGATATTTTCTTTGATTGGTTTAAAGCAGGTAGCTAAGGGCATACATACACGCTTCAACTAGAGATGTTACATCTCTGGAATTCAAAGTGCCTTTATTTATTTTTAACCATGGTATACCATTGACCATCATATTTAAGCTAAATAAAAACTCATAACATTTAATTATATGCATGTTTTGTGAATAAATTTTTGTGATTTTTGTTGTTCTTTAAGCATATGAGATTGATCACATGTATTAATTGTCTTTCTTTCTCAAGAACATACTGAAATGAATCATTAACCAATTTATTCTCTTACTCCCAGACCATCCTTCCTCTTATTCTCCTCTTACCTCAGACCTCGAATTTCCTTCACTCTCAACTAGTACCCTTGCTCCTTGTTATTGAAAAAACAGGACTTCTGCACACTACTGTTTTTTCCCAAACATTTTATTTATCTATATTGGGTATATATAGGGAAAAGAAACGAGTGGGAAGGGTATATAAGATCAGTCTTTGGCTACTGTGAGAAGTAACTGGGTGATGACTAAAACTGATAAAGAAAGCACATTATTAACATACACCTCATAATATGAAAATAAATATCAAAAGAAATAGCTAAAACACTTTGAAAATGGAAATGTTACTTCTGAGGAATAAAACTAGTGGGTCTGGAGGTGCCTGGGGACATTATTTGTTCACTTTAAGCCTTTTAGCCTTTTTTAAATTCTAGGTGATAAAAAATACAATTAACAAAATTGTAAAATTGAAGGCTGGAAAAAATATGTAAAAACTATCATTGCTTAACAACTAAAGTGTTATTATAGGTAATTACCATGTTTTCCTCAACTTTTTTCCATGTTACATAACTCAAAATTTACTACTGACTCTTTAAGATAAACAATTTCTTTTGTAATTTATTCTATTTTTGAAAATATTTTAAGGGTTTTTAAAAAGAAAGAACTCAGTGGTGGGGAAAGGGAGAAGCACATACATTTCTATGTTTATATATATTACATCTTACTACTAGCCAGGATAAAAGGTTATCCCCTGCTGGTTATTGGACTCAACACAAAATGAGAGGGTACAAAAATGTTTTCCAGGACTAAAGGAGCTGCTGACTTTATCAGCAAATTTAATATGCCAAAGAAAGTGCATATCAAGGAGGGTTGTCAGCAGAAAAACAGTGGGTGAGCTGGGGAGATGAAAGGCCCAGTTTCTTATCTTCAAGACTAATGACCAGACCTTAGACCATGAAAATTCACCAAGGTAATAAGAATCTCTGAGAATTTTTGGTGAACAGTAAGCTGAACTCAAAATACAGCCCACTCACACCTCAGAATGATACCCTATCAGAATTAAGAGTTGTCCTTGATGAGGGCAGTTTCAAAGTACAAGAAAATAGCTAGATGTCTTAGTCTCTTTCAAGTTAATGTCATACTTTCTATACCCAAAAATCAAAAGTGAAGATGATATTTCTCTTTCAGACCTTGCCCTCTATTCTTTTCCTAGATCATTCTAAGACAGTGCTTGAATGTAAAGCTAATTACTCAAGCTATAAATGAAATGACTCAAGTCGACTTTAGTTTTCTTACAGGTACAATGTCATAATAAGGGATTATTTCCTAATCAACAGCCTGATGCTCAATTTGTAAATGAAATAATCACAGCCTATCAAAATTATTTGTCATTAAAGCATAAACTTATACACTGTATGGTATAAAGGTTTTTACATACATAGAAGCTAATATACTTGAACAAATGCAATAATAAGACACAAATATGATTGAAAGTATAACTGGTAGAAGGACTTGTAGCTGAAAATTAACAATAAAGGGTCTTCCTGAGGAGGAGCAAAATTGTACAGTAAAAAAGGAACTGTATTTGGAATCAGGAAACTTAGATATTAGTCCCAGCTCTCCCACATACCAGCTCTTTGCCTTTACCCAAGTCAGACATCATTTTCAAACCTAAATTTCCCTGTATTAGTCATTTCTCATGCTGCTATAAAGAACTGCCCAAGACTGCGTAATTTATAAAGAAAAGAGGTTTCATTCACTCACAGTTCTTCATGGCTGGGGAGGCCTCAGGAAACTTACAATCATGGTGGAGCGGAAGGAAACACCTTCTTCACACGGTGGCAGGAGAGAAAAACGCCGAGCAAAGCGGGAAAAGCCTCTTATAAAACCATCAGATCTCATAAGAACTCACTCACTATCGCGAGAACAGCATGGGGGTAACTGCCTCCATGATTTAATTACCACCAACTGGGTTCCTCCCACGACACGTGGGGATTAGAGGAGCTACATTTCAAAATGAGATTTGGGTGAGGACACAGCCAAACCATATCAGCATTTTTAAGCAAAATACAATTAATAATGTCCTCCTCATAGGTCTCTTAGGGGATTAAATACACTCATCTATTTAAAGTGACTGCTATAGTGACTGTCACATAGTAAGTGCTCAATAGATACTTGGCTATTGATGTTAGTACAGAATGAAAGAATATGTCCACAAGGGTAAGTAGCAAAGCTTTATATAATATATTCTACATTGTTATTATTGATTGTTAGCAGGAATGTTTGAAAACAAGTACCATAGAGAACCCACACCGAGGAAGCTGCAAGGCTTTTAAGAGGTCATCTAAAGTCAAGGACCCAGGCAAAAGGGTCTTAAATATTGGTGCCTGTCAGAAAGAAGACAGTGCCAATGATGTAGCTGTGTGTGGCCTTCTGCCAGGGCTCTGAGTAACTGGCAGAGCACTGAGCCTATGACTCATTATAAGTCAAATTGCCGTAAGTGGGAACCACCTGTAGTTAAGACAAGTGCCTCATTGAATTTACTAGAGCATGAGAAAATTCATTTAAGAGTGATCCCTTTGATGCAAAGTACATAGTCCTCAACTCTTGCTTTCAGTACTTTCTAGGAATTCCCTCTTACCACACCTGTATCTGGTAAAATCTTCTCTTCCAAGCCTCCTCTTTGGAGAAAACTGAGATCTGGAATCTGAGACTCCCATGGCCACCCTATGTTTAGATTATGTAGACTTGCCTTCTATACAACATTGTAGATGATGGATTGCTCTTAAAAAATAGAAATTAAAAAAGGGAACCATTTCCCATCAACGTCATGTATAAATCATAAACGAGGGAGCCTTATCCTACCTACTTAGCCTGAGTTCTGTCCCATGGTATAGGCACTCAAACTTGGTTTAGAAAACCAAATTTTCCAAAACAGCATCACCATTCACAAAATCTGTTTCTCTTTCCCTTCAACTTGTCCAGGAGTTCTCACTTTTTAAAGTTAAATCCTGTCTGGATATTGCCACACATTACTTGACAATTTTCTGTCTCTTTTCATTGTTAAAGCTTTAAAAGCTCACTAGTTCTTTCTGTCCGTCCAGTTGGATCTGAATCTGGCCTTCATTTTCCCTCATTTTATTTTCGTATATTTACATTTCAATTTCACTAAAAAGCCTTCTGGGCCCCTCATAACTCTCCCCTCTTTTTATTCCTTCCTAAATTTCCAGCAACATTAGCCCCCCTCTCCCCCATTTTCTCAGTGTGGTTTTCTCATGATTTGACTAAAGTTTTTAAAAAGGAAGACAGTAGAGATGAAGTGTCATTTTCATCATATCATATGACAGTTACATACTATCCACATTAATTATCAGTGATGTAGTTAATCTCGATCCCCTGGCAAGGTAGTGTTGGCAGGATTTTTCTATTGTGAAGACACTTTTCTCCCCTTCCACACTGTATTCATTGGAAGCAGGTTATTAAGTGTAACCCATTTTCAAGAGACAGAGAGCTAAGCACTAACTCCTTAAGAAAGGGAGTGTTAACATGTTATGTAGTATTCTTCTGTATGGAAGATTTGTATCTTTTCTTTCTTTTATTTGTTTAATAATGTGTTCATATCAATATGGACTTATAGATGTTTATTTATTTTTTGCTTTGAGTTACAATCCTACACTACGTCATTTATTTTGCTCTTCAAATTGTTCCATCTTTGGCCATTAGAAGCTTTTTCAGGATAGCTTCTATATTAAAGCTCATAATTTCTCCCATCTTATTACCTTGAACAAAATAAGAAAAAGCACACAAGCTGGGCTGTTTTACCTCTATATCAAAATTCAATATATTTATCAACATATTTTATCAATTTTGCATTCATCATCTTCCCTCTGTGCTGGCCTTCCTTCTTGCTAAATTTTATTTTTTAACAATTCCTTTATAAAGGCCTATTAATTGATAGTAAAATTTCTTAGTTCTGAAAAATGTTTAAAGAATATTTTGTCTTCATTTTTGAAAAATAATATAGCTGGGTATAAAAATTTAAGTTTAAATTTTCAGTCCTTTAAAGATATGAATATACTGTTTTCTGTTATCTACTTTTGCTGATAAAAAAATTTGCCTAAAATGTATTAATTTGGATTTCTCCTCAATCTAGAAACCATTAAGATAAATGAATTATCCCTCTTGTTAGTAAAATTCAACACGATGAGTCTAAATTAAAATTATTTTTATTCATTTTTCATTCAGAGTAAAGTTTTGATCTAATGAATTCTGGAAAATTATCAAATATTTTCTATTCATATATGCTTTTCTATCATTCCTTTCATTCCCTTATTCTATTGCTACCCTCCTTATTAACCTATACACCATTTACCTGGCCTTTTGTGTCTCTATTATGAAGAACTTTAGATGAAGGTACCTTCCTCCAAATCACTAATTCCCTTCAAATGTATGCACCATTTACGGAATCCATTAAAATAGTTTTATGTTTTTTAAATATATATTTTTTACTTTCAAGATTTCGAGTTTATTACTTCCTCTTACTTTTTTTTTTTTTTTTTTTTTTTTTGAGATGGAGTCTTGCTCTGTCACCCAGGCTGGAGTGCAGTGGTGCTATCTCGGATCACTGCAAGCTGTGCCTCCCAGGTTCACGCCATTCTCCTGCCTCAGCCTCCCGAGTAGCTGGGACTACAGACACCCGCCACCACGCCCAGCTAATTTTTTGTATTTTTAGTAGAGACGGGGTTTCACTGTGTTAGCCAGGATGGTCTTGATCTCCTGACCTTGTGATCCGCCCGCCTCAGCCTCTCAAAGTGCTGGGATTACAGGCGTGAGCCACTGCGCCTGGCCCTCTTACTTTATATTTTACCTTCATTTTACCAAATATTCTATTCTTTTTAATCAAACTTATTTCTTCATTTATCTCTTCAAACATCCTCAGAAACTTCACTTAAAATTTTTGTCAACCTCCACTGAAATTATATTTATATTTTGAATTTTGATTTTGTTGGCTGTAATTTTAGCATTTGATTTCTGTGTAATATCATTTGTGCACTTAGATGGGAATTTTTTTAAAATTTTCCTCTGTACTTACCCATCTCTGTTTAGCAGTCACTAGCTCTAACAGCCTAACACTTCATGATTTCAGCGCTCCTGCCAGAGGAGACACTAGGGATATCACAGAAGTATTCACTAGTCCACCAGGTTTCTTGGTTCAGTTTATGGTTTCCGAGCTTGGTTCTGTTACTGACCCGGACCATAGCTTGCTACAAAACATTGTTGCAGGTAACAGTTAGTTGCCATTTTCCTAAGCCTGCTACCATAATCTAGGGATCAGTAGTAAGATTTAAGTTTGAGCTTTAACTAATGAGACAGACTTTAGGTCTCCATTTATTGTGATATAGTTGGGTTTTTTTTATTTTTTATTATTTTTTTTTTTTTGCCTCTATTAGCACACAGGGGCCAAACACTTAGATGCCATTGCCTGCTTATCGCAGAGTCCAGAAAGCCTCTCATCTCAAAACTTTGAGTTTCTGTTTCTGATCTAAAGAGATAGGCTTTAGAGAATGCGTTTTTCTATTTTTCTCTTTTCATATTTTATGTTACCCATATTCACTGCATGCTTGAGTAGAGGGATGTAAACATGCATAAATATAAATTTAAAATGTAAGTTTATATATTTTTAATTGTAACTTAGGTGTAAAAGTATAAACTTTATGTGCTTTGTGGATCCTAGCTGTTAATATCTAATCTTGTAAAAATATTTACAGTCTATTTTTTTCAAAGTAAAAGAATAATTGGTCTGGGTACCGTGGCTTGCACCTAAATCTCAGCACTTTGGGAGTCCAAGGCAGGAAGATCACTTGAGCCTAGGAGTTCCAAACCAGCCTGGGGCAACATAATGAGACCCCATCTCTACAACAAAATAAAAAAAAATAGGCAGATGTGGTGGCATGTGCTTGTAGTCCCAGCTATTCTGTAGGCTAAGGTGGGAGGATCGCTTGAGCCCAGGAGTCAAAGCTGCAGTGAACTGTAATTGCACCACTACACACCACCCTGAGTAACAGAGTGAGACCTTGTCTCAGAAAAAAAGAAAAAGAATAATTGAACCAATATTAAGTTCTAGTCTATTTTTCTACATCCAATAGCAGCAGCAACACATAATGGGTACATGCACTGACTGGGCTAGGCATTGTGCGGAAGACATTTGCTAGGTTTAGAGATATGTGGGAATAGTAAATTATCACAGTCTTCTCCCTTTCTGAACCAGCTTAGAAACAGGATACAGATCAAAATATAATTGGTAAAGCTTAATTGAAGGATGGTGCTTTAACTTGATTCTCTATCCTTCTGACTTCCTTGGTTAGCCTTGGGACCTGCTATGGGAAGAGCACGACATTTAGCAGGTTTGCTACATGAAACTTTAAGCACAGAGGATCCATCCCACCCTCCAACCACCTCAACACACAAAAAGGCCACATACACCCAGTGATTTTTGCCAAATTAATTACATTCAACTGGGAAATGTAGGCCAACATTTGTCTACCTTTTCATTCCACCAATCATGTCACCGAAGTGGAAAAAGTTGATCCACTTTTTCCCTGGGGAGAAGTCAGTAAGCAATGAAAACAAAGTAACAGCATCCTTCTATTTACTAATGCATACGATAATTATCTGGAAGTTGTGTGAAACTGCAAATCCAGTAGGTCTGGGGTCTAACCTGAGATTTTGCATTTCTTACCAGCTCTAGGTCATGCAGATGCTGGTTTTGAGTAGCGAGTTTCTAGAGCAAGATTTGTGAAGCTTTTTCAGGAAAGCCCCAAGATTAAAAAAAAAAAAAAAGTTCTTATAATAATACAGAGATATTACAGTGGAGTTTCCTGGAGGGTACATGTGATGTTAAAATGATTAAATACAGGACAAGATATTAGAATCCAGCTATCTTCTTTAAAGAAACTTGTCAATATATAAAACAACACCATTTGTTTCACTATTTTTTTTTGTTTTGGAGAATATGATTCCTTATCATAAAAATGTTACCTACGTTAGCATATCATAGTTGTGGTATTGTTATTAACAAATATTTCTTTTTTTAGTTGTAATTTCTATTGTGGTAAATATTAGTAGATATAACCTACATAAACAAACGTTTTGTAGGTTTTTGAGAATTTTTAAAGGGATAAAAGGGCCCCAAAATATTTGAGATTCACCGCTTTCTAGAGTATGGAAGTTTGTTTTTCCTTGGTCAATAGACATACAAAGAAAGAGAAAGTACGCTCTCCTACTCTTACAGATATGTCAAGAAAATACTGAGAACCCACGTTTTAAAATACCACCTTAGCTCAATGTACTTGTGGACATTTTTGAAGGAAAAAAAAATCTGGCTGTGTCTTATGCTCTTTTTAATGGAATGTCAATAAACATTCAGCCAGTTCCTATTCAAGTTCCTTAATACTGGGAAATGGCAGAACAGGAAAACAAGTGAGTCTTAATCCCAAAATATGCTGCATTGCCACAAAAGTAGATGAGTCAATTTATCCTTGGCTTCCTTAAATCATCGTGTTTTCTTACCCATCTCATGGATGAATATTTGGGAAAGTATTTTCTTCTAACATAGGCCAGTATTTTCTTTATTAAACATATTATTTCTCTTCTAGGAGTTTCTTCCCGTCAAGAGAACACAAGTGGGGCAGTAAGTCAAACAATGCATTTGTTGACCTCACATGTGGCAAAAACTATAAAATGTTTCTGGAAGTTTAAAAGCAACATTTACTACAGGTGTGCCTAGTTTAGCTGCCTACAACTTGCCTTCACCACCTGTAGCTTTGTTGAAATGTTTGCACTCTTGACTCCCTTTCTTCAACCTCATTTTAATGGAAACTCACAGATGTGTTGTTTTGTGTGTAATAACACATTTGACCATTTTACAACTTCTCCCAAGCATTTATTGATGAGTGAATTCTGCAATGGATGAACTGCCTGGAAGGGGCTATCTCATCTACCACCTTTTCCTCTACCTGAGGGCAGCATAATTGAGATTATTCCCTTGGTAGATTTGAGCCATTACTGAATTCCCTTTTTAAATCTATCTGTTCTACTTTCTGTCTTAAAACACAACTGTCTTGCACTTATTTATGTTCTCATCACTTCCACCACCAACAATAATAGCTAACCTTTTTAGGAGGAGCATTTCTCTAAAAGAAACAGAGTTGTGGCTTCAGCTTTTGCTTTAATCTCTTTACCTTAGCTGCTTGCTATGTAACAATGAGTATTCAAACCAAGACAAACAAACCAACAAAACGCAGAACAAGAAATGCCATGCAACTGCATAGGCTGATCACATTTCAAATTATGAATTGCTATGTACTATCCATCTAAGTTCTTCAGGAAACCTCTCAGAGATTGAAAATGTGAATACCATATACACTAATCCTAAGGGTCAAATATTACATTATGTGATGGGAAAGATGAGAGTCATTGATTCTTCCCTCAAGTTAAAAGCAACCAATACCATTTGTAACTACCTGTATTAGTCTGTTCTCACACTGCTATAAAGATATTACCTGAGACTGGGTATTTTGTGAAGGAAAGAGGTTTAATTGACTCACAGCTCCGCATGGCTGGGGAGACCTCAGGAAATTTGCAATCCCAAGTTTGCAATCACAAGAAGGCCAAGTTGAAGCAAGGCCCATCTTTCATGGCAGCAGGAGAGAGGAACAGCAAAGGAAGCCACACACTTTTAAACCATCAGATCTTCTGAGAACTCACTCACTATCAAAAGAACACCATGAAGGAAACGGCCCCATGATCCAATCACCTCCCCCCAAGTCCCTCCCTCGACACATGGGGATTACAATTCGGATTACAATTCAAGATGAGATTTGGATGGGGACACAGCCAAACCATATCAATACCTGAGTTTTCTTTGAGGTGTGGTGCTCTAGAACACAAAAGTTTCTATTAAACTAAGTTATAGATAGTCATGATTACTTTCTTAAGCTATAATTCTTTTTCTTTAACTTAAAGATTTTTTAAAATTATATATATATACATATATGTATATATGTATATATATACACGTATATATGTATATATGTATATATATACACGTATATATGTATATATGTATATATATACACGTATATATGTATATATGTATATATATACACGTATATATGTATATATGTATATATATACACGTATATATATATACACGTATATATGTATATATATACACGTATATATATATACACGTATATATGTATATATATACACGTATATATATATATATACACGTATATATGTATATATATACACACACACACATATATATATATATATATATATATATATAGTTTTCTCTCTCCTCACCTAAACTCTATGGGACTATATGAGATTGATTTAATTGAAATCAATTAAGCCAATGTTTGTCAAAAAATTGTAAAGTCCGATGTTGTGCTAGGCACCGGAGGTGCCATGTGTGTAGATGGAGTCCTCATGCTCTGTGTGATGGCAGCCTGGCATGTGACAGGAGCAACAGAAAAATAAGCACACAAATGGCTTTAACACTATCAGGGACTATAAACACAAAAGGACATGAATGGAAAGGATGCACTGTTTCTTAAAAGTCTTCTCTATATGTAGTCCACATAGAAGTTGTGCATCTTTATACACCTTTTTGGATTTTCTACTTATTTGCATCAGACTTTTCTCCAGCCTTAGTAACTGAAATGTCTTAAACTTCTTTATTGCTCGCAGCCTTAGTGATTCTCTTCCAAAAGCTTCTATCAGAACAAAGTCAGAGGTAATCTCTGAGGCAAAATTTAAGTGAAAATGAAAGAGTTAAAACAAAACCCTTAACTGCTATAGTGGGTAATTTAAAATAACAATAATACATTTATTATTTATTTGCCATGTACTAGGTATTGCACACCAATTCAAATTCTTAACCTTGCTAACCTTCATAAAAACCCAATGAGGCATGTGTTATAATTGTCACTCTTTTGCAGATGAGGAAAAAAGTACACAAAGTATCTAAATAACTTCCCCAGGATCCCATACAGTGCCTAGGCTAGGACATAAAGTCAGGCCTTTTGGCTGCTTGTTTTGGCAGGGTGTGCTCGACCATAAAGAAAGTTAGCACACGGGGAGTGTTCTCCTTCCATGCCTTGTCGTTTGGTAGAAGAATTTTGTTATGATGTTCAGCTAGGCAGTTAGTTCTAACTGTTTAAGAGCCACGATGATTGGTATTTTTCTATACTGCAAGGTCACGCAGTGAGATGAGGAAGGCTAGCCAAACATTTCTTCAGAATAAACACTGGAGGAAGGTTAATGTCCTTACATTCCAGGATTTTACAGATAATTACGGTATTTAGTAAGACTAGGCAAGCTTAGAATAATAGAATTACAATGGAAGTCTTGGTTTTGATTAATTACGAATGTAAACATTTTATATTTAGTATACCCACCCAGATAAAAGGCACTGACAATTTTTACATAGACCAGCAGGTAAGTGACATTCATAGGTAAGTGACAGAACAGAAAAACAGGAACTACAATAATAGAATAAATGTTGCACACTTATTAGTTACCTGAGACTACAACTTTTAGGAATAATGTAAGAGATAAGCTTGTTAGTTAACATCGATCGCACCAATAACTATACACAGTTTTAACTCAATGTCTTAATATTAAGTATTCATTCTTATGCTCGTTGATACCAAAAATACTTAGATTATCTAATATATATGCAAAGGACTGAGCTAGGGGCTAGACATAACATGGCCAGGACAAAGTAGTATGTTAACCAGGTTATTTCTGTTTTAGGTGACAAAATCCCTGATTACACTTACTTAAACAAAAGTAAGAATTTTATTAACATTATTGGATTCGAGGATTGTGATGATTTATCTCCCCTTTTTCTCTCCTCTCTTTTTTACTTCCTCCTGCCTTCTCCCTTTCTCATCTCTGTTCAACTTCATTCTTAGACTTTTCCCATTTGGTGGGATCTGTGAGATAAAATGGCAATCAGCAGAGACTGGCTAGATGTTTCCCCCTCTTTCTTCTTCTTGGCTCACTACTGGTTTGTAGTTTTCAGCTTCCCACTACCATCTTTACATCTGGGTGGGGCCATAGGGCTATTACTGCCATATGGACTATATTTCTGCCAATGGACCAGAAGTATGCTACTTCTAGGAAGAGGCAAGCAAGGGAGACTGTGCCTTCTCTACTATCTCTCTCTCTTTCTTCTCTTTCTGCATCAGCCTTGGAGGCAGTTGAGGGGAAAGACTACAGGATAGAGCAAGCTTGAGCTCCTACTGCATGGATCACTACTGTGCTGGCCATCAACCCACAGGGGACAGTGACAGGAGCAAAGAATACACTTTATGTGAAACCACTGAGAATTTAAAGGTATTTGTTACAGCAGTTCAACTTTCCTTCTTAATACATGATCCTTAGATTGTCTGATCCCAGAGGAAAAGTGCTTTCAGCTAATGGTTTGAGCAAATGTCCAGTGGGCAGAGTTCTTCCCAGAACCATCAGCTCTGGCCAGATGTATGGGGCACTCTGACTTGTCAGGCTCGGTATCCAGTATCCAGATCTGAAGGAAAGCCATCAGCTTTATTCAAACATGTGGATTGACTTTCCTTGGAAAGGTGTGTTTTTATTACCAGAGACAAGGATGGTAAAGAAGAGCAACAGGAAAATATCAGTAACCACCCACATACATAATTTTAAAAATAGTTAACATATGTGTTTTGCATATTTTACATGTGTCCATGTATGCCTCCAATTTGCTAGTTACTGAATTAGAAACTGGAGATACCGTGGTGAGGAAGACAAGCATGGTCCCTGGTTTCATAGAACATACATTCTATGGTGAAGACAGAAAGAAAAAGAGAAAGAAAAGAAAAGAATGTGGAAAGAAGAAAGAGACGTTAGCCAAAAATAATTCTGAGACATTATTATCCTTAGCATGCAAAAAGTTTACTCATGTAGGAGGGACCCAACCATCAGACTACTGCCAACAATCAAAAGCAAAAATGAAACTTATGATAGAAAAGAGGGGAAAAAAATCTCATAATCTCAAGACACTGTTTTGCATTTTCTGGAAGGTAAACTGGTTGGCTGGAAGCTAGCAGAGACTCTAATCAGGTTACTTTGCTCTTTAATGCTCTGAAAACCAGCAATTTGTTAAAGTTATTTATGGATTCTCCGGAACGTCTCTGGAATTTAGCTATACAACATATGTAAGAGGCTTTCTCTGTGTCATACTGGCTAGTTTCCCTATGTTAATACCTCTACCTTTCTTAGATTCAATCTGCACCATTTTCCTCATCTGAATTTCCTAAAGAAAGGAAGACACCTACTAAGCTAATAGATGAATGAAATAATTGCCTATTTGATTA
Source organism: Homo sapiens (assembly GCF_000001405.40). Taxonomy (NCBI): domain Eukaryota; kingdom Metazoa; phylum Chordata; class Mammalia; order Primates; family Hominidae; genus Homo; species Homo sapiens. The sequence continues at coordinate 26,973,033 of NC_000021.9, read as the reverse complement.
AGGCTTATCAGAAATAAGTGTGAGTTTGAGGTGCAAAAAAACAAGCCAGGGATTATATAGTTAATTATAAATTTAGTAATTTATAGCCAGCTGTCGATAATGAACTCTATAATGTCAAAAATCAGAATAACTTTTTCAGTTGCAATTCAAAAGTCACCTGAAACATTTGGAACCAAAATGACATGGGCCATGGAGGGTCTGATAAACTTTCTGGGCAGATCTGGTGGGGATTTATCTGAGAAGATGATTTTGAACAAGGGCTCGAGTCTCACAAATGAGGGCACCACAACTGAATCCTTTCCTCTCCACCCCTATTCTGAAAAGATTCTGATGCTCCACCTCCTTGAAGGATGGGGGAGTCTTGTTTTGTCACTAACATAAACCGGACAGGGTATAGATGGATTGGAAGAGGGTCCTGAAATGAGAAAAAGAGAGGAGCAAAAGTGGTAGTCTGGCTCTTGGAAAGAACCACACTAGAAGCTATGGGCAAGAGTTAGTTCCCTGAATTGTAAATCAGTCAAAGCCCACTTCCTCTTCTCCTGCTGCCTCAAGCTCACATGCTCATATTTTCAAAGGTCAGAGGTGGCAATCTTTTTGGGATCCTGGGGCATTTGGGACCCTGGGGCATAGTGGTGAAGGAGAAGTTTCCGACAGGTCCAGGTTGGGCCAGCTGGAAGGAGAAAAGGGGGAGAGTTGATGGTGAGTTCCTGGAAGAGGGTTCCTTCCTGGGACTTAGAATCAAATCATCATTCAGCCAGTAAGTGACAGTGCATTGTCACTTCCTCTTTCCAGCTTGATTTAAAAGAGTAAGAAGCAGAGACGTAGGAAGAGCAACACCTCCTAAGTCAAATAAAGTGAGAAAAACCTGTAATGTATTTACTTGAACCCAGGTCTAGGAGTGTAACACAGATAACTGCTCTTCCACCTGTTAGTCCCTGACTAGGAAAGGTGTGTATGAGAGAGGTATGTAATAGTGTATGGAGAGTCTGAAAAAAGAAACTGTATGTTTTCTTCCACTGACCACATAAGCAACTTGCAATGACCCCAACATCATGGGTAGGAGATAATTACATTGATCAAGAAGCTACAGTTTCCATTTCCCTACTTGCCAGGGGTGAGACTGTAACCAACTGATATTTATCAGCTTTATGTGAACTTACTTCCAGTTCTTACCTTATTTACCAGAAGAATGTATTTAACATGGAGAGACCAAATAGTTTTGAGGAAGACTATAATATTTTAGAGCTTGAGAAAGGTGATGTTAAGATACAATCTTAACTGTAAAAATATATATACATAATTATAGAACCGAGAAACAACTCCTACTACAATTACAGCTACTACTCATTAAGTAATTTGAAAACTTTGCTTGAAATTTGCCATTATGAAGGAAGGGAAAGAAAACCTCAAATGTTTCAAATTACTTTCTGCTGGAAATTCCTGATTTTCCATGTGTTTCTAGTAAGGTTTGATTTTTGATGATTTTTGGAAAATAAGGAAAAATAGAACTCAAGTAACTCATAAAAGCAAGTAATATGTGCATAATTGTGTGAGAAAAGCTAAAACAACATTTCACAGCTGGTCAGCATAAAAAATGACTTGTCGGTTTTACTTTACAGATAACACCTGTATGTCTTAAATAATACATATGTACATTATTCATTTGAAGACTTCTATATAGTATAAAATTACTGTGTATAAAAAATGAAAATCTGGCTTTCTAGAAATATATTTTCTATAATATTAAGTAAAACAGATTCTAAAGCATATGTTATCCATCACAATAGATAGATTGTTTTGTAATATGTCCTAATCAGATAGCAGAGAAGATGGTTTCGAGTTTTATCAGGCATTCAGTAAGGTTTCCCGAGGGGCAAAATAAAAGAATCTCTACAATGCAGGTCTCTAGAAAGTTTTCTTCGTAAAGGCAGAGGATGGTTGGTTTAATCCCCTCTTCTATTATCTGAGCTCTAATTAGGATTTCTATCAAGCCATCAGTGCAGCCTAGAGGGAAACATGAGTTCAAGTGAGTACGTGTGTGGCACATGCATGCTGACATGTGCTGTGTGTACTAATGCATATGAGATTGGGTACACATGCATTAGTGCATCAGGGTCCATGTTCTGCCATTGTAAATATCAGAGGGGATGGACGGGGGGAAAAAGAGCTGGGGAAGGAGGGAAGAAGGACTATTTAAGTGTAGTTTCACCCTCTAAAAATGAAGAGTTCATATCAAAGCTAGAATCACTCCCAAAGTGTGACCTTTGGTTTTGAAGCAAAGCCCTCTAAAAACGAGAATTTGCAAAGCGAGTGTCACAAAAGGGAAAAGCTCACCCAGTGTCTTTAAGGCATTCATTCATGGTCCCACGCAGTAGTGGAGCTTAGTAGTGGAGATCTTACCCATAGAATCCACACACCCTGCTACCACCAAGGGTGCCGATACTAAAAGGGTTTCCAATTCAGCAGGCCTAGGGTAGGGATCTTGATGTGGGAAAGAAAAACGCAGAGTTGAAAGACTGTAATTCTTCTACATGGGAGGTAAGGAGCAGGTGTTTGGCCGGAAGGGAATATTTTACTGTCAGATATTTCCTCACTCTTACCATTAAAATCATAGTTTGGGGTGGGGGGTAGGAAATGACACTTTAGCAAATGGAAATTTGAGAAAATGCTACTTAAAAGAGTATACAAATTATGGAGTGGAGCTATATTGGAAATACAGGGCTCAGAGCACCTGCAGGAGTAATTCTCTTGCTTTCTCCCCCTCTATATTTGTATTTTCCAGTTTGTATTCTGTGCATCTATTATACAAACGGCTCCATCTCTAAACTGTGAGTTTCCTCCAGACATTACTCATGACTTGTTCATCTTCTCATGCCTCCAGAGAGCCTCATAAAGCACTTTGCAGTAGGACCTTGATAGATATTTGTTAAACTGGATACATTGTAAGAAGTGTTGTAGAATGAGCCCAAATTAGGAGCTGGGAGATTTAGGTTTCAGGACATTCGGCCACTAGTGGACTTTTTTATCCACAGGCAAGCCATTTTGGCCTCTGGGTCTCAGCTTTTCACAGTTAGATGGAGAAAGTTGCCCTACCTGATCTCCAAGATAAATTATAACATTCTGGAGTAGTAAGTCCTTCTTCCTTTTAGGAAATGTAAAATCATCTATCATGGTATTTGTGATCATATACTCTATAAATTCAGTGGAAATTTCTCATTAAATGTGCACAAATAAAACTGTTACTTTGAATGAGTAGCAGTTATTCTGCTTAAACATGATTGCTAATATATTTTTCCTTTCTACTGTAAAAATAAAAAGTTCAGCTACTTTTATCCAGTGCAAATTACTTCCTTAGAGTGACAGATAGTAATTTTTTCCACAACGTAGCAGCTCATCCTAATCCACTAGTGTAATGTTTTAAAAATACTACCAAATGAAGTTTCCAAAGTGTCCAAGTTACTTTCTAAAAAAAAAATTATATCGAAGTAGAAATTTTCTGAGATGTAAGAATTTATTCATTGTATTCATAAGATTTAGTATTTATTTCCTTGTGAATATATACCTCTAGTAAATATTCTGTGCTTGATATTCATGTTTGGAACTTTATCTGTGTCTATCCTGTTCTCCCCATGTATTTTTAAATATTTGAATAAACTGAGTACAAATGTCACTATATAATTAAACTTAAAGGCATAATATTCAGATTCAGGATTCAGCACGGTGTTTGTGAAAGAGGAGAAAAGCTTCATTAAGAAGAAAATTCAAGCCGTCACTGTGTCTCATCAGGTGGGAGAATCCCTGGAGGTTATGAGTTCAAGACCATCAAAGAAAAGAGAATCTGTTGGAATTTCCTGAAATCCTAAATAACAAAATCTATCTGTGAATGAAAATAATTGTAATTAACAAATTTTAACCACTGTCACCTAAAATGCCTATTAAAATGATTCTTTGGCATGAACAATGACAAAATTGTTAAATTTATTGAATCAAGGTTGTATTAGAAATGGTGTTTAGTGCCAAATATTGGACTCCTTTTCACTGTAACTGGTTAAAAAGATAAAAGTTTGCTATTTGTAGGTGCAAAGCAAGGACCACAAAAGAGAACGGCTAATGCAAGGCTCAAAGGCCTTGGTGGGATAGAGAAAATGGCTGGAACCTCCTATTCTGACCCATCCAGCTGTTAGCATTGGCCTGGGTCAACTGGCCACTGAGAGGCTGAGGCATTGTGGAATTATAAAGCAATGGCCTTCAGCAATAGTAACTTCCTCCCTGGTCCTGATGTATTTCAGAATCTATCAGGGGCTGTTGGGTGTCCCTAAGGCCCCAGTGATTTCTTTATTTATAAGTTAAAACAAGATGATACATCTGCCCCTCACAAGACTCCAGAGGGTGTTCCCAGGCACACGGCAATGGGTATTGTTGCCGGGCAATTCTGAAATTCCTTCCAGAGGATTATTGCCACTCTAAGAACCTCCATCAAGCTCTGGACCCTCATGGTTCCCTCCCAGAGAAAGCGATCAGCTTGGGGCCCCATTAAGGCACCCGCCCTGCTATCCCCAGCGTAGCCAAAGTTAAACGTAGAAAAAGATGGAAATGTACAAATTACACCACATTCATTTTTCACTGGTGCATTAGTTAATTAGCCTGAAGAATAATTTGGGCATGGAGGGAGCTCTTACCCCTACAGTAGAAGGTAGACCTTCTAACCATAAGTCGTCGGGTTTTCCTTCTCCCTTCTTAGAATGATAATTAGAGGAAACAAAGAGGTCAGAGGAAACGAGTAGCAGTGATAATGTCACCCGCGTACTAATAAGCACCAATCTTCCTTCCGCCAAAAGTATTCTTTTTCTTCTAAAAGGAATTTCTGAGAATGAAGGTAGGTCAAGGCCTATGGCGATAAGTGGTTGCTTTAGAAGAGACAAAAACAGATATAGGAATTTATTATTAAAGTATCATTTAAGCAAAAAATAAAAGTATGAGCGCAAAATTTTAAAATCTTTCAGGGAAAAAAAATGAGCGGAATTCCCTCTAAGAGTTAACTCTTTCTCGCTCTGCCTTTTTAGAGCAAAGGAAGTTCCAGTGGGCTGGGAGTAAGGGACAGATTGTGGACCCTGACGAAAGGCGTGCTGGAGAAAGCTGGGAGCCCGCCGTTCGCACACAAAGCTGCGGAGTTCCCAAGCGGCGGGCGTTCTCGCCCCGGGGTACCGCAGCGCGCCAGGAAGCGCCCTGGGCTCTCTGGCTGTCCAGCCGCTCTGCTGGTGGCCGGGAGAAGTTAGTCACCCGGAGCCCGAATCCGGCGAGCGTCAAAGCATCAAGAGGCTGGAGAATGGGGAGGGAGGAAACCGGGTGCCGGGACGGAGGGGAGGAAGCGAAGGGAACGCGGTGGTTAGGGGACGCACGGGAAGCTGAAAAGCTCTGGCTGGTGGATGGAGTTGCACGGTCTGCGAGGCCAGAGCGCACGGGTGTGCAAAGGGGAAAAACTTGCGGCAGGAACTTCCCACCGAGGGCGAGAAAAGCAGGCAAGAAGGAGGCAGGGAGAGACTTGAAACGTCTCAATAACTTTAACCAAAACACCCGTTCAGGAGATGAGGTAAGCCAAGGTTAGCCAACCCCAATTGGTTGTGAAATATCAGACAGACCCGGAGCCGCTGTGGCTTTAAAAGTGGCCAAGGAAATCTGTTTTTCTTGCCCCATTACTTTTTATTTTCCCCTCTCCCCTCCTACCACCTCGCCGGGTCCCAGTCCCTTCCTCCTACTTCGTCTCCCTTTCCTCGATCACCCTCCTCTTTTGCCCTCCCCCATCTGATTAGGCGCGGACTGGGAAGGGTGGGAGTGGTGGGGGAAGCTCTCCCTTTAAGAGGCAGCGTGCAGTGACGAACTGTTGAAATTGCCATTGCAGGATGGCATGCCGCTATAAATTCATTGTTCCACCTCCTCGCATCTTCACAGCGCTCGCGCTGCTCTCGGCGCTCGCAGCTGCCGACTGGGGATGACGGCGGGCAGGAGGAGACCGCAGCCGAAGGGACACAGACACGCCGCTTCACCAGCTCGCCTCAGGCTGCCCCCCTGCATTTTTGTTTTAATTTTTACGGCTTTTTCCCCTCTCTTTCTTCCCTTCCTCCTGGTCCCAGCAGAGCCAAGGAAACCCACAAAATAAGAAAGGAAGTGGGCCCCGGAGCTTGGAACCTCCACAGCCGGCTTGTCCAGCGCAGCGCGGGGGCGGGAGGCTGCGCGCACCAGTTGCCAGCCCGGTGCGCGGTACCTTTCCTTACTTTTCTTGAAACAGCGATCGTGCCTGCATTTGGTGGTTTTTTGGTTTTTGTTTTTTTCCTTTTCCCGTATTTGCTGAATCTCCACTATCCGACTTTTTTTTTTTAATCTTTTCTTTCCCCCCCCCCCCACCCCACCTCTTTCTGGAGCACGAATCCAAACATTTTCCCAAGCAACAAAGAAAAGTTCGCACGCTGGCACCGCAGCCCGGACAGGCTGGCGCTGCTGCCGGGCCCCCCTCCCTCCGACACTTGACTCAATCCTGCAAGCAAGTGTGTGTGTGTCCCCATCCCCCGCCCCGTTAACTTCATAGCAAATAACAAATACCCATAAAGTCCCAGTCGCGCAGCCCCTCCCCGCGGGCAGCGCACTATGCTGCTCGGGTGGGCGTCCCTGCTGCTGTGCGCGTTCCGCCTGCCCCTGGCCGCGGTCGGCCCCGCCGCGACACCTGCCCAGGATAAAGCCGGGCAGCCTCCGACTGCTGCAGCAGCCGCCCAGCCCCGCCGGCGGCAGGGGGAGGAGGTGCAGGAGCGAGCCGAGCCTCCCGGCCACCCGCACCCCCTGGCGCAGCGGCGCAGGAGCAAGGGGCTGGTGCAGAACATCGACCAACTCTACTCCGGCGGCGGCAAGGTGGGCTACCTCGTCTACGCGGGCGGCCGGAGGTTCCTCTTGGACCTGGAGCGAGATGGTTCGGTGGGCATTGCTGGCTTCGTGCCCGCAGGAGGCGGGACGAGTGCGCCCTGGCGCCACCGGAGCCACTGCTTCTATCGGGGCACAGTGGACGGTAGTCCCCGCTCTCTGGCTGTCTTTGACCTCTGTGGGGGTCTCGACGGCTTCTTCGCGGTCAAGCACGCGCGCTACACCCTAAAGCCACTGCTGCGCGGACCCTGGGCGGAGGAAGAAAAGGGGCGCGTGTACGGGGATGGGTCCGCACGGATCCTGCACGTCTACACCCGCGAGGGCTTCAGCTTCGAGGCCCTGCCGCCGCGCGCCAGCTGCGAAACCCCCGCGTCCACACCGGAGGCCCACGAGCATGCTCCGGCGCACAGCAACCCGAGCGGACGCGCAGCACTGGCCTCGCAGCTCTTGGACCAGTCCGCTCTCTCGCCCGCTGGGGGCTCAGGACCGCAGACGTGGTGGCGGCGGCGGCGCCGCTCCATCTCCCGGGCCCGCCAGGTGGAGCTGCTTCTGGTGGCTGACGCGTCCATGGCGCGGTTGTATGGCCGGGGCCTGCAGCATTACCTGCTGACCCTGGCCTCCATCGCCAATAGGCTGTACAGCCATGCTAGCATCGAGAACCACATCCGCCTGGCCGTGGTGAAGGTGGTGGTGCTAGGCGACAAGGACAAGAGCCTGGAAGTGAGCAAGAACGCTGCCACCACACTCAAGAACTTTTGCAAGTGGCAGCACCAACACAACCAGCTGGGAGATGACCATGAGGAGCACTACGATGCAGCTATCCTGTTTACTCGGGAGGTAGGTCCAGCCGGGATGCGGGGGTCCCAGCGCTGATATCAGGAGGTAGGTAGAAGGGAATCTTGCTGGTGGCTTTGCTTCTCCCTCAAACCTCCTGCAGCTGTGGATGTGTTTAACTGCTTCTTGCAGGAAATCCAACCAGCCTTCAACTCTGCTCCTGTATTCACGTTAGCCCCGCAGAAATTTTTGCCTTAAATGCCAAGACTTGCTTAGGTGATGATGAAGACCCAGTAGTGCTGCATGTCATCTAGTCTGAGGTGTTGTGGCATAGGAACGTAAACATAAGAAGGCACAAGGATGCTTGGGGAAATGATACAGTTAAATGGGGAAAAGGAAGGAAAACAAAGTTGCCTTTGGGATCATGGGTCTTCTTCTTTCCAGTGAAAATAAAATATAACCTTGTCCCACCTAATGGAAAGGGCTGGATGGTTCACTCACGGTACTCACTGTTATCCGATGACCTTCTTTTGTAAGTGTCCACACCTTTTTACTAGAATCCCTTCTGTTACACAGAGGATGAGAAAACTTTCTCAAGGACTCTTTTTCCAGGTTGGATTCCTAATGGAGTTCTTACATGTCCACCTTGGAATCTCAGTTCCTGGGAAGGAAGGAATGTGGGCGGGCCAGCAGGGTACAGAGACCCAATCAGATGAGAGGACAAACTTGTGAGGTTCCTTAACAACTCCTTTGCTTAGTCGACCAGTGCGTCGCAAGCACTGCCCAGGCCAACTCCGCCGCCTAGGGAGGGTCACATCCCGTTTGCGTGTTTGGGTTTTGGATGAATATGTTTCCGAAGCCCCAGTGCAGAAGATCTGGGCGAAGAGTCAAGACAGAAGGAAGAAATGTTTTCCCAGCATTTCCCCCTTTTAAGAAAGATGGTTATGGGGAAGCAAAGAAATGGATCTTTAAGGCTCAGAGGCTCAGGGAGGAACGCAGTATCTATTTACACAGTATTTGACCACTACGTTAGTGTGACATTTACACAAAAAGTCTGGGTTGGTTTGGGGCCTGGCTTGCGCATAGTTCTAAGCCTCAGTTGTCACAACTCGACTCTGATTGGCAGTTTTAAGTTGTGCCTCTTAAATGCCTGGTAAGAATTGACTTCTAAAGCTCATTCTTTAAGTATTTGAGACCCATCCAGAATAGATTAAGGATTACAAACTTTGAAGTATTATGTAAAATCATGGTATGAAATGAAGCAAACAGAACAAGGATAGGAAATTAAATGATGGATTGCAGACTTTAGAATCACACAGCTTCGCTACCTAATTCTTCTATTTTTACTAAGGCACCCCTGGTATGAAGGAAAAGTGTTGATAAATTTGGAGTAGAGAAACACTTGTGGTTCATAGGGTGGACATTAATGTAAACCACATGTAAACAAAGATGCTGGAGGGCGGCAGTTTAGGGAGAGCCAAGCAGCGCGCAGTGCTGTGCACAATGGAAAACATTTTTTTCCTCATTAAGTGATTTTCTGGAAGCCATCCTTTAATTCCTCTGCACAACATTAGTCTTTGAAGCGGTAGAACATTCATTTGTAGCCTTCTCTGCAAAATGAAGTTCTGTAAAACTATCCATTTCTTGTTAGGTTTCCAAGCTCTTTTTTTTTTTTTTTTTTTTTTTTTTTTTTTTTTTTTTTTTTTTTTGGTAAGCAACTTTCCGTGTCTGGGGTTCCTTGCTCTGCTACATCACAAGAGGATGCCAAGAAGGAGGCTTTGGAGAGTTTATGGAAGGAGGTTCTCTAAAGGAAGAGGAAGAAATACTTTTGTAAGCATACTGCGCCAAGGAGTGGGTCATTTTAGTAGTTCACTTTCATTTTTAAACACAAATCCACATTTCATAATTTTAAAATAAATAAAAATTAATAGAAGGTCTGTTACTTCCTACCTCCTGCCCCATAACATTCCTAATTGTTTCCCAGAAAACAGGAAACTACTCAGTGATTCTCAATGATTTGTCGATTACTTTTTCCGAATTTGTTTTTTGTTTGGATAGTTAACTGTCCCTATTTTTCCAAAGTCTGAAACTTAACAGCATATTTTAAATAGATACAAAGCAAGGGACAAATAAATTAATGGTCCATCTTAATTTTTGTCAGTATTATAAGGACATGCATTTTTCAAACTAGTCTACACATGGAAAATATTTCACATGGGCCCTCTCTGGTCTCCTTGCCAAGCAGAAGCATACTTTTAGGAAAACAAATTTCATTTGTGGTTGGCCCTGTAGTATACACATCTAACTTCACAAGAAGCAAATATTTGAAATGCATGTGTATTTTCAATAGATGCGCCCAATTTAAAAGAGTGTTACTAATTAGGGGGTTGAAAAAAATTTCAAGGCATTTATGCAGCATTCATTTGAGAGTATTTCACAATGCAAAGTGAACTTTGCCTAATACTTCAGAGCATGAAAAAAAAAAAGAAGTCTGGAGGAGAGATGATCTGAGGTCTTCCATCTCATGAAAATCAGATTATCTTAAGGCCCAAAGAAAAGCTTTCAGAGCTATTTCCTTTTCAATGAGAAATACCCAGAGTTGGCACCAAGATTCTACTTTTACAACTCTGTTTTGAATGTAAGAAGTGCGTTGCTTAGCAGCCAGACGCCAAGCTATGAAATCCATGTTTTGATGGGCTCTGAGTCCTGCTCAAATTTAGGTCCAGATGTCTTCTCCTAAATTGCTTGTTTTTTAGGCATGAAGCGAATGTACGAGGATATGTTTTCTACCTCTGTTTACTAGCTGAGGCCACCTTGAAAGTTGCATCTGGAAGTCAGCAGAATAGAGCTAGTAACTCATTTATCAAACGATCACACTTCACTGTCAGGACTGTACCCAGCACTCCAGTACTATTCTAATTAGAGAGAGTTAGCACCAGTCAATTTCCTGGCATAAAAGCTGTTTTCATTCTGAAATGGCACTAATGCTGGAATTCACACCACTTCTGCCATCAAACAGTAGAAATCCAATCTCCCCAGGATTTAGCTTTGCTTTCCAGAATCCTTTCCTTGTTCTGGACGTCCTCTTTTATTTCAAGATAATTTCTTCAAAGACAAACTCTTACAGTCGTTTTTTTTTAGACCATTTGCTCTTTAGAAACAAAAGCCTACCTGCTTGATAACAAAATAGGAAATTGTTTAATATCCCTCCACCCCTTCATGAAAGCAGCAAAAACCTTACTCTTTCATAGATTGAAACACTGAATTAAAATCGAACCAACTAAGAGATTGTGCAATATAAAAAGATAATTCCCTTTCATTAACTATCAATATGCCAGTTGATAGATCACTGTCTCAGCTAAAACTCTGTACATTCTGCCTTAGATTGCTGGGACCGGGTCTCCCCACACGGCATTTCTCCTTTACCACGTGGCTCCTGGCTTGATTCTGACAACAGGGGGCAGTAGAGGAAGACCAGAAGTTTGGAAGAGGGAGAGGGATGGGCTTTTTCTTATTGGCTTGCTGCCTGGACTAATTCAGTCACATATTTGAGCTGAAATCTCATTTAAAGTCAAAAGTGAACCCTTGTCAAGGAATCAGAGCCTATAGGTCAATCCTAATCAATAAAAGGATAAATAACTCAGAAGTGGGGAGACTGGTAGCAGACTAAGCAGCTCTAATTAACATTTTTACAATAAACTGTGAGGGATATTATGAAAAATCTAAAATCTGTGCAGTATCTGCCTACATGCACCTCCTATGTGTGAGACTCATGTAGGCAGTTTAAGGCAGCGAGGTAGAAATACCTGCTCCCTGCCCACTAGGCGTATCCCCAGCAGAGTGGAAACAGATACACGTGGAAATCACACTACTGTTAGGAAAACTCTGATAAATCCCATACTGAGATATAAACAAAGTCTGTGAAAGGAAAAGGAAGGTAACAGTTAATTCTGCCTATGGACCTTTCTGTAGGTCTCATTGCAAATGTAGAATTGAATTGGTCCTCAAAGGATGGATAGATTGGATTTAGATTCAGCCAGCTGCTATTGAGCATTTCTTATGTACTATCCATGGCCACAAACTATTTTACAATTAATCATTTCAACAATCTGTAACCATTGTGTAATTATCTTGACAGAATTCATGTGAAGAGAAACAAAGATAAACTTCTTAGACTAACAGCTAACAAATGGCAGACAGAGAAGACAGTCCTGTCTAGTGCTCTCTAAACTAAAAGCATTATCACTAATTTATTCAAACCTTTAATATGCTCCTCGTAGGCAAGGAGGGATTCAGAGATTTAAAAAGTAGCCCCTTTCTTAAGAATCTATTCCTGGAAACAGACAGGGAAATGGTCATTGCTGCACAGCATGATGGCTCTTACAGTAGATGTATTTGTAAGGTATTATGGAAGTGCATTAGAAGATTGCTCACTCCATCTGAGTTCAATTTTGAAGAAAGAGTGGGAGTTAGCCAGATACGTAAGGAGGAGATAGGCATTGCAGACATCAGCAAACCATCATGTTCAATGGGAAATGGTAATAGATTAGTTTGGAGAAGATAATAACAACCCAACTATGGAAAAACAAAACTATACACTATGTCTGCTAGTCTGCTCAGGCCACCGTAACAGAATATTGTACAATGGGTGGATTTAACCACCGAAGTATGTCTTCTCACAGTTCTGGAGTCCAGAAAGTCCAAGACCAAGGCTCCAGCCAATTTGATTTCTAGTGAGGGCTCTCTTCCTGTCCTATAAATGGCCACCCTCTCACTGTGTACTCACAAAGCCTTCCCACTGCCTGCAAGTAGAAACAGAGTGAACACTCTTGGGTATCACTTCTTCTAAGGACACTAACCCTATCTGATTAGAGTCCTGTCCTCATGACCTCATTTAACCTCATTTACCTCCTTGTAGGCCCTATCTCCAAATAGATGAGTTTGGAGAGGACACAATTCAGTCTACTCCACCATGCTGACAAGTTTTAATTGTAAATTAAGTGCAATGGCAATCATTGAAAAGAACATTAGTAGGAAGACAGCAATGATCAGAGGTGTGTTCTGAAATGAACCTTCTGGTCTAAGTAGTGGACTGGATCCTGGGTGAGCAGGCTGTTTCAGAAATCTTCAAGAGGAGGCTCAAGGTGGTCTAAACTAAAGCAGTGGCATTAGGAATTGAGAGGCATAGATTGGGTCAAGAAATGTTAGGAAGAGGTGGATGTGAGTAAAAATTCTTTGTAGCAGAAGGAATGTCTTGGGCTGAGCTTCAGAGGCCAAAATATTCATGAGATATGCACAAAATAGTGGACAGAATGGAGCAGGAAGGTACAGTGGAGGCAGACAGAAAGACTGAGGCTGTAGTGTGCCAGGTTTTGAATGCCAGGCTAAGGCTGACATGAAGGACTGGAGGAATCTAATAAGATCTGTGCTCTAAGAAGGTGACTGACTTGAGCATATAGATAAGGAAGTTACAGGAGGAAAAGGGACCAGTTAGAAGTCTCGGGTTATAATTCAGGCAGGAAATAATAGTAGAAAAAAATGAGAAATAGAGGACAACTACAGTGACTTACAGTGGCTAATTAGATGTGACAGGTGAGAGAAGGAGGCGAGTTAATGATGTCACCAGTTTTCTTATCCAGTGCTTCCATTTTCTTGTTTTCTGGAATATCTTTCACAGTGTATTTCATATATTTAGTATACCTCTAAATTATCTAGTTTTTCCAACACAGCATAGAGAGAAAACCAGGATATTCTTTATTTGCTGCAAGAAAGAAATTTGCTTAATCAAGTGTAGATTATGAATACAAAAGATAAGATTAATGTCAAGAATAACGTATGTGATGACTTAACAAAACCATGGTGAAGTAAGTTCAGGATTCTGAGTGTTTAGATACAGGTTTGAATTTCAGCTTCAGTATGGACAAACTTGAGATTTGGAGCATTTAATGCCCCTGAGCTTTAATTTCTTTATAAATTGGAATGCTTTTAGTTAATATCAGGACATGTGTAGCTGGAACAAACCCTAGAGATGACCTGGACCAAACTCCTGATGTTAATGATGAGGGAACTTTGTCTCAAAGCATGTAAATGATTTACACAGTGCTTCTCACTAACAGCATTGAATTAAAAAGCAATCTACCTTCCATTCACTCTCTAACCAGCTTCCATTTCTCTTTACCAGAATGACTCCGTCAAGCATCTACTCCCCTGCTCCCTGTCTCCAACTTGCTCCATCTCTTCTTCCCCTTCTTACCTCACATTTGTCAGAGAAAGCTTCCTGACTTGGAACTCTGGGCCCAGACTCTCTTTCCAGCTTCCCTGCTAGCCCTCTGCTCAACAGATCCTGTGTTCCAGCCAAAACAAACTTCTTGTCATTCCCAAAAGACTCTGCCTTTTCCCATTCCATTATGTTTCCACTAGTCCTTCCTTGCCAGAGTATCCTTCCTCCCAGGCTATCAGATCCACTCACTTCCGTGGAGACACCTTTATGGATTCCCTCAAGGAGAATTCATCAATGCCTCTTCTGTTCTCCCTGAACAATCTGTTCATAATGGAAGTCACAGTTTGCTTTGTTCTTGACATATCTGTTTTGCTCCTTAGAGCCTGATGTTCCCTAAAGCTCAGGATCAGATCTTATTTCATCTATTTACCACAGTGTCAGCACTTCCACAGTGTCTGGCAGATTGTAGGCACACAATAATTGTTTTAGGAATAAACACGTCTGGATCTCTGGGACCCTAATCCATCTGGGCTCTGTGTGTTTGGTATCCCTTAGGTGTATCAAGAGACAAGGATAGAGATTGTATAAAATGGGTCATCGTAAAGGTTGGCATAACAGTTCCAATTAATGTAGTCTCTGCTGAAATCTAAAATTAAAACCCCTATTATTGGGGACTGCTGGATAGGTAGCCAGAAAGGCAAAGGACTCCTCAAGAATCAAGAATCAGATCCACAGAACAAATATGCATGCGTTTGTGTGTGTGTGTGTATGTGCTCTTCCCTTGAGCTCCATGCTTGCCCTTACCAAGGGGTAAGATCTATAGAAACAGAAGTTGCTATTATTTAACTCTGATATAAGGTGTTCTTCCTTAATTTCAGCTGCTGTGGCTGCAGCTGTGATGGTATCTACCTGTGTCAGCATTTGTGTTGCCTCTGGCTCCCTCCCTCAGCGTATTTGCACTGCATGTGAAAACAATCTCTCAGTCAAGACAAGAAATCCTATGATTCCTGTGATTTGTCCACCTTAGGACATTTGGGTCTGACTGGTTCATTTTCACCACCCAGTACTGCCCACTGGGATTTTCAAAGTTCACACTATCTTCTGAGCATCTGCTTCTCAAGGCAGCATCCTTTACTGGCTCCCTGTCCCCCATCCCATCCCCAAGAAGTGCCCAGTAGATCTTGGGTATTATTACGGCTTCAAAATTCTGTGATAAATCACAAGCTTGGCCATATTTATAGTCTCCTAAAAGGTCATACCTGGTGAATGGTCACAGTGTCAATGACCTTCCTATCGAATCTCTGCTGGTGGTGCAGACCACCATGAATACACTTCTGAGTTAGATACAATGTCTCAGTCTTGTATCCTGGCCAACACCATACCACAAAACCACTAGATAAATCTCTGCAACCTTTGCAACCTTCATATTTTACTAAATCTTCCACTGCATTACTGTCCACACAGTAGTGATAAGATATTGATCTTGCATAAAACAAGCCTTATTTGATATGACAAAGATAATCACTTACCTTCAGATCTACACTGAACAAGCAGATAAGCTTTTGTCAGAACTTTTAATTCGTTTACCTCTTACATGGTATTGTATGTGATTCACATCTCTCCAGTATCTCCTGCTTCCAGGTCTAGATTATATCTATCTATCTATCTATCTATCTATCTATCATCTATCCATCTATCTATAGACACACACACATATCCGTGTATCACATATATGTGTGTGTATACATACACATATATAATAGCAAATGTGTATATATGTATACACATATACACATATACTATTGCCCCAATAATATCTTTACTCCTGCTCAGAATTTAAGAATTTAAGAAAGTATTCTATAAACTTCAAATAAGGTTTACACCTATAAATGTTGTTAGAAATCATCAACAGAAAGTAGACATGAATGCGAGATGCTGTATTCTTAACAATTTGACGCACATTAGTTTTAATTCATTGAAATGAACATTGTTCACAAAGAAATTCAGATGTTCATTATAAGCCTTGAGGCTGAAACTGTAACTGTTTGCCAAGATTTGAAATTGTGTGAGTGAAATGGAAAGGTTGCCAGTTTACATAATTATAGCTACAGAAATATATAGTGTGGCTGAGTAGTCAAGGAGTTTAATCAGTGTGGTTAAAAAAATAACAAGTGCTTCTGTTCATAATTTTGTCACATTTCCGTGGCAAAAGGCCAAATGCATTTAATCCAATTCAAGGATGACAAGGAGGGTTGATGGCCTCTAATGAGCAATTGATTAGCAGTAAACAGAGAGATATTAAGAATCTAGTTTAATCTCTATCGAGAAGAGGAGGGTCATTTCCCTTTGCTGTGGCTCTTCATCTTAGCTTATTTATAGAGTAAGAAGGGAAAATGTAATTCTTGGATTTTATTATTTAAAGATAAATACCCCAAATTGTGATATAAACATAAATCTTGTTTTAAAAAAAATGTGTGCAGATATAACCTAGAGTGTCTAGCAGCTCCCTTAAGGCATGACCTAGGTTTTTGGTCCTAGAGATAGTGAAATGATTGTGGGGGAGGGGCTTAAAAATGTATTGTGCTACATTATTATCTCAAAGACTGATTATTATGCAAAAGTGTGTTCCAATTTCAATTTGAAAAACTACTGATTTGTACTCAACAGCTGTAATTTGGCATCCCATGGGATGACATGGGAGGATATACAGGAAACTTTGGAAGGCTGTTGGTTTTGTGACATGATTAACCAAGGCTACTTGGCTGAGATTTCCAGTGTCTAAAGCTACAGTAACTTGGTGGCCACACTGTAACTTATCTCAGCTGGGAACTCATAATAAACAGAACACAATAAGGACCTGAGAATGAAGTTAAGAGAAGAGAATACAGCTGAGTTTCTAAATACTCTTCACCTTGGTAGGATTTTTATGCAGCAAAATAGCAAAGGGTTAGAAGAGTATGTTGCCATTGAGTATGTAGCACTGGTTATGTAGTCACACTGCCTTGTACTGGTTGTCTGGAGCCTGCTGAGGTCCTGCTGGCATACAGCATATTAAAGATGTGGGAGCACTATAATGTATCTGACTGTAGGTCACAACTCAATGAAACAAATGTTTGCTGAGTTCCTACTATATAAGCTGGAGAATATGGAAGTTGGGCATACAAAAATGATTGTTGTATAATAGAAACATTTATTATTTTAACCAATAAACAGTTGTCTTTACAATAATTAGTATATTTTTAAAACTTTTCCTTTTAGAGTTCCTAACTTATGGCTTACTAGAAACACGATCTTGCTCTTTGGGAATATAAATGAGCACATTGTTAGTAAATTTTCATGGAAAATTGTGGTCAAGCACAAGAAATGCTAATGTCCATTAATACTCAAATAGCATTTAAAGGGAAAGTTTATCATTATGAATCTGTCATGTCAAAAAGTTGCGGCTTATATTTTCTCTTTATGTTTCATATCTCAAGAGGCTTGTTGAGGTCCCTTTCATCTAAATTGATCATTTTTCACCATTATTGGGGTGGAATCATGTTCCTATTTGAGAATCTCTTAAAAGATTACATGACATCTATGAAAAACTATGACTTTTTACCAGAAAAATGCATATATTCATGTATACACAATTAATATATGACATATATTTTCTGCAGATTGGTCAGGTTGAGAAATGCTACATTAAATGTTATGAGTAAGAAGGTACAGATTTCAGAAGACACAACCTATGAAATTACAGCTCATTTGGGGAGTAAAAGATGACCTTTCCTCAAATTATGAATTAAAATTTAGTTTTCTATCCAAATTTCTAATAAATTTATACTCTGCTGCAGACGTCTGGCTGCAGTTTGCCCCTGTAATAGAAAACAAATTATAAGGCCAGATTTTGATAAATTTAGCATGAATTTCCATCAGAATTTTAGGACTTTCCTAAGCATGACCATATGGGAAGGTGATCAGAGACGTATCTGCATTACGGCTTTGTTAAAGCTGCGGGTGCTATTGTAATAGACAAGTTACAATCCTAAGACATCTTTTTAAATGTAATTGAGTTCCATTATCCTTCTGTGTTTCTGGGCCCCAGAGCAGTTCAGAAGAGTCTCTGCCTTGAGTTTGCCTTTGGAACGTTTCCAGAGAGGAACAGGTGATACCATAAACATATCCCTGTTGCCATTTGGGGTAAGCAAGTGGCTCTATGTGGCGGCTCCTTCTGGATGTAAATTGATTTTAATGATTTCTTTCTTTCTCCTGGGCAGGATTTATGTGGGCATCATTCATGTGACACCCTGGGAATGGCAGACGTTGGGACCATATGTTCTCCAGAGCGCAGCTGTGCTGTGATTGAAGACGATGGCCTCCACGCAGCCTTCACTGTGGCTCACGAAATCGGTATGCAGCGCCTTTTCTTTTCCCTCACCAAATCAAACACTTGTAACAGCTGCAACAGGAACCAAAATACTTAGCAATTAATTCCAGATTTCTCCTGGTTCAGATGTACCACTGGGAATTAAATTTGTTTATATCTGCACTTTTAAGGTTAACTAATACGAGCGACAGGGAAGGCAAAGTCAGCAACACGGTGGATGTTTTCTTCTGACAGTGTCATTTAAAAGTTCAAGAGAAATTTGCTACTGCTACTGCCTTCTTACTATCTTTTTAAGCATCCGTAAATGACCCCTGGATGAAATTTGTCACAGGCAACTTTGGTATGCAGAGATGTCCTTCTTAGAAGTTACTGGAGACAGTACTGGCTCATCCAGGGCTAATCAGTTTGCACAGAAATTTAACATGTTTTATTTCATTGTCAGTGATAATTGTAGGCTCCTGTCAAAGGTCATCAATGGCTTATGGTAAATATTTCTGTCTTGTTCTTAATAGCAAGGAAAGGAAGCCAAGCCTGACACTCAACAGGGTTTGCTTTAAAATGTCACTTACCTAATTTGTTTGTTGTAAGAAACACATCTAAATCCTACATCTATAAATAGAGGACTGAGTTGATTGCTAAAAAATATTTCCAAAATAAAGAATATGTGCTTCCTAATTATTGACCTAGATTACTAGGTGTATGAGAAATTGGCTTAGTACATTTAGGACTAGATGTTGGAATTAGACACAATTTTTTGTGTCTAACTTTTTTCTGTCTAATTCCAACATCTAGTCCTAAATGAGCCCAATTTTTGCTAAATTACTTTATACCTATGTCACACTGGTCTAATTATTTAAACTCTCTGAGCTCCAGTTTTCATATCTGAAACATAGGGATAATAGTGCCTATTTCAGGGAATTATTTTGGGGAATATATTGGGTAGAGTTTAGATAGTAGATGTTATTTATATCCACATGTACTTATGTTTTGCTTTTTAGCTAAATAGTTCATTTGCTTTTGAAATGTATGTATCAACTCAGCATCACATTTTTGGGAGCAAAGCATGGTTTGATAATTATGGTACCTTTTGCCATCTATAGCAAAAAAGATTTTGATTTAAACAGATTTTGATTTTTAAGGTTAAAATTATAACTTTTAAATGGGAATTAAAACTACTTTTTTACATTCCTAATAGGCAGAGAATATTTTCACAAAGCATCCATTTCTAACTGCTATGTTTTCTTTGGGGAGTTAAATAACTTCTAATCCAAGGTACAGTGTAATTGCATAATTCACAATATTGCCGCAGTAAAACAGAATTCAGTAGTTAAATGTCAGTTCTTAAGTATGGCATTAATGTTCCTGACACGTTTCTTACCTCCTAAGCAGAAAAACACAAATATAAAACCTAAACGTAAATAATTATCCAATAGCATCACTGAGAATAATTCAGTGTTTTATTGATTAGGCGTCTTTGGCTTCAGTAGTCAAAGATCTGAGTGGAGTCCCAGCTCTGTCTCTGGGTTCTCTGTTTTATCTCAGACAAGTGATTTAGATACTTTGAGTCTCCATTTCTTCCCTATAAAGTGGGCTAATGAGGAGGCATGGCTGTCTTCTCAGCTGCACTAGAAGAACTGGTCAGCCTGAAAGCGTCTTTATAACACATGCCATTTAGGCTCCAGGGTAGGGATCATGTCTCTCATTTATGCCTATTAATCCTTACTGATAAAAACACAGCCTAATACAGAACCTTAATCAATATTTATTACGTATCTATGTATGTGCTTGACTGCGTAAGCGGGAGAAAGAAACATGAGACTTGCTCAAGGCAACATTCCGATCTGCACCGGAAACTAAGAGGAATTAGTCCAAATACTCAGGAGGATGTAATTAAATAGAGGAGACTTTTAAAGTACACTGGTAATTAATCACCATCATTCAGAGTGAGAGGAGTCCCATAAGAAAGGTTCTAAGTCCCTGGAAAGGCAGAAGCTGATTCGTCACAGGTCAAGCGGAGAAATTATGGGGAATAAGCAGCAGAGCTGAATGTTGGCGTCATCCATCCACAGGATTATGGGCTCCAAATCTTGATCTTCAAAAGGAAAGATTCCACATTCCTTAAAGGAAGGGCAGTTTCTTTCCTTTCTAGTGATTGGTTTTCACACATTGACTGCATCTGGGAGATTTCCCTGTAAGACAAACACTGTGGCAATAAGTGCAGCTTCTTCAGGGATGCTTTGACCTCAAGTTAACTAGGGAGGATTGAAGAGCCCTGCAGGGTCACCTTTCCCAGCTCTCCTGAATTCCTAAGGCAATCTTGGGTTACAAGGCTGATGCAGCAGTCTGAGAGGCAGGAAGCCAGATGCTGATAAGCACAAACGTTATATTAAAACTAAATATATACATGTGTGTGTACACACACAGTAAGAACTTTTCTCAATAGTACAAGAATATTAGACATAGTTATACAAGGAAACAACGTAGGAGAAAGGTGGGCTTCTGTATGAAAACTAAAACCTAAATCTTTGATATATGATTATGCCCTTCTGTGCACTTAAATTTTTGGTTGGATCATCTTTGTTTATTTCTTTAGAAGTCCCTGTAATTCATTGCCCAATCAAACACTCTCTATTTAACTTCCCTTTTGTATTACATATGAACTAATCTGAGCTATTTAAGGTCTGGAAGTGGGGGAATATGGATTCAATTCTGCTTTCATAAAAGAATCTGGTTCTCATTCAGTTTATTTTCTAATCTCTTTATTATTCTTTAATTTCACTTTTTGCCTAAATATTATGAACATGTGTTATAAAAAATAAGCCTTCAACGTTTAGGAAAGATAGCCTGACAAAAGATTTCCTGATCATCTGTGTATTATTACAGAGTCTTGCCCCTCCAGCCAGTGTGATCTTGGATAATGCAGCTTGCTGGTTTGTTTCCCGTGCTGTATTTTTTGGATTGCTGTGTGAAGCTCTCAGTCTGAGCTAACCATGCTCTCGATTCTAATTCTCAATTCCTGCAATCTTCTCTCTTCCTAATTTTTTTTTTTTTTTTTTTTTTTTTTTTTTTTTTTTTTTTTTTTGAGATGGAGGGTCACTCTTGTTGCCCAGGCTGGAGTGCAATGGCGCAGGCTCAGCTCACTGCAACCTCTGCCTCCCAGGTTCAAGAGATTCTCCTGCCTCAGCCCCCCAAGCAGCTGGGATTACAGGCACCAACCACCACACCTGGCTGATTTTTGTATTTTTAGTAGAGATGGGGTTTCACCATCCCCCTTCCTTTTTACTAGACATTTGTGACTTTCTAGATTTGGAAGATGTGTATATGGTCAAAGTATGGCGATGAAAATGACGTTTTGAATGCTCAGTTTTCCAGTGTTTTAAATTTACTCTAGCCTCATTCCAAAATGTGTAATTTCCTTTATGCAAACAGTGTGAATGTGTTACTGTGCTCAAAACACAAGCTAGGAGAGATTCCCAGGCTGTTCCCATAATTTTTCTACTTTATTTCTTCTATAAGCAGTAAAAGGATATATTTGAGCAAGAATAACTCTTCCATTAACCTACTTACAGGTTCTCGTGGAAACGCACAACTGTTTCCTCTTTCTCTTCACAGTGGTTTAAAATAGAAAGTCATATCTATTTTGTGCATGAATAAACTGAATCAAAATTTTCTTTTTAGTTCATTAACAGCCTGGGCAACATAGGGAGACCCTGTCTCTACAAAAAATTAAAAAGAAAAAATAGCTGGGCATGGTGGTGCATGCCTGTAGTCCCAGCTACTCAGAAGGCTGAGGTGGGAGGACTGCTTGAGCCCAGGAGACAGAGGATAAAATGAGCTATGATTACACCACTGCACTCCAGCCTGGGTGACAGAGTGAGCCCCCCACCTAAAAAAAAATCTTACCTTGATAATTAACTCATAAGGTAAATAGAGGCAGAGCTGTAGTCTCTATCTGACACCATTTCTACCCACGGCATTAAATTATTTGAAGTCAAAATGACACAGGTTAAAAATGAACAATTATGAAAACTTACTCTTTTCATATACCATTTGAAACTAGAACACTTCTTTTTTTCTGCTAATTCTTTCAAAAAAGCTGCTAGATTTTGAAGGTAACTAATCAACTGATGCCAATACAGACTTCTGGAAGATGGATATTGATTGACATTGATTCTGGATAGGCAGTCAAAAAGTGCTTTCCTTCTTGTGTTATATGCATGTAAATGTTGGCTAAATTGTTAAGACATTTCAGAAAGTCACTTCAAACTATCAAAAACACAGTCCCCATCCATGTTCCTCGAGTGGAGGCAGGAATGTGTTTACAGCCACTTTACAATCCAAATGTGAACTGCAGAAAGTTTTCAAGTTAGTGTAAGTTTACATTTTGAGTTTATATTTTAACTTGTCAAACTTTTATTATTGACTTGTAATAATAAAGATTTCACCTGCTGCACATATGGTCCTTAAAAACAATAATTTTATTGATGTTGGGCCAGCTTCTAATACACTAGGAGGAACAATCTGATTTTATTTAGACAAATGAAATCCATAATTTGCAAACATGCCGAAGCTTTGCTTTATAGTGGTTAATTATAAAATGCACTAAGTGAATCTCTCTACTGTGAAAGACTCCAGTGTGCTTCCTAAGCTAAACTCAGGCAACTTAACAAGTCAAGACCAAATATTCAGCTGAGACTTAGGAAGTGGTTGAGACACAACAGCAAAGCCGCCTGTGTTTTGGTGTGGTTAAAAGGTGTTCCCTGGTTGTGCTGATCTGTGTGTGACTCTGCTTCTGTAGATGATTAGATTAAACACGGCCATATTTTGAAAAGCTGCAGAGGTTCTTGAAACACCACAGACCAAATCCAAATACACAGAATCAGATGTCCAGGCTTGTTGTAAGATGTAAAGTTCGAAGGAAACTAGGATTAAACTTGATATTTTCCCGCAAACCCATTGCTTTAATCAACAAGCAGTTTGGAGGAAAGCCACACTATGTCTTTCTTGGCCCCCAAATAAAATGTGGGAATAAGTTTTTGCTATATGTTGAGGAATATTGAGAGATTTTGTGTCTATTGTCAGTTTTTAAAAACTTAATCCCAATTCATGTTTCTCTAGGGAGAAACCTATAGATTATCTAGCACATGTGTGGAAACCAGCAAATTGAAGGTGGCATAAAAAGTAACTCTAACACACACTTGCTGAGTGATTTTTTTTCTTTTATGTTTAGGAAGTTTCCTCTTCCCTCCCACATAAAGAGTGTCTAGTAATATCAAAGCTTGTTGGCTGGTGTGGTGGCTCATGCTTGTAATCCCAACAGTTTGAGACAAGCCCTGGCATCATAGTGAGACCCTGTCTCTACAAAAAGTAAAAAAATAAATAAATAAGTAATAAATAAATAAATTAGCCAAGGGTGGTGGTGTGCACCTGTAGTCCCAGCTAGTCAGAAGGTATGAGGATCATTTGAACCCAAGAGATGGAGGCTTCAGTGGGCTTTGATAGCATGACTGCACACCAGCCTGGGTGATACAGCAAGACTCTCTCTCTCTCTCTCTCTCTCTCCATATATATATATATGTGTGATATATATATATGGATATATGTGTGATATATATATATATATATCACTGATTACTAGAATACTCATAAGTAAAAGTATATAACAATCCCAGAATATCAATGAGGACAATAAAGTTAGCTAACAATCACTGGTCCTTTGATATATGTCAAGCACATATTCTAATCACTTTGCATGTTTTATATCATTTAATTCTTACAAAATGCCATGAGGTAAGTACCATTAGTGGGTCACCCAAGAGAGAGAATGAAGCTAACACACAGGGTACTTTCTAAACCCGTCTAAGGTCAACAACTAATATACTGCTAAAGTGAGATTAAAACCCAATCCATCTGGCTCCAGAGCTCAAGATGTTTATATGCTTCTAGAATGTTTTTTTAGACAGTTTTTACTTTAAAGGCTATAATTCTGAAATGGATTCAAAAGGATATTGACACAGCTAGTTATAAGGTGAAAAAGTTAGAGTTTCTTCCTTCCAAATTACATAATTGATACCACATTTACCATTCATGTTTAATGCTTTCAAATGGGAGTTATAAGAGTTTTATCACATCTATGTAAAGATTCGTGTTTGAATAAGCATGCATGATCCAATGACTGGAGCTCATGGTTCCCTTCTTCAAGGATTCTAGATTCTGATTCCATGTGAGCAGTTGACTCACTTTTCAACCCCTGGCAAGACCGTGCACCTCCATAATCCCAGCTGGAAAATTAGGTAAAATAAAAACATGACCTCATTAAGAAACAGATGCTTCATCTGAGCAGTGCTTTCCCGAGTAAACACATTACAGAGCTTCTTGTGACATTTTTTTAGGATGTGGTACTGTGTCCCCTTGACCATTGGTCAGTTTGGGATCAGGAGACAAGAGCTTGAAATTCTGTTTAATTTGCAGACCAAAGTTTAGAAAAACAACCAATTTCCTTCCTGAGGTTAATGTTATAAGTCAGCCCTGGTTGTACAGTAATGCCTGGGTTGAATAAGAAGCTGAACCAACAGTTTCCTTTAAAGTGATGTGTCTTCATCTGGCTACACATTATCACAGATTTTCTAACACCAGATTCTCTTGTGAATTTAATGAAGCAAGGTGTTCTTAAAATCTGTATTGGGAATATCAAAGATAACATTTATTTTATAAAATGTCACCCCTTTGCCAATTGAAAAAGAGAATTTTCATACCAGAAAAGTTATCAGGTGACGATTTGTTTGCTATTTCTGAGCTAACAATGTAACTCAAACTCTCAGTCCTATAGACTTTACTCTGACATAATTTATCATTACATTTAATTTCTTAGATTAATTCAAATAAACTCCTTTCTGATGTTACTTGCTGACAGACACTCAGCATGACTGTTGTATGATTTAACATCAATTAAGAATAGGTCAACATCATCTAACACAATTTACACCTTAGCTTTTACTAATTATTTCAAACAGCGAAATACAGTTCTGATCGGGCGCAGTGGTTCACACCTGTAATCCCAGCACTTTGGGAGGCCAAGACAGGTGGATCAACTGAGGTCAGGAGTTCGAGACCACCCCGGCCAACATGGTGAAACCCTGTCTCTACTGAAAATACAAAAAACTAGCCAGGAATGGTGGTGTGCGCCTGTACTGCCAGTTACTCAGAAGGCTGAGGCAGGAGAATCACTTGAACCCGGGAGGTGGAGATTGCAGTGAGCAGAGATCTTGCCTTTGCACTCCAGCCTGGACGACAAGAGAGAAACTCCATCTCAAAAAAAAAAAGAAAAAGAAAAAGAAAAAAAGAAAATAAATATAGTTCTGAGGTAGGCACCGCTTGGAAAATACTCGTGGATTAGACAGTTGCATTATTCTCTGAATTTCACTCTGGCTTCTATCTCCCCTCCCCAGTTAAAACCCTATTTAGCATATAAATACAGAGGTCATTAACAAGTGCATCTATTACACAAGTGTGTTTGGTCCTTAGTTGCCTCAGGGTTTTAGGTGAAAAGCTTCCAATTACATCATCAAGAATTAAAGATAGCTGAGAAAGAGTATTGTAAACAAAATTGCTCAAGCAAACTGCTTTTCGATCTTTTGCATGTCTGCTGATTATAAATGGTCCTAAACACAAACACTAATTCTTCCCTAAAGCAAGACTTCACTACCTCTGCTTTAAATCCTGACAGCAGATAGTTACCTCGAAACCCACCTCTGCCTTTTCTCTCACTAGGAGTTTCACGTCCTATTTTAGTGAGGGAGCTTCCTCAGATCTCTGTCAAAATGGCTTTCAGTCCTCCCCACCCTTCTCTTGCAACACTCTGACTCTCCAAAAAAGAACTCTTTCTCTTTTTCCAAGGGTAAGGATTGCCATTCTATGTGGATTTCTCGATTCCATCCCCCTGCCTCCTCTAAAACCTCACCCTCAACTAACTCTGTTGCTCTGTATTGCTCTAAAAACTCATCATGTAATACAATTTGATGTAAACAACAAATTACTTTTGGCATTGTACACATTTTCTCCACACTCTTTTATATTCTTCATGTGCTGTTTTACTCTCTGAGACAGGGATATCTAATCCTATCTGCTGCTAATGCTCCTGGGGTCTGCTTGTCCAAGAAATGCTTAATCTCCAAACCACACCATTCATTTTAAACATCTCTGTGAATGATTTATGAACAAACTCTCCCTGAAAAGGCAGATGTCTTCAAAGCTATTAGCTTTTCCAATTCCCCTTCACAATCCCTACTTAAAAGACAGTTGTCAGCTGTGACACTGTATTTTAAATTCCCCGGATTCTGGATTTTCTCTGGTAGTTAGCTTTTGGTATCATAGCGTGCCGTCTTTACCGTGAGCACTCCTTTAAAATTGCTTATACTTTTGTATACTTTTGCTATTTCAAGGCCGATTTCAACTAAGAGTAAATGTCTTAGCATAATTGACTGGGGGCTCGAATTACAAAATACCACTCCTTTTGCTGTTTGCAGCCTTTAGAATGTGTGTCACGTCTTTCCTGAAGAGCATCCAAACATCCCTCACATTGATCTTCCCTTTCATATCCTGTCCAGCTCCTGAAGGGAAGTCACGCGGTTCTCTCGCCATGCCCTGGTTCCAGCTACTCTGGAACTGGCTGCCTGTTACTTTGGGTGCTTAAGTGTTCTTCACATTGCCCAGGACTCTCGCTGCCCTTGAGAGAGCATGCCTCTCCCAGAGAGCTGACAGGCTTTCTTCATGGAGCACAGAGTGTTCATTCGCCCTCAAAAGAGTCGATCTCTTTCAGTTGACTCTAAGCAGTCTGTTTCTGCCTGACTTTTGGAGATCTTACAAAAGTCACATCCCCTTGCTGAGGTGAAGCAAAGATTTGTTCATGCTTGAAAGGCAGTCTTTCGCAGTGCAATTTCCTCTATGCATCTTCAGTGGCAATTAAGTTTCAGTGGAAAATGAGCAAATTTGGGGAGCATAGAAGTCATAATGTTATATTAACTAGTATTCCAAAAGATTCATAAATGATGCTGAAATATTTCAAAATTAAATTGACTTGCTTACATAATTGAAACCTTTAAAATTACATGCTTCACCTCTCTGAAAGAGAGAATGAAGGTACTTTCTCAGGTCCCTCAAAGTGAATTTCGTGTCTGCCATGTGTCCTATATTTTAAATCAGAATTCTAAAATCTACCCTCCAAATGAAGTGAAAATCTCTTGATACAATAATAAAAAGGCATATGGAAAGTGCTATGTATTTATATAGATTTGGAGGAAAAGGCCATTACTTCATTAAATAAATATAAATATCCTATGAAGTAGAATGTATACATCACATTTTTTAAGTAAAAACCTGGATTCAAATAAATATTATGTTGCAGAGGTCACTTGGGGACACTTTTCTTCTATGCCAGAGGAAAAAACTCAAGAGTGAAATTTCCACCATATCCCTCAGTGTTAACTGATAAATCTTCTATCTTGGAAAATTTCGGGAAGTGTAGAGTGCGATATCAGCAAGTATTTCATGTACTAAGTAACTTTAAGTCATTTCTAATAGTACATGAATGAAAGATTGTTTTTTTTTTTTTTCTGTGAGCTGTGAGTTTCTTGAAAAACTCAACAAACCACTCAAAAATTAGATGAGCCCCTGCTAATTTCCTTTGCAAGTTATTTGGGACATACTTTATATATAGACTATAATGCACACTTATGCTACTGACCAAACAAAATGTTAAGTGGTGGTGGGAGAACTTCCCAGAGAAAACTTGTAAGCCTAGTAAATGCTGTCGAAGTAAATATCTGTATAAATAACATAAAAATGTGGAGGCTTGGAAGGTCACCGAGCCCTAGCCACTTATTTTCAGCCATAACAGCAGTCAGTTGCTCAGTGGACAATTTTGTTATGAGGTGTTGGTGATTTAACAAGTTGGCCCAAAGTAGTCGGAATATAAAGTGAAAGATTTCATCTCTGTTGGGTTTTATTGGTGCACACTGGACTCTTTTGCTAGAATGGCCAAAGTTTTCTGCGTTTGGCATTCAAGATCCCAAGGAGAATGTAGTCATCAGTTTGCTACAGTGTTTCCTAAATTTGTTTTAGTGGTTTGTGTATGATTCTAGAAAGCTTTGTTAAAAACACCACTAGGATGATTTGCTGTCTACTTTTTAGAGTTTGTAATTGCTCAAACTACTGTCCTAGATGTTTTAAATAGCATTGTAAATTTGTTGTGGAATATCATTTTATCTTTAGACTGCATGAAAATTGATCTTATGTAATAAAAAGCAATTTACTTGGATTATAAGAATGCAATTATGGGCTCTGTGAAATAATATCTAGCTTGACTGGAACTTCAGAGAACATTGTTGGTTGAGAGGCTTAAGCACAAATATCACCTGGCTGAGTGGTTTTGAACACTCACAACTATCACTTGGGAAACCAAGCTGTCCTTTCTTCAAGCTCTCAAACTCCATATTATTGGTATTTTGACATTTTAAAATGTAAATGGGTATGTTTTCAAAATGAGCTATATGTTTGTGACAATAGTAAACATTCATAACTCACTAAATCACCAAAAGAAATGAACGGATGAAGCAAGCTTAGTTTTGCAAGAAACCGGAAACTTCCTCATTTCACTTCTCTTTCTTTGTCTCCCCTAGTCCTCCCTTTTATTAGCCACCTATTTACTTGACTAAGAAAATAAGTCACTGACATTCAAAAACCATCTACTAAGTGTTTGCAACTTGCACAGCACTAAGTTCAATACAGAGGTTTCAACAGTATATGGGAGCAAATGCACTTTGATCTCATGGGGCTTGATCAGAGAAGGCAGAAAATTAGACAATCAAAATGATACGTGGTGAGGGCTATGACATAATCCCACAATTGTCTCGCAAACTCTAGATTCTAAATAAGGCTTTGTTTCCACATGACATTAAGCATATGTGATCCAGATGAATTATGGGAACATCTACTCTTTAGTTTTTCAGTTTCCATCGAAATGTTCACCAAAAGCAACTGCTACACTAACTCCATGCAACTTTTATTTCCCTGGAGGTCCAGTCTCTGGGTGAGAAAGCAGTTAAAGTGAACTCATCTACAATTAGGGGAAAAAAATCAAGCCCTAGCATAATTGTCATGGAAAGATAGAAATACACAATCACGGATTATTTGTACTTCCTCTGTTGTCTCCCTTAGGACATTTACTTGGCCTCTCCCATGACGATTCCAAATTCTGTGAAGAGACCTTTGGTTCCACAGAAGATAAGCGCTTAATGTCTTCCATCCTTACCAGCATTGATGCATCTAAGCCCTGGTCCAAATGCACTTCAGCCACCATCACAGAATTCCTGGATGATGGCCATGGTATGTATCATTTAGGAGAACACAGACTGAGAAACAAAATTTGGGATTCTTAGGAGTTTGACTTCATTATATCCTCATAATATTCATCTTGCCCTCTAAGACAATAGTTGTGTGGATAGTGTCAGAAGAAAGACCAAGAAAATTGATCATATGTGGGTATGTACTGCCAACGTCCTTGGTGGCATTTTAGCTATGGTATTTTGGCTTTTGAATTGAAAAATTTCAAAGGAGAAGCAGTGTGGAAGACCACACAGAATGCCTAGCTAGTGCCCTGAAAGTCTGGCTTTTATTCCTTCTTTTACCACTAGCTTCCTGTGAGAACTTTGGCAGACATCTTGGTTTCCCTGCTATTAATATGACTCTCAGAATTATTTGTTACATGCCTATTATAGGGGTGCAGTTAAGGTGTAGGTGACAATTCTACTGGATTCTCTTTATGGCAACATAAGCCCAGAAGAGGAAGCTTTCTAGATTTGCACTGACTAGAAGAATTTGGTTTTATTCTGATAGGAGATTCTCCTGAAAGTAGAGTAAAAACTGCATAACAGAAATAGAAAAGCAATCTGAATGATGGGAAAACACTTTAAGAACTTCAAAAGAAAATCTTTGGCTTTATCCTTCAAATATAGTTCAAGAGCACAACATACTTTATTAAATTCTGTAAGACTAGGATCAGTGCTGTAAATTACATTGAAATACTGAGGAAGTTACAATTTTTAGAAATAATAAATTCTGACCCCTAAGTAATCTTTGAAACAAGCTGTTGCAAATTTCCAAGCATTCTTCAGTACTTTAAAGTAATAAAAACACAGGAGGATAGATGCATTAGCACTCTAAAGAATCATCAGACATTATGTAGCTGAAATTTCCTATGTTACAGAAATGGACATATTCTCATTTATTTTATGTTCTCTTAAAATTTATGTTTCTAAAACTAGTAGTTAAATTGAATGTGACAGAAATTATTGATCATAATAATTTTCTATAAAATTACCTCATGATATACGGTTCAAAGTTGAATAATCTATGGCAACCGTCTTTTTCCCAGTTCCACAAAGTTTATGACTCAATGTCCCATAATTTTTTAGTATGTTGACTGTTTGGAACTGTGGCTACATAATACCAGAACAATGGACAAATTCAAATTATTTCAGACTTAAAGAAATTCAGCTGCACAGTTCTCTGATACCATGGAGTCAAAATATGTTCATTAACCCATTCTTGCTCCATTCGTGGTGAACAGGTAAGGCTTTAGCTGCCTGTTACTATATATTTGCTTGTCTCATTTTGAAAAGCAATCTGAGTCCAGCTTGGTTTAAAATATATCTCAATACAAAAAAAAAGTTCCTTTTTAGTTGAAAAAATATGTCAATAATTTAAAGACTTGGAAACAACAATAAGAATTAACGTATGAAGCTTTTTCCTTAGACCAGTAATACAATGGTAATTTTATGTTTAGCTCAGTTTACATTGTGGATTAAATGCAGATAAAGTCCTAAAATGAATGTTACCTTACTATCATCCTATCTACATTGATCAGGTCAGTATCTCATAAAGTCCTTCTTGGGTGGAATCTTAAGTCTCCACGCATAATATTGCTTTTCTGTTTTACTTCTTTTCAGGTTTTCTGAAAATAAAATAACATTAATATTTTATTTCAAAATCACATGTTACACATTCCAAGAAGTTGAGCTAAACCTTGAATCACTAAATGAATGGATTTAGTTGCTAAGGCAGCAAATACTTATGGCTAAAATGAGACCAAATTTTTTTCCCTGTGCAAATATTAGGTCAGCTAATTACAATGCTGTGGAGAATTTTGTTCCTAATTTTGGAATGATTCATTTATTTCATGTTTATGGAATTTGTGATCTTAATTTCTATGCAGTAAATATGCTTTCAGCATTGTCTTCATTTTTAACATTAATTCTATATTTAAAAGAGTCTATGCTCTGATTTTTTAAAGATTTTATAACAAATTTACATATTTTTATATCTGTTTCTGTTCCAAAGGGCTCATGATAGAGAACAACTAAGAACATAATTTTAATAGAAATAGATCTTGTTCATTTGCACTAATAAAAAAGTATCTAAATTTCTCATGTATATATATTAAATAAATTCAATTATCAAAATTCCTTGAGCAGAAAATGCTTATAGTTTACTTATTTGATTTTTTTCATCCAATCTAGACTTTCTCACTTTTGAATATCTTGGTTTGGTTAGGCAGCCTTTTGTTTCAATAAAAATAATCCTATTTTATCAGTAGCTTATAACATGAATAAAGTGATTTCAGAATAACAAAAACCAAAGAAAAGCAGTGTGGCACAATGACAAAGCTCAGTTATGTCTGTCTTACTTTGTTTCAAAAGAGCATACTCAGATTCAGAATTGAAACAGTGGTACTCCCTGTAGTGCTATTATTTAAAGATGAATTGAAATAACTTAATAACTTTTAAATTGTAACCAAAAAGCTCACTTAAGTCAATGTAAGTGAAAGTGTGGCCATAGAAACTACCAAACCCACTTTAGAGATGATTGAGGTGCTAACATTTCAACTACAGAGCATGGGAGAGAACTAAGAAGACAGTCACAGTCCAAGATGATAGAATAACAAAGATGCATCTTTGTTAGAAGACTAAACGATGTCACAAAACTATATTATAAAACCTTTTAACTTTACTCATAGAAAGCTACACAGGCTTCCACTCAGAGCCCATTTATTAGTATTTTACAGTTCTACCATTTTTCTGTTCTAATTTTCTAGGCCACTCAATTTTTTTAAGCAATAAAATAGTCATGATGGATGAGGGTGGGGAGACTTTAGACAGGTAATCTGAGAACAAGAAATGATATTATTTAACAATAAGAGAAAGGCTATAAATAGCCTGAAAACATGAAAGGCACAGTGGTCTGGTACCATTTTCTAAAGGTCAAAAGCCCTATCTCACCAACATGGTCCCTCAAGTTAGTGCTATATTTCAGCATGATACAATAATTGACACACAGAAAAAAATGACTTTCAGTTATCTAGGAAAGTTAAACTGTGACCAGTATAAAGGCAGAAAAGCAATTTGCTATTTTTAAGCAGGTAATCTGACAACACATATACAATTTTTCAATGGTACCTAAAGAGTACATTATAAATGGGAATTCCATTTATGTCTAATATCTTACCCCACCCCCTCTCACCTTCAGCAATACTGGAGAAATGAGGTCGGAGAGTAAAGTTAAATTCAAAGCATTTGATTTATTTTTAAAATTATTAGCCATAAGTAGCTGGACATTTGTAGCACTCGTCCACTGCCAAATGTAAATTCATTAGTACTGAGTGTTTCCTGATTTAGTTCCAACAAGAAATATGCAGCAATTAGGTTATGGTTGAAAAACCAGCGTGCTCACTCTAAAGTCACTGTGTCTGCAGATTTGTGATTCAGAAAAGGAGAAGCCATGTCTCATGGGACCCCCCTCCTCCCAACCTTGGCCAAGATACTTGTAGACATTCTGCAGTGTTTATACAAGCTAGCTCTAGGCAAGCTGGCTAGGAGTATGATCCTCAAAAATAAAGGTAAGCACTGGCAAAGAAATTGTGCAGTGAAAGCAGGTTATTGAATTTCCTTTCTCAAATGTTTACTAACCTTGAGTCCAGAAAAGATAGCTGTGTCTGCTGTATCCCTGAGTCCACAGTGCCAGATGATGAGAAAGGCCATGACTTATGTAGATACAGCTCAAGAACACTCACAACACAGGTTGCTAAGGAAAATCTATGGATGGTTTTGAAAATTCGTCATGTAGTGTAAAGAGCTAAGTTTACAGCCACTTACTGAACACAGAACTTTGCACATAAAATGATATTGGAAAACCAGTTCTCTGAATCTTTTGTTAAGTATATAGACTAAAGCTAGCCAGGAGAGCTTAACATCAGTTTTTAAGGTGGCATTAATAAAATTCAAAGCCAACACTATGGTTGTATCTTGATTTTCATACTAAATATGCTCTTTAATAGAGTGTGAAAATAAGACATATAGTTTAAGGCCACGGTGACTTATATTTTTAAAAACTTTCCTTTATCCTCTATCACAGGGAATCTTTAATTTAATTTCCTTGCCATTACATCTGCTCAACAATATACCTAATGCATCTAACAGCTTCATACCCAGACCCCTTGAATTGCTTTTTGACAACAATTGTCTGGTTTTTTGAAGTGCTCTTGTTCATTCTTATATCACTGGGCCCAGAATGAGTGATCAAAGAGCAGGCAAATGCACCCATTTTTCTTTTAACATTAGACATTCAAGTAAAGACCTAAAAGCTGAGGGGCAAGGGCAGTGAGATGAAGAGTGGAAGCAAAGGGAGATTGTAAGCAGTGGTGTTAGGCTTCTTCGGATGAGTTTGATTAGGAACATTAATTGATTTCTCCTGCATCATGAATATTTGGGTCATGCTTAATTTCATACCTGCATATTGAAAAGGAAGAGAAGATGGAAATAATGTTAGTGCTAGAAATAGGGAAGAAAAATTTGAAAACAATAAAGAACAACAACTTTGAGACCGGGCATGGTGGCTCACTCCCTGTAATCCCAGCACTTTGGGAGGCCAAGGTGGGCGGATCACCTGAGGTCAGGAGTTTGAAACCAGCCTGGCCAACACGGCGAAACATAGTCTCTACTAAAAATACAAAAATCAGTTGGGCATGTTGGCGCATGCCTGTAATCCCAGCTACTCAGGAGGCTGAGGCAGGAAAATCACTTGAATCTGGGAGATGGAGGTTGCAGTGAGCCGAGATTGCACCACTGCACTCCAGCCTGGACAACAGAGCTAGACTCCATCTGAAAACAAAACAAAACAAAAAAACAACTTTGGTTAATCATTAATATGAGAGACAAATAGTGCTATAAGTCAGACATATGAAACTAGAGATTTTTCTGTTCCATTTCCTGGAGGCGTGGCATTCCTTCCAACACCTTTAGTGGAATTCTGCCAACACATTTTCTTACTGGTTCGCCTCAAATCACAACATTTTACTTTTTATTTTTTTGCCTTATTTTAAGCATTTAGTTTAACATGAATGGTAAAAACATGTATGCAATATGCACACATTCCTATTGACTTTCTTTCTTTTCTTTTTTTTTTTGAGACGGAGTTTCGCTCTTTGTTGCCCAGGCTGGAGTGCAATGGTGCGATCTTGGCTCACTGCAAACTCCACCTCCCAGGTTCAAGCGATTCTCCTGCCTCAGCCTCCCTCCCGAGTAGCTGGGACTACAGGCGCCCGCCACCACACCCAGCTAATTTTTGTATTTTTAGTACAGACAGGGTTTCACCATGTTGGCCAGGCTGGTCGCGAACTCTTGACCTCAGGTGATCCACCCGCCTCAGCCTCCCAAAGTGCTGGGATTACAGGCATGAGCCACCGCACCTGGCCTGACTTTATTTTATAGTCTATCCATTTATAAATATACAATGTTAAAACAAAAGGAAGAAGGAGGGAAGGGTCAAAGTGTTCCCAGGAAGATCCAGATCAAATTTCAGACTACGATGAATTAGAAAATATGTGAAGTAGATGTGAAGAAGTGGTTGAGAATAAAATTAAAACAGATTAAGAAAAAAATCAGCACTAGGTTGGATGCCTCTAGAGCTCACTAGAAATGATACTGAAAGGTTGATCAGTTTCCCCTTTTACTCCTTCCCCAAACTGTATACATTTCTTAAACATATAAAATGTATATCCAATCTGTTATTACTTAGATTTTAAACATTTTATACTGTGAGTTTCAGACTTAGGCTCTGTATTGATTTTTGTTACTGTTTCTTGGCACCATTCTGCCATTTGGTAGAGATGCTTGTACCTATTTTGTTGCAAAAGGACATAATTCAATGTAAAAATTAAATTATATATGCTTTGGCATAAACAGAAATTGATGCAGCTACAAATCCTAGTACTGAGAACATTGGCATAACACATTAATTGCAATTCTGAAATAAATTATTTTATTTTAAGCAAGAGAAGATCATCTCCACATGTATGACCTCTAAGGGAAAATTATAGAGCTGATATATCTTATTTTGAATAGAAAGCTAATGTGTTATTTATTTTTAAAACTTACAGTTCTAAGTTAAGCTTTTTAAAGAGATGCCACATCTTGAAGTCTCCTTGTTGGAAGCCGATTTCAAATTGCATTACACGTTTCTTTTTCACTTGTCATCTACTAGTGAGGTAGAACAGGTGTCAGTGACTGTGTATGCATAGTCAGGTGGTGAGTTATTTTGACTCCAGAAAAATGAGATAGATCCATGCCATGTGCATGCACACATGGTAAAGACTTCCTAGCTAATATTTAGTTACCCAGTCTTATGGTCTGTGCTTTTTAGTAAAATTTTTTTTAAAAACTTTCTTAAAACAGCACTTTTGAAGAACTGGAAAACATTATTGCAGACTCAGAGATTTGTTGACAGTCTTCTAACATCAGCAATCTGCCAAGCATCCCCTAGTTTACACAGTACTTCTTTTTTGATTCTGCAATGAAGATAATGTTTTTCGTGGAGTTCTGAAGCCCTAATCGCACTCTGTCTTATAAACAAAGCTTAGTGAGCTTTTACTATCATTCTTTCCTATCGGCTTGATGTTCGTGTTTTTCTTTTAACTTGGTGTTTTTCTCCCAAAGTTCTCTTTGGCTGGATTCTTATTTTTAATGCTTTTTCTGGCTTGCCTTAAGAAGCTTTACCTCTTCAAACGTTCTGGCTCAGAAGTTAAATAGGAACTTTGCTCTTTATTCATTTTTATATAATGCCCCCAACACAGATTGACAAATTCTAAGGTATTCACTTTGAAGAAATTTGAATGTAGTCCTTAAAAATTTACAGTATACTTAAAATATGCTGAATATTCTATTTCTCAGTGGCACATAAGGATTTGAATATGACTTTTTTGTTGAATAAAAAGAATAACTGTAGTACATCTAAAAGGCTGTTAAATATACTGGGATACAACTACCATTGCTTTGTATTTTTCTGGTCACCCTTAAGATCTTTGTTAGCTAATTTCACATTTACAGTATCACAGTGAGAAGAGAAGCATTATGCAGATCTTGAAAATAAATTAGGGAGAGGTTAGCTAACTTAGCCAGGAGCACTCAACCATTTAGTATTTCACCAGAGTAAGACTTCAGACTGGGTGTTTCTTCCATTAAGCTCAATATCTACCACTTAAAGGATCCTTACACATGGCTGCCCTTCAGCAATACAATCAGGCAGCTACTCACATGCTAACAGAAGCCATATGGCATCAGAAGAAAAGGGCAGGCTCTGAGCATGAAACCATAACAGCTGTGTGACCTTGGGTAACTGGTCTGCCTCCTATGGGCCTCAGTTTCCTTATCTGTAGGATAAATAAAATATGCACTAGAATCTGCCTGATGGGGTTGTGGTGAGGATTAAATGAGCTCATATATGTAAAGAATGGAGAATAGTGTGTGTAACAAATATTTGTTATTTTATTGCTATTATAATAATTGTGTAAATCCTAAAATAAAGTAAACAGAAAAATACAGAAACAGATGGGCAATATGCATGCATATGTGGGTGACAAAAGAAAATTAATGATGTTAACTCACCGGACAGGGATTCTTAGGGAAGCTTTTGCGGGGAGGGGAAGGAGAGGAAGAGGAAGCAAATTTAAGGTTTTGGATTCTCATCGTCCATGTTCCAGCTTTTGTGGATTCCCCATCTCACCCCTCTGCCTGTACACCCTCATATATGATGCAATGAGATGCCTACCTTGTTTCGGCAGATAGATCCAAATACTCAACAAACACCAATTCCATTAAATAGACATAAAGCAAAGAGTATAAAGACTAACTTAATCCTAAATTATCAAAGACTATTTTTTCTTTTTTCACTGCTCCTTTGTTCTGTGAATCTTGAAAACTTTTTATTAAAATTATATCAGTCTGAGAGAAATACTTTATCTCTGTGACTTTATTGGAAGGCCTTCAAAGGTAGATCTGGGTCATTTTTCTGTATTTCAGATACCTAGTGTGTTTTCTAGAACATTGTAGGTGCTGAACAAATGCTTGTCGAGTGACTGTAAGAATGAATGAGGAGCCAGCTTGGCTATTATTTATGGAATTAGTGGAAAGGAGACATGTGATAGGCACATGGGGAAGGGGTGAGTTAGAAATGGGTAATGGGTTATACAGATAGAGTGCCAAGGACAAACTCTGTTTCTCAAAGTGGTAGAGTAAATGCTTCATTATCATTATTATTATTATTATTAAAATTCACCATCTGATTTTCTCTAGGTCCATCCCAATTTTGTTTAGTGCCTTAGCACAAGGGCTATTTTCACAACTAATCATTACAGAATCATTTTATTCCATCACACCCCTGCCAACCTCACCTCTGTTGTTACAGACACTCCGGAGCGCATCACTCCTGAGAACCCTGGAGGGTCTGGTGCGTCCAAGGGGGCTCCCAGCCTTGTCCCCATGGAGTCCCTCTCCAGAGCATTACACTACAGATTCATGGGTGCCTCGTGCTCCAACACCAGCCGGGGCATTTCATTTTTAGATCCATGATTTTAGCGGTTTGAAACCTAAACACAGAGCCGTGGTCAATCTCAGTTATTCTTGTAGGTAACTGTTTGCTGGACCTACCACGAAAGCAGATCCTGGGCCCCGAAGAACTCCCAGGACAGACCTACGATGCCACCCAGCAGTGCAACCTGACATTCGGGCCTGAGTACTCCGTGTGTCCCGGCATGGATGTCTGTGCTCGCCTGTGGTGTGCTGTGGTACGCCAGGGCCAGATGGTCTGTCTGACCAAGAAGCTGCCTGCGGTGGAAGGGACGCCTTGTGGAAAGGGGAGAATCTGCCTGCAGGGCAAATGTGTGGACAAAACCAAGAAAAAATATTATTCAGTAAGTGATTTTCTCATCAGTCAATGCCTGGAGGCCCAAGAAGTGAAGTGCATTCTTGTGATGGGTATGGGCACTGTTCTCAGAAGGCTTTATTTTCTAATTTAAAAACTTTTCATTTTGAGGTTTATTTAGAGCTTCTTCTTTTACCCGCAGTAGCCATTCTCAGTGATCCGAGATTTACTGGGGAAAATGCAGATACTGGGAATTTATTTGCAGTTTACATCTTTTAACAAATACTTATGTAACTCAGATTCTGTCTAATTGAGACCTCAGGTAGGACCCTATTAATTGCTTTTGGGAAGTTTACTTTCAAGCTTCTCTTGCTAAAGTTATCAGAATATAAGTATTTAAATTCAGTAAGGAGGTAATAGCAGAGCCGATACATGTGGTGCTTGTACATATTTGGTGAGCTCCAAATGGTCACTTTTTTCCCCTTGACAATAAGTTAATCTAAATTTAGGAGCTAAAGTAACTTACGACTGCTCCGGGGAAACACGTCTGCCACTATATACACAGTCCAGCTTCAGGTCAGCAACTGCCCTATTAATTTTCGAGGCCTAAGTAAAATAAGTGCTCGCTCTCAACCCACAAGATTTGCAAAGTCCCTAGAAGAGAATTATCCTGTGCCCATTGCCTGTATCTTTCCAGGGCATCACCCAACCATTCATCATCAGATAACCTGACACAGTCAGCCAGAGGCAATTCACAGATTCCCTCAGCAAAGCAGCTGATCATATTCTTCCTTTCAGAATCTCTAAGCTCCCTCCAGGAATGTTTCCAGAGAAACAGACTTAGGTTGCCATAAAAGGGCTCTTCCTTCCCTAAGGGGTGTGTCTGCATGTATGGCGTGAGTGCATTTCAGTATCTGTCACATCTAATTAGGAATTAAGCCAAGTTGGGTCCGGTACATTTATGAACGTCATGGAGTCGGTCACAGACAGGATGTGGGATGTCAACAAAGGGACTGCAGAGTTTTACTGCTGAAGAGATGCAAACACAATTAAATAATGCCCAGTGCCATGCAGATCCTTCAGCATTATACGTTTCAATAAAGATCCAACATCAGAGTGGACAAAAAGTTACCATGGTTCAGTGATATTAACAGAGATGGACCATATTAGAAGACATAATTTACAATGGTCCGTAGAAACCAAAAGGTGATAATCTTTGTGGTGTGCTCAGTACTTAGGATGATGCTTTCAGATCTTCTAGTGCTGGAGTTGGGAGGGTGGAAAAGATGAATTGCTTAGCACTGGAAATGTGTTGCATTTCCAAAGCATGATCATGTTAAATTCAGTGAAAATATAACTGTATCTGTGACAAAGTTTCCACTTTGTCATTAAATGCAGGTGATTTCCAAATGCACACTTTCAATGTTTTTCTCTCATTGGAGTTAAAATATATTCTATTCTCTATTTCAGACGTCAAGCCATGGCAACTGGGGATCTTGGGGATCCTGGGGCCAGTGTTCTCGCTCATGTGGAGGAGGAGTGCAGTTTGCCTATCGTCACTGTAATAACCCTGCTCCCAGAAACAACGGACGCTACTGCACAGGGAAGAGGGCCATCTACCGCTCCTGCAGTCTCATGCCCTGCCCACCCAATGGTACGCTGCTCCCAAGTGTCAGCAACCATCATATGCTACATGTCATTTGTATTCTAGCAATAATGAATAAGGGAAGCTGGGGAAATAATATTAATCTTATACTGCACAGTTCCACCAATATGCAGATCAATAACAAACACCTATGTGTTTGTTTTTTTTTGAGATGGAGTCTCACACTGTTGTCCAGGCTGGAGTGCAATGGCACAATCTTGGCTCACTGCAATCTCCACCTCCTGGGTTCACATGATTCTCCTGCCTCAGCTTCCTGAGTAGCCGGGATTACAGGTGCACACCACCACACTTGGCTATTTTTTCTTTATTTTTTATTTTTAGTAGAGACGGGGTTTCACTATGTTGGCCAGACTGGTCTCACACTCCTGACCTTGTGATCCACCCTCCTCGGCCCCCTAAAGTGCTGGGATTACAGGCATGAGGCACCACGCCCAGCCACATATGTGATTTTTAAGTTTTATTATAAGCAATATTCAGAGAATTGGAATAAATAATCACCATTTTGAACTCTATGTATAGATAAAATCCATCAGCATTGGTGAGTAAAGAGACTGTGGGATAAAAAAAACACGTTTGCATCTTCCCCTTAAAATTAACTATTTAAACCCACAAGAATATATCTAAGTTTCAGAACTGATAAGGTAATACTGAAACATGTTTGTTTTCTAGGTAAATCATTTCGTCATGAACAGTGTGAGGCCAAAAATGGCTATCAGTCTGATGCAAAAGGAGTCAAAACTTTTGTGGAATGGGTTCCCAAATATGCAGGTGTCCTGCCAGCGGATGTGTGCAAGCTGACCTGCAGAGCCAAGGGCACTGGCTACTATGTGGTATTTTCTCCAAAGGTAACTACACACCAACTGTCCAGAAGCAGTAGGCGTACTGGTGGAAATTATTTGGTAGAATGAAGCCTGCGGACGCCAGACGTAAACAGTTATTAGTTTGGGGTCAGTTAGATTTTGGAAGGTTTTTATTTTCATCTCTATAACTTCTATATTTTCAAACTTTACACAATGAATAAAAATTATTTTATAAACAGAACAAGTAAATGTTTTAAAAGCTATATTTAAAAGGTGTAACTCACTGTAAAAGGTGTAACTCACTGTCAAGGAAGGCAAAGTGTGACCTTAACTTTAAAGTAACCATGAAAACAACTAGTATTTCCTAAGCAGCATTGTAAAGGAGACCATAAAGCAAGAAAACTTTTTCTATTTTTCTATGATTTACTTAAGAATTCCTTTGATGAGCCGTGGAGATGGGTTTCAAGATCATATACCTCTGACTCAGGCTTTTGAATAAGTCAAGAACCCTTAATATGAATCAATGTCCCTCTAGTTATATATGTTATAATCCTTGTGTATGTGTATAATATTTGTGTATGGAACATGCCTTATTTTTCACAAGTGAGCATTTTCTAAATCTATAGCAGAGTTTTATTCTTATGGTCAGTGTTATACAGCAATTTACAAATTTGTAAACAGTTGCTACATTTAAAATCACCTATGGCTGGGCGCAGTGGCTCACACCCGTAATCCCAGCACTTTGGGAAGCTGAGGCGGGCAGATCACAAGGTCAGGAGATCAAGACCATCCTGACCAACATGGTGAAACCCTGTCTCTACTAAAAATACAAAAATTAGCTGGGCGTGGTGGCACACACCTGTAATCCCAGCTACTCGGGAGGCTGAGGCAGGAGAATCATTTGAACTCGGGAGGCAGAGATTGCAGTGAGCCGAGATCACGCCACTGCACTCCAGTCTGGTGACAGAGCGAGACTCTGTCTCAAAAAAAAAATTACCTCTGAAACTTGGCCTTCAGATATTTATAATATGTTATTGAAAAACAAGCTAATGTCAATTTATGAAATTTTTTAAAGCTCATGTTTTTATTAGAAAATAATGCATTTTCATTCAAAAATATTACACAGAAGTAAAAACATAAAAATCACCTGAAAATACCACCATCTACAGAGCTATTAACCTGATAAAGTATATTCTACTTCAACTCACACACACACGCATTCACAACATACTCATACACATGCATAAAAAGAGTTTTCTATATACATAAATATAAAATTTACAGGCTTATTTATATATATGAGTGTATATATATTACATATACTCACATGCACAAGCCACAATCTATATACACACTGTTTTATAACTAGCTTTTAAACTATACACTAATCCGTTTATTCAAAATATATTCAGTCTCTTCCAGTAAGTCCGTTCATCTAACTTCCCCAGACTCCTTTTTCTGCACTAATTTGGTTGTGTCGATTTCAGTGTCTGACAGTTCAACACACAATAGGGAATGCTCTCCAACCATGACACAGTTTTGAATGTCAAGTTTAGATTTTCAAATTTGTCATTATAATAACAACTATGCAACAAAGAAGGATCTTTGCATTCTCAAGCCTGCTCATATTCAGTTCTGCACACAAATGATAGTCTGAAACACTAAGTGAAAAGATTACTTCTAGTGAGAATGTATTATGCATACAAAAACGAAGATGAGTACCTTGTGTCTCTTAACACATTCAGAGGTAAGGTTAAGAGAGAAAATGTGTAACCTAGGCTTATCCAAAATCTGCTTTCTGGCAATATGACAAGGATTTTTCAGTTAGCTACTTCTGGAAACTATGTTTTTTTGGCTTTTTTTTTTTTCAATGGACTGTCCATACCAATCAAACTCAAAAAATCACAAATGAGAACTTACTAGTTGACCAAAGGAGCAAATACTGATGCAAACATTTCCCACTCCTAATGCATTTGCCATGATTCAGGTGACCGATGGCACTGAATGTAGGCTGTACAGTAATTCCGTCTGCGTCCGGGGGAAGTGTGTGAGAACTGGCTGTGACGGCATCATTGGCTCAAAGCTGCAGTATGACAAGTGCGGAGTATGTGGAGGAGACAACTCCAGCTGTACAAAGATTGTTGGAACCTTTAATAAGAAAAGGTAATATGATAGAACCTTTGTCTTTATGTGAATTGAACAAAGCTTTAGACTCTTGCAGAATTGATAAAGGAGGATTCATATTACATCATAAGCTATCTGTATGAGGAGGTCTAACGTGGCTCTAGAAACACATTTTAAATATGAGAAGGAAGAGACAGGAGATGAATAAAACTCTGGTTGCTCAGGGAAAACTCATGCTGCCTCTGGAAGCAGATAAACTGCAGTAGCCATGGGAATCAATAGCTTGTAGAGTCAGAAAACTGAAAAGAAAAAGTGGGGGACATTCCACTTTAGTGATATCTTGCAGATCTAGTGTTATTCCTAAAACATAATTTAGGGAAGGTTGGTTGGTTTTGATCTTAACTATATTTTTAAAAACAAATTATCCTTACACTGTGTTTTCCTTAAGAAAATATTTCCCCTTGCAAAATGTAAGTTCATTGCAATGGTGTGGGCAACAGTGAAGTATCCTGGTTTATATCTACTCTCTAAAGAAATATATACAGCAGTGTCTCTCTCCTGCTTCCTCTTATGGTCCTAGATTTTTGCTTTAAATATTCAAGTTTATGAAGTACCAATTTCCGGCATAAAATATGCTATCAGGTAGGAT
This sequence comes from Homo sapiens, assembly GCF_000001405.40. Classification (NCBI taxonomy): domain Eukaryota; kingdom Metazoa; phylum Chordata; class Mammalia; order Primates; family Hominidae; genus Homo; species Homo sapiens. The sequence goes on along the minus strand of NC_000021.9, from coordinate 26,929,275 downwards.
GACTGAGTTGACTAGAGTCTGGTAAAATACAGGCTTGCTTTTCTTCCCAAACCACTCTTAGGCTGAGTGTTATTAGTCAAATGTATCTGTATTCTTGATGTACGTGCTGTGTTGTCTGTAACTTGAGAGTAATATGCAAACGAAATTAACAATAGGATTTATTAAAATAATTAAACATGTTAATGTAAAAAACTATAAATTTTCTCTGATGTGATTTGAAAATATATGGCTGAAAAATTTATTCTGAGTTAAAATATGCGTTACTAATTCTATTTGCTAATGAAATAATTATTCACCTAATTGTGTTAGACCATCTATGTCAAAAACCCTGCATGCCCAATTATATCCTGCATTTTTATATGTTTCAAAGGTATAAAACACCTTGGAGATGATCAGTCCAACCTTCTGTTTTAAAAATGAGTTGGACTCTGAAAATATAGGAGTTAGCCAATTATCCATGGCTGATGAATGCCAGAGAAGAGCAGACACCATAACTGAAATCCTAGAATACACAGGTCACTTTGAAAAAAAAAAGAAGAAAGAGAGATAGAAGAAAGAGAGAAAGAAAGAAAGAGAGAGAGAGAAAGAAAGAAAAAGAAAGAAAGAAAGAGAAAGAAAGACAAAGGAAAGAGAAAGAAAGAGGAAGGAAGGAAGGAAGGAAAGAAAAAGGAAAGGAGGGAGAGAGGGAATTCAGGAATCAAATTAGAAACAAAACTACTTTTAAAAAGTAATACCTTATACACTTTATGGTACATATTCTCTTCTATATAAAGTTATAAACCAGTTTTAAAATTGCTAAATTTAGCATTTTAAGTATTTTTGTGCTGACAACTAATATCTGCACATTTTTTCACATGAAAAAGAAGAAATTCATTATAGCAACAAGTGGTATGCAATGTAACCACCTGAAAATTGGTTTGACCAAGATTCTACTATGGTACAAATGACATGTTTGAGTAGTTCAAATTAATTACCTAGGGAGGCCATAGTAATTTATATGATTTATGAAAAAGAACATTGATCTCATACTGCAATATTTGTAATCAAGCTTTGGCTCAATGATTCCTTAGACATGTGATCTTTGAATTGTCACCTAATTTCTTTACCAGGAGATTTCTCAAAAGTAAAGTGGAAATACTGGTAATTATTATCATATGGTTAATAAAACTGTTGTGAAGGTGAAATGAGGTAATACATATTAAAATATTTCATCAATTTTAAGCCCATTCACAATATGACCCTAATCTTAACTCGCTCCTCCCTCAGTTTTCCTCATCTCAGTAAATGGCAACTCAGTCTTTCTACTATTGAGGCCAAAACTTTGGAGGCATGGTTCACGTCTCATTTTCTCTCACACCCCACATCCATCCATCAGCAGATCCTGTCAGTTCTATTTCCACCACATCTCCAGAATCTGGGTGCCCCTCACCACCGTGACCGCTCCCACCGCAATCCAAGTGTTCATCAGATCTTGCCTGGACTAACACTGCAGTCTTCTCGCTGACCTCTGGATCCTTTGCTCCTCAATCTCATCTTACCAAGCAAGGGAAGCCATGGCTATTACCTAAACCAGATCATTGCATTCCTTTGATCAGTAGCCTCCAATGGCTTCCATCTTACTTAGACTCAATACCCAAGACTGTTTTGTAATCTCTAAGGTGCTAAAAGATCTGGCCCCTTCCCTCCTCTATGTCTTTTCTACACTGTCCCTTTCTCATGCTCTGCTCTGACCAGAATGCACTTTCTCGCACTTCAAAAACATGACACCAGGTATGAGAATGCTGTTTCCTCTGCCTGGAACACTTTCTGCTATTAATGAGCAGTACACTTTCCAGAATCTCTTTAGGTCTCTGTCAAATATCACCTCCCCAGATGGTGGCTACCGTAAATGTACAAGAGGACATCTCCTCCACTCCCACCACTACTGTGCAACTTCTTACCTTACTCCGTTTCTTCACAGCTCTTATCAATTGATATCACCACATATTTTGTTTGCTGGGAGCGGACTAAAACATCCCTTCCCTGAGAGCATGCTTGAATATAAATGAATATATTTTTTCATGACAGACATTGTCCTTGGCACTGTGCAGATAGCCCTGAACAAAACAAGATTCCTTTGCCCTGCCAGCCATACTTTGTAAGAGTTGTATGAAAATTGCATTCACTTATGGTAGTCGGGAAAGCTGGTTAGTGTCTGGAGTTTAAATGATACCAAGCAGGATGTAAAGAAAAGGAATCAGGAATATCAAGAGAATCATCTCTTACTAAGGCACTAAAAAATCAGGGCACTAATACTCAGGTTTACTAGTGCTTGTGAAACTCAGTTTGAAGACCTGCAGCAATACTGACCATCATACTAATTCTCATCAAGATGAGATAAGCTCTAAGGAACAAGGGTAAACACCCAAAAAAGCTTCCCTTACCCTTTATTCTTTATTTTACTTACTCCTTACTGGGCATCATTTAAACTCTGCACATAACCAGAATTTAATTTCATTTAACTGCTATAACATATGGCTGGCAGGGGTCAGGATTTTATGCCTGGGGATATAGTGAAAAAGAGCGCTAATTGGGAGTCAAGAGCCTGGCTTTTTTTTTTTTTTTTTTTAAGACAGGGTCTCACTCTGTTGCCCAGGCTGGAATAACACCATCTTGGCTCACTGCAACCTCTGCCTCCCAGGTTCAAGCGATTCTCCTGCCTCAGCCTCCAGCATAGCTGGGATTAGAGGCACGGGCCAGCATGCCCAGCTACTTTTTGTATTTTTAGTACAGACAGGGTTTCCCTATGTTTGCCAGGCTGGTCAGGAACTCCTGTCCTCAGGTGATCCCCTTGCCTCAGTCTCCCAAAGTGCTGGGATTACAGGTGTGAGCCACGGCATCCAGCCAAGCCTGGCTTTTAAGCCTAACACTGCCACTAATCAGCTCTAAAGTGAACTTGTTCAAATACTGTCATATATCCCCATTTCATACTCTTTTTGTGTAAGATGTTATATTTATCTCCAACTACCTTCTGTTTAGACAGGATCTCATTCTGTTACTCGGGCTGGAGTGCAGTGGTGCACTCACTGCAGCCAAGACCTGGGCTAAAGCGATCCTCCCACTTCAGCCTTGCCAGTAGCTAGGACCATAGGCATGCGCCACCATCCCTGGCTAACTCTTTTACTTTTTGTAGAGACAAGGCCTCCCCTGTATTTCCCAGGCTGCTCTTAAACTCCTGACCTCGAGGAATTCTCCAACATCCCTTTTGACTTTCTTTGAAGCCACTATAGTTTCATGGATTATTTATTAATATTAGGTACTACAAAACACATCTGTAACAAAATCTGATCTGTAATGTATTACAAAAATAAAAATAATGAATCGAGTTAGACAGAATAAGGAACGCCCTGAGCATTGCATCATCTCTCTTCAACACTGTAGGAAGCTTTACCACCTGTGTGGCTGTCACTGTAGAACAGATTGCCCTGCAGACAGGGGACTTCCTTGGCGATAAGCTTCCTTTCCAATTCAGAGGAAACTCTGGAGTAAGGGAAACACACTTGGATTTTTAGCATGTGAATGAGAACTGGAAATGAGACAGTTCAGCTCCACACGTCAGTCAAACTGCTCAAGCCAATAGTATTCCTGTTTAAATAACTAGGAAAGTGAAGGGACCCTATTATGAAATTACTTAAAAAGGCAAAAATGTGGACAAAAGTTGACTCGTCATTTCACCCTTGGTGCTTAATTAGCATTTCCATCCTAGCATTCCTCACAGGTTTATGGGTATTAAAGATATTTGTGTCTTTCCCCATTTTTTTGTCCAGATGATGGCTCTTTGAAGACTTATATGTCACTCACCATAAAGCCTTTCTCAATCTATCGTATCTTATGGGCACTAAGAATTCAGAAAAATTCTCTAAGTCATTTAAAAAAATTCCCCTTTTATGATGGTATTAGTAATATCATTACCCAATTTCAGAATTGCATGCTTCATTTATGGCCTGTCCCACCAAATCCAGAATTCTAGTAGAAAGGAATGCAGAGACTCTACTCACCTCTAGTCCAAAAACTAATTAATTCTGTGTTCCCAAGTTAGTCTGCACATTGGAACAATGTGAGAAGTTTCAAAAGTGCTCTTGACTGTGCCCGACCCTGGAAGATGGGGATTTAATTGGTCTGAGGTGTGGGTAGGCTCTGAAAGATTTAAAAGATCCCCACGTGATTCTAATGTGGAAGCAATCTGAGAAATATTAAAGAATTATGTGAGATTAAGTGAAGGCATATTTTTGTCAGTTTGTGTTTAAACAGATCCCATTTTGTGCCAGAAAGAATGGAAAGTAGATTTGTAAAGATGATAGGATCTGATAAGGATGAAAATGGTTGTATAAATCTTGAAAGTTAGTATAAATGTTTTAAATGAAGGCAGGTTGCTAGCATCATCCTAATTTTGAACACCTCAATTAAAGTGTATACAATACTGTAGTATAATTGCAATTTTCTCATAAAAAATAATTTTTAAACCCAATTTTAAACTAATCCATTAAAACTGTGTGTTAAGAGAAGACTTTTTAGAGAACTTCTGTTTGTGTATTTATTTGTTAAGTGTTTACTCATTTTTTTCTCCCTTTTTTTAACCACCTTCCCCCACTTCCTGTGAACATTCCTACTTCCAGTAAGGGTTACACTGACGTGGTGAGGATTCCTGAAGGGGCAACCCACATAAAAGTTCGACAGTTCAAAGCCAAAGACCAGACTAGATTCACTGCCTATTTAGCCCTGAAAAAGAAAAACGGTGAGTACCTTATCAATGGAAAGTACATGATCTCCACTTCAGAGACTATCATTGACATCAATGGAACAGTCATGAACTATAGCGGTTGGAGCCACAGGGATGACTTCCTGCATGGCATGGGCTACTCTGCCACGAAGGAAATTCTAATAGTGCAGATTCTTGCAACAGACCCCACTAAACCATTAGATGTCCGTTATAGCTTTTTTGTTCCCAAGAAGTCCACTCCAAAAGTAAACTCTGTCACTAGTCATGGCAGCAATAAAGTGGGATCACACACTTCGCAGCCGCAGTGGGTCACGGGCCCATGGCTCGCCTGCTCTAGGACCTGTGACACAGGTTGGCACACCAGAACGGTGCAGTGCCAGGATGGAAACCGGAAGTTAGCAAAAGGATGTCCTCTCTCCCAAAGGCCTTCTGCGTTTAAGCAATGCTTGTTGAAGAAATGTTAGCCTGTGGTTATGATCTTATGCACAAAGATAACTGGAGGATTCAGCACTGATGCAGTCGTGGTGAACAGGAGGTCTACCTAACGCACAGAAAGTCATGCTTCAGTGACATTGTCAACAGGAGTCCAATTATGGGCAGAATCTGCTCTCTGTGACCAAAAGAGGATGTGCACTGCTTCACGTGACAGTGGTGACCTTGCAATATAGAAAAACTTGGGAGTTATTGAACATCCCCTGGGCTTACAAGAAACACTGATGAATGTAAAATCAGGGGACATTTGAAGATGGCAGAACTGTCTCCCCCTTGTCACCTACCTCTGATAGAATGTCTTTAATGGTATCATAATCATTTTCACCCATAATACACAGTAGCTTCTTCTTACTGTTTGTAAATACATTCTCCCTTGGTATGTCACTTTATATCCCCTGGTTCTATTAAAATATCCATATATATTTCTATAAAAAAAGTGTTTGACCAAAGTAGGTCTGCAGCTATTTCAACTTCCTTCCGTTTCCAGAAAGAGCTGTGGATATTTTACTGGAAATTAAGAACTTGCTGCTGTTTTAATAAGATGTAGTATATTTTCTGACTACAGGAGATAAAATTTCAGTCAAAAAACCATTTTGACAGCAAGTATCTTCTGAGAAATTTTGAAAAGTAAATAGATCTCAGTGTATCTAGTCACTTAAATACATACACGGGTTCATTTACTTAAACCTTTGACTGCCTGTATTTTTTTCAGGTAGCTAGCCAAATTAATGCATAATTTCAGATGTAGAAGTAGGGTTTGCGTGTGTGTGTGTGATCATACTCAAGAGTCTAAAAACTAGTTTCCTTGTGTTGGAAATTTAAAAGGAAAAAAATCGTATTTCACTGTGTTTTCAATTTATATTTTCACAACTACTTTCTCTCTCCAGAGCTTTCATCTGATATCTCACAATGTATGATATACGTACAAAACACACAGCAAGTTTTCTATCATGTCCAACACATTCAACACTGGTATACCTCCTACCAGCAAGCCTTTAAAATGCATTTGTGTTTGCTTATTTGTTTTGTTCAAGGGTTCAGTAAGACCTACAATGTTTTGTATTTCTTGACTTATTTTATTAGAAACATTAAAGATCACTTGGTAGTTAGCCACATTGAGAAGTGGTTATCATTGTTAATGTGGTTAATGCCAAAAAGTGGTTAATATTAATAAGACTGTTTCCACACCATAGGCAATAATTTCTTAATTTAAAAAATCTAAGTATATTCCTATTGTACTAAATATTTTTCCCAACTGGAAAGCACTTGATTGTACCCGTAAGTGTTTGAGTGATGACATGTGATGATTTTCAGAAAGTTGTTGTTTTTGTTTCCATAGCCTGTTTAAGTAGGTTGTAAGTTTGAATAGTTAGACATGGAAATTATTTTATAAGCACACACCTAAAGATATCTTTTTAGATGATAAAATGTACACCCCCCCATCACCAACCTCACAACTTAGAAAATCTAAGTTGTTTGATTTCTTTGGGATTTCTTTTGTTGTGAAACACTGCAAAGCCAATTTTTCTTTATAAAAATTCATAGTAATCCTGCCAAATGTGCCTATTGTTAAAGATTTGCATGTGAAGATCTTAGGGAACCACTGTTTGAGTTCTACAAGCTCATGAGAGTTTATTTTTATTATAAGATGTTTTTAATATAAAAGAATTATGTAACTGATCACTATATTACATCATTTCAGTGGGCCAGGAAAATAGATGTCTTGCTGTTTTCAGTATTTTCTTAAGAAATTGCTTTTAAAACAAATAATTGTTTTACAAAACCAATAATTATCCTTTGAATTTTCATAGACTGACTTTGCTTTTGACGTAGAAATTTTTTTTCTCAATAAATTATCACTTTGAGAAATGAGGCCTGTACAAGGCTGATAACCTATATGTGATGGAGATCACCCAATGCCAAGGGCAGAAAGCAAACCTAGTTAAATAGGTGAGAAAAAAAATAATAATCCCAGTGCCATTTGTCTGTGCAAAGAGAATTAGGAGAGAGGTTAATGTTACTTTTTTCCATTTTGGAAATAATTTTAATCAAGTAACTCAAATGTGACAAAATTTATTTTTATTTTTTGTGGTTATATTCCCAACAACATTAAAAAATACTCGAGGCATAAATGTAGTTGTCTCCTACTCTGCTTCTCTTACTATACTCATACATTTTTAATATGGTTTATCAATGATTCATGTTTCCCTCAAATAGTGATGGTTTACACCTGTCATGGAAACAATCCTAGAGAGCTCAGAGCAATTAAACCACTATTCCATGCTTTTAAGTAGTTTTCTCCACCTTTTTCTTATGAGTCTCACTAGATTGACTGAGGAATGTATGTCTAAATTCCTGGAGAAGATGATATGGATTGGAAACTGAAATTCAGAGAAATGGAGTGTTCAATAGATACCACGAATTGTGAACAAAGGGAAAATTCTATACAACTCAATCTAAGTCAGTCCACTTTGACTTCGTACTGTCTTTCACCTTTCCATTGTTGCATCTTGAATTTTTTAAAATGTCTAGAATTCAGGATGCTAGGGGCTACTTCTTTAAAAAAAAAAAAAAAAAAGAATTCGTCTGAAAATGCTCAGGTTTGTAAGAATCTAATCTCACTTACATAACTAAGCACTCCATAATAAGTTTTATTAAGTACAAAGGGAGCCAGAAAAAATGACATTTATTTCTTCTAGATCAGAAAAATTTAAATTAAGCCCTGCCTTGCTGTTTAGAAATATGTGGGCATTGTTATAATTTATTCAATAAATTTATGTTCCTTTGCCTTCCTGTGGAAACAGTTTTATCCCACTAAACTAGGAATTAGGGGATAAATCACAAACAAAAAAAAAGTTGCAGCACTGAAAAAAAGTAATTTATTGTTTTTGCAACTGGTATGTGAATTTGTGTGATAAAATTATTTATTCTTATTTAACAAAAATATGTTCAAATTTTTCTATATTTAAAATGTTTTGCTGTTGTCCTACTTTTTAATTTATGCTTCATGTTTGTGTATAAAGTACACTTTTACACTTTGTGAGTTTACATAATATACAGCACTGGTTGCTTTTGTATTTTTTTACAGAAAGCTTTCTGTGTGAAGCAGGTGTATATGTATATATTCCTCATGTATTCTTATTCTGATACTATCATTTTTCTTTCCAAGGAAATTTTAATCTGTCATGACCAATAGTGTTCATTACTTGTGCCTATGATAATAGGTTTTTTACATCACATTAACACTATTTTTTCCAAGTCACAAATAAGAAAAACACTTATTCAATGAAACAAGGTGCAAGTTTTAAATTTGGGTACACAAATAGCCTAGAAGCTTCCTACAGACGCTAAGACACAGCCAATAATCAGATCCTTTCACTTCATCGAGAAACTTGGACAAGTCGATATTGATGTATTAGATGAAAGTTGTCTACACACAACTTCTGAGGGATACAAACGATAATAAAACCAAATGTTGTCTGTTTCTCCTTTAGAAACACCTCCTAAAATTAATATCATTTAGTCTCTAGTGTCTGTAGGATTCTACAGATGAGCACAAATAGATTGGGTTTGTATAACAAATGCTAATAGTCATAACTGTTTCTACAAATATGGGGTGTCCATTAAGAGAATGTGATGTTTTCCTACTGCTGTTGAATCCCATGGGGTGATTATAGGACTTGAAATAGGCAGAGTCACCTCTGATGACATCAGCTTGCCTCTGTGATTTCACAGTCTGATCCTGGCAACAAGACAAAGCACCCTTGGACACACAGCCAATCTCTGGTTGTGATATTTCCCCATTGATTCCTTCCTTGTTAACAAGGTCATTTTAATGGTTCAGGTGAGGACAGCAGCCAGATTCAAAGTCCAGAATTTGTGCTGTTACATAGAGTTCACACTGTCAAATAACATTGAATTTAATAATGATCAAATTTTTCTAGTAGTCTTTGGCAGAGTGTATAATCTCATTGGCATGATTGGTGAATATTACTAATCTCTTTATAATGAAAGATGCTTTACAAATACCTTATATTTGCTAACATTTCAAAACTACTAAATAAATGAAATAGCCATGTGTACAGAAATGGTCATTTAAAGCTTTAATAGAACCAAATTCAAGACAATGTATCATTTAGACACACAGAAAAGGAACTTGTATGTTTTCCCTATTATTTTTCTCATTTGCCAACAATCTATAGTTTTAGGTTATCAAACAGATAGATCAACTTAACTGGCTAGTACATTGAAAAATCTTCCTAAGAATCCTTTGTTAGCATAATCTATAGAGATAATTTCTCAAATTATATCATCATGATGCATATAAACTCTATAATGTATAATTGTGTTTCATTTATTTAATGTATGAGAACATATTGAAATACAAAACCATGCATTAGCCAAAAAATTGGAATACAGGTAGTGTTCAGATCAGCAAAACATTCAGTCTGGTAAATGCCTGCCTGGGGCTATGATATCATTCTCAATGCAGGTTTTATGGAAAAACTAAAAGAATATGTTGTTAGATGATGTTGGTTTTGAAAAAAAAAAGACATTAACATACACATTAGTTAGCCCAGTTAATTGCATTCTACTAATATAGTTGCACATTAGCAATAATTTTGCTGTCTCTGGTCTTTATTTTGTGGCTTCAACTAACTGGACCATGTGGACTGTAAAGGTCAAATGGAAAAAACGAGCAGTGGCCCCTCATCCTGTAAGGTACTGCTACATCAGAGTGACCTAAAAGTCTAACACTGTGAGGAAAACTGTGATTTGTAGGAAAAAAAAAAAAAACAAATAAAAAACAGGGCATGCTTTTTAATTTTTTTCCACTTTCCTTTGGCACACCCAATGAACAATTCTAATTTTTATTGAGGTGCTAACATCTTTCGTGACCGACTGTCAAATGTGGTATTTTTGAGTTACTATTTTTCTACATGATTTTACAGTTTGCAAGAAAGACCTCTAAGCTTTGTGTCACGGTAGGGCACAACTTGATACTCAAAATTTGAAAAATAAGCACATCCAATGATTGTTTTGACCAACAGTGGTCAGTGACGTAAACTGCATGTGCATCTGAGGACATTTAAGGGGTCATTAAAATTTGAGGAGCATCAGGCCGGAGTAGCAGACTTTTAGATGAGTCATATTTCAGCATTCACTAAGTCCTCAGCATTCCATTCAAACTGTCGTGTATATTTGGCCTGATTTTTTTTCAAGCTTTGCAATAATTTATGTTATTGGTAAACACTTGGTGACTATATCTCAGCCTTTTCTTTAACAACTCACAATATATTAGAAACACGTCTACCTATACTGAGAGTATATTTACAATAGAAGAACATACTGTATGTGACTTTGTAAAGCTAGACTTTTGATTAAGAAATATATAATCTCTGGATGCTATTTTTGCATTATACACTCAGGCACAACGTAAACCTTGATGGCTCATCTTGCTACAATTACGAGTTGAAAAACACTACTTACGTATTTGTATGACCTATTAGTCAGAGGAAATCATACATATGCTTTGTAAATAGACTTTGCAGATAACTAAATAGACTGAAGAAATATGTTGCATTTGATAGAAGCAATTGCATAAATATTTGGTTTCTATATTAGAGTCTGTGAGTAAAGTCAAGTAATAAACCTAAGTAGGTATAACAGATTTTTAAACCTTGAAACTTGCTTTGATGGTAGAGAAAATCATTGAAGATTTACATACTGTATATAAGATGTAAAATGTACGCTGCTTATTACCCTCAATTTTCCAGAAGCAATGGTATATAATGCAGTTGAAAAACCAAAAATCTTGGAAAACTAAGACGGGTCTTGTTTAAAATGTCTCTCAGCTTTGGCAACCTTCAAATCTTAATCAACTATTTAAAGCATTACTGTGTCTTGTAGCCTGCATTCCACAACAGCTCTGTTATTCAGGTAAAAGACTTGAACTGAGCCGTTTGGGACCTATACTGTAATATTTTCATTGAGGAACAATATCCTATTTTGTAAAGCATTTCCCTATGTGTGACTTTAAACTGTAAAATTAAACACTGCTTTTGTGGGTTCAGTGGGCATAATAAATATAAATTGTAAACTAGGTTAAAGTATGTACTGCATATAATATGTTTTAGAGTTGGAAACTATTGTTCATTTATTTTTAATTTTCTCTTAACAGTGGTAGCACCAAGGTGGGTCTCAGGGAAGCCCTAGGCTCTTTATAATCTCTATCATTGCTCACCCTCTTTGGCATAGACAATTAATACTTTATCTTAGTTAAAGTTCTATGAAACTATTGCTTCAAGTTTTTACCAGACTACCAACCCTTGAAGATTGCATACTATTAAAATTCTGGTGTTAAATTAGAAACAGCAAGCAACATAATCTACTGCTTCATTTTTAATTTTTATGTCTAAACTTAGTCCAGATACAAAGTTAAAGAGTTGAGATAATAATGCAAGCATAGAAATTAAAAAAAAAAAAACAACCTGAAATTGACTAGCAAAAGTCTATTTTATAACATTTATAACATTAAGCTTCCTAGGAGCATTAATTCTTTTTAAACCTGGAATCATTACTTTTTAGCGTACATTTCAAATGCTGAATTTCCCTATCAAACAGTATTGTAGAATGGCGGTACTTTAAATTTTCTCCTTAGGAGGATGTATGCTTTTAAAGAAATGATTTAAAACATCTATATTTTTAAAAAGATGGTATAATATATACATACACACTAGCTATCAAAATATAGCTAAGATTTGTTCAACATCTCATTGAGTTAGGCCCTGTGGTAATCACCCCACAAACTTTCTACCACAAATTTCTCTCCATGCCCTTTGGCTCTTGTGATACTGGTATTAAGATTCCATGTTACAGATAACAGTCACAATATGATAGCCATTAATTATTAGCTATTAGGTTGGTGCAAAAGTGAATCTGAGCGAGAGATTGCAGGGTGGTTGAAGGATTGACTGGGAGATTAGAGAAATGGAGGGAAGTGTTTACGCCTAATGTGTAGGCCCCCTGAGTAAAAGCAAGAACATTCCTAAAATTCCAATGAAAATGTTAAGGAAACTATGAAGAATTAGGCAAGCAGTAAGGATAGAGCCAGGAGCTGAAGGTAGCACAGAAGATTGTTGTTTAAGGAAAGAGGAGAGATAATTTGATGTAGAAAACTAAGAAATTGCTGGTAAGAGTTTTTCAAAAAAGAGTTTGGTATTTTACCTTACAAACTCCTTCACAGCTGGAAATGAGTTGGGTCAGACAAGGTCAAAGGCATAAAAGTGGTAATGGGGATAGCTTTTGGATTAGGAGTAGAATGAACAAAGGGGATGCTTAGAAATGGAACTCTAGATGTTTGTGAAGTCCAAATCATCTCTATTTCTCAGATTCTGTTGGGTCTTTTCTGATATATTATTGAGTGTTTTATCTGTTCAATTAAATTCTGTTAAATTAAATTCCCACAAAATAAATGATTATATGTCATTATGTAGATACAGGTGAGGGAGTATAGTAGAATAGCCCTGCTTTTTCTAGTTCCTATCCATGTCTGTCACATAAGGAGACACGATGCCAGAATGATTAACCATCTGGGGCAGTACCTAGCCCAAGACCTCACTCCAATGTACATTCATAAGATTTTCTGTAATATAGATTTCTCCTTCTACTTCTAGCTACCTCCAATGCTTTGTCTCCCTACTAAGCCTCCTTTGGGATTTGCTTTCAATTGGAATTATGGGCTTTTTATTGTTGTTATTTACTATAAGAAGCATCTAAATCTTGGAAAGCATGGGAAAATATTTCTTAATCACTTATAAGTAGACTGCTTCCAAAAATAGTGGCTGAGCCAGTTTTAGATTTTAAAAAGAGTATTTTATCTACAAAACTTTGAGAAGCATTAACCTCTTCATCTTCCAAATATGTCTGCTACCTACTAGACATTGTAAAGATTCCACCTAGATTGTTTCTTTACTGTCAAGCTCCTTTACCATCCCTCTGTTCAAAGATGTTGCTTTGAACACTCAAAGGAAGTGCCTGACTATGACCAGCTATAAGAGTGTCAGACAGAATATTAGTATATGAGAACAAGCAATAGATGTCTCTTTTTTTAAGATTATGTTAAGACCAGCCAGTTCATAGCTCCTACACTGCTACCACTTGAGTAGAATCCTTTAATCTTTTCTATCCTGAACAACAGCAAATGCCTCTTTATGGGACTTCTTGCTGCCTTCAGCAGCTAGACTAATAATGAAAAGCTTTAAGTGAGATCATTTAAATCCTCTGCCAAATATTCTCCAACACCTTACTAACTCACTGAAAGTAGGAAACAATCTTCTTTCCACAGGCTTCAAGGCCGCACAGGATCTGATACCACCGACCTGTCTGATTTTCCCTCCTTTTCTTACCCCTTGGTTCACTCCCCAGCTACTTTGCCTCTCTGCTACTCTTTACGGCATCAAGTTTAAACCTTTTCCAGAATCTTTTGCCTAAAACGCTCTTCTCCAGATATACACTGGCTTCCTGGCTTCCTTCAAGTCTGTACTTAAATGTTATCCCTCAGAGAGTCCATTCCTGACCACCCTAAATTAAATAGACACATTTCTCCTTCATTTTTGTTCATGTCACTTGTAAATTCCTGAAATTTCACCATATCCTCGTTTGTATAAGTCTGTTATCCCTATCATATAACCAGATGTAGAAATGTACATACTTTGAGACCATACTCTTTATTTTGTATCATTGCTGTATTACCAGCTCCTAAGAAGGTACCTGGCATTCAATAAGTACTTGTTGAATAAATGACTGAATCAATAAATTGATGGCAACCCAGTCAAATAATAATTATTAAAGGGTTCAGGAAATGGTTGATGATGTCTCTGCAAAATGGCAAAATGTGGGTATATAAATATTTTTAACAAGTAATGCTGTTTAAAAAAAAAATTTTAGAAAAAAATCAAGCCAAGTTTAGGCCCAAGAAGTAGAGGAGCCATGGTAGATGGGTAGTAGCAAGAACCTGGTTACTTGATTCAAAGACAGATCTTCAGTTCCTGGTATGACACCAAAGTGGAAGACAGGATTCTAAAGATGTGCCCCCATAGTTCCTGTCTCTTGGTCATTCAATCAAACACAAATTGAGGTACTGCTGTGAAAATACTGTGGATATGGAATTAATGTTTATAACCAACAAACCTTAAAATAGGAAGATTAGTCTGGATTAATTTGAGAGCCCAGTTTAATCACATGAACTCTTAAAAGCAGAAGAGAAAGGCAGAAGGGGAAGTTAGAGGAACTCCAAGCATGAGAAGGAGTCCATGCTCCACTGCTGGCTAGGAAGATGAAGAAAGGGATCAAAAGGATTCAGGCAGTGTCTAGAAAGCTGAGAATGACACCTGGCCAATGGGACAGCCAGCAGGGAAATGAGAACCTCAGTTCTACAACTTCAAAACAAATGAATTCTAGCTAAAACATGAAGGAGTTTGTTGGAATCGGATTCATCCTTAGATCTTCTAGAAAGGAATGCAGCACTGCTGATACCTTGGTTCCAGCCTTGTAAACCCAGAGCAGAGGCCCAGCTGAGCTCTGCTGAGCTTAGATATCTATGAACTGTGATATTATAAATAGGTTTGGTAAAGATGCTGAATGATTGGCATTTGTTATGGTAGTAATAGAAAATGAATGTACACACGAAAACAAGGAATAATCTCAATCTAGAGTGGATTATTAGAAAGGCTACCATGTTAGGCCTATAAGCAGAATGAACAAGATTACAATCCAGTTATTGGGGTTGATGCAGGATTTTTTTCTGCTCCTTAGCTCAGCTAGGTACGGGTTCTTGTCTCATGACCAGGAAGAATTAGGCACACAGACACCAGAGAGTGAGTGGAGTAGAATGTATTAAATGAAAGGAAAGCTCTCAGCAAAGAGAAAGAAGGGCGGGGGGTGCTTCCCCTACCTAAAAGCAGGAAAGTCCCCCAATATGAGTGAGCCTGGAGCTTTTATGGACTCAAAATGGGGAGTGCATGCTGATTGGTTTGTGAGTATGCAAAAAAGTTTGAAGCAAAAACACCACTCAAAGGTGGGCACGACAGTGTAGAAAAACAATTAGGAAAGGGTAGGTATATGTAAAATAGGCTAAGGGTGGTGATCAGTCAGAGGAAAGCATGCCAAGCGGGAAGACAAGTTCTTAATCCGGTGTGAAAATTTAAATTGTAGCTTGGCTTTCAGGCTTTAAACTGTCTTTGGATGGGACCTGCCCCATCAGCCTAGGCATTTGGTAGCCTCCTGTCACTATCACGGTTACAGGACAAGGTGGAAACAAGAAAAACTCAAACTCAGAGTTACCAGATCAGGCACAAAATCTTGGAACAAGACCATCGCTAATCTAATTTTGCTATCAAGTCACTTGAGCTGTTAACAAGGGCTGCATATATACACACTGACTCCAGGACAGGATTGGTTAAAAATGTGATGTAGAGTAGCAATCTGTAGTCACAGTGATAAAAACAAGCAAACACAAGGCAGAAAACAGGGGCAGGAAATTGATGGATATGGAGATTTATTGCCTGGAAAAATGTTTTCCAAATGCAGCTAAAAATTCTTTGTTGGCAATCAATACATGTGTAACGGTTTTAATCAAATGGGTCAAAGATTTGACAAACGTGTTTTGGTTATATATTGCTGTTATTACTTAATTTCCCAAAATGGAGTGGTTTAAAGCAACACTTTATTGAATATTATGATTTTGTGAGTCAGGGCTCTCAGCTGGGTGATACTTCTGCTCCACACACCAACTGGACTTAACTGGAAGGTCCAAGACAGGTTTAATCACATGCCTCATGTCTTGGATGGGACAGCTAGATAATCAGTCTCAGCTGGGTTCCCCTCCCTCTCCAGGTATTCGCAAGGCCTTTCTGTGTGGCCTCTTCAACAGGGTATTCACTCTTCTTACAAAGTGGCTAAGGGTTCTAAGAATAGGTTTTTCCAGAAAACCAAGTAGAATCTCTAAGATGTTTTATGCTCAAGCCTTGGAAGTGCCAGAATATTCCTTTGTAACACAACTAATTAAAAATTTCACAACGCGTGAATCAACAACACTCAAAGATACTACCTTGATTCTTCGAGAAATGGAAAAATTATAAAATATGCCACTTTATACTTTGGTTACCAACCTTTTAAAGTAAATTTTTCATTGTTAACATGTCTTTCCTACATGCAGAAAAAATGAGGCTCTTATTTCAGAAACAATATTTAGAATTACAAAGGCATAATAGTTATCAGTGAGGAGGAGATTACTACCCTTTGTATCCATTCAAGTATAAAATACTACACTTGCTCTTAGCCAAAAGGCTGAGAAGCGATCAAGTATAAGATAAGCAAACTGCAGATAAGAAGTCTCAGTATTGTAATTAACTTAGTGCTCTGACTGGGGAAGCTTCCTTGGTGAGGGTGGGGAGGATGAATTGATTCTTTTGCTTGTTTGTTTGTTTGTCTCCCAATCTAAATGCCTTACCCTGAAAAAAAAATTTCAACATTTCTGAAAGGTGTTGTTACTCTGTGAACCAGAGGTATTCAGATATAAGGTAGACAGGAAGTAAGGGGACCATTCTGTGAATCAGGATGTAAGCAGGCCCCAAATATATTTTCCAGTAGGAAAGAAAGTTTTTATCTGTTCTACATGTAAAGTTGGACAAGACATCTTCATTTTACAAAATTGATTAAGCCAGATGTGTACAAGAGTATAATGAATTGTTCAGGCATCTGCTGAGTCTTTTGTGAGCAACTGAAACCCCTCTAATGAGGAAAATGAAGACTTGGGAAATGTGATACTTAGAAAATGTAGCTAGCCTTAGTTTGGATCTATTTAATGAAGCTACAATTAAGTTCCAGCTCCATTCAAGTGATACAGCTCACTCCTAAGTCCTGCGTGTTCCTCTGCCATTGCTCCTATGGGGCTGATCAGAGATTATGGATCAATTATATAAATTCATCAACACAGACTTTAAAAGGCACCTACCGCTAAAAATGGGTCAGGAAACTACAGAAAGGACAGATTGTATGTTGCACCCTCCTCATACTGAAAGAATGAAACTATTTTAATATTGATTGAGTGTTTCTGGAGCACATTATTGTTATTTTTCCAATCCATTAGAATCAGACTCCTAAGCCATTTCCAAAATTTTTGCATTGACTGCTCCCCATTATGTGAGCTCAGTGACAGAATTAGACATAAAATCCGGAATTGTCGTTGTAGATTTTTTTTTTTTTTTTTTTACTTTGGGGTCATAGGAGGACACAGAAATCTCTCTAAAATAGGCCCCAGCTGGCTGTCACATTTTCTTGAAAATAAATGTTCTCTCGAAGTCCTTTAACTTTGATCTTTCATTTATCCTCTTCCAAAAAATCTGTATTGTATAGGAACTTAACATCTGATGCAGGGAACCAAATGCTTCTTTAAGAAACTTATTAAAGCTGTAGTTTACTTAATAAATGAGCATGCACACAAAATATTATGTACAAATTTGAGATAATTTATATACCTCCAGAAGCTAAATAAGAAAATCCAATGTAACATAAACAAAAACAAATGTGCTGTAAATGGAAATTTTCTAAGAAGTAATTTCTCACAAGTGAAAATTTTGCTCCTAAAATTAGAACATATTTAGTATTCATTGATCCTTTAAACAATTCTTGAGCACATATGTAATATGACCCAGAATAATACAGGGATGTGATCACAAATAAGACTCGGTTTCAATATTCAACAAGCAAAAGCCAACGGGGTGCATATATAGGAAATTACATTGCAGTGGAATTGCTTCTATGATACAGGTAGATACAGTATCAATCATGTAATACAATACCCAGAGAAGCAACAAGCTCTTAAAGTGCATTAATACAGTTATAAATGGTGATGCTCTTCCTAGTCTGCATTGATAAGGTATGTTGCAGATTCTGACACTGCTAACTTCCATTCCACCTGCTTTTTTTGCTCCATAATAACATCTGCTCAGCTAGAGACTAGGTCTTTGAGCAGTTGAACAAATATCAACAATTAACCATCCCTGGAATTTTTGTTATGTAAGAACTTTTTTTGTTAAAGGATTAAATCACTGCAGGATATTCTGAATTTTGGAGACAAAAGCATTTCTAACTGATTCAGTTTCTCATGGGAATTAGGATTCTCAACCTTGGGAATCTTAATAATAATATAAACAGATTGAAGCTCTGCTTAGAGAAAGGTTAGAAAGATGGAGGATCTAAAACTATGTCCTATTTTGTATAACAAAATAAAGTTTGGAAAATGGACTTCAGAACAAAACAGCATGTGCTTTCAAATAGTTGAAAGGCTATCATGGAAAAGAAAAGTTATAATTATTTTACATAAGCCGAAGGGTACAATGAAAACCAATGAGTTGGTCAAAGTAAGAACCAGTGTAGAAAAAAGTTTCTACCATTCTCACATTTCATTTTTTCTTCCAAACACAGTTGCTTCAGAAGGGTCATAACTGTAGAGGTTTACTTTTACCACTCCCTTTCACCCATGAAAAGTTTTCCAAAAGGTCAATGTATGCTTTGTGTTTATACACATCACTTTAAGTTAGTTTTACGAATATTTGTCCTATTATTTTTTCACTATGTAGACTACTTATACTTCATGCATTCAGTATATAATGCTGACCAATTACAAATTTCTAGTTTTAATTTTCCCTTAGTACAGTGGTTCTAAATCCGGAAAAATTTTCTCCCTGTGGGATATTAGTGATGTTTGGAGATGTTGTGGATTGCCACAGTGGTGGGAGGGATGCTATTGACATCTAGTGGAAAGAATCCAAAGAAGCTTTTGAAATGCACAGAACAGCCCCCATCCCCCGACACAAAGAATGTTTCTCTCCAGAATGTCAGTAGTCCTGAGATTGAGGAACCCGCTTGAATAGACTACTCCTGTCCTATTGTGCCTGTGTCATAAACATGCTCAAGGGAATACTTCTTACCTTCTAATTAGATGTGATCAGTATGTCTGTTACTCTTTTCTCCTTGCTGCTATAGAAGTTGGAGCAGCAGAAGCTGGGAACCAGAGCTTCATTCTTGGAACATTGGCACATGCTGTGTGTTTCCTGAGACCCAAATAACCTCAGGTAGGTTATGAGCTGTGGGCACTGTTGGGACAATTGATGGATTATGCAGGTGAACATGGCATAGACTGATGACAGGCAATTACTGTAAATCACCGTTAGTTCTACTTCCAGCCATATGCAACTGATTGCAAGAAATCTATGGAAAACGGCCCTGGCCCATGCATTTTAGAAAATTAGTGTTGTACCTAAAGCCAGTTTTGCACATTTTCTGAATGAGTTAAATGGAATGTTTTCCATATAGCCAAATGAAAAGAGTTGAGAAGAATGAAAGTTTTGTTTCCTCAATGGCATTTTTAAATAATATCTTATTTTAGGTGCAAATAGCGTGTATTTTTAAATAATAAACTCTGTAAATGACCATGTTCTAGTTTTTAGGGAATTCTAGGAAGTACAAAAACATGATACTACAACAGACAATCCTAATTCAGTTTCCAATGTGCATTTCTTAGCATAGATATTGGTTTTTTGTTTAATAATCTTTTTGTTTAAAAATTCTTAAACTTTTGCTTGAGAGTAAGAGTTATTTAAAAGCTTGTACATGAAGATTTATGCCAAAATATACATTCTTAAACTTGGCTATTTAACATTAGGGCCATTAAACTTGGCCCTAATGTTATTCTAATTGACGAAAGAAACAAAAATTTGGGGAGCAAGGGGAGTATTTTTCTTTCTGTTTTTCCAAACACAATTTCCTAATTTAGAAAAGAAGTCACCAGTAACACAATAGCCAGAAATTTGGTCAATACCAAAAAGGAACCACAATAAACAATATCTTAGAGGTCAAGAAATGAGAGACAAATAGAGAGAAAGGAGGAGGAGGAGGAAGAATAAGAAGAGGAAGAGGAGAAGGGAGGGAGGAAGAGGAAGAGTGGAAGAGAAGGGGGAAGGAGAGAAAGAAAGAGAAGGCTACAAGCACTATGGCTAAGATCAGGTAAGATCAGGGTAGAAAGCACTATGAAGTTCTACTTACATTTTCATGAGGTTGTTATTCATTTTTAGATATATACAGTGTACTTGCCACTGGATTCCATCATGTCAAACCAGGATTCCTGAAGTTCTTGTTTATTTCTGCTGTCTAAACCCATTACCTTCCACCTCCTAAAGGACTCAACACCACAGCTTTCAAGTCAAGGCCAAAGACACTAACTACATCTCCAGAATCAAGTGTACGATTTGAAAAATGATTGCACTTTGATGTGCTTGCTTTTCTCTCATGGAAATGATTCTCAATCATAATTGTCAATCTTGACTCAATTCAAAGCCTGATATACACAGAGACTAGTATGTTAAAGTACTCAAGCCACCAAAATGAAAGGTAGTCACTAAAAACAAATTATATTGGTTTTGATTCACTGTGCATATGATATAGATGAAGCAGTGAATAATTCCTTTTCTCAGTTCAAAGCTAAACTTTGGAGGCAGCGTGTTTTCCTGGATGTTTAACTAAATCTTCTCAGCTAACATTACTAGGTCAAAGCAACAAAATTCCAAAACACTATTGTATTTAGAAATACAGTGGATTCTCACTTGTGAGGATTCCACACTTTAAAGAATATTTGCAGCTCAGTGTTTGACCCCATAGTGCATGCCTTCCTCTGGAATCTAGCAGATGACAGGTACTTATCTAAATTCCAACCAACTTTTCTAGCCACATGTGCAACTGCTATACCTGATCAAACACACTGATGATTCTGACACAAAGGCCAGATTTCCTCTAAATGCTCATGTCTCTGGGTCTTTGCCATATAATTCTTCAGCCAGGTTGTCTTTCAATCATCTTTCCTAACAAAGCTCTATGCAGTTAAAAGGTCTAATTTGTCAAGCAGATGGCCCAATTCTGCTGCTACTATTCTACTACACACATACACACACACATACGCACAAACACACTCATTTCCAGTAAAAACCAATTACTATGGCTTCTAAATGTCGATATTATGGGTATCTATATTATTATACTTTTCTATTTTTGCCTTGACTTTAAATAAATTGCAGAAGTCTGTTTCTTCCTTACCCTGACAACGTCACTACCCCACATAACATTATAAGTCTTGAGAGGGCAAAGTCATGTTTTAAACATCCTTATATTTGTAATCACTACAAGTTTGTTGTATGAATGATTACATGAATATGGATTTTAATATTAGCTAGAACAAACATTGTAGATATTAATTTATAATACAAAACATTTAATTTAAAAATGCAATCTGTCTCTATTTAGAACTGTTGATGATTTATCCATCGTGGATTGTTGTGCAGTAATTTAAATTTTTAAAACTGTAACACTAAAGTATAATTTTTCTTGATAACAAAGTCTACCAAACCTCCGCCCTGCTCAAATTTGGTGCTGGAAGCAAGTCTTTCACTTATCTTATCATAGACCCAGTATAAGAATATTTATTACACCTAACGTAGCTGATGAAAAGTTAGTAGAACATGCTTTTTAACTTGTCGTCAATGCTAATGAAATTCTGTTACTGAAGAAAAATAATGTAATGCATAGATTAGAGAATTAAGGAAGCTTAAAAATCGTATCATCCACTCCCTTCCTTTTAAAGATAAAGCAAGCACCTAAGGGCCAGGAGTTTAGGAGAAAGTAGTCTAGGAACATACCTTTTCTTCTTTTTTTGTCGGTAATGTGAGGCCTTCATCAGGTTAGAGGTCTGTGGCCATGAACAGAGCCCAATAAGCTTTCCTATGCATTGGCACCAGTTCAAGATCTTGGCTTTGTTGGTACTGTTCTCTATCATTCTGTAGTCAATGTATCTTAGATGACAATATATTTTAAAATTTAAAAAGCACAAAGAAGTAATCTTAGATCCTTGGTAATTCTGGCTTATTCCATTTGCCAATTGGGTCTCATATTTTGGCATGGACATGTATTTCCTTGAAGGATTTTATAATAAAAACATTAAAGTAACAGCATGTTCAAGAAAGTCAGAAAGAAGCAATGATCTATTGTCTTATGGAAGGCTTCTCTTCTACCAGATAAGGAAACTAATACTAAGTGAGAGAAGATGTTTGCTGACAGATGTTCTTGCCCTAAGTCAGTGGCTTCTGAAACTTGGCTGCATTAAAGTCACCTGTGGCACTTTTTAAAAATACCTGTGGAGCAACAGGAACGCTCATTCATTGCTGGTAAGAATGAAAAATAATACAGGCACTTTGGAAGACATTTTGACAGATTCCTACAAAACTAAATATACTATTACCATTTAATCCAGCAATTGTACTTTTTGATATTTACCCAGAAAGACTGAAACTTCTGTCCACACAAAGATGTTTATAGCAGCTTTATTCATAATTGCTAAAACCTGGAAACAACGAAGATGTCCTTCAGCAGGTGAATGAATAAATAAGCTGTGGTACATCCAGACATTGGGATATTATCAAGTGCTAAAATAAATGAGCTATGAGCTATAAAACCATGAAAAGGCATAGCAAAAACTGAAATGCATGATACTAAGTGAAAGAAGCCAATATGGAAAGCCTGCATACTTTGTGATTCCAAATGTTTGACATTCTGTAAAGGGCAAAACTATGGAGACAGTAAAAAGATTACTAGTTGCCAGGGTTTGGGCATAGGGAGGGATAAATATGCAGAGCAAAGGAGATTTTCAGGGCAGTGTATTAGTCTGTTGTCATGCTGCTCATAAAAACATACCTGAGACTCGGCAATTTACAAAAAAAAAACAGGTTTAATTGGACTCACAGTTCCACATGGCTGGGGAGACCTCACAATCATGGTGGTAGGCAAGGAGGGGCAAGTCACATCTTACGTGGATGGCGGGAGGCAAAGAGAGCATGTGCAGGGCAACTCCCATTTTTAAAACCATCAAATCTTGTGAGACCCATTCACCATCACAAGAACAGCAATGGTAAGACCCACCCTCAGAATTCCATCATCTCCTACCGGGTCCCTCGCACAACACATGGGAATTATGGGAGCTACAAGATGAAATTTGGGTGGGGACAGAGAACCAAACCATATTAGGCAGTGAAACTGCTCTGTATGATACTATAATGGTGGATACATGTCATTATACATTTGTCCAAACTCATAGAATGTACAACACCAAGAGTGAGCCCTAACGCATGGACTTAGGGTGATAATAATGTGTCAATGTAGGTTCATCAATTGTAACAAATGTACCATTCTGGTGGGAGATGCTGGGAACAAGGGAGGCTGTGCATATGTGGGAGAAGGGTGTATATGGGAAGTCTCTCTACCTTCCTTTCAATTTTGCTATGAAGCTGTAAATGCTCTAAAAAACAAATCTATTAAAAACAAACAAACAAACAAAAAACAACATCCAGGCCTCACTCCAGACCAACTAAATCAGAAGCTCTGGGTTGAGGCACAGGCATTTTGTTTTGTTTTTTTTTCTTTTTCTCCTCAGGAGATTTCCAAAGTGAAGCAGTGAAACAAATTATTTCTGTACATCTTTATGACAATGTTCTCATTCCTTGTTCTAGAATTTTTTTCATAGACTATATGCTTTGGTTTGGTGTTTAGTTGCTCATCTTTGAGAGGAAAAAAATTGTCAATCCAGACGATGATTTTTGCAATAAAGAGAGGAGCTAGCCTCCATCAAGTTTCACTTCATTTAGGGGAGTTTTCTAGTCTTGATCTAAAAGCCAAAAGGAGGTGCATCACCTTGCCTGGCTAATTTTTTGTGTTTTTGGTGGAGAGAGGATTTCAACATATTGCCCAGGCTGGTCTCAAACCGCTGAGCTCAGGCCATCCATCAACCTCGGCCTCCCAAAGAGCTGGGATTACAGGCGTGAGCCACCTCGCTCCACCCCCAGGCCCCAGCTTGGTGGCTTCTTTCTTGTCCAAGCTCAGAGATTGGAACCTAGAATGTGGAACCCAAGAATATGCTTTTCAAATCTGTCACACCAGAGATGAAATTAGAGAAAATTCTGCCCTTGTTCGCCTCTTGTATTTAATTTATAGTGCTGCTGCCACTATCTGTGTATTATTATGGGAATTTTAAAAGGAAGTTCAGACGAGGTATACTATTAAGCATGCCTAGTATTCTAACTCAGAAATCATATATATATACTTTTTTTTTTTTTTTTTTGAGACAGAGTCTCATTCTGTCACCCAGGCTGGAGTGCAGTGGTGCAACCTCGGCTCACTGCAACCTCTGCCTCCCAGGTTCAAACGATTCTCCTGCCTCAGCCTCCTGAGTAGCTGGGATTACATCTGCCTGCCACCATGCCTGACTAATTTTTGTATTTTTAGTAGAGACGGGGTTTAACCATGTTGGTCAGGTTGGTCTCAAACTCCTGACCTCAGGTAATCCACCTGCCTCAGCCTCCCAAAGTGCTGGGATTGCAGGCATGAGCCACCATGCTCGGCCTCCTATATACTTTTATAACCAGAAAAAAAAAATAATAAAACTAAAAATTCTGGTGTTTGCCCTATGTTCTGGAACATTAGATACAGTTTATGAGTTTCATCTGGATGCAGGCTAGTGGCTCACATCTATCTAGTATCCCCACTCCCAGTCTCTTATGCCTAAGGCCAGATCTCCCATCTTGAAGCCTCTGTTGAATCCTCTCTTGAATCCTGAATCCTCTTGAAGCTTAAGTTTTGTTCAATCAATAAATGTGAATCAAAATTATCAATCTATAAATCTTAGCAAGTTTTTAAACACATCTGAGCTTTAGTTTCCCCATCTGCATGATAGGGGATATAGCATAACTATATAATATGTAGCACAGAGGAATAGCTCCATAAATATTTGGTCTCTTTTTTTCAGTGATTCTTTCTTTCTTATCCACTCTTTTTCATGGAACTCTACTTAAAGCTGTTAAAGGCTACCAGGTGCCAATTATTAAAATAAACCTCTGAATCCTGACATGATAGGGTGTGGGCAAGCCTAACTTTCCTGCTTTACCTTCCACTTTGCCTATGTCCTGCACCCTGAGGTTACTCTCAACCACCTGACATGACTTGGCTGTCCCCCACATCCTTGCATTCTAGGGGCCCATCCCCTCTGTATGAGTACTCTACCCCATCCTTTTGTTACTGAAATTGTGTCCTTTCCCTAAGGGCAAATTTAATTGTCGCTTCCTCCAGGAAGCTAAGAGGGCCTCACTTCAAAGAACTTCTTCCAAATTTAGAGACTCAAATTCATACCTTGCCTTGTTAAGTCAAAAGTCAAATAAACCAAGAACATGCCAAGAACTTATTTAAGTTCACGGTGAAGTCAACAAATGAAAGAAGAAAATAAATATACCTGAAAAAGAAACATTCTAAAATATGTTTTTAATAAAAAACCTAATGCTTCATTTATATTTTTTCTTCTAATTTTAAAAAGATAAGCTAAATGCAATTTGTTTCATTTTAGCTTAACCTTTTTTCACTATAAAAGGGCAAGTGTTTATACTAATCCTCTGTGTAGATGAAATACTTAGATTGTTAAGGGGTCTGGTATACATCCTGTTTGCAAACTAAAATTTCTTTTTGAATGAAGAATAAATTGTGCATGTGCAGACCCAAAACAAAAACCTCATTTTGGGGCTTTGCTATTAGTTCCAATCTTTATAATCTGCATCTCTAAAATGTTCCACTTCACAAAGTACAAAGCTGTTTTCATAGTTCTCTCGTAACTTGTTTTCCTAAAGCACTCCAATCAGTTTTATGCCAGTGAATGTCTGTTGTGTTTATTATATTTTGCATTTTCTCCACCCGGGCCCCCACCCTCAAATCCCACATTGTGAGCAAGTCTTTTGAGTATCCAAGTTTGTTAGCAAATTTTCCAGCAAATAGAATTTTTTTGGAATTTTTTCCACCTTTGGTTGATGGGCTTACCCTGAAATAAACCAGTCATGTTTGTGCTAAACTTCTAATGGAACTTCACTTCCACTCACATTTAATGAATGAATGACGAACTGAATATACCAACAAAATCAAGTCATGAATAAAAATAGAGGGAGACAGAGAGTCACTGAGTAAAACAGAAAGAATGTGAGAAGAAAACTTTGGGAGAGAGAATAAATGTTTATTCCTGTGGCTCCTATAACAAAAACTTAGCAAATATATTTTCCCTAGGCTAAATATGAACATCTGAGAGAATCAACTAAATAAGTTAAACCTTTATTTTATTTCCGTTAGATCTCAATAATTATTGGTCCCCTCTACTGGCATCAAAATGTTGATAAGCCTATTACTAATGTAAGCGTTAAAAGTCACAAAGTGAATGTGAGATCACTTTGTGATTTGGAAGTTGGAATTTAAATACTAACTAGACCTATCTAGCTGAGTCAAGAAGCAAACAATGACAAAGCCTTACCCAAAACATCAAAGCAAATGGGATCTAGACTTTCTTGCTTCTGAGAAGCCCTTCGGCCTCACTTATAGTCACTGCTTTAGTTTTTGGCCCCACAGTATATCCTTTCATTTTAATTTTCTGAATTTCTGTGTATTTTTTTAATTGTTTGTATTTTTAAAAAAATTCTTGTGGGCACACAGTAGGTGTATATATTTATGGGGTACATGAGATGTCTTGATACAAGCATGCAATGTGAAATAAGCACATCATGGAGAATGGGGTATCCATCCCCTCAAGCGTTTATCCTTTGAGTTCCAAACAATCCAATTACATTATTTATTTAAAAATATACAATTAAATTATTATTGGCTATAGTCACCCTATTATGCTATCAAAGAGTAGGTCTTATTCATCTTTTCTCCCTTTTTTTTTGTACGCATGATCCATCCCCACCTCCCCCTCAACCCCCTAGTACCCTTCCCAGCCTCTGGTAACCATTCCTTTATTCTCTATGTCCTTTTCCAAAAGTACTAAAGTGCTAGCTTTGAACTAAGATGAATAACTGACTAGCAATAGGAAAATGAGGGGGAAAACATCAACCAAACAGAAAAAATGTGTTTAAAGCATAAACACCTTGAAAACTGGTCATATCTTCATCCACTAAATCAGTTTCACATCATAGCTTAGCCTATAACCATTTATTGTTCACTTCACTAAATTTAGTCTCAAGAATCTTAGGAGACTTGAGAAGATGATCACAGTGTATGCCCCGACCTCAGATAATGCTAACAAAATGTTATCAGTCACTCAAGATACACACTTTTAAAACCTCAAATCCCCAGAAAAATGATAATCCTTTCTTATACCTAAGATAGTAGTGTTATTTTTATAAATGCATTCAAATACGGCATCATACTTTGTCTGACTAACTCAACATAGATGCTGATTCAATGTTTGCTCTATCGGATAAAACTATATTAAAATCACGTGAGAAATTTTCATGTATACCATGGACCTAGGAAATAGAAGCCAAAATAAGTGTTGGTTGGAGACAGTGCTTGGTTTGTATGCAGCCAAATCATAGCTAAGTGTCAGGCTTGTTGGAAGAGTTGACACGCAAGACAGCTGGAGTCAGTTTATTTACCTGTAGGATAAAACGCTTACACAAAGAGATGGCCAGAAGCTGATGATGCCAAATCTAATTTAAAAATGAAAACACTTACATAAAGAGATGACCAGAAGCTGATGATGCCAAAAGTAATTTAAAAATGTGTGGTCACCTGCCCCATTGCATTTTTATGGGACGAGATCAATAATTCATAACCAGAAGTCAAATTACTTGCCAACGCTGTCAACAGCACCTGTTCATCTATTGGTTCAAAAAGACCAAGTTCACATTGATGTCCTCACAACACTTCACATTTCCATGTGACACTTCTCTATGCCTTACCATAGCGAGCATGGTACCATGCCCAACCTCTCCTGTCCCTGCCCTTCCCACCGCAAACACTAAAACTAATACCTCTCTGAGCTTCAGAGACTCAGTGAGCACACAGTACTGCTAGTCTTCAGTAGGAAACTTGGGATTGTTCCACCCACAAATCCCTGTGCTGCCTTTGTGATATGTGGTCTGATTTAGAGCAGGAGCAGACACAACTTAAGGAATGAGAGATCAGACAAAGGGACCAAAATGAGATTGTGACCAAAGTTAAAGCATTGACTCTATCTATGTGACTGTGAATGAAAATGGATCCCTTTAAAGTCCTGTTTCAGGACTGAACATTACTTAAAGCTTCCAAAGAGAAGTGTTGAAATTCATCTTTATACATTATCAGCCAGGGAATACTTGATTGTCTCTTTTGTGTTCATTTACTTGTATGGCAAAATAATTCAAGAAAAAAGAGCAAAGGAGTTTAGATTAAATACTGGGTTTTTTTTTGGCTGATGGTCGATTTTTATCCTGTCTTTTTGTATATTTGCTTTTGAATTTGATCCAAGAGTATGATTCTAGTATGTAAAATAAGAAAAAGAAATGAGAACACCAACTACTACAAATATATTCTAAAGAATATAAATTTTTCTCTGAAACTATAAATGAAAAATTAAAACAAAACACCTTTGACTGATTTGAGGAATACAAAAGACTTTGCTATTCTGATTTGGGGGATTTATTTGGTAAAAGGTTTTATTTTTTGATGTCACTATCAAAAATTGAAGCCATATTATTATTTTGACAGTCAGAGGTATCTAGGCATTCCCAAAATAAAATGCTAGATTGCTA
The DNA here is from genome assembly GCF_000001405.40 of Homo sapiens. Classification (NCBI taxonomy): domain Eukaryota; kingdom Metazoa; phylum Chordata; class Mammalia; order Primates; family Hominidae; genus Homo; species Homo sapiens. The sequence continues at coordinate 26,900,322 of NC_000021.9, read as the reverse complement.
ATTTCACTTAAGACCAGCATATTTGATGACCATTTGGATTTTGAAAGTATATTACCAATTATTATTTTGACACAGTTTTAAATTTCAAGATAGAGGTTTAAAAGTTAAGAAAGAACAGCTATTTCAGCTTATGACACAATCACAGAAATTGAACTTGCTTTCCCACTAAAAACAACTAGAAAACTGACAAAATATGTAAAACAGCTATTTTCAGGCATTGGACAGCTGGAAGTACAGGACTGCATTGCTTTAAAAAAGGGAAACAAAAGAGGTGAACTATATAATCACTGCACTTTCTTCCTGGAAACACCTTTCTTAATTTCAGAGCAGATAAGGGGAGCCCAAACCAAGCATGACAGTCTCACCTAGTTGATGGAACAGCAATTAGAGTTCAGAAAGGCTGAAGCAGCTGAACTTGCAAGAAAGAGTAAATAGCTCTAGAAATCTGCATGGATCCCCTTGATAGCTTGGTTGAACACTAAGCAATATATGCATGAGGTAAAACTAAGTAATGAATAGGGTAAAACTCCATGAGCCTGTACAAAAATGAAAAGCTACTGCGCAGCTGTAAGCTGAATGATTCCCGAAGATCATACAGGAATGGGAGACAACTTCACACTGATCAAGCCAAAAGGGGATACTTTGTTGAATGTCTGAGGCATTTAAAAGAAAATGCAGAGGGTACTTCATAGTAGGGCTACTATATGCCACCCTTAAAAAGATGAGAGATAAAGTTCAAAATAATGCACAAATGATTAAATTTTCTGCCAAAATATACTTCAACACTCTTTACATGAAGACAGCAAGATCCACACACTTATCACCATAATTTCACAATGTCCAATATCATATAAAAACTACTGAACATGAAGCAGGAATTTATGACTCATAATCATGAGAAACGTGATAGAACCAAACAAATTAGAGATGATGGAAGTAGCAGACAAGTACATTAAAACATTATACATAGTCTTAAGGATTTAAAAGAAAACAAGGTACTAGAGCAGTGGAAGACTTGGGAAAACAAATGTACTTCATAGAGTTGACAAGCATAATATCTGGGAGAAAAAATTAAATGGATGGACTTTGTAGTAGATAACAGACCATATAATAAAAGACCAATGAACTTGAAGACATAGCAACGAAAGTATGCAAACAAAAATACTGAAAGGAAAAAATCTTGAAAAATAAATACAGTCTCACTTACCTGTGGGACAACTGGACTTCCAGAAAAAGAGGAGGAAAGGTCAGATTAAAGCAATAATAGTCAAATTTTCTCCAACTTTGATGAAAACTATTGATATGGTTAGACTTTCTGTCCCCACCCAAATTTCATCTTGAATTGTAATCCCCATAATCCCCATGTGTCAAGTGAGAGACCACATGGAGGTAATTGAATCATGGGGGTAGTTTCCCCCATGCTGTTCTTGTGACAGTGAGTTCTCACGAGGTCTGATGGTTTTATAAGGGATTCTTCCCCCTTCAATTCAGCGCTTCTTTCTCCAGCCATCTTGTGAAGAAAGTGCCTGCCTCCCCTTAGCCTTCCACCATGATTGTAAGTTTCCTTGGGCCTGCTCAGGCCCGACTGTGAGTCAATTAAACCTCTTTCCTTTGTAAATTACCCGGTCTCATGTATTTCCTTTTAGCAATGTGAAAATGGACTAATACAACTATAAATCTGCAGTTCTGAGAAACTCAACAAAGAGGATAAAGACAAAGAAAACCACAGAAGCCATATTTTAATCATATTATTGAATACTAGTAAAAAAAAGAAGCATTGGGTAGGCAGAATGTCTTTCACTGCTGAATTCTATTAAACATTGAAGAAAGAAAACAATAGTTTTACATGAACTCGTTAATTAGAATTAGAGGGGGGAATAATTTCCAATTCATTTTATGAGACTGGCTTTGCTGAAATACCAAAAGCAGAAAGACAGATTACAAGAAAACTACCATCTGGTCCTGGACTCTTTTTGGTTAGTAAGCTATTGATTATTGCCACAATTTCAGATCCTGTTATTGGTCTATTCAGAGATTCAACTTCTTCCTGGTTTAGTCTTGGGAGAGTGTATGTGTCGAGGAATTCATCCATTTCTTCTAGATTTTCTAGTTTATTTGCATAGCGGTGTTTGTAGTAATCTCTGATGGTAGTTTGTATTTCTGTGGGATCGGTGGTGATATCCCCTTTATCATTTTTTATTGCGTCTAGTTGATTCTTCTCTCTTTTTTTCTTTATTAGTCTTGCTAGCGGTCTATCAATTTTGTTGATCCTTTCAAAAAACCAGCTCCTGGATTCATTAATTTTTTGAAGGGTTTTTTGTGTCTCTATTTCCTTCAGTTCTGCTCTGATTTTAGTTATTTCTTGCCTTCTGCTAGTTTTTGAATGAGTTTGCTCTTGCTTTTCTAGTTCTTTTAATTGTGATGTTAGGGTGTCAATTTTGGATCTTTCCTGCTTTCTCTTGTGGGCATTTAGTGCTATAAATTTCCCTCTACACACTACTTTGAATGTGTCCCAGAGATTCTGGTATGTTGTGTCTTTGTTCTCGTTGGTTCCAAAGAATATCTTTATTTCTGCCTTCATTTCATTATGTACCCAGCAGTCATTCAGGAGCAGGTTGTTCAGTTTCCATGTAGTAGAGTGGTTTTGAGTGAGTTTCTTAATCCTGAGTTCTAGTTTGATTGCACTGTGGTCTGAGAGATAGTTTGTTATAATTTCTGTTCTTTTACATTTGCTGAGGAGAGCTTTACTTCCAACTATGTGGTCAATTTTGGAATAGGAGTCGTGTGGTGCGGAAAAAAATGTATATTCTGTTGATTTGGGGTGGAGAGATCTGCAGATGTCTATTAGGTCCGCTTCGTGCAGAGATGAGTTCAATTCCTGGGTATCCTTGTTAACTTTCTGTCTCATTGATCTGTATAATGTTGGCAGTGGGGTGTTAAAGTCTCCCTAGGCATTACCATTCAGGACATAGGCATGGGCAAAGACTTCATGTCTAAAACACCAAAAGCAATGGCAACAAAAGCCAAAATGGACAAATGGGATCTAATTAAACTAAAGAGCTTCTGCACAGCAAAAGAAACTACCATCAGAGTGAACAGGCAACCCATAAAATGGGAGAAAATTTTCACAACCTACTCATCTGACAAAGGGCTAATATCCAGAATCTACAATGAACTCAAACAAATTTACAAGAAAAAAACAACCCCATCAAAAAGTGGGCGAAGGACATGAACAGACACTTCTCAAAAGAAGACATTTATGCAACCAAAAAACACATGAAAAAATGCTCACCATCACTGGCCATCAGAGAAATGCAAATCAAAGCCACAATGAGATACCATCTCACACCAGTTAGAATGGCAATCATTAAAAAGTCAGGAAACAACAGGTGCTGGAGAGTATGTGGACAAATAGGAACACTTTTACACTGTTGGTGGGGCTGTAAACTAGTTCAACCATTGTGGAAGTCAGTGTGGCGATTCCTCAGGGATCTAGAACCAGAAATACCATTTGACCCAGCCATCCCATTACTGGGTATATACCCAAAGGACTATAAATCATGCTGCTATAAAGACACATGCACACGTATGTTTATTGCGGCATTATTCACAATAGCAAAGACTTGGAACCAACCCAAATGTCCAACAATGATAGACTGGATTAAGAAAATGTGGCACATATACACCATGGAATACTATGCAGCCATAAAAAATGATGAGTTCACGTCCTTTGTAGGGACATGGATGAAATTGGAAATCATCATTCTCAGTAAACTATTGCAGGAACAAAAAACCAAACACCGCATGTTCTCACTCGTAGGTGGGAATTGAACAATGAGAATACATGGACACAGGAAGGGGAATATCACACTCTGGGGACTGTGGTGGGGTGGGGGGAATGGGGAGGGATAGCATTGGGAGATATACCTAATGCTAGATGATGAGTTAGTGGGTGCAGTGCACCAGCATGGCACATGTAACTAACCTGCACATTGTGCACATGTACCCTAAAACTTAAAGTATAAATAATAATAAAAAAAAAAGAAAACTACCAATATACCTTATAAACATAAACACAAAAGTCTTTACCAAAGATTAGCAAGTAAAATCCAGCAAAACAAAAATTTAGTGCCACATGACCAATTTGGGCTTATCACAATATTTCAAGTTTGGTTAATAGTTGAATAGCAAATCAAGGTAATTTGTGATATTAACAGAGGAGAGAAAGAAATAATATGCTATCTCACTAAATGGAGAAAAAACTATTTGACAACATTCAATAACTAATCATGATAAATGCTCCTAGCAAATTGGGAATAAAACAAAACTTTCTTTACTGGAAGACAGTATGATAATAAGCATAAAAAAAATTAAAGAAGCTACAAAATATCTACTCAGAATATGCTATAAATTTAAAATAATGTAAGAATATAGGATAGAAGATCAATATTTTAAAAATTAATTATAATTCTATATATTAGCAACTAATAATGGCATATTGAAATGTTTAAAAATAATTTCAATAGCATAAAATATTTAGCTATGGATATAAATAATGCATGACTTCTATTGTAAAAATTACAAAACATTGCTGAGAGGAATTATGAAAAATTAAATGAAGAGATATATTATGTTCATTAGAACACAATATTAAAAAGTCAATTTTCCCAAGTTGATGTATTGATCATTCTAATCATAATTTCAGCAGAGCTTTTTCCTTCTAACTAATAAGCTGATTCAAATATTTATTTTGAAATTCAAATGATTAGAATAGGCAAGAAAAATTTTTTTAAAGAAAAAAGTTGGAGGTAGTGTACTAATGCAATTTAAGACTCACCACAAAGCTGTAGTGATCACAAAGGTGATAATGTCAATTGTATCAACATATCACTCAATGGAACAGAATAGAAACTTTAGAAGTATATACACATATATATGGTCGTTTTCTTTTATTTTTGTATTTTAATTTTATTCTTAACTGACATATAATAATTGTATGTATTTGCGGGGCACAGTGTTATGTTTCAATAAATGTGCTACAGAAATACAATGGGAAAAGGATCGTTTTTTCAAAAATAGTAGTGAAGCAAATGGATATCTATGTGGAAAAAAACTTCAATATTTCATACTATTAAATATACAGAAAATTTTCTCAGACTGGATCATAAACCTAAATGTTAAAGCTAAAGCTATTCAGCTTCTAAAAGAGAACTATAAAAAAAAAAAACTTTGAGAACTCAATGAAGGCAAGGATATACTAGGATATAAACAAACTGTTGTGTCCCTACACAATGGAATACTACTCAGAAATAGAAAATAATGAATTTGCATGATACATGCAACAGTTTGGCTGAATCTCAAAAACGTTATCCTGAGTTTCAAAGAGGACACGCTGCACTGGTGTCTTATGTGGGACACAAGGCAGCATGGCCTTGGCTTGTCTAATCACAAAAATCCACCAATCTTCAAATTTGGAGCTTGTGAGATAGAACAAACACAGTCCATAGGGAATTCTTTCTAATGTCAGCTGCAGCTACACTCATTATCCAGGGCACCAGTAGCTGAGATGCCTATCTATGGTGGCATCCAGGAATCAGAGCTAGAAGTAGAGATTGTATAAGCTGAGATACTCAGTTGCATCATGGCAGTAGCAGTGTCCTCTTTGGAGAGAATCTGTGCCATTATCGTGGTCTTGCAATTCTGGCTCTTGCCAGCCCTCTTTGTTCCTGACAATTCCCTGAGATATCCTGGCAATTCTTTGAATGACCCAACATCCATTCAATATTCTTTTCTTCTTGAGATGATCCCTTTTAGTGTTGTTTGCTAGTATTAACTCTTATTAATACAAATTGTCTTAAATACCATGTAAAGAGGGATGATTTGAAAATTTATTTTTCTGCTTTTGACCCAATCTGCAGATATATGAACTCTCCTTAAAATCGCCCTCAGATACAAACTAAATATCTGTGAAACAGAATTCTTGATCTCCTTCTTCCCCATGAACTGGCAATTGACTAACCAAAGCACAGTGTTTTCTTTCTGCAGTACATCAATTAGCAGCCACTAAACAACCCCATCCTTCTTATAATTACTATCAAATTACAAAAGTATTAAATTTCATAGCTGCTGTGTGGTCCAGTGCATCCCTTTTCACTTGTATTCCATCCCAACTCACCACAGGTAAAAATATCAACAATTTAATGCTACAGCAGGCCAGAGGATATCATCCCTTCACTCACCACAAACAACAGCTTCTCTGTTGCCATCTGGGCATTGAGTGATTTAATTCTAAGTCTCATCCTAAAAGTTGGCTTCCTAGAACCAATTTCAGTACCTAAAATTACTGATATAGGGTTGGATTCCCCAGAAGCATCATACTGAAATGAGGATTTAGGGGTAAAGTGGCTTATTTGAAGTATTCCCAGGACAGAAGTAAAGGAGGAAGGAGTTGGGACCAGAAGAGGAAGGAGACCAAGGAAGGCTGTGATAGCAAGCATAGCCCAGCAGAATGTATCTTAGGCTCAATAATCCAGAGGCAGTTTGCATTCCATGTTGTTCTCAGCTTAGAGGTGTCCTGATTAGGGGATGGAGTATTTCTATTCCTTAATGTATCAGTTATTAGCCAAGGGCTGTTCCCAGGGAGAAATAAATGCCCAGCTACTTCTCCTCTCTGAGCTTACAGGAAAGGCAGGTTCTAGCATCCTGGAAAAGAAACACACATGTTTACTTTGTGTTTCCCCCACTAGACTGTGGGTCACATAAGGTCAGAAGCCATGTCTTCCTATGGAGCTGTATCCAGCACCTACAATAGCCTTTGCATCCAGCTTTGCACCATTCTGGGTTCCAACAATCAAGGTGTGGAATTGAGAGGATATTACTTAGAAAGCAGAATTCTGAGAAAAGACATGGGAAGTAATTTAGATCAAGATCAACAAGAGCATGTGAGATGAGACAAGAAGTTTAAGGTCAAGAATATCAGAAATCCGGAGGAAGCAATGTACTAGCTGGACTAAAGCAGATATAATTAAGACATCCTGGAGGTATTATTGAATCAAAACTATGAACAAAAATATTTTTTAATGACATGCTATGACTGTTGCATGGGTTAGCCTTGAGAATTAAAGGGGGCTAAGGGAAAAAGAAATAACAGAGCATTATAATAGTGACCTCGACTATCTGATAATAGTGAATTTGTTCTCAGAAAAAGCAAGATATTCTCAGAGTAATTAGATGATTGGATGGAAGAATCAGAGTCATTTCTTCTGAAACCAGCTATTAAATCAATTAATGAAAACAATTATATACCATCACTCTAGAGGTGAAAAAAGGAAGACAGATTATGTATCTAAGTAAATTAGACACCTTTGAGTCTCCAACAAGTAAAAGGCAGAACTGGCCTAATAGAAATATAATACAAGCCACATATGTAATTTTAAATTTTGTGGTGGTCACATTAACAAAAATGTGTAAAGAACAGGTAAAATTATTAATAGTAATGCACATTATTTAACTCAATATATTCAAAATACAACTATTTTAACATATGATCAATATAAAAATATGAATGATATATGTTATATTCAATTTTTTAATTGAATAAAGTAAAATTTTTTAAAAATTAAAAATTCAGTTCCTCAGTCTCACTAGTTACATTCATTTCAAGTGCTCAATAGTCACATGTGGCTAATGGCTACTATATTGGACAAAGTCATGCTAAAACCAAAGAATAATGATGATGTGAGACTTTCTGAGAAACATTCTGAATTTAAAGCATAATGTGCTCATGGTCTAATGCTTACAGTTAATGAAATTCTTACCCTCCTTTCAGAAGGTCAAGTTTTTGAAAAATTTGCTTGTTGAAAGCTTCTTAATGGCAGATCATCAATGAGGCTACTGCAGAAGCCAAAACAATCATCACTTACTGAAGAACATTCTGAGTTAAGCTGCTTCTATTTAGAATGTTTGACCTCCCTGGAATGTTCCATGACTTCAATCTGACCTTGCCACCCAGTTTCCAGATGTGCTGCCATATATGAATGAAGTTCTCACTGTGGCATGAATTGATGATGAATCCATGAGAAGAATTTAGAGAGTCCTGAATAGTTTTGAGATATATATGTATATATAGATAGATAGATATAGATATCCGAGTGAAAAATCCACTGTAAACCTCTCAGACCCCAAGTAGTATCACTGGTATTTTCCTCCCCAAATCAGGACATGGCAACACAGGAACTGTAAATGCTAAAAAGAAGGTATGATTTTAAAACTTTCTCATGGTTACTTATTACAATTCCTTTTTCTGCTCCCTCTCCTTTCCCTAGAATAAAAATCATACAAGGTCATTGTATTAGTCAGGGTTCTCTAGAGGGACAGAACTAATAGAATATATGTATACATGAAAGGGTGTTTATTAAAGAGAAATGACTCACACGATCACAAGGTAAAGTCCCATGATAGGCTGTCTGCAAGTTGGGGACCAAGGAAGCCAGTGGTGAATCAGTCCGAGTCCCAAAAACTCAAAAGTAGGGAAACCAACAGTGCAGCCTTCAGTCTATGGTCAAAGGCTGGAGAGCCCCTAGCAAACCACTGGTATAACTCCAAGAGTCCAAAAGCTGAAGAACTTGGAGTCCCTGGTTCGAATGCAGGAAGCATCCAGCTTGAGAGAAAGATGAAGGCTGAAGACTCAGCAAGTCTTGTCTTCCATCTTCTCTTGCCTGCTTTATTCAGCCACACTGGCAGCTGATTAGATGGTGCCCACCCAAATTGAGGGTGGATCTGCCTCACCAAGTCCACTGACTCAAATGTTTATCTCCTTTGGCAACACCCTCACAGACACACCCAGGAATAATACTTTGCACTTCAATCCAATCAAGTTGACAGTCAATATTAACCATCACAGTCATCGTATTGGAAACTGGAATAAAGCTGGAAATGACGTTTTGTAGTTGGGAATTTATTCATCTGTTATAAAATCCAAGGACACCTACTTTCCATGAAAATTTATCAGAAAATATAACTAGGAATGCAGTGCAATTTTATGTCCATTTCTCAGGGAATACCATTTCTTAATTTGGTAGGTAACTCAAAATGGCTTCAGGGCCAGTAAGTTTCATTTCAAACATCTCCTGAAATAATCTAAAAAACACTCAAAGAGCCACACAATATTATTGCCAATAGTAGTCTGATTAATTCAGTTCAAACAATTTCTCCAAGTTATCACATACCCTCCATCACCTTGAACAAATGACAGGCTAGAAGGAAGGTAGAGATGACTAAGGAAATGCTAAAACAAATCTTTCTAAAAATTGAATTACTAAGCATTCATCACTAACATGCCATTCCATATTCCATATCAGCAGTTAGTCTTGATGGCAGTTATGGGGCAGCATCTCAACACTCACCTCCATTGTAAACAAGGATCAGTCTTGGGTTCTGTTGGGTTCTACCTACCTAATCATCTCAACTCTACTACAAAAAGTGACAATGCTTGGCAAAGGAGTTAAAACAAAAGTGGTTTAAGCCTGCTATAACTGTATTCCATGTGAAATGGGTTGGGGTAGCAACATTATGATACTCACCTGAGATTTTCCTCTCAGGATAGCTTGATAATATTATGACTATTCACTCAATTTATTACAACTGTCATCTTTATTTTTAAAAAATACAAAAATTAGCCAGGTCTGGTGGCACACACCTGCAGTCTCAGCTACTTGGGAGGCAGAGGCTACTTGGGAGGATGACCTGAGCCTGGGGCCCTCAGGGCTGCTGTGACACACGATCGCACCACTGCACTGTAGCCTGAGCAGCAGAGTGAGAGTCTGTCACACACATACACACACACAAGATACATACATAAAATACAGTAAATAAATATTTCCACTTACACATATATACATGCACTTATATGTATACATAGATATGTAAGCACACACACACGCACTCACACTCTTATAACTCTCTTCAGAACCATCAAATGAAAGAGTAACTAATAAAATAAAATTTCCAGGTTTTTCTTTATCAACTAGTATATATAGATATAGCTCTGCAAAGACCACTGTTTTTTTTGCATTTTTTGCAATTTATGAATGGCAACTGATTCCATAGGTGAGAGCTAGGATGCAAGCCCAGGCAGTTTGGCTCACATCTTTGGCTACATCCCTGGCCACAATAATAACATAGAAACTCATTTTTGGAAAGAATTAAAGAAGTGGTCTTGCCTAACTCAAAAGCCAATATTTAATGTGTTCAATATTCCTGACAGCGTATCAATTCTTCTAGCAGTAAGGACAGAAAAACATTTTTGAAGCAAAAGGAATGTGTCAGATCTTTTTTCTGTGTGACAAATTCAAATAGTTTAGTTACTCCTTAAGCAGCTATGCTATCTGATTTCCAATTTTAGTTCCAATTTGAGGAATTACCCCTTCCCATAATAAATGTAAGTAAAAGCACTATAATCATTATTTTATTTTCTAGGGTATCTGTCTAGCTTGGGAAAAGAAAAACTGAGAAGTTCTAAGGTAAGCTGTAAACATCAATCGTATAGGTTTATAAAGTCATCCTATAACATGTCTAATACTTGTAATAACAGAATCAGATTGTGCACAGAAAATACTCATTCGGTTTTCAAAAAGTACTTTTCACCCGTTTTGTCTAATGTCTCATCTCTATCTTATCCTACACAGAAATGTGGACTTTCTCAAGGTTGAGCTCTTCTTCGAAAACACACACACAGAGAGAGAGAGAGATTGTTATCTAGGAAAAAAATAGAAATGAAAGAAAATAGAAATATCACCAAAATTGTGGTTTCAAATAGAGACCAACTTAAACCCTTCCATAGTTTTTACAATCAATCATAAAAGCAGTTCTTTTACTTACTTTCTCAAAAAGGGTTGGAATAGGGAGACTTCCCAGGAATCTAAGCAAACTTCAAGCAGGATTATAGTCCTGTTTCCCACATTTGCACAAACTTCCTTCACGATGATTTGACTTTGCAGCATCAGGATTGTCTGGCAGAGCAAACAAAGCCAGAGTTGGCACAGGTATCTCCCTAGCTCTGGAATGAGATTAGAGATGAAAGAAATATCAACATCCACCAAAGCCAGTGAAAGCAAATCTAAACTTTCTCCTACCACCAAACAAACAACCACAGCCACATCTTAAAAACTACAATCGGATGGCTGATTTGGCCCCACGGTCCTGAAGTGGCTTCTTGTATATCTTAGTCCTGTAATTAGTGGCGAGTGTTCCCTCCGGATGTTCAAGAGTTAGATTTGGTTTGAATTTTGCTCAGAAGCTTATCCAAATAATGCTGGATTTTTCTTCCGTGTGTGTTCCTCCTTTTACTCATATATTTTCTTCCCCTCATCCCACCTATTCAATTTTTTCCTTCAGAACTAAATAATATTTATTTCCAAGTATAAAGTTTTTGATTGTATCTCATTAGTTCAGAGCCTATGTCCTACTCTTTAAAAACATATTCATTTTACTTCCTAGAAGCTACAGAATAGAATTTTTTGTCGAAAATGTAGCTTAGTTGAAAGAGTTCCAAGTTTTTTAGCCAGAAAATAAATCGCATGCCCATACTTCATAAGGCTTCAATTTTGTTTTTAAGAATCTTTCTAAACAGAAAATAATAAAAGCTAAAATCAGCTGGAAGTAGACATTTGTAATTATTTGGCTGGCTAGCATCCTTTTTCTCTTCCTAAGTACACCATGATTTCTAAATATTTGAGGAATTACCTCCTTCCCTTCTGTCAGGACTATAATTATGGGCCCAAACCTCTTGTAGGCTAGGCAGTGAAAATGTTCCTCAAGATAGGCAATAATTCAGAGCTCTCTGGAATTTGATTCTTGAGCAGAGGGACAAAGAGATTGAAAGTTGTGGTTTCTCCTTTTCCACAGTGGCTTCCTGACTGGATCCTTCATGTTACAGGAGACTTTCTGTGGTTCTTGATCAGTTTGCTGCATGTACTTTTCTGCTTGCCTATTTCCAAGCCTACTTCTCCAGACTATATATCAAGTCTGAGAATCCTCAATAACTCACCACAGTTTTCTTTGGTTCATGTTAGTCAGGGTCAGTTTCTTTTGCACACAACCAAAGAATACTAGTGAATTAAGAGTTAAGACCTGTCACTCATTCTTAAATAGATAACGACCTGGGCCAGGTTCATTGAATTATAGTTAGTTCAATGAACGTAACTCTAAAGTTCTCAGTGCTAGAAAAATAATACGAGAAAAGGAAGACAGTACTTATGCTTAGGGCATTTACCACACAGTTAAGATTAATCCACACACAACAATTACAGTTCCCAGGTGTAAAAAGAACTCAGAAGGAATGCATTCAGTATCCAAGCAATGAGTTCTCTTGTCACCCACCTGGTTTCCCAAGTCTAAACCTGAAATTCATTTTTTAATTACCTCTTGTTCTCACCCCATACATCTAATTAGTCACAACTCATTCACTGAGAAAATATTTATTAGCAAGCCATGTTCATTGTGCTTATTCTATATCTCTTGTTTCTCTCCATCCCCAAAGCTACTACTTTAATTTAGCCCCTCGTGGTGCATTTCTCATCTGAAGGACTGCAGCAATTTCCTAAATGGCCTCTCTGCTTCTGTCTTTGTTCCTTACAATTCATTCTCCTCTAAGAAGATAGAATTATCCTTCTAAAATGCAAATCTGATCATGTTGCTTTCTTCCTGAGGCTTGCCAACAGTTTAGGAAGGGCTCCAAATGTCTTAGTGTGGTATTCACGGCCCTTCAATGCACGTAAAAACTCTTCTGGAACAAAGTGAGCTGTAACTAAACAAACAATTGAAGAAGCAAGGTCTATCATGATTTGGCACTTGCTTATCTCTCCGGCTTCATCTCTCACCACTCTGTGCTACAAGCATATTGAGCTACTTACAGCTCTCTCATCTGGCCTGAGCACTGGCTGCTTCTCTGGCTGGAATGCCCTTCCTGCTCACTGCCCTCATTTCACCTGACAAGCTCTGAATTTCCCACCTCCAGGCCTAAGAAATCTGCTTCCTCTTTGTATTGCTGTGCTAGTCCCTCTGTGCCTACCTCTAACACAATATTTATCACTCTATACTCTAATTTTCTCTTCCTTTGTTTGCCTTTCTTTCTAGAAGGCAGGTGCTGTTCTTTGATTTTGGAAACTGTGCTTGCTTCATCTTTGTATTCTCCACACTTAGTAGGACACCTAGCACATGAAATCATCCAATACATGTTTATTGACTAACTGAACACATATAAAATATGTTCAGAAGCAACGTATACAGTATCTTTTCTATAGACCCAAATAATAGAAAAGATCAGAGAACACATTTTAAGGCATTCTCCTTGTAAGCACGAGAAACATCTTAATACCTAGAGAGTTTCAGGACTCTCTAAAAATGCCAACTCTAGATCATAAAAAATGTATTACAATAGAGGAAACAAACTTTACAGATTCATGTAAAGCTTCTGTTGACTCGAGTGAGCGGTAAACTCTCATGGACATTTCAAAAAAAACTATAGATGTTCATAAAGCTCTTCATGTTGTGGGATAACACTGACTATATTGATGCATGATCCAGCCTGAGATAATTGGTTTTATAACATGTAAGAATGAGCTAAGATTGTCCATTGCAGCCCAAGAAGAAATATGCAACCTTTTTTTGACGATCTTCCCTGAATAAATAAATTCAGACAAAAATAATAGAAAGTTGTACAAGAAACCAGAGAATGAGTGGACTATTGCTGCAGATATTCTCCTAGGATGGAGTCAAATGGAATAAAAGCTGTAAAAACATAAACATGGTTTCATAGGCACTTTGTATTAGTCCGTTTTCACACTGCTATAAAGATACTACTCCAGACTGGGTAATTTATAAATAAAGGAGATTTAATTGACTCAGAGTTCTGCATGGCTAGGGAGGTCTCAGGAAACTTCCAATCATGGTGGAGGGTGAAGGGGAAGCAAGCACCTTCTTCACGTGGCAGCAGGAGACAGAAGAGCAAGCAGGGGAAATGCCAGAAGCTTATAAAACCATCATATCTCACGAGAACTCTGTCACTATCATGAGAACAACATGGGGGAAAGTGCCCCCATGATCCAATCGCCTCTCCCAGATTCCTACCTTAATACCTGGGGATTACAGTTCAAGATGAGATTTGGGTGGGGACACAAAGCTTAACCATATCACATTAGTAACAACAAAAAAGGCACCATGTATATGGTAATGAGCTCAACATGCTGTTTACAAAAGATACTTGATGCAGTTCTTCAAGAACTTGTCTTCCTTTTTCTACCATGAACAAGTCACACTCATCAGCACTTTGCACATCTTTGTACAGATAGATAATTCTCTCTATATATATGATTATAATCTAAAGGCAAATTATCATCACCTAGCATTAATCCCAAATATGTAACTCCTGTTCTTACTTCTAATTGTTTTATTTCCTTACATACAACTGTCCAGAGAGCTTGCCTTTATTGTAAACAAAATGTATTCAATCGTAAATCAGTTATCTTCACTCTAATTAGTTCTCTTTCACCTTCTATTTCTGTAGAGGCATGGCCATTCTTCATTAACTCCTTTTTTTTTTTAGTGTTTTTTGTTTCCTATCTCTTCCTCTCACTCATGATTTATAACTGAATGCTCCAATAAATCTATTATTATAGTTACAAATTATCCAGCACATGCCAACCTTTCTCTGATACTAACTAATTAGGTGAAATATCATCTTGTCTAGGTATTGTGAGCAACACCGCCAACATCATCTTCCTGAGCTTTTGCCTACTGCTTCCATCTGGCCCCTTTTGCTCCTCATCTTCCTTAAAAACATCATGTGAACTCTCAAGCTGTTTCCTCACTCTGGATTCTCCACATCCATGAAAGTTCATCCTATATAACTCTATGACTTAAACACCTTGTCCTCTTCAAGCCAGCTTTACTGTACCATACGCATTTCTCTTCCCACTCCTTTGCTAGAGTTCCCAGCTCAATATGTCTTCATGGCTTTCTCAACTTATCCTATAATCTTAACTGTCTTCTAAAAGCTTGTTCCAGTCTCATGTTTGTGAGGATTTGCACAATTTCTCCTAATAGTGCCTCCAGTGAAACACACACTTGTTGCATACAAAAGCTCTGTGTAACTACACTAGTCAAGATAGGTTAATTTGTGCTGTACTAACAAAAAATCCAGGAATTTCAATGACCTCACAGAAGTTTTTTTCTTACACTAAATGTCCCATATGAGCCATCAGGTAGCTCTACTGTGCCGTCACTCAGGTATTCAGTAAACAAAGGCTCTCATATTTGGTGCTACATTATGCTCAGTTGCAATGGCAAGGGAAGAGAAAAACTAGAGAAATGTGCAAGGAATTTTTATTGCCTCTAATCAGAAGACAAAATTCCTTTCAGCTCACATAGTCTCACCTTGCAAGTGGGCCATAAAATGTATAGGAGTGAACAGAATACTTAACACTACTATTGCCATCACTGTAAATTTGTATTAATTATCTCAGCTAAGCTTATGTAGAAAGTGAAGTTCTTAAGTCTAGAACTGCCGTTTTACACATTGGAGCATTACTACCTGTAGAGAAAAATTGAGGACAGTACCTGCCTGTCCTAGCAGACCCACTTATGTCACCTGCTGTCAGACCAGATGGAAAGCAGCATGAATAGGAGCATGATCTTAGAATGTGAAGGCCAAGAGCCCAGGCATACTAGGAGATTCCCTCCTTAGCACAGATAAAAGCCTGCCGCTCATGGATGTGAGCTAAGCTGACCAATAAAGATGGTCTAGAATGCACCTGATGTGATAAAGCCAAATAGTCTTGAATGTCCAGAAGAGCTTTGAAAGGTGGAAGCTAGCAACTGTCTTATTCTCTTCGTCTCTTTAGGCTACTATAACAAAAATACCTAAGTCTGAGTAGCATATAAACAACATAAATTTATTTCTCACAGTTATGGAGCTGGGAAGTCCAAGATCGAGGCACCGGGAGATTCAGTATCTGGTGAGGACTCTGTTCTGCATAGACAGACATCTTTTCATTGTAACCTCACATGGTGAAAGGGGCTAGCTAGCTCTCTGGGGTCTCTTTTATAAGGGTGCTAATCCCATTCGTGAAGGTGGAGCCCTCATGACCTAATCACATCCCCAAGGCCTCACCATCTAATGCTTTCATGTTGGAAATCAGATTTCAATGTATGAATTTAGGGGAGTAGGAAAACAAACAAACCGTTCAGACCATAGCACTGGTTTTGCTGTTTCACTGCTTCAAGTGCCTTTTCATTCTCCTAGAGAGAATTCTAAAATAACAGGCATTGTGCAAGATAAACTTCCCTTGTGCTCCAGCACTGTGTCATCAGGGAATACTCAAGGCTGTTTCATAATGGACAAGAACCCCTTCATTAGAAAGACCATGCGTGCATGGGTAGGAAGTACTTCTTTATTCCTTGTGTTTTCCTCTCTGTGGAAAATATTCCTTCATACTCCCAGCTTCCCTTGCTTTCTCACTCATTTCCAAATAGTTTATATAACTGGGAGGGGCTTATCTCACAGGTGATGTTAGAAGGAAGACCTGGGCAAGTGGAACCCACATCTTCCTTCGCTGTTTCTCTTAAGAAACAGCTGCTCCCATGTTCTACTTTACTTCTCTGTGGGTGACTTCTGTTTTCATAGGTAGAGCCTGCCCAGTCAAGCACTGCTGTGACAAGGTGAATAAGGCTATATAAATCAGGCCTTCGGTGCAGAAGTCCACATGCTCCCAGATACAAAACACATTCTCTAATTTCAATTTTGACTGTAATAAGGGTGATTATATTTTATTCTCTGTACGTGAACTAATTTATTACGTTTCTTAATTGAAGCTGAATGGGTAAATGGAGCACAATTTGTTGCATCTCCCAAATAACCTCAGAAAGGTAGCATATTGTTTTATTTACTGAAATATATTCACTGTTAACCTTTATAGTAGCATTCTTTTTTTACTGTTACTATAAAACAACTACTACTTTAGACCTGATATTCAGTGATATTAATACATTATTAGAATGTGTAGCTACTGATAAACTTTTCATAGAAAATTCTGTAAAATTCTATCAGTTTGAAGTAAAATATGTCAATATGAATGCATTATATTCTTTTTTTTTTTTTTGACAGATTCTCACTCTGTCACCCAGGCTGGAGTGGCATGATCCCAGCTCACTGCAACCTCTGCCTCCCAAGGGCTCAAGCCATCCTCTGGCCTCAGCTGCTGGAGTAGCTGGGAACATGGGAACATAGGCACAAGCCACCGGACCCAGATAGTTTTTGTTTTTGTTTTTGTTTTGAGATGGAGTCTTGCTCTGTTGCCCAGCCTGGAGTGCAGTGGAGCAATCTTGGCTCACTGCAACCTCCACCTCCCAGGTTCAAGTGATTCTCCTGCCTCAGTCTCCCAAGTAGCTGGGATTACAGGCATGTGCCACCACACGCAGCAGTTTTTGTATTTTTTTGTAGATACAGGTTTCGTCATGTTGCCCAGGCTGATCTCCAGCTCTTGAGCTCAAATGATCCACCCACGTCAGCCTCCCAAAGTGCTGGGATTGCAGGCAAAAAAAAAAAAAAAAAATTGGTTTGAACATAACATTCTCTACTAGCATTAGAAAATGCTAAGGCATTAGAAAAGTAGTTTAATTTTTTCTGGTTGTGTCAATCAATGATATAGGTCCTCTAAGCAGCCATAGGAGCCTACTGATTTTTAAGTGTTTTAAAAGGGAAAGAGTAGGTATAATTCAAAGTCAATATGAATGTAAGTGCTGGGATTTATAGTGGGGGAGGGGATATAATGGATATGGTTGGCAGGAGTTGAATCCCATGATTCAAAAAACTCTAATAAGGAAACTTCACAGCTTCTATTCAAATCAAACTTAGGTCTCATAATTCTAATTCCATCAAATTACATTTACCCATTCTGAAAAAAAAATAGCTCTAATAAATGTCCTCTGCTTTGCTTACTTACCATCTTGATAAAGCGGCTTGAATTCTAGGTGAGGTACAGAATGTGCTCTCAAAATCCCACAACAAAATAGCAAAATTACCCACTTACACTAACGTCTCGTGTTTTCAAAACCACAGTTTTGAATTTGACCAACAATAAGGATCTCTCTGCTTTAGGTTAGAAATGGAAAATATTATTGACTGTCACCCAGGATCTGCCATTGACAGGTCATTCATTAAACAGTCTATTTTCTGTAACCCTGAGGCACACAGTAGTGTGAAGTTGGATTCAGATAAGGGCATCTGTTCATTCAAAACTTATGGTACAAGCATGACTCCAAAGAAAATCAGATTAGCCCGCATATGCCAATGTCTCTGATGATTACACACAAAAAAAGATCACTAGTTTGGTAGGCTGAAAGATATTAAATTAAATATACATAGCTGCAAGACAAATGAATTTCAAATGCTTTAAGTTGGATTGAAAATAGCAGCTTTTCTTCAAAATATCGACAGCTTAATATTTACAAGTTACTAAGAAGCAATTTAAGTATTTAAACCTAAAAGAAGACTAAAGCTTCTCTACCATTTCTTTTATCTCACCAAATTCTACTTACTTGGAGGTCACATATCTGCTTTTTAGTGCCACCTTTTGGGTGGTCTTGTTATTACATAACATTAAAATTGAAACGCTGGAAATTCAGTGTGTGTTTTAATTGAACTTTAGCATATTAAGTTTATGCTCTTAGTTGTCCACATTAACTGCACAGTTTATTTAGATAGAGACACTTTTCACTTGTCTTCTGTAATAAAGCAGAAGCTGTGAAGTTTCCTTGAGTTTTTTGAATCGTGGGATTCAACCCCCACCAATCTCATCCATTATATTCTCCAACCTCAATATAAACCCCAGCACTTACATTCATGTAAAGTTTGACTTTGAATTATACCTACTGTTTCCCTTTTAAAAAACTTAATGCTCCCACGGTTGCTTAGAGGATCTATGTCATTGATTGACACAACCAGAAAAGATTGAATTGCTTTTCTAATGCCGCATGATTTGCAAGCAGTGGAGCTCAAGCCAAACCTAGGTCTCATCAATCTAACTCCATCAATTACATTTACACATTCTGAAAAAATATATATATTAGCTCTAACAAATGTCCTCTGCTTTGCTTACTCGTATCTCGAAAAAGTGGCTTGAAATTCAGGTGAAGTATAAAATCTGCTCTCAAAATTCTACAGCAAAATAATAAAATTACTTACACTAACATCTGGGGTTTTTAAAACTATAGTTCTGAATTTGACCAACAACAAGGATCTTTGTGCTTTAGGTTAGAAATGGAAAATATTATTGACTGTCACCCAGGATCTACCATTGACAGGTCATTCATTGAAGAGCCTATTTGGCATATTATCCACCCATTCACCTAGATTCTCAAAGTCCCATTCCCATAATTAAGTAGATCATTGAACAATAGGAAATCTAAAAAATATTAATACAGTATCCATAAGAAATATTTTATAAATTTATAATATAATATTCAGCTCTTGGGTCAGTAAAAACATCATCTCTTTAAACACAATTTTAGAGCTATTTTTGGTAAAACCATAGTAGTTTTTCATTGATTTTTAATGTACCTTATGAGAGCACCTCTTTTACATGCAAAAAAAAAAAAGTTAAGTGAATTGGTATCATTTAAATTTTGTAACTAAAAAATGTCTTTGCTTCCAGGCAAATCAAACTTCATGCCCAATTATGATAATTAAATAATCTCAGGTATTTGGTCATGTTTACTCTTTTTACTCTTTGCTGGTGACCTCTGTTCTGTTTTTGTTTTCATTCCAAATTGCTCTGCCTTTTGTTATGTTTGCTTTTCCAAATTATCTTAAATCTTGTTGGATGTGGCACAAGTGTCAAAATGAAAGGGGTTAATTCAAGGATTCCAGGAAAGAGGTGGTTGCTGCAGCTAGCATCAGACAAGAGTGGGGTGGAAGAGCCTTCCAAGATTTCACGGGTCATAGCTAAGGCCAATGGAGAGGTAAAGCAAAAGACAATGAGAGCGAATGCAAGATAAACAGAGAAAATAATGTATTGAACATGTTGAGATAGCCGGCAAGAAGACTTGTAATCAGACAGAGCCATGGCTAAAGATTCTCAAGAGAAAGCTTATGAAGCCCACTGGGTCTGATTGAAGAGCTGGGTTAGCAGGAGTTTACCATGTAGAAGTCAGGTTGTCTTACTGAAGCAAAACCACTCTGGTCATGTACTTAAGAATTTATGACAGTGAATTACAGATAGTAATCCACCAAAGGCAAGGATACTTTTTGAGAAATGGTACCTATGCTTCCTTCTGAACCCACGCACTGACTTCACCCCATGGTTCACCAGTGGTTCAGTGCTTCCCTCCTGAACCCACCCATTTTGAGAAATTCTGCTTCAGTGTGAGAAAGGAGTAACTGGAGAAAAGAAGCTGTACAAATCTAGAATTCATCAATGATATAAATGAATACATTCCACACAATACTACAACATGTTCACTGAGTTTATTTAAGCTTTAAGATTATTTACTGGCTGGGCGTGGTGGCTGACACCTGTAATCCCAGCCCTTTGGGAGGCCGAGGCGGGCAGATAGCCTGAGGTCGGAAGTTTGAGACCAGCCTGGCCAACACGGTGAAACCCCATCTCTACTAAAGATACAAAAAAAAAATTAGCTGGGTGTGGTGGCACATGCCTGTAATCCCAGCTACTCGGGAGGCTGAGACAGGAGATTCGCTTTAACCTGGGAGGCAAAAGTTGCTGTGAGCCAAGATCTCACCATTGTACTCCAGCCTGGGTGACAGGGCAAGACTCCGTCTCAAAAAAAAAAAAAAAAAAAAAAAGATTATTTACTGTCTGCCACATGGTATGATGAAACACAAATTTGTTTTAAAGGTTGTATCCTCTGAAAGTATACTGTGCCCACTTTAGTGTGTGTACATTGACAATAATTTAAAGCCAATCAATGTTGTGCGATTGCTCTCCATATAGTGGAAGCCAGTTCTGTTTGGGAATCAACATAAATGTCCACAAACAGGAAAAACTGTACTTCTCAGAGTCATTATTAGCTTTAAACATCAGCTATTAATTGAAAAATAAACGCATATGTAAAGCGTGCAAATCTTATTGCCTTCTCTATTTTGTTAGTATATCGAGAAACCATCACTTCCAATAATGGGGAAAACATGCAGCATCCATAATAAAGTACTATTTGTTTGTTGTCCACAAAATGCAGCAAATTAGTTAATTTGTTGTTTATACCTAAATAGAATCCTCCAGAATCACTTAAATACCCACATGGATTTGTCTTCATAGCATATTTAAGAAGTACAATATATTTGGTTTTTCTTCTTTCACAAACTGGGAAATGCAGCCTCAGAAATGAGTTGAGGCTTTCCCCCAAGTTCATTGGTCTGACTTCCACATTAGACTTCACACTAAAATTGTGTACTACTTTTGTCTTGTACATATTTATATTTTAAACTCCTGAAGAATGTCAATAGTTATCTGTACTGCTCATTTGGCTCCTAACAGAAAATGTATGCAATAGAAGGTCTATTTGGTACTTAAGGACTTTTATACCAAATATATAACTGAATTCATCCAAAAGAAATATTGTTCATAAAAGATAGAATTATATTTTCTACAAGCAATTATATATTCTATACTGCACAAACAAAAGACATTTAAGTTATATAACTTCTAATTACAAAATGACAATTAATGTCACCCAATTTCCAGGAAATACAGTTTCAAAGCATTAGTTCAAAACAAAAATGTGTGTTATTACCTTATATAAGTTTACGTGATAGAAAAATTCTAAATAAAGGCCACCATTAATTTTAATCTATAATTTTAAATAATTGGCCTAGAAACTACATTTTTAGATTCTTATGCAAGTTATTCTCTTAAGTAAAAAATGTCAAAAGATTTAAGAAACACATTAATTAAATGAAATAAAATGTTTACTTAAAAATAACATACAGTATTTTTAAATAAACTTTTTATTTTGAATCGCTTTAGTTGCAAAGAACATAGAGGCTCCATGTACTCTTCAGTCTGATTTCCCTAATGTAACCCTCTTACACAACCATGGCTTAATTGTCAAAACTAAAAGATTAACATCAATACATTGATAAATTAAACTGCAGACTTTACTCTGGTTTCACCAGTTTTTCCTCTAATTCTTTTTCTGTTTCAGAAGTTAATACAGGATACCACATTGCATTTAGTTAGATCAATTTTTTCTGAAAACATGTTTACATTTATTTTGGATAAATAAGTATAATTAATATAATAAATATTACTTATTATTAAAATATGTGACGTAAGAATAAATCTAATACATTTATTTGCCAAGAGGTTGTATGAAACTTAGAGAAAACTTTGAATTGTATCAATGGTTTTGTAACTTCTAGTATAATTATTCTTTTCATCTTGCTCTCATGGTGCATTTGTTTACATTTAGTGTATTGTGTAAGCATTAAATTATATGAAAATATTGAAATAATAAATTCCACACATAATCGGAGAAAGTAAAATTTATATTTTCATATATTCATTATAGTATTATTTATACTGTTTATAGAAGTATTTCTATGACTAAAAACTATCTGGGTTAGATAAATGGACTATTTGCATAGATAGAGATGCTACTCTCAAATACCTAAAAACTAAAGACAGGGGACAGATAATTTTAACCACTCAAGGCTTGGGTATTTTTCTGAGGAATTGTGGAATAGAAATCTATCTTATTAAAGCCTTTTTGGAAATTGCATTTAGAGCCAATATATTTTGGATTTGCTCACTGATATCATAGAGTGCACAGCATGAAGGAATTAAGAGGCCATCCACTCATTATGTTTAGGAGTAGTCAATTCCACAGCATTACATCAAGGTTTGCCAGCCAAAACGTGAAGAAAACTCAGAGCAGACCAAAGAAATAATGCAAATAGGGTTAAATGATTAGAGAACACGAGCATTAAGATATAAAATCATTTACCCTAGCGAAAGAAAGCTAAAATCAATCTTCAATTTTAAGCTTGGCTACTATCCAGAGGATGCAATCACTAGATCTACTGAACCCCAAACAGATGGAAGCAATTGTAACAATACAAAGATATATGTGAGATAAAGGAAGTGAAAGTCTTTCTGACTGGGGAAGCCATTAAGCCGTTGAAAGTTCCACAGTGTTTTTGTTTTTAGCAAAGAAGAAAAATAGCATTCTGAATTGCATGTCGTCGATTTTCTTTAGATTATCACCATGTATGTTTGCATCCTTTAACAATATGTCTACTTTGGGGTATTTGTAGACGTCACACAAATAGAATGATACTGCAAGTATTCTGCAGTATACTTTTGCTTGCCAAAAATTATGTTTAACACAAGTAATTTATAGTTATAACTACTTTACTTTCTGGTACCACAAGATATTTCAAGCACGTCCTATATTTTCCTTGTCCAAGCAACCTCTTTACCAAGGAGCGTGGTTTCTTTCTTTGGAGAATGTTACTTGAAAATCAAAATCTGGGCTTCAAGTGTTCTTATTGCTACTGGGTTGTCATTGCTTTTAAACCCTTTCAGCAGACAGAGTGTGAAGAAATGTGTATGTATACTACCTCATACATATGTACATACACATTATATATTTATTTCTGTGCGCGCGCGCGCGCACGCGCGCACACACACACACACACACACACACACACACACACACCTTTATACAGATATTTCCAACTCCAGTCTAGCAGCACGGAGTTCATTCTAACCTTCCTCCTTTACTTATTTGAAACTTTTATTCTCAAACAATAAGAAAGAAACCTGGCTTTTATTTTCTACATATATCTACTTGTGTTTTCAACCATGGTGTCCACATAAATTAGTTTCAGAATAACTAACCCATATCTCTATAAGAAACAAAGCTACTAACTGCAATGCAGTATTTATGTGATGCTCTTTTTGAATTTAGCTTTAACTTACCCATTCTTTGTGGTATACAGTTTTATTGGTTTTGAAAAATGAATGGAGTCATGGGCCTACCACTATAGTTGTGATTTGAAAAGTTTCATCAGCCCCCAAATTCCTTTATGATGACATTTTGCTGTCAACATCTCCCCTCACCCCAACACCTAGCAACTAGACTTCTTTTTCATCCCGCACTGGTTAATTTTATGTGTGAACGTGACTGGGTTGAGGGATGCCCAGACATTTCCGTGATGAAACATTATTTCTGGGTGTGTTAGTGAGGGTGTTTGTAGAGGAGATTGTCATTTGAATCAGTGGACCCAGTAAAGAAGATCCACCCTTACCCATGTGGGCCGGCATCCATCCAATCAGCTGAGGGCTTAGATAGAACAAAAATGGAGAAGAAAAGCGAATTTTCTCTCTCTCTCTTTTAGAGGTGGAACATTCAGTTCTCACCAGTGGAACCCCCCTCCCTGTTCTCAACTCCCCTGGTTCTTGGGTCTTTGGATTCTGGCTGAATTACACCACTGGCTTTCTAGTCTCCAGCTCACAGATAGAATACTAAGGTAGTTTTCAGCCTCCAAACTCGCATGAGCCAGTTCCTGTAAGAAATCTCTTATATATCTCTATACGTATGTTATTGCTTCTGTTTCTTGGTAGAACCCTGACAAATACACATCCTATAATTTTGCTTTTTATATAATACTTTATGAATGGAATCAAGCAATATATGACATTTTGAATTTGGTTTCCTCTGCTTAGCAAAATGTATTTAAGATTCATCTATGTTGTTGTGTAAATTAATAGTTATTTCCTTTATTTGCTAAATAAGTTTCACTGTATCACTACACTACAGTTTCTTTATCCATTCACTGATGAAAGAACATTAGAATCATTTCCAGTTTTGGATAATTATGCATAAAGCTGCTGTAAATATTCATGGGGTGGGTTTCTATGTTAATATAGCTTTTCATTTATATTGTGTAAATACTGAGGTGTAGGATTACTAGGTCCTATGGTAAGTACATGTTTAATTTTATGAAACAGTTTAGAAATAGATTCATAGGCCAATATTTCTTTAAATTATGATAACTATGATGCAGTTTAATGGGGGAAAGAATGGTCCTCTCTATATGATGCTGTGGCCAATTAAAGAACACATGTTCTCACTCATAAGTGGGAGGTGAACAATGAGAACACATGGACACAGGGAGGGAAGCATCATACACCGGGGCCTGTTGTGGGGTGGGGGGCTAGGGGAGGGATAGCATTACGAGAAATACCTAATGTGGACGACAGGTTGATGGGTGCAGCAAACCACCATGGCACATGTATACCTATGTAACAAACCTGCACGTTCTGCACATGTACCCCAGTACTTAAAGCATAATAATAAAAAAAAGATGGCCATAAATTTGTTCACATTTTTTTCCATTGAGATGTGGTCAGTTTCCCTTCCCTTGAATCTGAGCTGTTTTGTAACTGTTTTCACCAACATAGCATGGTAGAATTGGTTATAATGCTATTTCTGGACCTTGTCATAAGTGGGCTGGTAGCTTCCACCTTGGTCTCTTGAAACCATGAGCTGCTATGTAAAAAGTTCAACTACTCTGGGTCACTGTTCTGTGAAAATCCCAAGCCACATTGAGAAGCCCTAGTGGATGAGACACCATGTGGAGATTAAGAAATAGAGAGGGGCCAAGAAGCCCGGGCACCAGACATAACAGGGAAGAAGCCATTGTGGAAGTAGATCCTTCAAAGCCAGGCATCCTAGCAGATAATATAGAGCAGAGATGAACCACCTTGCTGAGCCTTTCCATAATTCCTGACCCAAAGAATCATGGAAAAAAATAAAATGAGTGTTTTACCCATTTTATTTTATTTACTCACTTTATTTATTTTAAACTTCTAAGTTTTGGGATAGTTTTGTTTGTTTTTGCTTGGTTGGTTTTTGGCAGAAATTGATCACTAGAACAGTACTGAAACAATTATGTATCTATATAAAAATAAAATAAAATTTGATCTCTACTTCACTTCCCATGCCCAAATATTAATTTGAAATGGATTATTGCTCTACATGTAAGAAGTAAAATTATAAACATCTAAATAAAAAAGGGAAAGAATCTTTGTAACTTGGAATTAGGCAAAAATCCTAAAACAAAGTTCAGAAAATACTAAGCCTGAAAGGAAAAGTTGATAAATTATACTGCACTAGAACTTAAAACTTCTGTTTTTTTGGAAGATATCATGTAGCATTTCAAAAAGTTTGCATAGATTAGGACAAGACATTCACAATACACATATTTGCTTAAGGTTTTAGTATATGTTGATATAGTTTAGATATTTGTCCCCTCCCAAATCTCAAGTTGAACTGTAATCTCCAGTGTTGGAGGTGGGGCCTGATGGGAGGTGTTTGGGTCATAGGGGTGGAGATCCCTCATGAATGGCTTGGGCCATACCTTTGATAATGAGTGAGCTCTCACTCTGAGTTCACACAAGATCTGGTCATTTAAGAGCGTGTAGCACCTCCTCCCACTCTCCCTAATTTTTTCTCACTCCTGCTTTTGCCATGGGACATGCAAGCTCCTGCTTCACCTTCTGCCCTGAGTAAAAGCTTCCTGAGGTCTCCCCAGAAGCAAATGCCGGTGGCATACTTCCTGTAGAACTGTGAGCCCAATCGAGGCAGAGCTTGCAGTGAGCCGAGATTGCACCACTGCACTCCAGACTGGGCGACAGAGCGAGACTCCATCTCAAAAAAAAAAAAAATAAAAGGACTGTGAGCCCAATCAAGCCACTTTTCTTATAAATTACCCAGTCTCAGGTATTTCTTTATAGCAACTCAAGAATAGCCTAATACGTATACCCTTTCCAGTGTCTATTTTCAACCTATCTATATTTTATCCTTCTTAAAAAGTTATGTCCCATGTAGGAGTATACACAAGTGGTTCTTTATTATTATTATTGTTATTTTGATCTAACAATCTTTAATCTTTGTCTTCGGAATATTTAGTACAGTTGCCTTTGATGTATCTACTCATAGTGATTAGCTTTGTTTTCTATTTGTGCCATCTTTTTATTTCTTTTTCTTAACTTACTATTTTTAGGTATCTTTTCCTACAATTGCCAAGTTTTTCTCCTCAAATTATTAATGCATTTATTTGCATTTATTGATTTTTCTTTTTTCTTTTTAAATAAAGACTGAGTCTTGCTATCTTGCCCCAGGCTGGTCTCATACTTCTGGCCTCAAGCGATCTTCCCACCTTGGCCTCCCCAAATGCTGGGATCAAAGGCATGAGCCACTGCACCTGGCCTGATTTTATGTTGAATCTCTGTTGCACTTCTGAGTTAAACCACCTGGTCAAAAAGTATTTATATTCTTTATTGTACATGGCTCAGTTATGTTTGCTCTAATATTTGACTAAACATTTTTCCATCAATGCCACAAATGAAATGACCTGATATCTCTTCTCCTTCTTCATTCATTTTTTGGGGGACTTTTGCTAACAAACTTACGCTATTTTCATATAAAGAGCTAATTTTTTCTTTCTTTTTATACACTCTGGAATCATTATATAGACAATGAAGTTGTTGCTTGACCCCCTGACAAAAACTTCTGTCTAAGATAATATTCTTTCTTCCTGAAATATGGGCGGCAAGCCACCCAGATGCCGAGGCAAGAGACCGAAGGCACAAGCTGTTCCAGTATAATAAAGAAAATACATACAATAAGAATAGTTATACTAGAAATAGATTATAGATATGATTATATATGAATATTATTAATCATTAGTTAGTAGCATTACTCTTTATTCCAATTTTATAATAATCTTTGTTCTACAATTATAACCTAGGAAAAACCAGACCATACAGAGATAGGAGCTGAAGGGACACGGTGAGAAGTGACCAGAAGACAGGAGTGTGAGCCCTCTGTCTCGCCCGGACAGGGCCACTAGAGGACTTCCCACCAGTGTCTGGGAAGTCACCCGTAAGTATATTTAGCAGACCTTGGTCTAGTGGTAGCACCAGTGCCTGGGAAGGCACCTGTTACTTAGCAGATCGGGAAAGGGAGTCTCCCTTTCCCCAGGGGAGTCAGAGAAGGCTCTGCTCCACCACCTCTTGTGGAAGGCCTGACATCAGTCAGGCCCGCCCGCCCACAGCCATCCAGAGGCCTAAACGTTTCCCTGTGATGCTGTGCTTCAGCGGTCATGCTCCTGGTCCACTTTCATGCTCCGACATGTACACCTGGCTCCAACTTCTAGATAGCAGTAGCAGAATTAGTCAAAGTATTAAAGTCTTTGATCTCTCCAAGAAATACATAGAAGAAATAATGACATAAGCTGTCCCCTGTCTCTCTCTGCCTCGGCTACCAAATAGGGAAGTGTCCCCTGTCCAATGGACACGTGACTCGTGCGATCTCACCTCTCATTGGAGATGACTCACACTCCTTACCCTGCCTTCTTGCCTTGTATGCAATAAATAACAGCGCAGCCAGGCATTCGGAGCCACTACCGGTCTCCACGCCTTGGTGGTAGTGGTCCCCTGGTCCCAACTGTCTTTTCTTCTATCTCTTTGTCTTGTGTGTTTATTTCTATGATCTCTCCTCTCCGCACATGAAGAGAAAAACCCACAGGCCCTGTAGGGCTGGACCCTACACTGAAATACATATTTTAGGTTTTCCTTAGTCTATTGTGGACAAACTCTGTTAGGTTTTATCTGAAAATGTCATTATTTTGCCCTAATTCTTGTGATTTTTCTAGTATACAATTCTGCACTGACAGTTACTTTCTCTCAGGATATTAAATATATCATTCCACTTTCCTCAAGCTTTCACTGATGCTGTGGAGAAATCATTTCTCAGAATAATTATCATCTGACTGAACATAGCTGTCTATACTTCTGGCTGAGGTTGTAACCCTTTTCCCATTTGCCCTGAGAATACTCACTGATGTAGCATTTCAAAAAGTTTGCATAGATAAAAGCTGCAGTGCTTGCAGCTGCAGCATTTACCCTGAGATAAATTTGCCACAAAATATTTTGCTTTTATTATTGTTTTCGCATTGCTCTTGTATATCAACTTCAGAAACAGAAAACGTCATTCTATTTACAGCATTCTGTTTTTAGTAGTGGCATTTCCATTTGCAAAATATGGCAATTCTCCATTGCTAAATATATCAAATCCTAGAAAATCTAGCATTCCTACATGTGATGTTAACGTTGTTCTTGAACAGTTGCTGATCAAAGATTCATTTGATGAATCTGATTTTTCCGAAATAGATAATTCTCATGATTCAGACAATTCTGATGTTAGTTCTGGTTAGAAATAACTCTGAGAACAGCTTATATATTTTATTTTCATGTTGAAAATCAATCAGATTTGCTTCAGCCTCAAAGAGCATATTTATGTGAAATTGTTTTGGCAGTGAGCTGCACTTTTTTTTCTAAACCGGAAAAGGGTTAAGTCTTCGTTTTATCTTTGTTCACCTAAATTTTTACCGTTATGATAAATTTACTGTTTACATATTAATTCCTCGTTTTTAACCTGACTCTATCTTTCATTTTACTTAACATGTCTTCTCTATCTTTCATCCCATGGACTTTCTTACATTCTTTGAAATTTCTCCATATCTCTTTCCAGTTCACTAATTTGCTCTTCATCTTTGTCTAATCTGCTAATAAACCCATCATATTCGGATTTTGTATTCAGTCAATTTTTACAGACTCTCTCGTAACTTATTTTCAAATCATTGTTTTATATGTTGTGTCTGATAATTCCAACATTTAACATCTTTTTTCAGATTTGATTCTATGATTTGTTTTTTTTTCTGGTGGCTCTCACTCATCAAGGCTTGCTTATTTTGCTTTGCTTTGTTTCACTTTTGTTTTTACTGTGAGCTCATATTTCTATGGATATTATTTGAGCCTCAAGCTGTGGTAGTTTTCATGGGAGAGGGCTTTTGTCTGGACCTGCAAGGTCCCAGGAACACTAGTAACCAGGACCACATTACACTGAGCGTATGCTGAGAACTGAGACCACCCAGGAAGTATGAATTCTGTCTATAAAACTGAAATCAGATGGCTTATGGTTACAGAGTCTCAAAGAAAATTTTTCTTTTTCCTCTATACAGCATCAGAGTCTAAGATGGACTATTTTTCTTGTCCTCTCCTGAGAGTTAAATATATGGGATGTAGAGAAGTGATTGCCTGTGAATATCCATCTTGTATGGAGTTGATCCCGTGTTCCCCACTTATGGACAGTCCTTAAAAACAAACTTTCTCCCTACAGAAAATTTCCTCAAGGAGAATTTACATCTAAGTTTTGTTTTCCTCTGTTGATTCTTTGCCCTCTAAAAATTCCTTACTTTCTTGTGTGTTTACAAGATGCACTCATAAAGAGTTTGTTGTTATATTTTCTCTGTCTCTTTTAGCTCTTTTCCATAGGAGGAATCTTAAGGCAATCTAGTCCAAAATACCGCCTGAAATGGAAAGAAAAGTCTACTAATTTTTGAATCCTGTATTGTACATTTAAATAAAGACCTCCAGTTAGCCAAGTCTTGTATTAAAGTTTCTTACCTAAAACAATTATATGGCTTAACAATTGTTACTTAAAACTAAGAAACGCAAAGGACAACATTAAGAAATCTGCTTCCTAATAATTCCTTCACCGTAAAATTTACTTAAGGAAGTATGCTTTCCTCAGAATTCCATCATAGACAAACATTATTTCCATATTGATCTTAATAGTTTTCACTTCAATTAATTTGAAATAAATATTTGTTGGTTGAGTGCCTGAGAATTTTTTTTTTAGTTACAGGTGGTGATAAGATACAACTACTGTCCTTGAGAAGTTTACACTCCTGTGTGAAAACTGTATCAGTAACCAAACAATTACAGAAATTTTATACGTATAAAAGGTAATAAAATAACTATATATATAGCAATAAAAATAGAAGAAAGGAAGATGTTCCTACCTCAGCCTGTTTGTTTCTCAGGAGAAAACTGACACCATGTGGGATTTCGTCAACATGATGTCACCAGAAGAGCAGAGTACTAAAAATAATAAATGTTTTTCAGGTTCACAAGAGTGTAAAGGATGTTTCAAGATCGATCTAGGAAGGGAATATAGACTAGGTAAAAGTACAGAGATATAAAGCAGCATTGTGTGTGCAGAAAACAACAGAGTTAGGTACCATGAGAATTCACAGGGCAAGAAGGGCTTCTGAGAGTTGACCCTAGACAGGTTGTCCCAGGGCACAACAGGAGTTTGAATTTTATCTTCTAAATGACTAGGAAGCTTTGTTTGAAGCGCCAAAGGGGCAAACAAACTCATACAACAAAAATGTCATTTTTGAAATTTGTGGAAGATGGACTACATGAAACATGCCGTATGTTTCTTTATTCTTTATTGTATCCCTTTCTTTTGACTTAGCATTTTCTGTAGTATTTTCTATGTATTTCTATAAAATATAATTATCATTTTAATAGAAATACACCATTTTACCAGTATAACAAGAAAATTGGTTTGTTTGACATATATATACACACAATATATATATTATGCAGACATTCATTCACATATACATATCTGCATGTCTTTCATGCATTTTTACATAGTTTAAAAAGGCATATAAAACATAATGCTCTGTAAACATTTTAATAAGTTAAAAGTATATCATAAAAATTTACCAGGACTTTAAAGTTTCTTCTCAGGGCATTTTTATGCAACATAGCACTAAATCATATACCTGTATTCTAATGTATCTGAAATTGCTTATATTTTAACATTCTTTGATTCTTTGATATTATAAAAAGCTGGTGGGGTATGAAGTCTGACACCTGTGGTCCCAGCAACTCAGGAGGCTAAGGTAGAAGTATTGTTTGAGCCCAGAAGGTTGAGGCTGCAGTGAGCCATGTTCACACCACTGCACTCCAGTCTGGGTGACAGAGCAAGACCCTGTCACTCACACACACACACACACACACACGCACACACACACGCAAAAGCACATAGTGATGGTTAATTTTATCTATGAACTTGATTGGGTCACAGGGTGCCCAGATCTGGGCTCAAACATTATTCTGAGTGTTTCTGGGAGGATATTTTACATGAGATTAACATTTAAATCAATGGAGTGAGTAAAGCAGATTGAACTCCATTATGTGAGTGAGCCTTGTCCAATCAATCAGAGGCTTAAATAGAACAAAAGGTGGGCCCTCTCCCTAGTAAGAAAGAATTCTTCCTACCTGACTACCTTTGAACTAACACATTGGCTTTTCCCTGTCTTTGGAATCAAACAGAAATCTCACCTCTTCCTGGGTCTCTTCCCCTTTCCTCCGGGAGTGGAATGTTTTCTTTCACTTTGTTTTCCCTTCCTATGCTCAAGGAAGATAGTTTTGTTTTAGTTTACACCCACAGTTAGTGGATTCTTCCCCTTTAACTTTGGCTTCAAATAAGAGATAATTCTAGAAAGTAGGTAGAGCTTTGTACCTAGCATCACCAAGGGGAGGAAAACGTCCAGCTTGTGAGTGAGTGCAGAGCTTTCTCATGTTTGGACTCTCTGACATGCTGGCTAATACTTCGCTTTTTTTTTTTTCTTACTCACCTTTGCAGTAGGTAACTCTTCTTAGTGCCCTACTAATGGTGAAAAAAAAATTGTGAGTTCTCGCCTCGGAAGGGTTTGTTATACTTTGGAATTTAGTGTAGTTAGTTCCTTATGACTGCAGCTTTATGAACAGTTCAAGAAAAGTTATGATTTTGTTGATCATCCAGATTCTTCTAACAGTGTTCTCTGACAGTTTTATACATCCTAAGCAAAAGCTAAACTCCTTTGAATTAGTTCTTCCACATAAATTTTAAACTTGCTATTCTGAGTTCCCTCTAAAAAATATTCTGTTAATATTTTTATTGTGATCATGTTAAGTGTATAAGTTATGGAGAACTAATATTTTTATAATGTTGAGTTTTCCATGGACTCAGCCTTCCACAGTAAGGTATGACATCATTTGATCAAATCATTCTGCATCCCACACGAGTTGTTTATTTTAACTTTATTATTTTTCAGCAAATCTTTAATATATTTTTTCATGCTCCTTTTTAAGATTTTAATAATTTTTTATAGTTGTGAAGGGAGCTTTTCTTACATTATGTATTTAAACTACTTGCTTTTTATATATGTGAAAGTTATGACAATGCTATTATATTGTATACAGTTTTTACTTGATTTTCTTAGTTTTCAGTAAAATAGTGCTATGTTCTTAATGTTTGTGTCCCTTCCAAAATTTATATGTTAAAATCCTAACCCCTAATGTTACAGGCGGAGGGTTTTGACTACCAATTGTGCAGGTTCTGGGCATTCTGAACAAAAAATTGGACAAAATATGCAGACAAAGTAATGAAAGAATAAAGCAATGAAAGCAGAGATTTACTGAAAAGAAAGTACACTCCACAGAGTGGGAGCAGACTCAAGCAAGCGGCTCCAGAGTGCTGGTCACAGAATTTTCTGGGATTTTAATACCCTCTAGAGGTTTCCCATTGGTTACGTGGTGAGTGGCCCCCGACCAGTCTGATTGGTTATGGAAGGCAACCAATCAGAGGCTGAAGTGAAGTTACAAAGTTATATCCCTATGCAAATTTAGACTAGGCCCACCACCAGACTGACTGGTTACAGGAGGGGACCTATCAGAGGTACTTTCCACTTTTTATCTGCAAAGCACAAAAGGGGAGGGCTGCCAAAGGAGTAGCCGTTGATCCTTTTGTTATTTGGGCATGGAAAGTTGGGGTTTCCTTTAGATTTAATTCTAGGAAGTCAGCATAAATTGGTCTCAGGTTTCCTGCCTCCAGACTCTATTCTCCTGCCTCACCAAGATGATGGCATTAGGAGGAGCCACCTTTGTAAAGTGATTAGGTCATTGAGGGAAGAGCCCTAATTAGTGGGATTAGTACTCTTATAAAAGAGGCCCAAGAGAGACCCCCAGCCCCTTCAAACAGGTGAGGACACAGCTAGAAGACAGTTATCTATGAACTGAAAATCAATCTTCCCCAGACACTGAACCTGCCAGCATCTTGAATCTGCTTGTCCATTATGGTTGTAAGCTCTGCTGTCACTGTCATTCTTCCAAGACTCAGGCTTATAGAGCAGCCAGTGATTTTGACATAAGCATTGTCATTACAGAGGAAAAGAAAGGGAGCGTGGCAAAGCACTCAGTGGCTTCAGAGTTTCCAACTGGAAGTCATACTCTGCTTTCATTTTATTGGCCAATTTAAGTCACTTGGCTCACAGTTTACTAAAGCAAGTCACACAGACACACCTAACTTCAAGTGGGTAGGGAAGTACAATACTAACATGTGCTTGGAAAGAGAACCAGAAATATTTGGTAGACAGTTTATAATGACTACATAAACTGCTTCTTAGCTATGGGACCTTAGGCAGGTCAATTAACATTTCTAAGCTTCCAACGATTAATAGAAAATATTACAGAGGGCGCTTTTGAAGAAATAAACTAATACATGGGAAGTATTTAATGTAGTGCCTGAAAACCCCAGTAGTGAGTAAATGTGAGTTATTATACCACCACCACTATCATCATCATTATTGTGAGTTATAGCTAAATCAATTTTACTCAAGTATTGTTAAAAATATTTTATATATGTTTGCCTTGGATTGTCTAATTTTTTTGAATGATTTATGTCTTTGACTCATTTATTAATCAGAAAAATTCATTTTTCATTGTGATTATTTTCTTAATTATTTTAGATTTCTTGGGGAACCATTGAGCCTATATATTAACACTTACATTAATATCTACCAGAGAATGAATGAGGAAAAAAGACCTTTTGGGTTTAATACATATTGCATTCAAATGGCACTTTTCTACTCCTCAAATGATTCACATTAAAAATGATATATTATTCAAAGTGCCAATTGAGATAATAATTCAAGACTGTAAGACTATCACAATTTGTAAAAATATAAGTAAAGGCATATATTGATTGCTCTAATGTATGAATGTTTGTGTGTATACATATAAATATAGCTATATAATGTAGTCTACAAAAAATAAGTATAGGACAAAAACTAAATTATTTTTCATTTGTAATTTTTACTTCTCAATATATGCATTTCCCTCTTCTCTAAGAAAAGGAAGTGGAAACAAGTTTTTTCTTAGGAAGATAAGATTCTGCTCATCAACCATTTCACTATTATGTACCATCCTTAACAAAAATAATTAGAAAAGTAGGGAAAAAATACAAGAAGTCAAAAAGCCTTTTCCTATTACTTACACACAATCATTTTAAAGAGAATAAGTAGGCTGGGTGTAGTGGCTCACGCCTGTAATCCCAGCACTTTGGGAGGCTGAGGTGGGTGGATCACGAGGTCAGGAGATCAAGACCATCCTGGCTAACACGGTGAAACCCCATGTCTACTAAAAATACAAAAAAATAGCCAGGCTTGGTGGTGGGCGCCTGTAGTCCCAGCTACTTGGGAGGCTGAGGTAGGAGAATGGCGTGAACCTGGGAGGCAGAGCTTGCAGTAAGCCAAGATCACACCACTGCACTCCAGCCTGGGCGACAGAGCGAGACTCCGTCTCAAAAAAAAAAAAAAAAGAGAATAAAGAGAATAAGTAAACCATATGTAAAGGAGAAAATATTAATGCAAAATATTTAAAATATTTTAATATTAAATTGAAGACTCCAAGTTTAAAGTTTTTCGTTACAATGAAAAAATGCCCCAGATTCATTCTTTAAACTAAGTAGTGAATGACACTTTAGGGTTTGAGTTTTATAAGCTCTCATAATTTTTCCTTTTTTCAAAGAACAAAGAGGCATTGATAAAATTCTCAAATGATGCTAAAGAAAAGTTTTACAGATAAGCAGGAAGAGTTAAACAATAGCTACTCATTATGCTTTTAAAATTAGATTTTAGCATAATTTAGATTTAGATTTTAAAATTAGGTTTAGCATAATTTTCTTTGTTATTTCCTGAAACTGCTAAACTATATTTCTTAGTAATAAACTCTTTTCATATGTGAATATCTGTGTGTGGTCATATAGATTTTATATTGCTTCAAAACAGAAGAACGATTAATAAGGACAATTTAGAATGCAGAAACTAAGCTACACAGACTAAAATGTGCTAATGTAAATGAGTAGAACCTCAACTGAAAAATCTTTTCTAGAACACGTGACCTTTCCAAAAGAAGTGAAGTGTTCCATATACTTAACTTTTTACAGAAGAAACAGAAACGGAAATATTATTCACATACAAGATACATCTATCAAGTCTCAAAATAATATAATGAAGAAAATCAGATCAATAACTCTCCCTTTGTAAAACGTCTCTGCTCCCTCCTCCCCGCACCCTTGAACAGAGTTAATGGTCCCAACCCCTCTATTCTGTCTGTTTTCCCTGTAGATCACTAACTACACTAAAACAGAAGTATTCTAGCAATTCTTGATAAGACTGTGAAGTCTTTGGGTGCAAAGTATATACCATTAGTGTCCAGTACAGCACCTGACACAAAGTAGGAATTTAATAAACATTAAAAAATCTGTGTTAAGCACAGTATATAGAAAAATAAATAAATAAAAATATAAAAAGAGAGGAAGGAAAGAAGCGAGGAGGGAAAAAAAGAGAGAAAATAAAATTGACGAAGTCACAGAAAAATGATACAATCTTTTAAAAGTCATTTGAATTGATAAGAAAACTTCTTTTCCTCCAGTTTCTTAACATGGAAATTATGCACCCAGGTGCAGTGGTTCACGCCTGTAATCCCAGCACTTTGGGAGGCCAAGGCAGGCGGGTCATGAGGTCAAGAGATCGAGACCATCCAGGCTAACATGGTGAAACCCTGTCTCTATCAAAAAGAAAAAAAAAATTAGCTGAGTATGGTGGCCCGCACCTGTAGTCCCAGCTACTTAGGAGGCTGAGGCAGGAGAATCGCTTGAACCCCGGAAGACGGAGGTTGTGATGAGCCAAGATCCCACCACTGCACTCCAGCCTGGTGACAGAGTGAGACTCCATCAAAAAAAAAAAAAAAAAAACCATGAAATGTATGCATACACTGAAGTACTTGAAGCTGTCAACAACCATTTGCAATATTCTTATAAAATAATAAGATTTGTGTACTTGTTTTAACTAGAGTGTACAAAATATAAAGTGGGGAAGAAGAGCATAATAAAATTATAAAAAATAGTAAAGAAATGGCTAAAAAGGCATAGCATTTTAAGAGAAGTTCTTCTCATTATGCACTCTTTTCTATATGCAAATAAAGTGAACAGACAGACATCTGTGATTTGACATATAGTTGATGGGAAAAATCTAATTTCTTTTGTTTTAGTGGTATTAAAAACTTCAAATCTGGTTTTAATGGTACTAAAACCTCTAAAACCTTCAAGTCTGTGTTTAAACCTCAGGCAAGTATTGGCACCTAGGCTTAACACAGGGAAGAGGTGACTGACAGACTCAATTTTCCCTCAAAAGGCATGTCCTACAGACACTCAGAAATGGCATTTGGGTATAAGCTTAATTCATTAAAGTTATTTTCTATTCTCTTAAAAACTTATAGGCTTTTTTCCTTTATGCTTTTGATTTTTTCTATGTGCTGTCTCAAATTTTCTTTTTTTTAATTCTTAATTTTGCAAAAATAGACCCAAAAAGGGATTTACTTGAGCCTTCTTATTGCAGTATTTCTCATACCACGTGAGTTCTTGCTCTTCCCTTATCGCACAGGAGTTGTTCAGAACAGAGCTGTTGTGTTTAATGGGTGTCTGAAAATCTCTTGTAATGTTCTTTTGGTTCACCTGCTTCTGTTTATTTGGTCTCTAATTTCTAATGTAAAGTATATATAGCTTGTGCAGTTGCCTTGAATTTGGATGTGCACCAGCTGCTTAAATTTGGGTTAGTGTCACATTCTTCTTCCAGGTAGAAATGTTTATAGGGTTTTTGTAAAGATGTAAAAGATTGTCATATATTTATCTTTTCCTTGTTGAAACATTCTCTTAAAAATACAGGGATAAATTTTGGCCAAGCTAAATAAATGTGAATAGATAGGTCAGTGTCTGCATATAGTAAGTGCTTGATAAATATCAGGAATCATGAGAATGATGTTGATGAGTTCCAAAAAATCATCATATTTATCTACTCAAGAGTCCATTTTGTTTCCTTAAGTGAAAAGTCATATGACTGACGTCTTTATATTTCTTGCCTCAGTGATACAATATGGAAATTTGAAATCTATTTCTTCTTTTGGCGATAAATACTTATACACACACAGTCATGCATCAATTAACAATGGGGATACATTCTGAGAAAAGCATTGGTAAGTGATTTTGTCATCGTATTGTTACTGGGGGGTCCTTGCTCATAGAGCTTCCAAGATGGCGGCAGCCTCGTGTTCTCTGACCTGGGGTTCTTGGCCTCACGGATTCCAAGGAATGGAATCTTGGGCCATGCGGTGAGTGTTATAGCTCTATTAGAAGCCATGGGTCATGGAAGAGAACCATGGAACCCAGTGACTAGTGTTCAGCTTGATTAGGACGAACCCAGGCACTTAGCTGTGCAGGAACAATGGCAAGCCTTTAGCCTGATCGGGAGTGGCAATGGGTGCCTCGCTGGATCAGGAGCACAGTGGACACCCTGCCAGATCTGGAGGGATGGAAGTCAGCGACGGGTCTGCAACGGCGGCAAACAGCAGTGGTGGATGGTGAGCAAAAGCTCAGCTTGAGCCGTAACAAACACGGACCAGAAGAGTGCAGTTGCAAGATTGAATAGAGTGAAAACAGAGCTCCCATACAAAGAGAGGGGACCCAAAGGGGGTTGCCGTTGCAGGCTGGAATGCCTGGGTTTATATCCTGGTCATTGTCCCTCCCGCTGTGCTCTCAGGCAATGGATGATTGGCTATTTCTTTACCTCCTGTTTTTGCCTAATTAGCATTTTAGTGACCTCTCTTTACTATCCAATTGGTAGGGTGTGAGCTAAGTTGCAAGCCCTGTGTTTAAAGGTGGAAGTGGTCACCTTCCCAGCTAGGCTTAGGGATTCTCAGTCAGCCTAGGAAATCCAGCTAGTCCTGTCTCTCAGTGCCCCCTCCCAACAGGAAAATACAAATGCTGTTGGGGAGGTTGGCCGAGGACCACTGTAACTGCTTCCTGCTGAATTGGAGCATAGTAGGGGTTGTGCAGTTGAGATTTCCTTGGGAGGGGTGCCTTCAATGTCATTAACATTGGAGCATGGGCTAGCAGGCTGGTCCAGGGGTCCTCAGTAGATCTTAGTCATGGACTGCATCTGGGGGTCCATTTGAAGAACGATTTGTAGTTTTACATCTTCGATTCTGGAAGAGACAAACTTAACACGGAGGTTAAAGATACAGGGTCCAAAGAGGAGTAGAAATATAGCTGCTAGAGGTCCTAAGAAGGGGAGAATCCAGGGCATCCATTGGCTGAGGAGGCCCCAGGGTCCAGTGTTTTTTAAGCTCCTCTGTTCTACGTTGTATTCGATCTTGAATTTCTTTAACTTTCTTGGTGATGATTCCGAATTGATTAACATAATAACAGCATTCTTCCCCTAAAAATAAAAACGTTCCCCCTCTCTCAGTGATTAGCAATTCTAAAGCTCTTCGATTTTGAAGGACTACTGCATACACCGCCTTTTGAAGTCCTTTTTCTGCAAAGGAACTTCCATCAGTATACAAGTTGAGATCGGGATCAGTCAAGGGAACTTCTAAAAGGTCCCCTCGAGCAGTGTAGGTTTGAGCAATTATTTGTTGACAGTTATGTTCTATCTTTTCTTCATTGTCTGGAAGCAATGTGGCTGGGTTAAGAGTTGCACAAGTGCACAGTCGCAACACTGGCCCTTCAAGTAATAGAGCCTGATATTTAAGTAAACAGTTGTCTGACAGTCACAAGTCTCCTTTAGCAGTGAGTATGCCATTCACATCATGAGATGTCCACACAGTAAGATCTCTTCCTTGTATCATTTTAACTGCTTCAGTTACTAAGACTGTGACTGCTGCCACTACCCATAAACAATGAGGCCAACCCTTTGCCACTAATTTCCTTACTCAGGTATGCCATGGGTTGCAGGCTCGTCCCTTGGATCTGCGTAAGGACTCCTGGAGCTATTCCTGTTTTTTCTGTG
The DNA here is from genome assembly GCF_000001405.40 of Homo sapiens. Classification (NCBI taxonomy): domain Eukaryota; kingdom Metazoa; phylum Chordata; class Mammalia; order Primates; family Hominidae; genus Homo; species Homo sapiens. The sequence continues at coordinate 26,860,214 of NC_000021.9, read as the reverse complement.
ACATATAAAGAAAAGTCTTGCCCCATTGGCAAGCTTAACACTGGGGCTTGGGTCAGGGCCTTCTTTAGGGCCTGGAAATCTGCTTCTGCTTCAGGTGTCCATCTTACCAAATGGGTATTGGCTTTCTGAGTTTCCTTAATTAGTGTATATAATGGTCTGGCTATTTCGCTGTACCTGGGAATCCATATTCGGCAGAAACCCGTTATGCCAAGGAACACTCTTAGTTGCTTTAGGGTTTTGGGATGAGGATAAGCCAGTATAGGCCGGATACTTTCCTCACTGAGGGCCCTGGTGCCTTTGGATAATTTTAGCCCTAAGCATTTAAATTGCTGTGAGCAGAGCTGAGCCTTTGGTTTGGAAACCTGTAGCCACAGGTGGCGAGGAAATTAAAGAGTGCTTGGGTGGCTTGATGGCACAAGGTTTCTGAACAGGTGGCTAAAAGTAAATCATCCACGTACCAAAGGACAAGAGTGTCCAGGTATAAGAACTGGCTCAAGTCTTGGGCTAATGGGGGCTATCCCTGAACCCTTGGGGTAAAACATTCCAGGTGAGTTGAGACGTTGAGTTTGAAGGATCTTCAAAGGCAAACAAGAATTGAGAGTCAGGATATACAGGGATGCAGAAAAAGGTGTCCTTAAGGCCCCGGACTGTAAACCCCTCTGCTTCCTGTGGTATTTGGGAAAGCAGAGTATAAGGGTTAGGTACAGCTGGCTATACAGGAACAACAGCCTCAATGATAATCCTGAGATCTTGCACTAACCTCCACTGTCTGTTGGGTTTCTGTACTCCTAAAATTGGAGTATTGCAGGGGCTATTGCATGGTTTTACTAGGCCATGGGCTTTTAGGTCCTTAACAATCTTTTGGAGTCCTTGTTGGGCCTCAGGTCTAAGGGGGTACTGCCTTTGGTAGGGAAAGGAGGCGGAATCCTTTAGTTTAACTTGAACAGCACAGGCATTCTTTGCTCGTCCGTATTGTCCTTCTGTTGCCCAGACTTCGGGATTAATTCCTTCCTCAAGCAGGGGACAACAAACAGGTGTTCCTTCTCCTATGTTCAGGTGTATAATGGCCCCTGCTTTTGCTAGAATGTCTCGCCCTAACAAGGGAGTGGTGCTTTCAGGGATAATTAGAAAAGCATGTGAAAAGAGTAAAGTTCACCAGTCACAACTTAGTGACTGGGATAAGTATCTAGTGACTGACTGTCCTAGGAACCCTCGGATAGTGACAGATCTGGAGGACAGTTGTCCGGGAAAGGAGAGTAAGACTGAGAAGGCCGTGCTAGTGTCCAGGAGACAGTTAACCTCCTGGCCCTCAATGGTCAAGCATACCTGGGGCTCTGTGAGGGTGACGGCATGGGCTAGTGCTTGCCCTGGGCACCCTCAGTCCTGCTGCTGGATCATCTGGTTAGTGGCTTCTGACTCAGAGGACATTTGTCCCCTGGGATAGTGGGCCTTCCAGTGATTCCCTTGATATAAGGGGCATGGACGAAGGGGCGACTTATTTCTACTTGGACAATCTTTTTCAAAGTGTCCTTGTAGACCACTCTGGAAGCAAGCCCTAGTAGGCATTCGATTTGCCCAGCTTTTCCCTTTTCCAGAGCCTCCAAAGTCCACTTGCCTGAGGGCCATAACTAAAGCGGTGGCCTTTTTTTTACCCCGTTTGTCCTGTTCCGCCTGCTCCTCCTGATCTCTATTATAAAAAACCGAGGTTGCCAAGTTCAATGGGGTTTCTAAGTTTTGCTCTGGGCCTAAGGCAGACTTTTGAAGTTTTTTCCTAATGTCTTCAGCTGACTGAGTGATAAACTTATCCTTTAAGATTAGTTGGCCTTCAATAGAGTCAGGTGACAGGGAAGTATGCTTCCTCAATGCCTCCCTTAGTCGCTCCAGAAAGGCAGTAGGATTTTCTTCCTTTCCCTGTGTTATAGTGGACATCATTGAATAATTCGTAGGCTTCTTCCTAGTTTTCCTTAGTCCTTCTAGCATGTAAGTTAGCAAATGTCTGCAGCACCAATGTCCATGTTCTGATTCTGTGTCCCAGTGAGGGTCTACACTGGGAACTGCCTGCTGGTCTGTGGGGAATCATTCTCTTTCCTCTGTTGTCCTCCTATCATTGACCCGAGTGAGATACCAGAGATCGCCAAACTCTCAGGCTGCAGTTATGGCGGCACTTGTCTCATTTGGGGTTAGTGTCTGATCTAGCAGTAACATTATATCTCTCCATGTCAGATCAAAGGATTATCCTAACCCTTATAAAACATCAATATAGCCATCAGGGTTATCTGAGAATTTACCTAGGTCTATTTTAATTTGCTTTAAGTCTGAGAGAGAAAAAGGCACATGCACACTGGCTGGGCCAAATTCTCCTCCTCCCACTGCTTAGAGGGGGCATAATCAGGGAACATTGGCACGCTTTGGTTCATTGTTTACCCCTTTGTCTATCTCCTTTTGGACCGTTTGGGTTGAAGGGGGTTCCTTATTAGTTGGAGAAGGAGTCAGGGGGATGCTGGGGTAGGGAGGTAGACTCTGAGGGCTTCCTGTAGGGCATAAATCACACTTCTTACATAATTGCAAGTTGTCTCTTAATGAAAAGAAAGTTTGCACATATGGCACTTCACTCCATTTGCCCTCCTTTCTACAGAAGAGGTCTAGCTGTAAGATGGTGTTATAATTTATACTTCCCTCAGGAGGCCAGGTTTCTCCCCCTTGAAGAGGATATCGTGGCCAGGTGGTACTGCAGAAGAACATAAGTCATCTCTTTCTTAGCGTCTGGGGGTCAAATTGGTCCCAATTCTCCAGAATACATCTTAGGGGTGTTTTTGCCTTGGGGAGGGTGGAGAACATTTCCCGTCTGAGAAAAGAACATAGGGATGCCAGCACCCCTAGTCATTTTCCAATGAGCATTAGTCCTAGAGCATCCTTTAAGGGCCTAATGCTTATTCTTTTCAGGGTGCGTAATCACCCATGGACCTCTGCTTATCGGATTAGTTACGCTCACCGAGGTAACAGTCCTGCACCCCTTTTCCCGCCTTTCTTGACCATAAAGAAAGGGGCCTGGGCTGCTGGATTCTAGTGGTCCTTTACCAATGTGCCCAACATTGCCTTTGCGCTCAGAGTTGAATTCCTTTCCAGGGTGTGTAACCACCCAAGGCCCTCTGCTTATCAGATTAGTTATGCTCACTGATGTAGCAGTCCTGCACCTGTTTTCCTGCCTTTCTTGACCACAAAGAAAGGAGTCCAGGCTGCTGGATTCTAGTGGTCCTTTACCAGCGTGCCCAACATTGCCTTTGTGCTCAGGGATGTGTCCTAGAGCTGGGCTGGTTTCCTGAGTATTTCATAACCACCCAGCTGCCCCATCAAGATGCATTCCCAAAAAAGCAGTTCTTATGTAAATTCATTTCAGAGAGGGTGTAAGTAAACTTTTGAGTCAGGATTGAGATAGTTTTTACGATTCTGTAAGTACTTTAAGGCTTGGCTGAGTGCAAACAGCTCACACTTTTGAGGACACCATTTATTAGGCAATTTTTCTAACTCTGCTTCCACAAGAGTCTCCCTATCAATTACTGAATACCCACTGTGGTTTTTTCCTCAATCACCTGGGAGGAACCCTCTATAGTCCTGTCCTGAAGGGAGTTCCTCCTAGGTGTGGTCAGACCTTTGTATGGTAATTAAGATTTAAATCCCCTGTTAGGAAACCTGCTGGGTTAAGAGAATTATCAGTGGTTGGTGTTAAATTACCTTTTTTTTTTTTTAAACACAATAGCCCCATACTTTAAGATTTTTGAGTTAGTAAGCTACCTTTTTGCTTTTTTGACTTAGAATAATTCTGAACTGGTAAGGTGTGCTCACAATGAGGTTTCCTCTAAAAGTTACTTTTCTACTTTCTTCTGTTAGCAAAACAGTTGCTGCTACAGATTGAATGCATCTGCCGGTTACTGGGTTAAGGATTTTTTGATAGGAAAGCTGCAGGTTGTCAGTGGTCTCAGTGTTTTCAGGCTACGCCCTTGTTTACACTGACAACAAGGTAGTATTGGAGTATTATAGGGTCATGGAGAAGACCTTCAATTATCAATTATAGGTTTTAAATTTACCCCGGCTTTTAAAGGAATAGGGCACGCTGTTTTTTGTTTGTTTTACCATTTCTGTCTTTCTCTTTCTTTTTCTCTTTGACTCCCTTTGTCTTTCTCTCCTCCATCTCTCTCTCTCTCCCCTCCGTCTCTCTCTCTCTCCCCTCCGTCTCTCTCTCTCTCTCTCTCTCCCCTCCGTCTCTCTCTCTCTCTCTCCCCTCCATCTCTCTCTCTCTCTCTCCCCTCCGTCTCTCTCTCTTTCTCTCTCTCTCCTCTTAGCCATTACAAACTTGGGGCCTTGACAAGGGTGATGGGGAACGGGTCCCACATAACTGCCCATGTCGAGAGCTGTATGCCTAAATCGGGAGGGACACCAGGGACAAGACTTCCTGGGTTTATAGCCTAGATGCCTAAGGACGCAGCGTAGAGCTTCCTTAGATCCCTTTGGAGATACAACTTGCTAGAGGAAATGAAACTGAACCATTAGTACCTAGGAGCCAGGGATCAGGGGAAGTAGATTCAGAGGTAAGCAGAATTTTGGGGCTACACTTTCAAGAAAGTCATCGTCGGGACCCAGGAGGTATGGGTCAGGAGGAAAGGTAGGAGCGCACGCATGGGCGACTGTTGAGTAGAGACTTCTGGCTGCGCCATGATCTCAACCGGCTACTGCCAGGAGTTCCGGACGACAGCTTTCTGCCTCTAGTCGACCCTTGGCTTCCCCAAGAAAATTGAAAGTGGAAGGGGCAGACCAACGTCCCCAACCCAGAAGGGTTGGGGGTTGTTAGAAAGCCCTTCCCCAGATAGCCTCACACCTGAGTCTTAAGTCGGGCAGCCACGCTAATTGTTTTTAACTGGCCGACAGGTGCCCAGTATTTTCCTCCAATTCTAAAGAAGGATAGGACAGAATAGCAAGCGAAAGTGATCCAATATTACTCACCGCTTTGGAGGTCCCTTCGTGGTCGCCAAAATGTTACCGGGGGGTGGGGGTCTCCGCTCACAGAGCTCCTAAGATGGTGGCGAGCCACTTCCAAGATGGTGGCAAGCCTCCTGTTCTCTGACCTGGGGTTCTTGGCCTCACAGATTCCAAGGAATGGAATCTTGGGCCATGCACAGAGTTTTATAGCTCTGTTAGAAGCTGCGGGTCATGAAGAGAACCGTGGAACCCAGCTTGATGAGGATGAACCCAGGCACTTAGCGTGCAGGAACAATTGCAAGCCTTTAGCCCAATCGGGAGCGGCAATGGGCGCCTCGCTGGATCAAGAGCACAGCGGACACCCTGCCAGATCTAGAGGGATGGAAGTCAGCACGGCAGGTCTGCGATGGCGGCAAACAGCAGTGGTGGAAGGCGAGCGAAAGCTCAGCTCAAGCTGTAACAAACACGGACCAGAAGAGTGCAGTTGCAAGATTGAATAGAGTGAAAACAGAGCTCCCATACAAAGGGAGGGGACCCAAAGAGGGTAGCCATTCCGGCTTGAATGCCTGGGTTTCTATCCCGATCATTGTCCCTCCCGCTTTGCTCTCAGGCAATAGATGATTGGCTATTTCTTTACCTCCTGTTTTTGCCTAATTAGCATTTTAGTGTGCTCTCTTTACTATCTGATTGGTCGGGTGTGAGCTAAGTTGCAAGCCCCGTGTTTAAAGGTGGAAGCGGTCACCTTCCCAGCTAGGCTTAGGGATTCTTAGTCGGCCTAGGAAATCCAGCTAGTCCTGTCTCTCAGTATGAACACCATAGAGTGTATTTACACAAATCTAGATGGTAAAGCCTACTCCATACTTTGGCTGTATGATATACCCTATTGCTTCTAGGCTACAAACCTGTACAATGTGTTACTGTACCGAATGCTGTACACAAATGTACACAATGGTATTTGTATATCTAAACATAGAAAAGGTACAGTAAAAAGGCAGTGCTATATTTTTATAAGACCACTGTCATATATGCAGTCCAACACTTACTGAAACATTGTTTTGTGGCACATGACTGTGTATGATTTTTAAAGTTACAGAATCTGCAAAATGTGTCACTAAATCCTCACTAAACCCTGTTGTATACCATCATATTTCTCAGTTTATTTATGGGCAAAATTACCTAAAACAGAATAGCCTTATTTAGAATTTTAATTCATTGTTTCCAGACACTGGTGACAATAATGCCATTATCTACAGTGGGTTTCTGGAAATAGAAACAAGTGTGTCTTATATTCCAATATGAACAATGTTCTAATTGAGGCAAAGTTTAATTGAGGAATAATTTCCTCACCATGGTTGATGATATAATAAATCACTTATGAAACAAAGATATGCCATTAAAACAAAGGTACATCAATCTGTACATCTATCATCACTCAAAGTACCGAATTGACACTGAGACTTATGGAATATTCAAGTTGGAGCTGTTCAATCCATTCTAGATTTAGAAACTGAGACCCAGAGAGTTGGTAACTGAGGCCATTGAGCTAATGGCTGCAACCTGGAATTGGATACTTTGATTCTCAACCTAGTCCTCTTTCTTCTCTACACCACATCACCCTTACAATGTTTTAAATACAGGTGTATATACAGTACATTGTGTTAAAGTTTAAAAGAACAGATTACCTGACTCCATCAATTATTATCTGTGTGAGCTAGCCAAACTTCTGCCTCAGTAACTTCATCAATGATATAGGGATATTAATAGCAATAAATCTACATGTGAGCATTAATTAGCTTATGTATATAAAGTAGGCATGGTATATAGTAGGCACTCAACAAATATCAGGCATTATTATTATTGTCACAGCAAAACTGTAGAAAAATATACATTCAATTATAAAGTCATTGGCAATTAGTTCCCTTCCCCTGCCAGCTGGCTCTCTTGAGTGGACTGGAGTTCTTAAGTTAGGAGCGACATAAAGGGTAGAATCAGTCTGGCAGGAAACAGCAGGCAGCCGCTGCTCTGGAAGCCAGGACATGGGACCTGAAGTGTGAGATCTCCACCTACTACACACACAATGAGCATTCCTCAAACCAAATCTCTCTAGATCAGACAGACAATTGAAAGATTCCTGGAATCATTGTTGCTATCCTGGAAATCTCAGCCAGATACCTGACTAGAATCAATATCAGATTGATATTAAACCTGAATGGACAACCACCACCAAGCTTCATAGTGAAGTTGGGCCTGGTTTTGGTTTGGCTATCACCCCTCCAGATTCCCAGAATTTTTACTATGGAGAGAGAGAGAGGTCTTCCAATATGCTATATGTTATATTTACAACATATATTGCTTTCAATATTAGATACATACACTATTGCTTCCATTTTATAAATTTGGAAAATATTTATGAAATATAATTCAGATGGTGTGATGGTTAATTTTATGTGTCAACTTAACCAGGCCAAGGGGTGCCTAGATTAAACACTATTTCTGGGTGTGTCTGTAAGCATGTCGCCAGATGCGATTAACATTTGAATCAGTGGACTCCAGTAGAGTAGACTGCTCTCCCCAATGTGGGTGGGCATGATCCAATCCACTGAAGCTCTGAATGGAACAAAAGGGACAGAGGAAGGAGGAATTTCAGAATTTCCCCTCCTTTGTCTTCCTGCCTGCTTGAGCTGGGACATCAGTCTTCTTCTGTCCTTGGACTGGGATTTATATCATCGACTCCCCTGGCTCTCAGACCTGCAGACTTGAACTAAAATCAAACCACTGACTTTCCTGAGTCTCCAGCATGGTGACAGGAGGTCTTGGGACTTCTCAGCCTTATAATCGTCTGAGCCAATTCCTCATAATCTCATTAAATACATATGTTCTATCTCTCTGAAGAATCTTGACTAATACATATGGTCAGTGTTTCTTAACAAAAGTTCCCGAAGAAATTTTAGACTTTAAGAGGCTAGGAATGAGGGGGAAATGGGGCAGAAGATGAGCAGGACAAGTATCCTTCTGAGGCACCTGCCTCTGCTGAGAACTTTACAGTCTGTAGGCCAAAAAAGGGTGTTCTCTTCTAGCAAGGGGGTGACATCTGCCTCTGCAGGGTCTAGGAGAATCTGGGGCTCATCCATCCAAATGTCTGCATTTTATGTATCAGAATCCCATAGTTTTTCTATTAGGACCCTAACTTTAATATAAAACAACTATAAGATTATACATTTTTAGATTTTCAGCATCGTCTGCTCTCTGATTGCAGGAGATAAAAGTGACTTTTATGGCATGTCTTCAAATTAAGTTAGAAAACGATGTAATCTCTGTATATAATCTCTGTATTTCCAAAATAACCTTCAAAACAGGCACTGGTAAACTTTTTTGAAGGGGCCAGATAACAAATATTTTGGACTGGTGGACATTGCTCTCTTTTGCAATTATTCAACTCTGCTTTGTATTGTGAAAGCAACCATGAAAAATACATAAGCAAATGATTGTGACTTTGTTCCAGTAAAACTTTATTTACAAGAACAGATGGTCAGCCTGAAGGTCATAGCTTGCCAGCCCCTGCTCTGAAGCAACTATCAAAAACCCATCCAATGACATGTTCCTTTCAATTGTTATTTTCCTCATACTGTCTAAGTGCCGCTGCTGCTGCATAAACCTGCTTCTCACCCCATACTACCACCTCATCCCACACAGAGACTCTTTGTCATTGCACTGACACTGCATGCCGGGGGCGGTCCCATTCCATTCACCACCAGCAAACGGGTTCTACTGCCCTCTGATCAGTGAGCAGTCCCATCTAGAAGATCTCCTGATGCTCTTTGTTTTCAACTCAGTTTAGCCCAGAAAGCACAACCTGAGAAAAGGGCTTGTGTGCATGCAGTCCCTGTAGAGGTGGGGAGGCAAGGGCAAGTAAGTTTAGGAAACAGGAGGGGGTAACTAGGAAGGAAGAGACAGAGGAGGAAGCAAATACAATGGTGCATTATCCTTCAAGTCAGGATTGTTGTCATCTCCATTTTACATATGAGGAGGCTGAGGCTCAGGGATGATCCATGGCTTCCCTGAAGCCACAAAGTAAGGATGCAGCAGTCAGAATGCCAGAATTCAAATGTGGATTACGTGGCTCTCCACCACTAGCTCCCAGGGTATTAAGTGCAGGGAACAGGAAGACCCCCAGCCTCTATGCTTAGACATTGTGCCACTTTAGAATAGTGTCCAACTCTAATCCTTTCAACAATCTTGTCCAATTATGTATTTAGAGAGATTGTCTAGGCCTTTCCAATCAACATTTCATGAATATACAAGCCTACCATCAACCAATTACGAGTGTGTCCAGTTCTCAGGGTGACCTGAGAGCCACATGGAACAAGAAAGCTTTCCAGCCAGTGTTTCCAGCAGCAAGCATCCTAACCCAGGCCTCGGAATCTGAAGATACAGTGCTCAAATATCAGTGCTTCTGAGCTACTAACCATTGTAATTGCCCAAGTAGATGGCCAATGAATTGCAATAATTCATAATTCAGTTTTTGGTTATTAATAAGATTTATTGTATCTTACACAAAAGAGCATTATAAAATGATAAATATTGTAGGATAGAGGCTGAGATATAACCAAATATTGCTCTTGATCTTTAGCAAAAATCACTTTCAAAGGACAATTGATTTTCAGCCTCTGATTAAATCCCTGCTAGTGGAAGTGTAGGGAGGTGACCAGCTCCTATCTCAATCAGCCAATCAATAATTATAAGCCGGGTGGGGAAAAAAAGCAGTAGTGAAATAGTTTAAAATATCTTATTCCATGGTCTCAAGTGCCGCCTGCTGACTAAAACTGTCCACTTCCAATTCCAGCACTTATTAAACTAGAGATAATATGTTAATATTAATTTGCTTTAATTAATAAAATATTCCTAGAATATGATTTTAAATTCACATGACATTCGGAAGTCACTTATATTTGCAGTATTCAAGAATTACATGAAGTATGTGCTCATTAAGAGCGATTTTAAATTTTATCTTTTGTCACCACCTGGTGGTAGAACATTTTCTCACTTTTCTTTTTTCATTTTAAGCCTTACGTTGTTGCTAAGGAAAATTTCTAAACCAGGGAAACCAGTTAACCAGTATTGATTGTCAAGTATTAATGTATACTAAACATACTGTATGTACTTAATATCTATTGAATAAATGAATGAGTTTTTAATCTGTTTTAGTGGATTGCAAATGTACTTAATCTTTTCATTTGAATGACAAGAAGTTCTCAAATGTAATGAATAAAAGCGGTCCACAGTATTATTTTGTCAGAGGCAGTTTTCTTTCTTTAAAGTTTAATTGGATTTTTGTTTATGGTAATACAAACACATAATTAAAAAGTAGTTGATTTAAAAACGCATTTTATTATGCCCTCAAGAATAAATTCATTTAACATTGTAATATTTTTAAAATATTTTCCATAATACTAGGAGGTAGGAGAATATTTAATTAGAATTTATTAAACATGATTGAGAAGATGTGAAACTTTTGCAAATTCTTAACTTGAACTATTAAGAATAAAAAAGGAAAGGAAAGAAAAAAAAAAAAAAAACACCAAGTCGCACATCATTTGTTGTAGACCATCGCCACCTTGTGTTTGGAGAAAGATGTACTAAAGTCTGAGAATCTTTTAAGGTGGAAATTTTTTATTGCTGGAAAATTCCTATTTATAATTAAAACAAAACTTTACTGGAAACAACATCATTCCAAAGTCTGACAATATAATTACCTCCTACACAATTAGATAGGTTAAAATGTCAAAACAGTTGATTAAAAGTTATGAGTCAGAGTCATTTCTAAGCCCCCAGTTTGACTCTCGCTATGACATCTTGGGAAAACTACTTAACCCTTTTGAGTCTCATTTCTGCATCAGTTACACAAAGGGAGTCGATCTGGCAGATCATACTCCTCTGAGTTCTGTGAGGGCATGATGTGGAGGGAATATCAATTTTGAGTCTAAATGCAAGCTACAATAATTTTTCTGTCTCCAATATTTGCAATACTTCTGGGTATATAACCTGTTTAAACTAGAAGTTTTCTAACTACTTTCTCATTTGTGATCAATTAAAATATCCATTTGTCCAATATTACTTTAGACCATATGTTCCCAAAAGTAGGACTAATACCAAACAGCTTCCCTATTTCTAATTAGTCAATCTTATGGTACTAAAATGTGAATAAAAAGCATTTCCCGGTTATGAAATATGCACATTAGTTGTTTCTCTAGACAATGTTTACATTAAAACAATTCTAATAGCTCATGTATATTACCAGATTTCCTCATTTCATGGCTACTTGTTGAATACTTACTTTGGTATAGACGTCGTGAAAATTGTGAATAGAATATTGTGTCTATAACATATGAATCTGTGAAACAAATAAGAACACATAAGGTGTAAATAGAAATTGACACCTTGATGCTTATCTCTCACTTTAAAATGCAGACAACTTGTTCTTTTTTTCAGACAGTCCCTCTGTTCATAGAGGACAATAATGTGTTTAATAGGTCAAACTGTTAATTGTTCCAATAATTTTATGTCAAATGTTTTGAGTTTTGTTCTGTTATCTCTAGAAATAAAAATTAGCTTACATATGTAAATTAGAACATGTTGAGATTAATGTTTATATAAGCCCATATGTATTCTATAAAAATAAAACCCAAAATATGGGGAGTAGGGATTAGGATAGCATGTGTTATTTTGGGTGCCCATTCAAATCAAGGAGCAAAAATTGGATTATGAAACTCACTACAAGAACCCCATATTACATGTCACTTTTACTAGTGCCTTGTACAAATTTACTCCTGTGGTCTTGTTTCTACATTCAAATGTTTTTCCAATTCACATTTTGCTTATAAATATACATATATGTCCTATGTATATATTTGCATATTACCACAAATGCCTGATGAGTGCTAATCTTTAAATAAAAGAGAAAAAGTAAGTGGATTAAATGTTCTTCTGAGCATAGATGGAGTTTTTCAGCTTAGTAGTTGGCAACTCCAACATCCATGTCTCTGTTGAAGCGATTAAAAAAGAATCATTTCCCAGAACTACAGGTGCACAACAGATTGGAGTCATTATGCAAAAGAACAGAAATCTGGATAGAAACCCAGAGAATAAAAAAGCCATGTTCCCGGCCATCCTTTTGCCTTTAACTCACTGTTTTTTCAACCCTACTTGTATCTGCAACATGAAATATGAAACAATTATAATGGATTTGTAGTAACCCATTCAAGATCAGAAATGTATGCTTTTAAACAAACCTCCAATAAGAATACCCTGCAGGTAGAAACACACTAAAGGTCAAACTTACGTTAACATATTTTTAAAAGCTAAAGTTTATGTAGAGAAGTTGATAGACTGAAATACATTACATATGTCTTTAAAGATACAGATTTTCTGCTGTTTTTGTCCCTTTTTGCCCCAATTTAAGGGAATCACATCTACCTTCACTCATCTTCATTCAGCCTCTGGGCCACCTCTCCTTGAGATGGAGATTATGAGTGTCCAAAATCTCCATCTCAAATCTCCATCTCAAAGCCACTCTGAGGCTGTAACTGTTGTCACCATATATTATCTTCTGAGCCCTTTTCTAAGCAAGAGGTTGAAAATGTACGGATGGCTTTGCCTTCAAGCTTTTGTGATCCCGCGGTCAATATCTTGAAAGTCTAACATGACTTTCCTCATATGTTCTCTCAAGTATCTTGCCTTTTTTCTAGCTAGAAAGAACCAGTAAAATGAAATGAAATCATAGAAAATGGACCGTCAAAAAATTACTGTAATAGAAGATAACAATGTTAAAAAAAAAAGTCTGAAAACCAAACTGGGAAGTAGGAATGATCAGATGTTTGGGAAAAGACGCTTGGGAAACAGAGAAACAGGAAGGAATAATCCTCGTAGTTCGAAGTCGAAGAGAAGGAGGTAGGCTGGACAATGCTTGACAATGCAGAAAGGAATCACACACTCAGGTGTGCGGATGTCAATGTTGAGTTTGAAGGAGAAATGCAACGGCGGGAGGGGGGGAGAGACAGCGAGGGCTGCAAAGGAGAGACTCAGTGAAAAGAGGTAGGCAGAAACACTATCAGAATGTTAATCGAGCGCTGTCAAAATATATCTAAGGCCTTGGTTGATTATTCAACGTTCAACGATGAGGGTGATTTTAGGAAACCAAAATTAAATCTACGAAACCACCCACTCCTAAATGTGTAGGGACTAGAGGTCGTTACTAAGCCCTTCAGAAGTAAGCTGAGTTGCTTCTCTCTGCCATTCTTGCTCATTTGATTTTTCCTGATGAGTGGAAAGCAATGTTTTTGTTTTTGTTTTTCAAGTAAGCAATCTCGCTAGGAAAAAAGAAGTTGGAAAGCATCCGGAAAAGAAAGCTTGTAAGAGGGACGTGTGGGAGAACTAGAAGGGACGCTTCTGGCTGGGGCCAACTGAAGTGGGGAAGATCTGGGGAGGAGCGAGGAAAGGACCCAGATCTACTTGGAGCCAACCAAGAGACCGGACGGGAGTGGGGCGGAAAGGCGGAGACCAGTTCGAGCACTAACGCGGGGGCGCGCGAGTGTGAGGGTTGCGGGTCCGCCCGGGGCTAGGGCGGTCGCTCTCGCCATTGTCCCCGCGGCTTTCCGCCTGTGAAACACGTCCTTCCTCTGGGTCCTTGAGCCCCTCCCACTTTTTGGAGAGAAGAGCCACTCAGTTTTTTTTCCTAAGGACCTGTTGGTGGACCTCTCCTCGCTTTCGTAACGCGGATATAGCCTTTTCCCTTCCTGGTAGGAAGAGGAAGGAGGGGTCCGGGAAGGAAGCCGATTTCCTTCTTTCCCCCTCTGCACGCTTGCTAGCCCCAGCGATCGCTGCTGGCCCCCGGGTAGGAAAGTGGGGTTCCTGGCCGTTTCTGCGACGCTGGCCTAGGGCTTGCAGCTGCTGTTGAGTGAAAGCACGCAGACTGGCGGGAGCCGATCATTTCTCGAATGAAGAAGAAAAAGCGCAATTCCCTCCTTATGCTCTAGGGAATTGAGCCGCGTCCCAGATCACCCATTCCAGAAATGTGAAACCGGGCCCTCACAAAGTCGTCTCTGGTGAAGAGGTGGCGTGCGGGGTGGGGGTTGGTGGAGGGTGAAGGCATAAGCAAACATATTTTAAAATCCAGATCGTAGGAAGTGTCACCTGGCCCCTCACCCAGGCATGCTTTCTGGGGGAAGCGCAGGGCCAAGCTTTCCCTAGAAAAGCTGGGGCGAAGAGAGAGCAGGCGGCGGCTAAGGAGCTCCTGGCAGGCTGGGAAGGTGGAGAAGTGGGGTGAGGTATTTTTCTAGAAAGTGTAGCCCTAGCTCATCTCCTAGATTGGGGAAGAGGGAACTGAGGGAGGAGGGAAGGAGACCCAGGGCAGCTCCAGGATAGGGAAATGTTGAAGAAGGGACTGCGTTCTCCAACCGAACCCTCCCTCCTGGGAACCGCAGCCCAGCGCGGTAACTGAGTTACCGCAACCGGGCGGTGGGGAGGAAGGGTGGTCCAGGAAACCGGCGAGGGAGAAAAGCGGTGGAAGGGAGAGTCTTCTCCCTGGAGCGGCCCCAGCAGTACAAAGTGCTGGTCACAGCGCCCCTTCCGCCCCTAGATTGACGAGCAGTGGCGTGGAGCCAGCGCGGAGGCTGCCCCCTCCCCCTCCCGAGCCCGCAGCGCGGAGCGCGGTTTAGCACCAACGGAGCCGGGGGCGGCGTCTTTGGGATGGAAAAGGGCCAAAGGGGAGGAGTGGGGTGGGGGTGGGGGTTTCACTGGTCCACTATAAAAGGACCGCTCGGCTGCCCGGTTCTTGCACTCGCTGGAAAGCGGCTCCGAGCCAGGGGCTATTGCAAAGCCAGGGTGCGCTACCGGACGGAGAGGGGAGAGCCCTGAGCAGAGTGAGCAACATCGCAGCCAAGGCGGAGGCCGAAGAGGGGCGCCAGGCACCAATCTCCGCGTTGCCTCAGCCCCGGAGGCGCCCCAGAGCGCTTCTTGTCCCAGCAGAGCCACTCTGCCTGCGCCTGCCTCTCAGTGTCTCCAACTTTGCGCTGGAAGAAAAACTTCCCGCGCGCCGGCAGAACTGCAGCGCCTCCTTTTAGTGACTCCGGGAGCTTCGGCTGTAGCCGGCTCTGCGCGCCCTTCCAACGAATAATAGAAATTGTTAATTTTAACAATCCAGAGCAGGCCAACGAGGCTTTGCTCTCCCGACCCGAACTAAAGGTCCCTCGCTCCGTGCGCTGCTACGAGCGGTGTCTCCTGGGGCTCCAATGCAGCGAGCTGTGCCCGAGGGGTTCGGAAGGCGCAAGCTGGGCAGCGACATGGGGAACGCGGAGCGGGCTCCGGGGTCTCGGAGCTTTGGGCCAGTACCCACGCTGCTGCTGCTCGCCGCGGCGCTACTGGCCGTGTCGGACGCACTCGGGCGCCCCTCCGAGGAGGACGAGGAGCTAGTGGTGCCGGAGCTGGAGCGCGCCCCGGGACACGGGACCACGCGCCTCCGCCTGCACGCCTTTGACCAGCAGCTGGATCTGGAGCTGCGGCCCGACAGCAGCTTTTTGGCGCCCGGCTTCACGCTCCAGAACGTGGGGCGCAAATCCGGGTCCGAGACGCCGCTTCCGGAAACCGACCTGGCGCACTGCTTCTACTCCGGCACCGTGAATGGCGATCCCAGCTCGGCTGCCGCCCTCAGCCTCTGCGAGGGCGTGCGCGGCGCCTTCTACCTGCTGGGGGAGGCGTATTTCATCCAGCCGCTGCCCGCCGCCAGCGAGCGCCTCGCCACCGCCGCCCCAGGGGAGAAGCCGCCGGCACCACTACAGTTCCACCTCCTGCGGCGGAATCGGCAGGGCGACGTCGGCGGCACGTGCGGGGTCGTGGACGACGAGCCCCGGCCGACTGGGAAAGCGGAGACCGAAGACGAGGACGAAGGGACTGAGGGCGAGGACGAAGGGGCTCAGTGGTCGCCGCAGGACCCGGCACTGCAAGGCGTAGGACAGCCCACAGGTAGAAGAATTGCTCTCGTTTGTCTGTCCATTCATCCTCCTCTCCTCACTTTATCTATCCCACGCGACTTCAGGGTAGACTCCTGCTGGCAGGCAGGATCATAAGTCCGCGGACAGAACGGAGGCCTGGAGTGGAGGAATGTGGTTTGAGGTTTGGATTGGTGAACTCAGCTAGAAAACATACTTGCATTTGCCCGAATAATGAATAACCAAGAAAAAAACTGACAAACGATTTTCTGCAAACTAAAGCAAAGCATTTAGGCCGGGGAGGGAGAGTTTGTAACCTGACTCCTTCCACCTTTAGCGAGTTGGAGCTTGTGCGAGTTCTTTCCACTCTGTGTATTTCTTTTTAATGATTTTGTGTGCGCCTTTTGTGCGGGTTGCAACGTTGCGCTGAGTTTTGTAACCGCTGCCTGTGCGTGCATCCTGCGCTCACGGGAGGGCGGATGTGGAGAGGGCAGAGGAGCAATGGTGACCTGGGAAGGTACCCTGAGCGGCTACGCTAGGATCTCTGTTCTGCAGACTTCTGTCCCCTTTCCCCCTTATAAGGCTGACCCAGGCGGGCTGAAGGCGGTGGGGCCCCTTCGCAGAACCTGCTTGGGAGGTCTTTCCCGGGTTTGCCCCGCCTCCCAGTTTGCACTCCCTCTCGCGGCCATAATTCTGCTCTCAAGCACTGTTGAAAGTCACTGCCGGTCCTTCCTGCTACGGCCTTCTCTCTGTGCAGTGCTTATTCTCCAGTTCTTTTTGTTTCATCACTTTGGTGCCTTTTTCCTTCTTTAACTCTCTCGCGTGTCATTTTTTAAAGAATTCTCCCCTTTTCCCCTGCTCCTCTGCTCCTGGGAGCAAAGTGGTCGCAGCCCAGTTTAGGACTTTCTGCAGGGGTTGGGTCTCAGTCCGGAGTGGAAGGCTCTGTTCCAAATAATCAATCATGCCTGGAAGCTGGAACTTATTTCGCTGGGGCAGTGGGAGTGGGGCCAGAGGCTGCTGGGCAGAGTGGGTGGTCCTTGTGCCCGGAATTGGCAAGAGCGGAGCACCCCAGGGACCCCTGGAATGAGACAGCAGAGCTGTGCAGTCTGAGATTCCTTAAGGCCCGGCCCCTTGGCAGCAGCCCAGGCCCTACCCGAGGCCTTCCACGTGGAGCCTGATGATCTCATTCAGGATTTGAGCCCTCGCCTGTGAAAGAGTGACTCAGGGCCTCTGCCTGCCGCTCTTGCTCCAAGATTTTACTACAATTGGGTAGGATTATGTGCGAAATTGCCTTGTTCAGACTGTGGGATTTCAAAGAGAACAGAAGAAATCCTGCTCACACACAGAAAGATCCTGACCATGCAAAGGAGCGCGTGGTCTTTTTATTTAAAGGAGAGGAGAGAACTTTAAAAATAACACTTGGAGTGAAGATATGCAAATATTTTTGTTATTGTTGTTCTGGGTATATTTTTGCTTTGTTTGCTTTGACTGGTTAGGCTTTCCTAATATATGCTAGGAAGGTAACTATTCTTGGACAGCCTGACCATAAGCAAACTTTTTTTTTTCTTTACAGGAACTGGAAGCATAAGAAAGAAGCGATTTGTGTCCAGTCACCGCTATGTGGAAACCATGCTTGTGGCAGACCAGTCGATGGCAGAATTCCACGGCAGTGGTCTAAAGCATTACCTTCTCACGTTGTTTTCGGTGGCAGCCAGATTGTACAAACACCCCAGCATTCGTAATTCAGTTAGCCTGGTGGTGGTGAAGATCTTGGTCATCCACGATGAACAGAAGGGGCCGGAAGTGACCTCCAATGCTGCCCTCACTCTGCGGAACTTTTGCAACTGGCAGAAGCAGCACAACCCACCCAGTGACCGGGATGCAGAGCACTATGACACAGCAATTCTTTTCACCAGACAGGTAAGAGGAAGATGGTACCAGCTGTGAGACTGTCCTCTTAGGAGTCTACGTTGTACCAAAAAGATATATACAAGGCATTTCACCAGTGTTTTTGCAGTTAACCTTTTTTAATTGGCTAGCATGGTTTATCTTACTCATTTCTACTGTAATTTAAATATCTCAAGTTTCACAGTTCTATTTTAAAAGCATTAGAAAAAAGCTTGATTAAAGTCACATGAAGTCTTCTTATGTCAACAATAATGAATGTAGATGCTCCAAAGCATATGTGAAGGCACACCCTGCCAAAAAAGTTAGATCCCAAGGGTCATGCTCCCCTTATTAATAAGTATTTACCTTTGCTTTTTGTAGGACTTGTGTGGGTCCCAGACATGTGATACTCTTGGGATGGCTGATGTTGGAACTGTGTGTGATCCGAGCAGAAGCTGCTCCGTCATAGAAGATGATGGTTTACAAGCTGCCTTCACCACAGCCCATGAATTAGGTAAGTCTGCTTCAAAGTAGAAGTTAAGCTCAATTCAGAAATGTAAACTGGTAAAACAATATAAGAAGGAGAGTCTGTAGGTTATATTGCTATTTTAGGTCCTAGTGCATCTTAGAAACTATAGAAAATATTTTGTCACTATTTCAAACATGGTCATTTTTATTAAAGTAAAAAATAAGATAGTAGTAGCTCTGGACATTTGGAAATGTGTATGTTTGTTTACACCCTGTGAAAAGTAGACATGGTCTGCAAAAGAGCCAATCTCCTAAATATATTTCTTTCTCTAGAAATGTTATTTTGGGACAAATGAATGAATCCCTGTTGGGAAAAAAGAACCTGCTGCATATCATCCATATTTTATTTTATTATTATTTTTTTTGAGATGGAGTCTCACTCTGTCTCCCAGGCTGGAGTGGAGTGGCACAATCTCGGCTCACTGCAACTTCTGCCTCCTGGGTTCAAGCGATTCTGCTGCCTCAGCATGCCCAGTAGCTGGGATTACAGGTGCATGCCACCACACCCGGCTAATTTTTGTATTTTTAGTAGAGACGGGGTTTCACTATGTTGGCCATGCTGGTCTTGAACTCCTGACCTCAAGTGATCCACCCGCCTCGGCTTCTGGAATTACAGGTGTGAGCCACCGCACCCAGCCATGATCCATACTTTAATGTGGGTTCTGGATTGCTTCCTAGGCCACGTGTTTAACATGCCACATGATGATGCAAAGCAGTGTGCCAGCCTTAATGGTGTGAACCAGGATTCCCACATGATGGCGTCAATGCTTTCCAACCTGGACCACAGCCAGCCTTGGTCTCCTTGCAGTGCCTACATGATTACATCATTTCTGGATAATGGTCATGGTGAGATATTCCAGCTACTCTCTCTAGATGGCATCCAACCTTTCACGCATAAAGTTTAGTTAAATGAACTCTTTCCTTTTTGTTCTTTTTATTTTCCCCACTTCAAAATTACTTTTCCTCTGTCAAGATCCTAACTGTTGAGATCTTAATTCCAAATAAAAAATAGTGCTTCCGGTTGAGTAGCTCCCAAAGCCCATTCATTCACATTGTTCGCAGATCAATAACTTCCTGTCATTGTTAATATAGAAATACCCCATTGAGGATAAGATCTTAATAGTAATCTAAATCTCTTCAGCATTTCCCTCCCCCAGCTTTACAGTTTTCAGATCACTTTGCTGTCTATTTTCTCATATGATAAATATTTTCTGAAATGGGATCTACCCCTTCATGCCCTCACTAACTCTGTATTGATATTGGTTGGCATTTCCTTTGCAGGGGAATGTTTGATGGACAAGCCTCAGAATCCCATACAGCTCCCAGGCGATCTCCCTGGCACCTCGTACGATGCCAACCGGCAGTGCCAGTTTACATTTGGGGAGGACTCCAAACACTGCCCCGATGCAGCCAGCACATGTAGCACCTTGTGGTGTACCGGCACCTCTGGTGGGGTGCTGGTGTGTCAAACCAAACACTTCCCGTGGGCGGATGGCACCAGCTGTGGAGAAGGGAAATGGTGTATCAACGGCAAGTGTGTGAACAAAACCGACAGAAAGCATTTTGATGTGAGTTTTTCTACTGAAACACATTCAGAATTGAAAAGAACAAAGTGATGGTAAAAGATATGATACCAAGTTAAACATCCCCATCCGTGTCCTCTAGCAGGAATGCGAGATAGCTTATTTTTAGAACTGATTCTTTGTCCCATGTGGCTTTCTTTGATACCCTAAAAGTTCTCTTTAGATAATTCTAATGCTGATGATTTATGTCTCCATTTAGACGCCTTTTCATGGAAGCTGGGGAATGTGGGGGCCTTGGGGAGACTGTTCGAGAACGTGCGGTGGAGGAGTCCAGTACACGATGAGGGAATGTGACAACCCAGTCCCAAAGAATGGAGGGAAGTACTGTGAAGGCAAACGAGTGCGCTACAGATCCTGTAACCTTGAGGACTGTCCAGACAATAATGGTGAGGAGCAACGGACTCTGGTTTTAAGAAACTGGATTAAAAAAAGATGTACCCACAAACAGGTGGCTCAAGATTGGAAACTGATAATGTTATCATATTATTCTCTTTCCAGGAAAAACCTTTAGAGAGGAACAATGTGAAGCACACAACGAGTTTTCAAAAGCTTCCTTTGGGAGTGGGCCTGCGGTGGAATGGATTCCCAAGTACGCTGGCGTCTCACCAAAGGACAGGTGCAAGCTCATCTGCCAAGCCAAAGGCATTGGCTACTTCTTCGTTTTGCAGCCCAAGGTAGTTCGTTTTTACCTTATTTTTACCTAAAAATCAAGGCCTGGGCTTGCTACCTTTTCAAACAATTTTTGTTATACTTTCTTTGCTTTCCATATTAACATATCTTCAATTTCAAATTTGAACTCCTTTTCTTTTACATTAATTGGCAACTG
Organism: Homo sapiens; assembly: GCF_000001405.40. NCBI lineage: Eukaryota > Metazoa > Chordata > Mammalia > Primates > Hominidae > Homo > Homo sapiens. Next base: position 26,839,434 of record NC_000021.9, on the reverse strand, counting down.
CCTGCTTTGAGTTTAGTGTTTTCAGTTATGAATGAAGCTTAAATCTAACACTTCACATGCTTGCAATTGCTCGCTATTACTCTTTTATATGCAAAGAAAAGCTTTTTGGACAGTCAAGCGCTCCTCTGTGCGACTAGGCTTCACATACAGCTCATAGTTAGATACATTTTATATTCACACAGTAACCAGTAGTTTTGGAAAATAGTCTATGCATGGTCCAAAATACTTGTTACTGGGTAACTAGCAGTAGCAGGTGCAAACAGAATAATAGAAGTGGTAGTCTGAGTATTGATTATTTTTATGTTTGAAAACACATATTGAACTAGGAAAAGCATCATTTCTTTTGCTGTTTTGCTAAGGGAATACATCTGGATCTGAGACAGAAAATGGAATTTAATGTGATTGAGATGATCGTGTGTCATTAGCACCATAGGCTATGAAAATATTCCCAAGTTGCAGATTCAATATTCAGCAAGTGATTTCTGAAGCACTTACTCTTGCCAGATACTAATTATTCTAGGCTCTGAAGATACAGCAGTAAACAAAGTGACAAACAGCTCTACTTTCATTGACCTTAGCTGGAGGAGACATAGGTCAATAGATAAATAATTTTTAAAAATATCTAATTTCTTCAGATGTCTATACGTAGTACTGAAAAATATGCCAAAGTGAAGGGTAAATGCATGAAATGCATAATGTGTAGAGGGTACTGTGTTTAATTAGCATGGTCAGGAAAGTAGAGAGAAAATGTTTACACTTATCATTGCAGCATCTCCTTCCTTTGCTTGTATGTAACACTAGACATGTGTCCTTTTTTCAGGTTGTAGATGGTACTCCATGTAGCCCAGATTCCACCTCTGTCTGTGTGCAAGGACAGTGTGTAAAAGCTGGTTGTGATCGCATCATAGACTCCAAAAAGAAGTTTGATAAATGTGGTGTTTGCGGGGGAAATGGATCTACTTGTAAAAAAATATCAGGATCAGTTACTAGTGCAAAGTAAGTTTTAAAACACCTATTTGCAGACCTTATAATTTAAATGGGCCTTTCAACAGGTCTGGGAAAAAAATATGTCTCATAAAAGATTAATGTGTTTTTAAGCTAAATAATCTAATTAGCCAATGAATCAGAGATTTATGCCTGTTTTTGTCACCTGCAGACCTGGATATCATGATATCATCACAATTCCAACTGGAGCCACCAACATCGAAGTGAAACAGCGGAACCAGAGGGGATCCAGGAACAATGGCAGCTTTCTTGCCATCAAAGCTGCTGATGGCACATATATTCTTAATGGTGACTACACTTTGTCCACCTTAGAGCAAGACATTATGTACAAAGGTGTTGTCTTGAGGTACAGCGGCTCCTCTGCGGCATTGGAAAGAATTCGCAGCTTTAGCCCTCTCAAAGAGCCCTTGACCATCCAGGTTCTTACTGTGGGCAATGCCCTTCGACCTAAAATTAAATACACCTACTTCGTAAAGAAGAAGAAGGAATCTTTCAATGCTATCCCCACTTTTTCAGCATGGGTCATTGAAGAGTGGGGCGAATGTTCTAAGTCATGTGAATTGGGTTGGCAGAGAAGACTGGTAGAATGCCGAGACATTAATGGACAGCCTGCTTCCGAGTGTGCAAAGGAAGTGAAGCCAGCCAGCACCAGACCTTGTGCAGACCATCCCTGCCCCCAGTGGCAGCTGGGGGAGTGGTCATCATGTTCTAAGACCTGTGGGAAGGGTTACAAAAAAAGAAGCTTGAAGTGTCTGTCCCATGATGGAGGGGTGTTATCTCATGAGAGCTGTGATCCTTTAAAGAAACCTAAACATTTCATAGACTTTTGCACAATGGCAGAATGCAGTTAAGTGGTTTAAGTGGTGTTAGCTTTGAGGGCAAGGCAAAGTGAGGAAGGGCTGGTGCAGGGAAAGCAAGAAGGCTGGAGGGATCCAGCGTATCTTGCCAGTAACCAGTGAGGTGTATCAGTAAGGTGGGATTATGGGGGTAGATAGAAAAGGAGTTGAATCATCAGAGTAAACTGCCAGTTGCAAATTTGATAGGATAGTTAGTGAGGATTATTAACCTCTGAGCAGTGATATAGCATAATAAAGCCCCGGGCATTATTATTATTATTTCTTTTGTTACATCTATTACAAGTTTAGAAAAAACAAAGCAATTGTCAAAAAAAGTTAGAACTATTACAACCCCTGTTTCCTGGTACTTATCAAATACTTAGTATCATGGGGGTTGGGAAATGAAAAGTAGGAGAAAAGTGAGATTTTACTAAGACCTGTTTTACTTTACCTCACTAACAATGGGGGGAGAAAGGAGTACAAATAGGATCTTTGACCAGCACTGTTTATGGCTGCTATGGTTTCAGAGAATGTTTATACATTATTTCTACCGAGAATTAAAACTTCAGATTGTTCAACATGAGAGAAAGGCTCAGCAACGTGAAATAACGCAAATGGCTTCCTCTTTCCTTTTTTGGACCATCTCAGTCTTTATTTGTGTAATTCATTTTGAGGAAAAAACAACTCCATGTATTTATTCAAGTGCATTAAAGTCTACAATGGAAAAAAAGCAGTGAAGCATTAGATGCTGGTAAAAGCTAGAGGAGACACAATGAGCTTAGTACCTCCAACTTCCTTTCTTTCCTACCATGTAACCCTGCTTTGGGAATATGGATGTAAAGAAGTAACTTGTGTCTCATGAAAATCAGTACAATCACACAAGGAGGATGAAACGCCGGAACAAAAATGAGGTGTGTAGAACAGGGTCCCACAGGTTTGGGGACATTGAGATCACTTGTCTTGTGGTGGGGAGGCTGCTGAGGGGTAGCAGGTCCATCTCCAGCAGCTGGTCCAACAGTCGTATCCTGGTGAATGTCTGTTCAGCTCTTCTGTGAGAATATGATTTTTTCCATATGTATATAGTAAAATATGTTACTATAAATTACATGTACTTTATAAGTATTGGTTTGGGTGTTCCTTCCAAGAAGGACTATAGTTAGTAATAAATGCCTATAATAACATATTTATTTTTATACATTTATTTCTAATGAAAAAAACTTTTAAATTATATCGCTTTTGTGGAAGTGCATATAAAATAGAGTATTTATACAATATATGTTACTAGAAATAAAAGAACACTTTTGGAATGTGTGTGTCTGTTTTTTGAAGTGGGAATTCATTCCTAGGAAGGAAACCTGAGGCACAAATATTGAATCTGAAGACCGAATTATTTTCTTAAATTATTTGGCAATAAGATTTTGTTCTAGAGGAAGGTGAAGCAAGACGGCTGAATAGAAGATTTTTTTCTAATGAGATGTATTTCTTATATCCTTGGTATACATGATTGCTAAAAAGAAAGAAATTTATGATGTCATTTGTTACTAATGTATCTAATAATATACATCAGTGGTTGGCAAACTTCTTTTGTAAAAAGCCAAATGGTAAATATTTGCAACTTTGTCAATCCTGTCAATAACTATCCTGTCAATACCATCTATGTCACAACTGCTCAACTGTGCTGTTGTAGCACAAAACTAGCCATAAAGAATGAGTAAGTGAATGGACATGGCTGTGTTCTAAAAAAACTACTTGCAAAAACAAATAATGGGTCAGATTTGTTCTGCAGATTCAGTTTGCCAACCCTGGTATATACCATAAATTAAATGGAAAGAGCTTTCAGTTCTGGATGCTTTTTGAATTTGTATCTCTTCCTCAATTATATCCCATAAGTAAAAATACGTGAAAGTATTTAGCTATTGAGTAGAAAACAATGACTCATAAATTACATGTAGTAACGTTAGACATACATGGTGAGTTAAACCCTCTAAATGCTTCACTTGCTCATCAGGAATACCTGAGGGGTTTTGGAGAAAACTTGGAAAGCCCAGGCCTTTCTGCATAGTCTTTTTGTAAATCACTGTCTTTTAAATACTAAGTGGCATATCAATAACTAAAAGTTCAGATTCCTTCCAAAGTAACTACACTTCTCCCAGGAAATAGTATTTACTAGAAGACTCAGATTATGTGGTTAACCACAGACATTTTGAACTCTACGTTTTTCTTCTTTTCCTTGAAAGGAGGAGTTTGTGCCCTCTTCTGTTGCAGTTTGATAAAGACACACCCAAGACTGGGAAAAAAAAGAGGTTTAGTGGACTCACAGTTCCACATGGCTAGGGAGGCCTCACAGTCATGGCGGAAGGCAAGATGGAGCAAGTCATGTCTTGCGTGGATGCGGCTGGCAAAGAGAGAGAGCCTGTGCAGGGGAACTCCTCTTTATAAAGCCATCAGATCTGATGAGACTTATCCACTATCACAACAACAGCACAGAAAAGACCCGCCCCCATGATGCATTTACCTCCCACTGCATCCCACAACACACAGGAATTATGGGAACTACAATTCAAGATGAGATTTGGTGGGGACACAGCCAAACCATATCACAGGTATTACAATATAGCATGCTAGTTTTTATGTATAGGTGATAATTTCTAACTTACTCTCAGTTATTCAAAGTGTTCTTCCCCTGAGCAATTGAACATATCATTCTCAGCAGTCAGGTGTACAGGTGCAGAGAATCAAATTAATTTCTGGTTATTTTTTTTTCCTACCTACTAGACTAAAGGACTGAAAGTTAAAGTCATCTTCTCACATTGTGGGAACTAGTCTTGCTCCTCCAGAACTCATTTAAACGCAGAATTTAATCATTCAATTCAGTGGCCTAACTTGCCACTTGCAACAACAACCTCTCACAATAAATTATTTGTCTACATTAGTGCAGTACAAATCCCCACAGTAAGTGACATGGAGGATATACATGAGAAATGCCCTGACCCTCATTAACTATACATGCCATTTGAGAAAATGAGATATATAAATCTAAAATGATAGCTCATAAGATTAAAAAGTCACTTTTAGATCTTGCCTCATTCACCAGAATTCTTTTCTTTTTAATAGCTTAGATTGATTTGATGTAAGTAATGACACTAAACTTCAGGACACTAAGAGATCAAATCAGCCAAAAAATTTCCTATCATCCTCTCAGATCAAGGCAATGTCAGACAACTTTCTGGTGTTGCCACATTGTTTTTCAGCCCTCTGCTGGTGAAATTTTTTTTTCATCAGTAGGCTGAGTAGTTTAAGATACTCTGCTGGCAGAGATTAGCTCAAAACACACATCCTGGTTTTAGAAGATTGATTAACCGCTTGCTTGAAAGAAGGAGAGATTTTGTGCTCTCTCCTGTTACAGGTATAAATGATGAGCTGTGCCTCTGCTGAAAGAAACTTTCCACAGTGGAAAGATCAGGGACTCAAGGCCTGCAGTCTGGTTTCCTTTGTCCCATACGATGCTCCTTTAATGTGATGCACTCCCACACCCCTAAGAGTAGCGGTCCCTGAGGGCCAGACTACCGTGAATACTGCTGCTCCTCTGGGTCTCATCCCCAGTGAGGTTTCCATACTCCATGCTGGTGCTGGTGAATGTTTGCAAGGGATCCAGTGATGTGATCTGTCTGGTCCCCCAGCAGTGGATATCAGTACCAGCTCAGTTGTGGGTGGGAAGGGAGTGACGTAGACCCTGTGAGATTTCCGTGGTTATAAATAGCCTTAGTGTGTTGGCCTTCTCAAATACGGCTGTGGTGGTCATGTACTGGGCACATGGACAGACTCAAGATCTACTGGCTAGCCAGGGTGATGTAGGCAATGGTGATAGTTGAGGTTGTGCAAGTTTTCTCCTTCCTGGGCACTGTGTTATTGTACCTGCAGATGTTGTAATGGGCTGTGCCACTTGGCCTCCAGCCAGGAGGTGGCACTTGCAAAAGAATGCCAACTGTGTTGGTAGTTTTGGGATTCGTGCTTGCCTTATGTTACCATGGGTAGGGGAGTCGGGGGGAAGGGAGTGGCGTACTCTGGTATTTCAGGCAATGTGCAGGGCCATGGAGCTCCCAGGAGTCTCTGTCCATTGTATCACACTACCAGGGCAGATGAAGGGGCAAAGCCAGGTGGGGACTGGGTCAGGCAAGTTTGCTGTTTGGCTCCCCACTTGTGAGTACAAGCAGCAGCCCCAGTGGTGATCAGAGGGCAACTCCCTGCCTGCTGGGGTAATGTTACAGGGAGGAGTATAGCTGCCTCTGCTGTACAAATGAATCCACATGGGGAGTCGGGGGTAGCAGGTGGCAGTAAGCCCCACTCAGCCCCCACACACTTGGCAAGGCAGGTCTCGCATCCACAGTGTTCTACTAGCAGCAGCTAGCTGGGTTCCAGACAGCCTGCACTCAGAATTCCAAACTGCCCCAGGCCAGAAGCATTCTGGGCTGAGAGAGAAACTGCGGCTTTCAGGCCACACCTCTTCTGGTCCTCCAGCAAAGCGTGGGCATCCAGCTTCTGTGCCTGTGGCTATAGCACAGTTCCCACTTGACTCTCAATTCTGGCCAATGGGGTTCATTCCCACTCAAAATTATACCGCACATCTGTTGGGAGCATCTCTCATCCCATGACCATTAACTCAATTAGCTGGCAGACTTCTGCGAGGTCCTCCGTGAGGTAGGATCAGGCATGATTTCCTTCCATCACCACTGGATTCTGCGAGTGAACACAAAGCAGATCCGCACGCCATTCCTCATATGCTCCCCACAGCAGTAAGTCAGCTCCAGCGCTGGATAGAGTGAAGGCCTCCCAGCGTGGCCTGGATTGCCTGGCTCCTCAGTGAGAGTGTGTGTCATAAATGCAGTCTCTCCCTCTCACGCTCTGGACACTCACAGGTTTTTGTGTGGTTCACGGCGTAAGCTGCTGCTCACCACTTCTTTGAAATAGGTCTGTGGTTTCTTTCAGTTTTTTGATTAATTTCCTATGCTGTTTCTTGGAAAAACGTTCACAGCATGAATTTCTACACAGTATTTTGTCTTTTCAAGTGGGAGAGGCATGCTAACAATGCATCCAGTTCACCATCTTAGAAAAAAAGAAAAAAAAATCCAAGCACAATTTTCGGATCAGAGATTTCATCTACGATTGGCAAAAATAGTTCCCAGCTCTTTGTTTCATTTGTCTTCTAGAAGAGTCCACTACAGATATTAACGAAAGAGGAACAATATACAGCAGCCATAATTTTCTAACCTCATTGATTTCCCAAAAGAAAAAAATACTTATTAATATTAAGATTGCGTGTGCTGGGACTATCAAGGAAATTAAGCAAAGATATCATAGTAGGGAAATGTAGTCTGTTCTGCCATGCACATATTTCTGTGACATGGGTGAACTCATATGACATTGGCAGAAAGTGAGTGATGTCATTAAAGATGGAAGATGTTTTGGTTCATCTACGTGTTTTCTCAACAAAGTAAATTATGCTTTCTCATAGGAACAGCAGAACATAAAATATAGTAACTCATGAACACAGCAAGTCACAGAGGAATTCAGAACCATACGCAATGCCCACTCACCCCACTTGTCTCCATCTGGTCACAAACAGTCTTGGAAATTCTTTATATGGCCTTTGTTCAATGTGTTCTTGTCTCCATAATTCAGAAACCTGAATTTTTCTTTACAGCCCCTTCTAGCAGCCATATTGCCTTTATGTAAGGGTAGGTTTCTAAAAGTACAGTTTTTTTTTTTTGAAATTTAGCATGTTTTGTTAGCTAGGGTAGTTTCTTTTTATTTAGGATTACTATTGTCTTATGTTCTGCTGCTCTTAAGAGAAGTACAAAACAATTACTTATTGGGGTGTGAAGGAGGTGAGGAGTGAAACTTTATGAAGAATAATACAGAAAGTTTTCTTAAATAAGGAGATATGTGGGTGGAAACCAGAGAGATGGAAGGGGATAGCTCTCAGAGGGATATTATAATAGAGGGGTGGCCACTACAGGTGGAAGTATGCTTCACTTCTTGGAGAGGACAGCAAGAAGCCAATGTGGCTGGAGCAATGGAGAGGACAGCAAGAGGCCAATGTGGCTGGAGCAATGAGGATAGGAGGTTGGTGGAGGGCAGAGAGCATGTTCCACTAAAGTAGGCAGTATGTTTGCATTTTGCTCAGAGTAAGATGGGGAGCGAAAGGAACTGAGCACAGGAGAGACATGCTTACCTAACATTTTAATTGGAAGCCATTGTAGAAGAGGACCCAATAGAAGACCATTGCCATAATTGCAATAAACAGCAATGGTGGGCTGAGCTAGGGTGATAGCTATAGAAGAAATAAAAGAGGTCAACTTCTACAGCTCAAGACAATGAGATGTGCAGATTTGTAGATGTGAAGGGAAAAGAAAAAACCATCATGGATGACTCCAGAGATCTGTATTGTTCTTCTGTTTTTTTGTTTTTGTTTTTGTTTTGGGTGGGGAGATATTTTGTGCAACTTATATGTGTGCTGTGTTCTACCTAGAGATCAACAGAAATTAAAATACAAGATTTCTAGTATTATTGAAACCAGTTACACCTATAGCAAAATATAAACTGCAGAGAATATGGTTTCAAAATGATCTGGAAATGTAAAGATAGTTGTTAAAAAAGAGGATATATAATGTGAGATATTTTAATAAAAATAATTCCAGTACAAAACCATATGTCATATTTACAAAATTATAAAAGAATTTGCTCAAATTATATTGGGAGTTAACAAAGAATATAATTTTATTCTTGAGTTTGGTAATTAGATAACTATAGATGAATGATATTTCTTGAAAACAAACACACACAAAAGTCTTTTCATGGAAAGAGAACTCACATGAAACCCATAAAGTAAAGAATGGAAAGCAAAGTAAAAACACAAAATAAGATGACGGAGTTCCAATTACATTATTATGGAAACACATTGTTTAAACTCTTCTATTAAAAGACAAATATCTTCAGGATGTGCTTAAAAATAAAATCCAAGGACATGATAAGTAAAAGGAAACTATCTAAATCAAAATGACATTTTTGTCAAAGAAGTGCAAAGATTTATTAGGCAAACACAGAGAAAATAGGAACAGAATTGATTTCAGCCAAATTATTTTTAAGATGGAAACACAAAAAATAAAATAAAGAATAATAGTTTTGTGAATTAAAAGTACAAGTCACAATAAAATATGTGTCCTGGATAATAAAACAACTATCTATAAATTTAAAACTTTTAAAAAAAATTACAAAGGATAATCAATAGGAAAGCACTGTTCTATTTATTTTTAACATCTCTCTCTAGCTAAGGACAGATCAAATATGTAAGAAAAAAAAAGCCAATCTTTACAAAAACATAAAACGAAGACTCAAATAAAGCAAAAGACGTACAAATTTCTTTGAGATTGACTCCAAATCATAACCTGTTTATTTTGTCCTAAAATAATGAGTAGATTTAATGAAATTTCAAGTGTTGGCTAATGACTCAAATTTTTGGAACTTGATAACATGATTCTGAAGTTCATCTGAAGAAATAAATTTGATAATGAAAAACAGAGAGAAACATAACTGAAAAACATGGTATAATACAAGAGACTTGTTTGACTTGATTTGTAAATTCACCCTAAACTTGCAATTAGAAAACAAAATGGTAGTTGTAGAATTATTGATAAACATAACGTTGGATGAAAAAAATAGCCCAGAAACAAATCTTAGTAACTTTAACCACAAATTATTACTAGATAATAGTTAGAAACATAAATCTGTGAGCAGAAAAGGACCATTCAAAACATAGCCCTGAAAAATATTTGGGAAAAATAAGTAAATTCTGAGGCTTCTTTTGGACTATTCATCAGCTTAAATTCTAGATACATAGTTAAAGCATTTAAATGAAAACTGTAGTAGTCAAGGTTCTCCAAAGAAACAGAACCAATACGATATCTATCTCTATAACTATCAATTTATATAGATATCTATCTATCTACCTAACTATATAGATTTATCTATGTCTCTCTATCTATATAGCTGTAGAAGTTATAAAAGAGGTCAAATTCTACAGCTCAAGACAATGAGACTTGCAGATGAATGTGATATGAAAGGAAAAGAAAAAAACTATGCTAGATGACTCCAAAGATTTGTATAGTTCTTCTGGGTTTTTTGTTTGTTTGTTTCTGTTTGGGTGGGAATATATCTGTCTTACAATAAATAAATCTTGTAGTAAATCTCTATCTATCTATCTATCTATCTATCTAGATCTATCTAGATCTCTCTATCTATCCATCCTTAATCACACGATTAAGGAGGCTGAGAAATTACAAGAACTGTAGTCAGTGAGCTGGAGTCCCAGAAGACTAGGCTAATCAAACATCTATATCTGATGGTTGGCATCTGTGAATGGTATTCACAAGAAGCAATCTCTTAAAAAACAAAAAGAAGAAGAGCTGATGGTATGGTTCTGTCTAGGTCTGATACTGGAAGAAGATCCATGTCCCAGCTCAAAGGCAATTGGGCAGAGAGAGAAAATTCTCCCTTACTCAGTTTTTGTGTTCTATTCAGATCCTCAACAAATCAGATGAGACCCATCCATACTGGGGAAGCCAACCCGCTTTACTCAGTCTACCAATTCAAAAGTTATTCTCATGCAAATGCACCCTGACAGAAACAGCCAGAAAAATGTTTAACCAAATATCCAGATACTCCAGGGCCCAGTCAAGTTGACACAGAAAGTCCACCATCACAAAAACCTTAAGAAGTATTAGTAAATATAAGGATATATTTGTCTGCTCCCTGGATGGGAGAGTATATGTGAACACAGAAACAATGAATGTGATTACACAACCAAGACACAAACACACACATATATACACAATACACACACACACAGATACATGGAATGATTTGATTGGCTTAAAAGCTCTATACCTCCATGTTTCAAGAGAATTCTTTAAAAAATAAGAAAAAAGTATTTCATTAAATACAAAAGGTATGGGGTTGTGATCTGTTATGTAGAAAAAATTCATACAAATAGATAAAAATAAGTACTCAAGACATTGTCAAAGGACCTGAACAGACAATTGAAAAAAATCTACATGTACCTAAAGTTCAGAAAAAAATGCTCAGACTACTAGAAATCAGAGTGCATGTTTTTAAACAAGATTAAAATTCAGGTTCCAAATAGGCAAAGTTTAAAAATAATGTTAGTAAAAATTACAATAATATCAAAAATTGGTATGATTGTGTGAAAGCCCCCTCAAATCCTGCTGGTGCAGATGTAAATCACAACACTCTTTCTTGAAGTTGCAATCATAATTTTCAACCTCAAAGTTCATACATTTAAAGTTAAATTCAACCTGTAGTTCCAGCTTAACAGATCTGCTTCCTCTACACTTCTCTTCTCAGTATGCTGCAGAAGCAGAGAGCTAGAAGTTACTTCTCCCCACTCCTATTCTACATGTGGCCCATAGGCAGGTTCTGCTACTGCATCAAAGTCTTTTCACCATCTCCATGCCTCTGCCTCCTCATCACCATCACCCTAGTCCCAGCTGCCATCTCTCCCACCACTAGGCCTCTTAAGGGGAAGGCCACATTCCTTTACAGTGCTCCTTCCAATACATACAACCAGAGTGTTCTTTGTTTCATTTTTGGTAATACAAACGAATGTCATTTTTTTAAAAAATATAAATATAAGGGGTACTAGTGCAGTTTTGCTTCATGGATATATTGCATAGTGGTGAAGTCTGGGCTTTTAGTGTAAGCATCACCCTAAGAATGGATGTCATTCTTTTGTTCAAACCCTTCTCTGACTATGTAGAGGATAAAGCCAAAATCTGCAGACAGATTACCAGACTTGTAGGATCTTGCCCAACTGTTCCTCTTCATCCAGAAGCTCTCTTCCTCCCTTCTGGCTTCCTTTGAGGTTTCTCCCAAACTTGTTTCAAGACTTTCTTGCTGGCCATTGATTTCACCTCCTGCTTCCAAATGGCCATTTAATTAATCCCTAATCATTCTTTAGATCTTAAAGTCAATGTCACTTTATCTTAAATCCCCCCCAGGCTAGATTGCACTCTCAAAGTACTCTGTACATTCTCCATTGTCACTTTTCATAGAAACCATATCCTCTTCTAGCTCTGGGTCTGTTTTGCTCACCATTCCCCAAACTCCTAAAACTATGCCTGTGAGATATGACTTTTATTTAATAAGTAACCCTCAAAAAACTCAAATTATTGGATATAGATATTTCTACTCCTAGGAATCTATGCTAAATAATCTGAAGGTTTCACAAAGATTTATATATGAATGTTACATAACTCTGAATGTAGCCAGCAAAGAGGTATACTGTATTTATTGACATAAGAAAAGTTGAATCTCAGATAGTAATGATGGTAATCAACATTCTTTTTTTTTTTTTTAATTGAGATGGAGTCTCACTGTGTCACCCAGGCTGGAGTGCAGTGATACGATCTCGGCTCACTGCAACCTCTGCCTCCAGGGTTCCAGTGACTCTCCTGGGAGTAGCTGGGCTTACAAGCATGCACCACCATGCCCAGCTCATTTTTCTATTTTTAGTAGAGATGGGGTTTCACCATGTTGGCCAGTCTGGTCTTGAATCCTGACCTCAAGTGATCTACCAGCCTCGGCCTCCCAGAGTGCTGGGATTACACGTGTGAGTCACCATGCCCAGCTGATAATCAACATTCTTTGAAATTTACAATGTGTTTTATATAAATCAACTCACTTAATCCTAAAAAAGCTTCATTATTATAATTTCTATCTTATAGATAAGGAAAGAGGCAAAGGGAGGTTGAACTGCTTGGTTTAGGTAGGGCAGTTAGCAAGAGGTAGAGCATGGGTCATTTGCCGCTGAGGTTTGGATATGGTTTGTTTGTCCACACCAAATCTCATGTTAAAATTTAATCCCCCAGCATGGCTGTGGTGGGAGGTAGGGCCCAGTGGGGGGTGTTTGGATCAGGGAGCCAGAACCCTCTGAATGTCTGGATGCCATCTAACCATACTGAATGAGTTCTCACTCTGTAGCAATGGCATTTGTTCTCTTGGGAATGGATTAGTTCCCTCCAGAGTGGGTTGCTGTAAAGCTCGGACAGACATCCCTCATCCCCTGGCTTTGGTTTCCTTTCACACTTGCCCACTTCCGCTTAGACCTTCTCTTCCATATTTTGACGCAGCATGAAAGCCCTCACCAGAAGCCAAGCGAACGCCAGTGCCCTGCTTCTTGTACAGCCTGCAGAACCGCAAGCCAAATAAACTTTTCTTTATAAGCTGCCCAGGCTCACATATTCTGTTATAGCAACAGTAAATGGACCAAGACAAGAACCCAACCTCAAGAGCATACGCCTTCTATACTCTTAGGTATTAAGCCGTGTTGTGCTGCCAAGTTGTGTGCACACACACGCACAACAAAACATATATACAAAAGTAACCTAACTAGCTATTTTTGTTTTCTTCTTTGTACCTTCATGAATTTTCCATGTTTTCTTCAAAAAAACCACGCTATATCATTTTTCTAATCATCAAAAAATGTGGTTTTTTAAAAGGTGGGAAAACCCTAATTAGTGTGGTTTTCCTTAAGTGTGAAGACTTTCTCACCAGTGGTTTAAAGACACTGTAAATAGTTTCTGTTGTTATTTAAATTGTTCCCAAAACAGGTAGCTTTCAAAAACTGAAGCATTTTTGTAGTACGATATAATAAAAGAAAGTTAGTTATATTGGTATTTAGATGACGATGGCTTTTCCAAGCTTGAAGGTAGATTTCAAGACAGATGAATTGGTCAGTTGATTACTAAGAGATTTCATATCTTGACTTCAGTATATAAATTATTTTACAAAGAGATGCATACTATATATAACTAAAAGTACAAAAATTTAATTTCAAATTCAAACCTGTTTGGGTTTCCCACAATTTTACATTTTTCCATCTCTCTGCCCCTGTTCACTAGTGAAGAAGATGAATGAATGGGAAAACTCTAAGAATTTAGTGTTAGTAACAGTTTAATTTTTTTTAAAGTATACCCTACAACTAGGGGAGATCTGGGAGAATCAAACTCATAGATCCCTAGTAGGCATCAAATCCACATAAACTGAGTATCCCTTTGTGTGTCACATTATGATATTAAGTCCTTTCACATTAACTCCTTTCGTTCTGAAGCAATGTAGGGTGCAACAGTAGCCAAACGTGAGAATTGAGGAAAAGGCTGGGCTCAAGCCCCACAACAATAGTCCTATGTATTCAAGATTATCTGTGGAACAAAAGAATCCACCAAAAGCTAAGGGTGAAAGAATAAACTACGATTTTAATTGTAGGCATACATATAAAGAGTAGAGCCAAGATGAGATGATGATAGTCCTCTTTATGACAGAAGTTCTGTAGAAATAACTTTCAAAATCTCTTCAATTATCCTTTTCAACTCTCTTCATTTTTCTTATGGAAACTGGTATGGTTTGGCTCTGTGTTCCCACCCAACTATCTTGTTGAATTGTAATCCTCCAGTGTTGGAGGTGGGGCCTGGTGGGAGGTGATTGGATAATGGGGGTCGTTTCTTTTTCTTTTCTTTTTTTTTTTTTTTTTTTTTCAGACGGAGTCTCACTCTGTCTCCCAGGCTGGAGTGCAGTGGCGCGATCTCAGCTCACTGCAAGCTCCGCCTCCCGGGTTCACGCCATTCTCCTGCCTCAGCCTCCCGAGTAGCTGGGTAGCTGGGACTATAGGTGCTCGTCACCATATCGGGCTAATTTTTTTGTATTCTTAGTAGAGACGGGGTTTCACTGTGTTAGCCAGGATGGTCTTGGTCTCCTGACCTCGTGATCCGCCCGCCTCGGCCTCCCAAAGTGCTGGGATTACAGGCGTGAGCCACCACGCCCGGCCGATGGGGGTGGTTTCTAATGGTTTAACACCACTGCTCTAGTGCTGTCTCATGATAAGAGTTCTGCGATATCAGGTTGTTTAAAAGTGTGTAGCACCTCTCCTTTCGCTCTCTCTTCCGCCTGCTCCAGCCATATAGGACAGGCCAACTTTCCCTCCACGTTCCACCAGGATTCTTGAGACTTCCCTAACGGTGCTTCCTATACAGCCTGTGGAATTGTGAGTCGATTAAACCGCTTTTCTTCATAAATTACCCAGTCTCAGGTAGTTCTTGATAGCAATGTGAAGATGGACTAATACAGAAACTGTCAGTGGGGCAGAGAAAGTTTTTCCCTTAGCAGTAGAAGAAAAGAATATCCAATAAGTACTGACATCATATAACATATTAAAATGGTACACTGGCCTATTGATGCAGTGGTGTTTATTACCTTGAACAAAAACACATCCATGGAAAGATCCTATCCTCTCATAACTAGGGTAGATATTTCTAAATTGTATCTTGTTTCAAAAACTAAAGCTAGATACTGAAGTAACATAATACAAAGTCTAGAATTTTCTTTAAAAATTTCAAGCAAAAATAGAAAATGTGAAGATAGATGAAACTAGATGAACAAAATGATAATAATTGTTAAAGCTGAGTGATAGAGATGCATACTTCGTTCTCTACTTTTGTATAATTAGACTTTTTTCTACAATAAAAGGTTAAAAATAAACTGAGAAGTTATGTTTCTTTTGTCTAATTTACAAATCAATATCGGTATTTGAAGCAATTTAAAATATGACATATATTAGTGTTCTTTTCTACTCTTGCTTTTTTGAGGAGTATAAATGTATTTAAAGTACTCACACTTAAAAATACAGAAACACTCTCTAAACAGGGTTCAGTACAGAGTGCAGGAGGAAATCATTATGTGGTAATTAAAGTAAGAATCAGGAAGGAAAGAAGGAAGGAAGGAAGAAATATTTATGCTCCGCAGCAATGTAAAATATAGGGCAATTAAGTGGATTCTCTATTGTAATAGGTTGTGAATTTATCACTTTTCCTACAGAGGCAAGATTTAAACATTATCATAGGATACAAAAAAATTCAATATTTTATATTAAAGTCTCCTAGAACTCCAATTTTCTACCAACAGGAAGAAAATTACGTAGAGAATGAAAACGAAAAACCACTTTTTGCTTGCAGGTACTCAGGATTTAATCTTAAGGACAAAAGATAAATGTATTATGACTACCTGAAGCACATATCAAGGGAATTTTTTTTGAGGAAAGAAATGCTGAGTGAAGAGAAGGGAATTAATATGAAGACCATCAGAGAGATTCTTGGCTCTCAAACTTGAAGGAAGTAGAGTCCATTGATAAAGCAGGAAGAGGTCATATTTGGTATATTAGTTCATTCTCATGCTGCTATGAAAAAAATACCCAAGACTGGGTAATTTATAAAGAAGAGAGGTTTAATTGACTCACAGTTCTGCATGGCTGGGGAGGCCTCAAGAAACTTATAATCATGGTGGAAGGCACCTCTTCACAGAGCGGCAGGAGAAAGAATGAGTGCCAGCAGGGAAATGCCAGACACTTATAAAACCATCAGATCTCATGAGAACTCACTCACTATCATGAGAACAGCATGGAGGAAACCTCCTCTATGATCCAATCACTTCCCACTAGGGCCCTCCCACAACACATGGCGATTATCTTGAATTGTAGTAATTCAAGATGAGATTTGGGTGGGGACACAGGCAGACCATATCATTTGGCAACCTTGAATTTGTAGATGAGGGAGCTCAGCTGAAAGATTAAGTAAATAGTTAAATCTCCAAGATATTTGGTTTCCATCTGAAGCTCTTCACCATATGTATCAGATCAGTTATGTGCACAGTTTCATTTTTTTCTTTAAAGTGGGCTAAGAATTTATCAGACCCCTGCTGTATCTTTCATAAAAGCAGAGAAATGCACCAAATAAAGAACACAAATACTGACCGACTTCTGGCGGTGCTGGCATTACAATATTGCTCTGGCTTTTCATTAATTTCAAGTTGGTTTATTCAGTTCTGCATGTTCCAGAGCCTTTCACCTTCAGTGTTTTCACCAAACTTATTAACAGGAGTAGAATCAACAGGTTTGGCTATATCTCTTCTCTTCCCAGAGTATGCCAGAGGTAATAATAAAAACTAACTTCATTTCAAAGGATACTTCAGGGGAAAGAAAAGAAAAGCAGGGGTGTACATCATCTTTTGGTTTGATAAACTAATTCCAAATAAATGGAAGTTGGCTGGAGACCTTCATTTGAAACAATAAGGATACATATTCTCAAAGGCTAGCCCAAGCCTATGGACAGGATCCTTTGCTATTAAAGACCCACAGAGATGATGATATCTAGTTATCAAACTGCAGCATACTCTGGAATATGCTCTATAATACAAGGTCAATTTCTTTTAGAAGTTAGATATTAGTTAAACCTTGTGGTTTTCTAATTAAAATGTCCTGATGACTTCCTTTGACAGTAGTGATAACAGAATATTCTCATATAGACCTTCAGCATAACTTTTAAATTTGGCCTTCAAATGTAATATACAACAGTACAAGATTGCTAAAAAAAATGCAGAATATCCTGTTTATCTTTGCTCTCTAGTCTCCTTTTTCTTTTCTTAAAACAAAGGACTTGGGTTATCTACCTAAGGTCATCATAGCACTGTATTTTTTTTTCTTTAACATCCATATGCATGTGAGCCATTTAAAAGATTAAAATGTAAACAAAACTAAATACTTAGAAAAGCTTTTGATCCTCTGCATTTGTAAACATTTCTAAGAAACCTCACTTGGGACTCTCCTAGATATTGCAGGCATGGTTGAAGCAGTAAAATTCAGTTCTTAGCATGACTGGGAGAAAGGAAAGAGCATCATTTTACAAGTGAAAAAGAAGGCATTATTAACAGTCCAAAATTAGAGAACTGAACACTTTTCTGAGCAATTTTCCTATCCACAAACTGTGGGACCATATAATTAGTTATTTTATCAGACTTGACTTTATCAATAGCCACACACAAAAAGGTACAATTTAAAATGTGAATAAATGTGAATGTTTGTTGATTATAGAGCATCAATAAAAGTAAAGTTGCTTTAGATTGCTGGATATTATACTTATTTATATTTTGAACCCCCAAAATATAAGAATGAATACTGGTAAAACAAATGCTTACTTTTAAGCAATATTTTGACAAAGACTTCTGAAGAATCAAATTGTAGACCCCAAAGGTTTTATGTAGCAAGAGGAGTCAATTATACTTTAATAGCATATCTTTAAGAAAAACATCCCTTGCAAAGAAGATAGAATCAGTTTTAGTAGTATACTTGCCCTTTATCACTTTGAACAAATAAAAAAAGATGTTTAACTAAGGCTGCCTTTTTTTGAAATATAACCCTTCAAGTAGTATATGTCAAGAAAAAAAGAAAGGAAGAAACAAAGGAAGGAAAACAACTTAACATTTTCTCAAGAAAATTATAATAAGAAAGATAAATATGCAGAGTGGGCAATTAGATTATTCATTCCATTGATATAACAAGAATGAGTAAGAATCAGTAAATATCGCTGGGCTACTAGTTTGTATAGGGAACTGTCCTAGGGCCTGAATAAGAGCCCACAAGAAAAAAAAAGGAGAGAAAATAAAGGAGAGAAAGGAAGGATGCAGAAAGGAAGGAAGAGAGAAAGGAAAGAGGATGGAAAGAAAGGAAGATAAAATGGGTAGAAAAAAAAATCATTCTTGCCTTTAGTCTTATAGTATAGCTGGAGAAATAAAATGTATACAAAAGAAAAAATAACAATACAAGAAAGTGAGTCCAGTGAATTGCATCAATAACATGAGCTCAGGAATACAGAAGCAAGGGATCACTTCAGGTCAAGGGGTCAAGGAAGGAGTAGAGACATAACATGATACTTTGAGTTGAAAGGAATGAAAACAGGCGGGAGATGTGTTCCAGATATTGGAGAAGAAATAACAGAGACAAAAATGTCTGATCCATGTGATCCGTTCTTGCTCAGCCACTCATACAGATGAGTGGCGTGTGTAGGTAATACCACCAGGTATGCTGGGTGGACAGGAAACCCTTCCGGCATGGAGCAAAAAATAAAGACACAGATGGATGCCTTCTGTTTTGCTAGCTTCATCCCTGTTCACTCAATGAGATAGGTCAACTTAATTTTCCAAAAGATTGTCTACAGAAATTATTGACTATTTGGATTTATGAATTTTTAAAAATTAAATCCAAGTTACAGAGGCAAGTGATGATAAACTTGTCCAGATTTGAATATCTAAATTGACCACACCCTCACCCCAAGTCAAATCACTTTGGACTACAAGTCATGAACCCAGAGCAGGCAATTGCTCCAGAGGCTCTGAAGCTCCTCCTTGGAACTGTCCTCAGAGCCAATTTAGAGAAACAATCTGCCCCATTGCCGCCCAGGCATGTTTCACTTTTTTGACCAAAAATGGCATCACCCAGATTAGAGACCCACCTTAGTCATGGTATTTGGCTGCAAGGGACTTTGGTTGCATCCAAAACAAAATCCTCCTTCAAAAAGAGATTTGCCACCACAGGAGATAGTCAAAGAATGAGCTGCAGGCTCTGACGTTAATTCCAAGGTATCCATTTCAGAAATATTTAAGGTATGACAGCATTCTTAGGAAAGTTGTATGTACTTCCCAAATGACAACCTTAAAAGGGACAGAGTGCTTTTGCATTTGGGTTTTGGTTTCTCTCTTGAAAAAGATTCAGTCATATTGAGATGTTGTTGACATAGCAACTGAACATGCAAAATTTGAATCAGGCTGCTTGGATTCGAATCCTAGCTCCTCCATTTACTTGCCTTACTCTTAATTTGCCTTACCTTGATTTTCCATCTATAAAATGGGAATGATGAAAATAGTAATGTACTTCATTCAGTTGGTATAATTATCCCACTCATAATACCTGCAAAGTGTTTAAACTAGTACCTGACACATAGTAAGCACTCCTAATCCTAATATGGTAGTAGATATTAATGTAACAGTTTAGATTGGGGCAGTTTTTCTAAGGACAAATTCATATGAAGACAGCAAAGTACTTAATGGTGTACATACTGTATTCTGTTGGCAAATAACTTTGACATCAGCCCTGTTATTTGTTATGTAAGACTGTCTCTGCCATGTTTGATTGTACTTTTCTTCAAAGAACCATCTGCATTTCTGGACAACACTCTCCATACGGACTGGTGTATTTCAACTTGAAATCAAAATTTGCCATAAGATGCATTTTTGGTTCTACCAAATGAATATAACTATACAGGCAGAGAGAGTGCAGAGAAAATGCATAATATACATGCATATCACTATATCTGTGCTAGGAGGACACGGGTGTAACTTATAATAATTATAGTTTATGATAACTATCGTATGTCTGATTAAAACCACAAAGAGCCCAGAGTCCCTTAAATCTATGCATAAAGTCATACTTCTCCCCTCCCCAACTAGTGCTCCTTAAGCTCTTCATAGTAAACCCACAATCTCCTCAAAATCTTAGTTCATAATGAGACAATGGGTCTTTGTTTAGTTTGCTTTGTCTGCCATTTCAGTTTCCCAGCATGAAGCCCTTGCTATGCTTTCATGGCTACACTTTAGCACATTAAAAATGAATGGGCAAACATTTCTTCAATCCTTTCTGCTTACAGTCTTTTAAGTTTGAAGTCCGGGATCTTTTATAAACTAAGTATATGACCTTGAGCAAGTCATTTAATATTTCTAGGTCTGTTATTTCTTCAACAAGGTAAGATAATTGAGTTATTTTAATTTTACGGTCGAAGATCCTTTTCCTTTTCTCATATCTCTTCTCACTGGATAATACCTTGGAAAGCCAAAAGCCATGTGTAATTCATTATATCCTGGTATTGGACTTTAAGTCACAGAGATGTGCACGAAGGCAGATATCACACCGTGATAGCCAAGGCAATTTCCTTTAAAACATTATTTTTTTTTCAATTTAAACCCATTATACTGTCATTTTAATTGTTTACTAAAAAAAGAAATATATTTGGTTTAAATTGCCTTTATTTAGCACAGAATCACTTGAAGGCTTTCACTTTGAACTCTATCATTTTCATGTGCTAAGGCCTCCAGGAGACACACATTCCCTGTAAAAGTGTTCACCCGGATTTTATACTCTTGTGCTGTGTCTCTGTAAGTGGGTTTTATGTTTCTTAATAATAACGCCACATCTTTTTCTTTTATAGCTCTCCCTCCTGTCGAGTTCCTAGAATTGTAGTCTAGACATAGTAGAAACTCAATAAAAGTTTTACTCATTGACAAACATCTGGGCTTTCTGCAAAGAACAACCATGGCTTAAACATTTACTAGTTACCATGGCTCAAGTAGCTGTAGAGGGGAATTTATGCCCTTGCTGCTACTGAGGTTGACATGTCTGTACTTACAAATTTCTCTGGGAACTGGTAAATTACCTTTTTGCATTTCTGATTCATCTTTTATAAAAATGAGGAGCTACCTTAAAAGATTACTCTAAACTGAGTGAGATATTATATATAAAACTTCCGGCACACGGGGTAAATAAACATATTACTGAGATATTAATACCTGGAGCACATGGCTGACTATAGTCATTTTCTAGCTGATTCAATGCTCTCAACCCTGCCCTGATTTAGGGACACACAACTCAGTTACCTTAGAAGGTATTTTGGTAAAAAGAATGGATCTGAGTTCAACTGGCCTTCAGAAGCTTCTAGAAGCTGACAAGTTTATCAGCCCCAACAAAAGCTTAGGCAAGCTAGGGTGAATTATGGCCTGGACAGTATTCCAAAAGTAACAAGCAACAAGTAATGTGAGTGGTGCATTCCATCATAAAGTAAAAAAACCTGTTTTCCTAAAGTACTGAATTAAGAGGAAAAAATAGATAAATATATATTTTACATGTAAAATAGTATATATAATAGACATAAATATCTATTTTATATAAATATATAACTATTTACAATGTATATATTTTCTCTATTTTATATACAATACATATAATATGTATTACATAATATATACAATAATATACAGTATTTTATATATAATTATATATACTTATACACACTTATATATAAGTATATGATATATCATTTATAATATATAACAATATATTTATATATACATATATGTTATTTATAATATACTATATAAAAATATATTTATATATATTACTATATATTAAAAATATTTATATATTATAGCGAGTATATATAGTAATACACAATAGAATAAATTTTTATATAATTTAATTTTAACATAATTATATAATATAGAATATATTACATAATTATATATTATAAAACAAAATTACATAATTTTGTATTACTATATTATTATAACATAATTATATTAATTATATAACGTATTAAATTTTATAATTATTTAGTATATAATTATATTTTTATTATAACATTAAATAATAAAATTATTAAAATATAATTTTATTATATATTTTCTATTTTATGTTAAAAATAGAAACTATATAAAAATATATATATTCATATATATATTTCTATTAAATGTAACTAATTCCTAACTTCATGAAAATGTTTTTGGATGAATTTTATTTTTATTATAATTAATGAGAGTTTTTTGATGGGGTGATGGCTCTCCTAGATGACCAAGGTTCTAAACACTACTTATACTGTCTAAGTTCTTGAAGCAAAAATTTCATGTTCTCCATTTCCTTGGTTCACATTTCAGAATAAATTAGAAAATAAGTAGCATACACTTTTGATTAATAAGTTTAATGATGGAAAGTCAGAGCTTCTAAAAATAACAATTATGACCATATAATTTTTATTATGTTATTTTATTACACATATATAAAATTATGGTCATAATAAAGAGCAAGCTTATAGGTGGTTTAAAAAAAGTTCACAAGAAATGACCCCAAATAAATTTCCCATTTTTTTTAATATAAAGAAACATGGTTATTTATATTTGCTTGTGTGTATAAAAAGTATTGGGAGTTTTTAAAAGATGTTTTTAAATGATGGTCCTTGTTTTAAAGGGAAATGTACAATAAAGTTTTAAACCTTGGAAAAAGAAAGGTACTAGAGTTTGTTTTTATTTATAATGAATTTTAAAAGGTATTGTTATTCCTATGGTGGTTGTTCCTTTTGGCAATACTGCTATAAGATCATCCACAATAGCAGTGCAGCATTTTAGCTTTGTCTGAAAAAATACATTTGTGTGTGTGTGTGTGTGTGTGTGTGTGTGTGTATATATATATATATATATGCTTGTGTGTGTATGTATGTATATACACACATATATACATATGTATATATGTACGTACACATTTATGGGTGTACATATATACATATGCATGTATATATACACAGAAACATATACACAGACACACACATACACACACACACACAAATATATACACACACACACACACACACACACACACACACAAAATATCAATTGAGACCTCTAGTGGAGCTAAGTGGGAACTGTCCCACTAACTGCTTGCATGTTTTAACTTCATCAAACAATAATAAATTCCTTCCTAGAAAATGTAGGGGTTTTGGTAATTTTAAAAGCCTGCCTATTTACCTTTCATACATGTATTAACTTTTCCTTATATTTTATATCAAATACTTAATAATTAAAATGATTATATACAAAATTTAAAAAACAGTTGCTATGACTACAAATGCTTTAAGACTCATACCGTTCGAAGTGTGAAAATTGTAACAGCGTTTGGGTAGAAAGCTCTTTTATTCCCTGGTGAAATGACTTGCTGTGATTTTGTACGCTGGAGATGGAATGCACATTGGGAGTCTGGTATCCTGTTAACGATGATGATGCAGAGACTAAAAATACTTGACATTTGTATGTTGTTTGACATACTGGGAAATGAAAGCAATGTTGAAGTACTGTATTACTGTCCCAATCCCAAATAAAATGGCAAATGCTGCAATGTACTCCCAGTAATAGGAGACCAGCTTGAAAATGAGAAATGGCTAAAGGAAGGCTCTACAAAATATTAATAATGGGACTGTGAACAGAAAATGGTCTATACAGATTTTAACAGCTGCATGTGAGCTAGCTGAAGAAATAACTAGCTCAAATGTTTTTTCATGTACTTTAATTTTTGGTTTTACTTATTTGCACTGTACAAAGAAAACCAAATTCAGTTTGTAAAGAAAGTCCCTGAAGTATCATTTATAGATAACTCTGACTGGAGATTATCCAAGAGAACATGAGACTTTTCAGCTTGGTAAACACAGTGTTCAAATGAAACAGCTCTGAATTTAAGTAGAAAAAATGCTCAAAAGATAAGGTTTTGACATCATTAATATGCCAGTAATTCAAATGAGGTAATATTGTTTCCAAGTCACACATAAACATAAAGTCAAAAACACTTACCTAACACATATACATTGACTACAAACCCAAGGTAAAGTTCAGAAACACATGGGACTAACCTTACACTGAACAAGATCCCAGTATGTTTGTATTAATTCATTTTTTAAAAAATGTTTACTCATTATCTCTCTATATAGTTTTTTGTTTTGTTTGTTTGTTTGTTTTGACAGGGTCTCGCTGTGCTGCCAAGACTGGCATGCTTTGGCATGATCTCGGCTCACTGCATCCTCAAGCTTTCAGGCTCAAACTATCCTCCTGCCTCAGCCTCCCAAGTAGCTGGGACTACAGGTGCACATACACCTGACTTTTTTTTTTTTTTTTGGAGAGACGGAGTTTCACCATTTTGTCCAGGTTGGTCTTGAACTCTGGACTCATGCTATCCCCCAACTTCAGCCTCCCAAAGTGCTGGGATTACAGTTGTGAGCCACTGTACTCGGCCTAGATAGAGTTTTTGATTTACTTTTGAGGGAAGGGTGAGACAAATCAAAGAGTGTATGTCTGTACGTTTACATTTACCTTTGGGAAGTCAAATTCCCATATTAAATTACTGAACAACAAGAGGTGGTATTATATGCTTTCCTAACAACATGAAGAGTTGCAGATAAAACAGGCAATAGAGTAAACATAGAGTACTGTAGACCAGGATGCTTGAGAAATCTGTGCAGGAAAAGGAATTTAAACTATGATCTAAACAATGGGTGGGATTGGGATAGGCTGAGAATGGCATTCCTCCAAGTATGGCAGAAATTGGAGCAAAATCTTAGAGGTAGAAAGAAGCTTAGGACAGAGCTTTAGTTCAGGGAAATTATGAAAAAAAAAATGGTAAAGCAATGGCCCATTAAATCATTTTGGACTTCAGACAAAATGGACATAACTGTAAGTAATAAAGATTCCATAAAAAACCGATGGCTACAACGGACAGTGCTGGTGATGGCAGGAAGGAAATTAACTCTAAATTGAAGTTTCAGATACTGCCAAAGTATTTACTTGGTGATTGGTGAACACTGACTTGCCTCGAGTGCTATAATAGATGGCATTGATAATAGGTAGGATATTACCAAATAAATCTTGACCCAAGCTTTAAGGAAAATGTAATCCAACTGTCAAGGCAAAACTTGTGCTAAAAAATATTTGGAAACACACAAAAATAATTTATGAGTAAACTGAAATCTGCTTAATGACTAAGATAAATGAGAATTTAGCCAATAATAACCCAAATCAAATGAGGTTACAAAATTTAAGCTTTGTATAACACTCCTCCACTTTTTTTTTTTTTTAAAGAAGTGCATTATCATGATGGTTAATTTTATGCGAAACTTGGCTACACCATAGTACCAATATACTTGGTCAAACACTTGTGGATGTTGCTGTGAAGGTAATTTTAGATGCGATTAACATTTAAATCAGACTTTAAGTAAAGCAGATTATCCTCCATTACATGGGTGGGCCTCATCCGATTAGTTGAGGGTCTTAAGAAAAAGACTTAACCTCCCTGAGGAAGAGGGATTTCTGCCTGTAGACTGCCTCTGGACTCAACTGCAACATCGGCTTTCCCTTGAGTCTCCAACCTGATGTCCTATCGTGCAAATATGGGACTTGCCAGGCCCCACAAATATGTGAACTAATCCTTAAGATAAATTTATCTCAGGCTTTCTCTCTCTCTCTGCCTCCACACACACATACACACCCTATTGATTCTGTTTCTGTGGAGAACCCTGAGTAGTCCACAATTGTGAACGAGATTGTTAGAGAGAATGTTGCGATAGATAAAAGCAGCAAACAAATCCTCACATGTGGGAAACTTCGTGGGTTTTGTTGGATTTTTTTGTTTTGGCTTCTTTCCCTCAGAATGGAAAATTTATTTCAAAGCACTTTCAGAAATGAAGTTAATTAGAGGTGAAAACCAGTGAGACAAAGGTTTTTGACTCTAATGCTTTAATGAAGGTAGTGGTGGATTGGCCTAGAGTCAAACAACGCATACTAAGCACTGACATAATATGGATGAAGTGCAACCATTAGGAAAACAGTACATTTACATAATTTTTAATGTCACTAAATAATACATTCCCCAGTAGGCTGCTCCTCCTCCAAATTGTTTTCAATCAAGGTGTTTCCTTAAAGAATTCCTTAAAAATTTATTTTCAAATTTCAACATCAACATATCATATGATCCAGAAATTCACTTCTGGATATATTCCAGAAAGAATTGAAAGCAAAGACTCGAACAGATATTTGTACACCCATGTTCACAGCAGCATTATTCATAACAGCCAAAAGGTGGAAACAACCCAAATATTCATCAATGGATGAATAAACAAAAAGTCGTATATAGGATATTATTCAGCCACAAAAAGAAATAAAATTCTGACATATGCTACAACATCCTCAAGACATTAGGCTAAGTGAAATGAGGCAGACAGACAAAGGTCAAATATTGTCTGATTTTACATTTGAGGTATCAAGAAGAGTCAAATTCATAGAGATAAAAAGTGGAATTCGGGTTACCAAAGTCAGGGAGAAGGAGGGAATATGGAGTTATTATTTAATGGATACAGAGTCTCTATTCGGTGTGATGACAAAGACTTGGAGATGAATGATGGTGATGGTTCCACTTCAAGGTGAATGTAGTTAATGTCACTTAAAAATAATTAAAATGGTAAATTTTATATTATGTATATTTTACCACATTAAAGAAAATCCCTCTTTTCTGGACAGGCAAGTCAGCCTGAAAAGAGGGCACCGAGGAAAATTTATAAAGAGAAAGATCATTAGATTGAGGCTGATATTGGAAGGAGATAAAGAAATCTGGCTGAATGTAAACTTAAGGGTCTCAAGACAATGATAGCATCTATATTCCTGTGCCAGGAACAATCAGATGAGCCAAAGTATACATTGTAGTGAGTAGCATAAACTCTTCAGAGGATACACCCCCACACAAAATACACAAAATTTTCCATCTAAACTTTTACTTATGAATAACAGTGGTGATTGCAAACAATCCTTCTAGATTTGCTTTTGAAATGACCATATGATTATAATTGAAAAACATTTACTGATCTCTATCTGAACCCAGAAAAGGCATGAGCTATATGGGTTTCTCATTTGTCTACTTTTCTCAGAGCGTATGAATACATTTACTATATTGTAGTCATTTTCTAAAACTTCCTTGCTAGAGTTTTAATTTATTAGATATATTCAAAATGCAAATTTTCAGAGCCACCAGTTATAACAAGACATGTTGGCTATCTAATGCAATATCAGTCAGTTGCTTTCAACACAAATTTCAGGTTCTTATGATGATATCTTTTGTTTTGGTTTGGTTTTTTGGTTGTGAAGCTTGGGAGATTTAGTGGAGGTAAATCATCGATTATAATCCAAGGGACATACTTTGCATTTTTAGCAACAAAAACTATTTCCATTCCTATCAAATTTCTATGAGTTCACTTCTACCTCTACAGAGTTGTAAAAAAGCCTAGTCAAAAATGAAGGCACACATCCCCATAGCACCACATAATCTCCAAAGGCTCTTGCATTTCATTGAAAGGATATTTAATAATCTCCTTTATCCATTGCAAAATCTTCCACAATCTTGCTCAAGTCTCAAAGCACAGTTACTATTGATTTAGCCAAAAGTGCCCATCTTGGTTTTCTACTATTTTAGTGGTTAAAATGGTAAGATTATAAAATCATATTGAAGGAATAGAAGAAAGGCGACAAGGTGTAAATCGGCTGATAGCTTATCTCTGTATCCTCTTAATCTCAACTTCCTTGTTTGTATATAGGCTGACATTGACTTTCCTGACATATTCTTTATTTCAGGCCAAGACAGCATTTTAGAAAATGTATGCCCACTACAGCACAGTCCAATATATGCAGTGATAAGATGAGAATTCCAACAGATTAACTCACAGATGGTTGTTAGGCTATATAGATGATCTTATCTCCAACCCTGCCCAGAAACAAACAGGAGACCATTGTGGAGCTCCCAACTCAGCTGTTCGGGACTTAAGATGAACTCTGCAGCAGCCAAGTCCTACATAAACAGGCCTTTCTGGGTGGTCATCCTGGCAGTGTGAAGTATGATTCATTGAAGTGGAGAGTATTCGAGATGACAGAGGCACAGATGACCCCTACAAGGTTCAAATTAGAGAGAGTCCAGGAGCAATAATGAATCCAAAGAGAAACTGAAGCTATTATTTTGTCCAAAGTCAAACTACTCTCTCAGCAGGGAGCACAGCACTTTCTCAACCCATCTCTTCCTTTTGCCCATCAACAAACTCTTCTTTATTTTATTATGCTTGACACCAAACCAGATTTTCTCATTCAAATCTCTGTTATATTCAGTCTCCATGGCCAGAATTAGCATGCAGTGTTTGTCTTATTTATTCTTGACTCTTTCACTGGGAACTAAAATATTTGGATTACATTACCCATGACAATGAGAGTTCTGATGGCAAAAACATGATCACATTCAGTTGCCAAGCAAATCAGATATGATTTTGCATGCCAAGCATAAAAATTTGCTAAAGTGTTGGTATTTTTAAGTTTTCCTCATACATTTACTTTTTAAAAAATTTCATCTTATCCTCATAAGAAGCCCTAAGATAATTAAAGCAGGTATTATCATCATATTTAATTTAAAAGATGAAGCTGACTCACAGCAAATTCAAATTTATTTTTCTTATACAGGATTGTGGTGATGACTACTTGGGCAAAAATCACATACGCACATCATAGGGGCTAGAGGTACGTTCAGACACCAAACCTTTCTCACAATTTATATGAATAATGAGTGCCGAGCATAGCCTGGGAGAATAGTCAGCCAGATGTTTTCAACACAAATTTCACATTCTTGCAATGCTTTATTTCGTTTGATTTGTTTTTTTGGTGTGTAGTTTGGGAGTTTTCATGGGGGTGGCTTTGACCTTGAACACAAAGGTAAGTGAAAATTAAGGGTAATTTCTACAGCATAAAACAGCAATGACGAATTGGTTGATTTCCACCATATTTTATCTTTATTCAGAGCCTATAAAAGGAAGACTAGTCTGTGAACATCTGTAGAACACATGTGAAGAGTGAAGAAAATCCTTTTATTCCTAATATTTCTCACAGAAAATTCCTTATGACCTATGCAAAACATCATTATTAGAAACTATCAATTTAAATGTAGTAACAACTACTAGATCTAGTAAATATTTCTTGTTGACCTGTCTCAAATTTTGTCATCATGAGACACATGAGCAAAAATAAAATCAGGTGTCTTTATTACTCATCAACTTTATATCATTGTATGAGCAAGCGACTTTCAGTACCTTGAACGCTGAAACATCAGGTGAAGGAATGCTTCCGCTTCTATGTGTGTTTTAAACTTGTTAGGACATGAAAGTGCTTAAAAGTAAGTTTGTTTTCCAAATTTAAAAAAATAAATTTAACCATGTAATACATCCAGTGGAAAAAAAAATGTATACAAAGTTTTTTTTTTTTTTTTACTTTTGACTTTTGCACGAAGTGGGCCTTTTCAACAGGGTTGTAGGTAGCAATGATCAGTTCCTAAATGGCCATGGCTGAAACAACACCGTCCTTAGAGCAAGGCTGATGACAAATTAATTCCAAGAACTTTTTACATCACTTGAAAAATGTACTGTTGGAACATTCCTCTATGTTTTAAAATCTGGAGATTAGTGAATCTTTTAAAGATAGATTTGGAAAGGCAAAGCAAGCTCATGAAGACATCATCATATAGGTGAATTCAAGCAAGCTTTGTTTCAGTGTAGACAACGTATTTGTCCACCTATTTTGACTGCATCAAAGGGAATACTGAAAAAAAATGTGAAAAAAGTTTCTAGTCAAAAGAAGAAATTTCAACCAAGCCATATTAGAATTCTGCAGGACCTGCGTGAAGTAAGAGTATTGTCTACCACCAAGTCAGGAATTGATGATCCTTCCAAACACATAAAATCCCTTTGGTGATGAAAGCAAAATCCCCAGACAATTTGATTCTTTTTTCCCAAAGTGAGCCTCCACCCTAAATTTCCAACTATAATACTTAATTTGGCAAGGGAACAGTAGCATAAAATGCATTTTGCTCATGAATTATATTTTTTCCCTGTTCTTCATGACATTTATGCATGCCAAATATAAATGGCCGCACATGGATTAAGTAACAAAGGTGTCTTTCCTTTCCAGTAGCACACATTTTATTAATAAGGATTTGACCCAATCATCAGAGTGAAGGAAAAAAAAAATTAAACTGGCTTCTGGAAATAAAGTGTGTGACCCATCTGAGGCAAATTATCTATTTTAAAGTACCAGTTTCTCTCAGCATTTCAGAAAGTTACTTGCTCAAAAAGGAAAGTAATTTCTTGGAGGAAATAATTTACCTCAGGTGGAAAAGGGGCAAAGGTGTAGCTCTTGACCTAGCAAAGTTTTTAACCCAGGCTTGGAACCTCAGTATTAAATGGATCCCAACAATCCAATACTAAACTCAAATTGTAAGGGCTAGAGCAGAGTCTTTTACTATTTCAAGGCTCTGTTGATTTTGAAAGGGCTCTTTAAGAGGTTGTCTCAAAACCCATGTGCTCACAAAACTCAATATTGGCATCGTATACCAGTTCCCATAGGTTCTCTGATGTTTCTGGAGGTAACTGCATACAGAAATTAGACAGATTGTTCAGCAGTATTTACTGGTAGGGTAAGTTTGAAAAAGTATTATCTCATTTGTTCTTATTCTAGACATAAATTCTTCTCAAGTAGCTTCCCTTGTTCCAGGAAAGCTGAAAATCCCATTCACACATAGAGATGGGGCACTTTTGAATGTTGTGTTCATAACTGCCATTTTTCTACTTCCATTCAGTTTGCTCATCGTATATATTTTTAACTTCAATTGAGATTCTCATGCATCCATTTAACACTAACTCCAAGGCACTCATTTCCAGCATTGATCGTCACAGGTTGCTTTATTGGTGTCCTGTGGGTGGCGTGAGGTACGATGGTGCTCTGGCGTCCGCTTTCTTTCTTCTTCCATATGAACTCCTAGTCTGGGTTCCACAACACTACCAGATTTTTTCCCATCCCAATCCAGATTCCTTCTGGGACTTCAAATCCGGGCTTGGGCATAGGAGGAGTAACAAAGAAATATTTTCCCATTGAAATATCCCCTAGTGAGACCTTGCTAGACTGGCTTGAAGAGGGTTTTCTATCTAAGTAGCCCATCAATTTTCTTCTCCATGTAGAGTGGCATAAACAGGTCTAAAAAAGTAAACTATGATTTTCTCTGTAAGTGAACATCCTGTATGTCAGGCTCATAATCTCAAGAGGATAAGTAGATTGATTTAACATAAGAAGTGGAGAGCTGGTATGTAAGTGCAAGTGTGCGTAAAACCTGGAATTTGAATAGTAAAACCAGTTTGAATTTTGACAACCTAACATATGGATAGTAAGACCAGTTTGAATTCCGACAACCTGAAATATGAATAGGAGGGGATGGCTGTGGATAGGGTTAAGATGAAGGCAGATATACTGAACTTAGCATGAATTACCTTTGGTCTAGTAATATTACCTTTGGTCTAGTAATGCCAGCTTGGCAGCCTAAACTGAATTTATCCATTGATTTAAATAAACCAGTGGGTGTCAAGTATCTATGCAAAGCTTGTGTAAGAGCTCCATAAGATTTTTAAAAAGTCATCCACAAATAAAATGCAAAGCCTATGAGATTGGCCTGATGAAAATATCCCAATAACTGAAGGGAGGGTAAATTTGAATATGGCACGTCTCGTATGGGGTCCTTTTTCCAGCATTAAGCCATTTTGCTTGAGCTCTATGGAGTAGAACAAAATAGAAATGAAAAGGACTTTTCCAACCAAATTCTCCCAGGAACAGAGAGCAC
Source organism: Homo sapiens (assembly GCF_000001405.40). Lineage (NCBI taxonomy): Eukaryota > Metazoa > Chordata > Mammalia > Primates > Hominidae > Homo > Homo sapiens. The sequence goes on along the minus strand of NC_000021.9, from coordinate 26,807,373 downwards.
CAAATGTGGAAGATATGACCCATGGAATTCAAAGCTGAGAGGCAATACTGACCACGTCTACAGTATGGCTTCACCACATGGACTTCAGTAACTCTAGCTTCCATTAGATAGGTTATGGGTTTGAGTGCAGCAAGACAGCTTTTGCAGAGAGTGGCTTTTTTTTTTTTTTTTTTTTTTTTTTAACAGGATGATCTCACCTACAACAGCAGCAACAGGAAACAATATAGTAGTGTTAACTGTGGCTTTCAGACATATCGATGCCTCCACTCTGATTACTGTATGAAGCCAGTTCAGGCAGAAAGAAAATATGGGCACATATAGTATCTATCAGAGCTGAGTTTATGAGTACGCAAAAGACATCCTCTGGGGACTTCCAGAAATATTTAAGAGGGACGATGAAGGTTTCTGTAGGTCTGGAAGACCATGAGGAAGGGGAAGAGTCAAAGAAACAAACACTCACGGTGACTTATTGTGACTCATATTCTTGCTTCAAAACCTTTGTGGTCTGAGGAAACACATATTATATCCATAAAGAGCTGTCTATTTGTTGGTCAGAAGCATACGTGACAAATATTGTGAGTTAGTTTATTTTCAACCACTGTTCCAAATTCATTTACTCCTCTTTACCAAAATTTAAAATAAAATTTTCATTCTCCCTTGCTGATAGGGGTTGACCATATAAAATGGTTTTGGCCAATGAGACATGCAGAATTCTTCTCAAATAAGAATGGTAAAATATAGTGAGAAGAAAACTTTGGCATTTTACACTTGCCAAAACTATTCTTTCTGCCTAGAATGAGAATGTGATGGCTGGAGTTGCTGTAGCTATTTTGTGGCCATGAGATCAAAAGCAGTAGAAGATAATTGAGGGAGCCTGGTTCCATGATGGCTCCCTTGACACCTGCAAGAACCCTTGATTGTCAGCTTCTGGATTTTTTGATATATCAGAAAATCTTTTACTTGTTTAAGCCACTGCTTTGGTTTTCTCTTAATTTGTAGCCTATTGGATTCTAAATTGATATTTTGGAAAATATTCTATTATTCTAAATAAACTATCTACCTGTTCCTCAACTGACAGAAATATAGATTTCCTGTTTTGCAATTTGTTGATTCATTAGTTGATTCATCATACTGGTACAGAGCAAAGATCAAACACTCAATAATTACTTTGGATGCTAGTTTGAAATACGGAACACTATATCTGCATTTATTGCCTTTTAATTATTTCATTTTTATGGAAGGACAATAGAAGTGTGGATAAAAATAATATGTTAACTGACTTGGCCATTTGATAAATGCTAGTTTTCATCCTTTATCTAGGTTATAAATTAAAAAAATCAAAATTCAATGGCTTTAGAGATTTTGTTAGAAATGTTTTAATACCCCAGTGGTCAGTCCATGTTTGCCCGTAACTTTGTGCTTTCATTTTCACTGTACTATATTGATAATGAAAGCTTTTCATTTATATGGTCATGGGAAAGTATATAGATCTGTGCATACAAATGCCTGGAAATAAAGCATAGAGAAAAGCTATAAACTAAATTTGGGGCCACCGGTTTGCAATATGGAAAATCCAAGAATGAGCTGAAGCTTTTGCCCATTAAACAATTATCTGCAAGTGGGAAGGTTTTTGTTTTTAGTTTAGGCCACCCCTCACCTCCACTCCAGGCCTAATGTGTAGAAATGGGGGTGGCAGTTTTCAGAAGTGCGCATTACTCAGAGAAAATAAAATTTATTATAGTCTTATTTTTTAATGTCAGTAAATCATCCAATACCTCTCCAGTGGAGATAAAAGAAAGAAAGAGGGAAGTGAAAGGAAAGGGGGAAGCACATCCAAGAATGAGTGAGCCTGACTCTTCAGTGGAAAGAGTGTCTGCACCTTGTATGCTCTCTACACTCTGATTAGGATAACACGATCCAGATGGCCACTCCAAGAAGATTCCTTTCATGAGGAAAGTTCTGGGTGGGGTGGATTATTGTGATCAATGGAATAAGCTGCAGCTGGATGAACTCTGGGTTACCTTTGAGAATTGCTAAATTAATGATGATTACACAGATTCTGACAAATTTCCCAGGAATTTTTCTAAAATGGATGGTTAAAAAAATGTGTATAGGGGCTAGATCTTTTCATAGCAATGAGAGGAGCTTCTTAGAAACCCATGGGCCTCTAGGAAGATTTGAGATTGCAGGGCTTACAAGCAGTGCTGATTTTCAGCAGGTAAGCCCCAGTACAGCTGTGCAGGTTTACAGCCAGTGCCGATTCTGACTGGTTGAGGCGCACCCTGTACTAATTGATAAATATTTTGAAGTTCACTGCTGCCTTTTGGCAGAAGTTGTTGGCATTGATTCAATTCCCTTGGCCGACTAAAAATGATAGGCCAAGTCAACAGAGCAAAGGCATCTTAGGTGGAGGGGGAATGGGACATGAGTTTTGTCCATCAGGTGCTCAGGAGCCTTCGTTCTCTGCACAGCTCCACAGTAGGTGGTTAGGTATTCAGTCTGTCATACCTCATTTTATCCCATTCATGAACTTAGGCTTTCTAACACATAGAACTACACCAAAGTTGCTTCCTTGAGTGAATCTGAGTCGTTTCATTCATTCAGAATTAATTGAGCCTTTCCTACATGTCTAATATTCAACCAGGGACTAGAGGTGAATAACTTAGGTGGGTCAAGACTGAGTACATTAATTCTTTTAGGCATTACATTTTATAACACTTAGCAGTAATTTATTTCATTAAATACATGCCTAAGTGTGTTTCCCAGGAGTTTATCTTCCTACCAAGAAAAGGGAAGCCAAGGGATTATAAGCACAATTTCCTAACCAAGAGTCTCTAAAGAGATTTTTGGATAGCATCAAAGGTCTACAGAGTTACTCTTAATTTGGTCATTTTGGAGGAAAAAAAAAACAAGCCATTAATTGTGTAATAGATAATGCTAAAAGCCTCAAATTCACAAACTTTAAAGGGAACTGTTCTCACATTGCTATAAAGAACTGGGTAGTTTATAAAGAAAAGAGGTTTAACTGGCTCACAGTTCCACAGGCTGTACCGGAAGCATGGCTGGGAAGGCCTCAGGAAATTTACAATCATGGCAGAAGGCGAAGACTAAGGAGGCATGTCCACATGGCTGGAGCAGGAGGAAGCGAGCAAAGGGGGTGGTGCTACACACGTTTAAACAAACAGATATCATGAGAACTCACTCACTACCACGAGAACAGCAAGGGAGAAATCCGTCCCCATAATCCAATCACCTCCTACCAGCTCCCTGCCCCAACACTGGGAATTACAATTCAACATGAGATTTTGGTGGAGGCACAGAGCCAAACCATATCAGGAACTAATCCAATAAGAGAAGCCATAGACTCCTGATACAATGTCTAATCTATTGATTGCTGCATTATCTTGGGCAAGTCATTATCAAGGAGGAGCAGTTAATAGCAGAGACTCAGCTGTTTCAGCAACTTAGTACGATTCTGAGCTCCATCTCTTATTAACGGACTGACCTTGAGTAAGAATTAACATACGCAAGCCCCAGTTTCCTCATCTGTAAAGTGAAGGCAGTAACCGTAAAGCTGTTGTGAGGATTGAATGTTATTATTAGATCTGTGCCCGACACACTGAAATACCACATAATTGTCTGTAATTATTTAAAAATTGTGCAATCAATGCTATATGTGATACAAAAGAAAAGAATGGATTCTAAAAATTGGGAGCAGGAGGAATCTCAGAAACTACAGTTAGAGATGAAAAAAAATTGGCTAAAATACGTCACTCCAAAAATTATTCTTCTCTTTTGCCTTCATGTTTATTTCTGTCTTATGAGATATTCTTTTCTAAGTTAGGAGAAGACATTCATGGCAAAGGGTGGAACTGTGAGATAAGGCAAGCCAAGAAAGGAAATGAAAGGGAACCCACATGATATTACCCAAGCAACTTCTAAAATGTGTACCCAGATTAATAAAGGCAGGTACACAATACTGTCTGCTGCTTCCAGGCTCAACAATACCCTGTCAAATTAAGAAGGATTTGTTGCTTCCAGAAAACAGCAAAAGGTTTCCCCCAATACAGAAAGCAACTAAGAAGCAGGTTTATGCTCAAGTTGGGAAGGAAGGAGCAAAAGAAGGATAAGAAAACAAGGCACGAATGAAGGGAGATGGGGATCAGGGGAGGCAGGGCAGGGCCAAGGAGAGATTTCTTACTTGTATTATTGTTAACGTAACTGCTGATTTTTACAAATGTTCTAAGATATTTCTTGAATTTCAGAATTAAAGTGATGCCACATCAAATAGAGAACTGTACAAATTATTCTTCAATTAGGCATATTTGTTAGATTCAAAGATGTATAATCATGTTAAAAATATTAAATATAACAACCAAAACTGTAATATTAGAACTCAGATTATATTGCCAATTTTATATTACATGATATTTCATTTCTACAAAGAAATTACATTCCCTTAAGAAGAGTCTTCAGGGGCCGGGTGCGGTGGCTCATGCCTGTAATTCCAACACTTTGGGAGGCCAAGGCGAGCATATCACTTGAGGTCAAGAGTTCAAGACCAGCCTAGCCAACATGGTGAAACTCCGTCTCTATTAAACTATATATATGTGTGTGTTGACATGCGCCAGTAGTCCCAGCTACTCAGGAGACTGAGACAGGAGAATTGCTTGAACCCAGGAGGCAGAGGTTGTAGTGAGCTGAGATTGCATCACTGCACTCCAGCCTGGGCAACAGAGTGAGATTCCATCTCAAAAAGAAGAAGAACCTCCCTCATAATTAATAGCTGCATCCCCACAACCATCTCACCCCTTCCTATACAGGCCTTCAATCCACAGGGATTTGTGTTTGGGTTATCATGGTTCCCAAGATTTGGTATTTGTTCATTGATTCAAGTTTTCACTTTTCATTCTAGTGGTCAGCATGTTAAGAATGGTCTAATTGGGAAAAAAAATTACCTGAGAAAATAAAGTCTGTGGAATATTCACCAAAGATAAATTGTATGTACATGGTTCTCTCAATCTGTCATGTATCCTGTGTTAACAGATAAATTCCTGTTGGAAATATGGATATCTTAGTTTAGAAAATTTAGTGATTAGCAAATATTGATGCACAGATAAAATCAAAGAGCAAAGTTCGTGATGTGGATTATCTGAAAGAAGTGATTTTTAAAAACATGTTTGAGATCCTGCTGAAATCATCATAAAACCAAAGTTTCTATGATTCCACGATACTAAATGCCTGAGTATGGAAGAAGCCAAAATAAAAAATCCATGCACATTTTAATGGTATATATCCTTATCTATATAAAAATGTAAACGTGTAAAGATGTCTAGAAACGTCCTTGAAAGATAATCCTTTGTTTCACCCACATAAATGGGGAAAAGTCTCTACTTCAATCCTGTGAATTTGCTTATATTGACTTTCTTACCTTTTGCTATTGGGAAAAATAGACCATATAGTCCAAGGCAAGCCTTGTTTTCATGTAATTTTTAAAAATAAGGACACATGCATTTGCTTGATTTAATGCTAGTTGTCTTCTACTTCTTAGACTGAGCTAACCAGCATGAAATCTGCAGCATACACTCAGCAAATGAAGACAGATGTGAGTGAAGGAAAATCCCTTTCCTGGTTCTCATAAAAGCTCTCAAGTTGCAGGCTGATGGTATTTTCTCCTTAAAAGGTAGCAGAATTTACAATTACAAAAGTTTGCGTAGTGGGAAGTTGCATAATTCTCTCCACCAGTGCCTGTAAAAAATTCTCTTCATTCTCCCTCTTTTGATAATCTCTAGCTTGCCAATGCATTCAGTTTCAGCTGAAATGTTTTTCCCCCTTCTACTATTTCAAATCAGGAATTGAACAATGTAGGAAAAAGTATTTTAGAATTTGGAACCTTAACATTTTCTTCCTAAACGTTTTGCCATTTGGACAAAACATGTGAATGGTAATGAATGGCTGAAGCTTTCCAGTGTGTCCTGAGGCTGTGGTAAGCGGGCCACTGCCTTAATCATGTAACTGTTTTTAATTTGAGATCATTGCATCCTTGTTTCACAGTCGTTTTCTCCTCAAGTCTCTCTCTGGCTCTTAGCAGATGCTGCGATAGTTGAAAGTTGCTCAAGTGCTGTCCTTCTCCAGGGCTCTGTCATGTGAAGTCTGCTAACGAGAAAACAGAATTTGAACAGAGCGTGGGACCCTGACCTGGTTGTGTACTTTGCGGGCCACTTCCACCAGTCTATTTTCTATGGATAACAAAACTAGGCAATGTTGAGTAAACTCCCCGATGAGCATTTTCTCTTTCTCAGTCTCCTGGAAACTTTCCGAATGGATTAAAATAAAAGTAACATCATGTGTGATCATGTGATCCTGCAGACAGACGAGGCAGTAAGCAGAGATCATCTAATGGATCTAAAGTCCTGTATAAAAATGAATCCATTCAATGTGGACACTCAATTCCTAATTAAAAATGCAGTGTATAGTTTACTCTTTTATTTATACAACCCCAAAGTGCTATAAAATCACAGATATTTTACATATTTATTATGTTCATCCTCTTCAATGAGGTCACTTAGAAACCCAGCTCTAGCTAACTTCTAACTCATTCTGTCTCCCTCATTCTATCTGCTCCTGGTACCACCAGCCCAGCAAAATTAAATGGATTTTAAGACATAAAATCAACAGATGAAGACATAGTTTCTGCTCACGTCATGCCCAGGAAATGCAGGTAGATGGGGTTAGGTATATGGGAAGGGATTTAATGAGCAATGGGACCATTGAGACTGGGAAGGAGAGACAAGGGACACTCTTTTAAGTGATGAAACAAAGAACACATACCAAAACCATAAATGGGCTCAGCTCACAACCATGTACACTGTGTATGAGTGCATAGACTTACATACACATCTCCGTAAGGCATATCACCCACTTGCCACCCACTTTGAGACTTCCGCAGGGTGAGCTATCCAAGGGCCTGGGAGTGACTCTTCAAGGTCAGTCAGGGCTGCTCTGCAATCTGATGGGAGAAGGGTGGCCTGGAAAGGGTGGCAGCACCTTCCACACAGAACAACTGAAATATTCAGAAATGGGACTCAATGTTTTGTCCTCGTGCTTTTCTTGGAATCAGGGGGGAGGAAAGAGCAGTAAAGAGTTAAGGCAGTAGGTCTGCAGAGCCTGAACTGGAGGCATTCCTAAATGTGAGCACAGCCCAAACCACCCACGGTTGCCCTTGACCTAGAGGAATCAAGTGTTGTACTCTGAAAGAAGTAATGCTTTTTCAAACACACTGCTTTGGAAAGAGGGCAGCAGAAAGGCGTGGTTCTTTATTCAATCTATGTAGAAGCATATCACTTTGTTTACTTCCTTTTTCAGTTGATTTTATTTATTTATTTTTTTGATGTGGGAAGGACAGGTCCTAGGTTTAAATACAATCCTCTTCCCAGAAGGTTTTCATACCTTCTCTTCACACATGATTTATAGTATATAACTGGATGTAGATAATAGAGGGAATGGGACTATCAAAATAGGAATTGTTCAGGGTAGGAAAAGGAAAGGAGATTTTAGAACTTGAAGAACTGATATTCAAGTTCTGCCATTGTCTAACTCTTAATCTTCCTTTGTCACACAGAACATAGTTAAGCAGAGGTATCTGCGCTCATTAGTAGGGTAATAAGTGAGCAGAGAGAAGCAGAAAAGCAAGGGATGTGATGGTGTGTCAGTAACTCAAGGGGTGAGCCCAAGTACTTAATACCATTTGCTTAGTTTCACGGAAATTTTCTGGAGCGAAATGGAGAAACTGGGCAGTAAGGTCTTTAGCATCCTAAACAGTGATACCCTGGAGCTGCCACGCTTAACCTTCGGTGGATTATAGACCCCTTTTTGAACTAGATGAAAACAATGGACCTTCTCCCCTGCCCCCCAAACACACAGACATGCACAATTTGTCATGCAGTTAACAGGAAATCCCAGACTACTGGAGCCTCTGCACATGCCCTAGGTTAAGAGCCCTTCTCCAGAGAAGGCTTCATAAAGCCTATTCTGGGATGTTTATAATGGTTGGTTTGTTTGAGAAAGGATGATGTCATAGTTTATAGCTTTGAAAGCTTGACAGAAATTGAGATTTCCTTTTGTGGAGTGGCTTTTTCATGTTAAGCACTTGATAAATATTTGTTGAGTGATTGAAAAAGCAAATAAGTGAATGTTCAATATCTAGATCTTATCATTGTATGTATCTGTTCCGTATCAAAGGCTAGTTTAAAATAATTTGCTGTGCTTTTTGCGCCATGATGGTGGGACAACTCCATGAGGTTTCCAGTTTCATGCATGCATGGACTTGATCACCATAGAGCCTGCCCTATCAGAACATGATGTTAATGGAGGAGTTAATGGATAGAAACACATGGGACAGCCAATCCAATGAAGATGCATTCACATTTTTCATACAGATTTATAATCAGTAACACTCCCTGTGTGGTAAGCAGAATAATATCCTTCCGGACAAAGATGTCCACCATGTCCCAAACCTGGAGGCTCTGAATATGTTATCTTCAAGAGAAAAGGGACTTTGCAGATGTGATTAAGGTTATGGACCTTGAGGTTAACCTAGATAATTCTAGAAGGTTCAATGTAGTTACACAAGTCCCAGAAAACCTCTACGAACTGTGATTAGAAAGATGATGGAAGATGGATCAGAGAGATGCAGTGTTGCTGCTTTGAAAATGGAGGAAGGGGGCCGTGAGTCAAGGAATGTGGGTGGTCTCTAGAATCTGAAAAAGGCAAGGAAATGGATTCTCCCTTGGAGCTTCCAGAAGTAAATGTACTCCTGCTAACATCTTGATTTTAGCCCAGTGAGACCCACATCAGACTTCTGACCTACAGAACTGTAAGATAATAAATTTGTGTTGTTGTAAGCGGTTAAGTTTGTGACACTTTGTTTCAGCATCAGTAGGAAACCAATACACATTCCAATAATGAGAGGTGATATTTCTTAAGCATCACCTATGTTAAACACTTTACATGAATTAGCTTCGTCTTCACAAATCTTTTCAGGCAGGCGCTAAAACTAACAACGTTGAGCAGAGGAGCAAGGGGAAGCAACCCGCCCAAGCAACCCTTGGCGGGTTGGTTTAACTGTCATTCAAACCACATCAGTCTGACTGTGGGAACCACACACTTCACCAGGCAGTACTGCAGGATGATGATGGTTCGGGCCAGAGAAACAGTGGACATGGGAAATGTGGATTGATTGGAGTCTGTGACACTTTCCTGTGGACGGTGTGTATGTGCGAGTGGGTGTGTGTTTACGTATATTGCTGTGTAGGCATCTGTGGGTGAGTCTATGTCAGGTTAGGGCTCATGCTCGGCACAAAAAAGTGACAAATAATAAAAGCTCAAAGGAATAGTTTATAGATTTCCAGTCCACTGTTTCTTAAGATAGAATAGTATATCCCTGCTACTACCTTGTCAAGCAGTAGAGATAGCACAACTTGGCAGTAACTGGCCTACAAGAATAAAAGAAAATCAAGAAACAAGAAAATCATCAGATTGGGCATAGTGACTCACGCCTTTAATCTCAGAACTTTGGGAGTCTGGGGTGAGAGGATCACTTGAGGCCAGGTGTTTGAGACCACCTGGAAAACATAGGAAAACCCCATCTCTAAAGAGAAAAAAAAAGGGCGGGGGGTGTGGTAGCACACACCTCTAGTCCCAGCTACTGGGGAGAGTTAGATGGGAGGATCCTTTCAGTCTGGGAGTTAGAACCTGCTGTGAGCTGTTAATGCCACTGCATTTTAGCCTGGGCAACAGAACAAGACCCTGTCTCTAGAAAAAGAAAAAAGAAAATCACTAAGCTTTTCAGGGTTTAAAACTATTACTCCCTTGATGCTGTGTAATTTTTAGGACTTTTGTTGAGTTTTGCTTTAAAAAAACTTTAAAGTGCAGGGGTACATGTGCAGGGTTGTTACACAGGTAAACTTGCGTCATGGGGGTTTGCTGTACAAATCATTTCATCATCCAGGTATTAAGCCTAGTACTCATTAGTTATTTTTCCTGATCTTCTTTCTACTCCCACCCTCCACCCTCCAAAAGGCCCCAGTGTGTGTTGTTCCCCTCTACCCCTCTATGTCTCCATGTGTTCTCATCAAGACTCTTTGCATTGTTAACATGATTTCTATGTCAAATTTTAAACATCAGTTCATAGTTGGAGTGGGTAGAGCACACAGAAGCCACACTGTGTGACTTGATTCATGCTCCAAATCTGGGCAAAGCCAGGTTGACACACTTTGCCAGTACTGTCCTGCTTCTTTCCTGGAAAAGGAATTTCGCCTCTAACCATTGTGGTCCTTTCTTGAATTGCTGTGTAATTTCAGTTTTCTAGAAAAGAAATGCCACTATCAGCCCTAAACCAGTAAACCAGTGAGTAGACATCAGGACGTATTTGTGAATTTTTTCTTCTTAAATCTTGTACCATTGTAAGAAAGAATTTAGGCCAAAGAAGGAAAATCTCTTGATAAGTCTGGAAGAAAAAGAGCTGTCATTTTTTAAATGTTGACATATGAAAACACCAAATAAATATCAGCAGAAAAGAGCATATGTAATTATGATTTGATTTCTTATTTGTGCAAACTGGAGAATCTATTTCTGAGGTAGTTTCATGGAGAAACTCTGAAACAAGCAGAAATATAGGCTGCATTTATTTGTATAGGGAAATGTCAAAATGTTCTCCAATCTTTTACATATATGATAAATGAATGGAGAGATAAATAGACAGTTACAGAAATAGACAGGAAATATGTTGTGGATGATTGTATTAAGAGCACAGTGTCGGTTAGTGTCTAATTTGCTTATGATTTATTTGACTGAATAAAAGAGACAGTTGACTTTGTTCAGAAATCTTCAACTAGAAATCCCATGTGTTTCAAAGATTTAGAAATAGGTTTGATAAGCAGTTCCTTGAAAAGTTAAATATGAATTTCTGGATATTGTCATCATCTCACATTAGTCTCTATTTGTCCTACGTGCATTTTGCTTTCTTCCTAAAATTTCCCAAAGAAAGTAAAACTGGCAGTCTTAGGGACTGGTAACCTGAGTCAAATTAGGGCTCAATCCAATAGTTCTTCCGTATTCTCCCAAACAACTGGAGTCATCAGAGTCCTCTCTCCTACGTAAATAAGGTCTGCTGGACAAGGTTTATAGCATCACACAGAATGAGTCACTGTTTATTTATGTTCTCTTTCTAGCTATCTCTAGAGAAAGAACTCTTTTGGCAGCCTGCCTTCCCCCTCCTTTTTCATAAAGCCTCTCCACGGCCCCCTCCAACCACGCACAGCAGCACCCACACTTTCCAGCCGCTTTATGCTTTATGTGCATGGCCCTCCTTGTTCCCCGTGAATCTTGCAGCTGTTGCTTTGTCATTACACAGTGTCCATTGTCTTTATGGCTGCTGCTTTATAAAGAGGTGGCTTTCAGTCTGTAATTGCTTTGTAGCTGCTTATTAAATGCTTACATTTTTTTTTTAATGACAGCTTGAAAAAACACAAGTGCATAACCCTTTTTTTGAGGGGGGGACGTTTCTCATCTCCCCTAAAGACCCGACAGAGGCCCATTGTGGTGGTTGAGAAGTTACATAGAGGTCTTGGAAGAAATCCTGCTCCCCTGTCATGAATCTTTAGGGTTTGTTTGGAGACACTGATGGAGAAACATGTATCTTCGAACAAAGGAAAGTTCTTTTCAGGAGAAAGCCATCCTTCTGAACTAAACTTTGGGCGGGTCCCTCCTGGAACTGTGAGGAAGGAAGAAAATCCCAGCGTGGCTTCACACACCCTTATGAGGCGAAGCCACTCTGGGACACAACAGATAAATGTACCGGCAAATTATTCGCACTTCTTAAATCCGTTTCTCTACTGGCCCTTTCTTAAGCAGTTTTAGGAACGTGACCCGAGAGACAAACTGACAGTCAGTCACCCATTGCCCTCATTTTACTTGCCTACCTGTAGAATTTGACATGGGATCACGCCTTTCTCCTTGAAAGTATGTCTTTTCTTGGCTTCCAGGAACCATATTTCTCATTTTCTCCTACCTACTGGCTATCCTTTCACAGTCTCCTATCCCTAATCTCTAAAAATTATGTCTTAGTGGCCAAAACTAACATATGAAAAAATGCCCAATGTCACTAATCATGAGAGAAATGCAAATCAAAACCACAGTGAGATAACATCTCACACCAGTCAGAATGGTTATTATTTTTCAAAAAGTCAAAAAATAACAGATGTTGGCAAGGCTGTGGAGAAAAAAGAATGCCTATACACTGCTGGTGGAAATGTAAATTAGCTCAGCCACTGTGGAGAGCAATTGGGAGATTTCTCAAAGAACCAAAAATAAAACTGCTGTTTGACCAGCAATCCCATCACTGGGTCTATTCCCAAAGGAAGATAAACTATTCTACCAAAAAGACACGTGAACGCCTATGTTCACTGCAGCACTATTCACAACAGCAAAGACATGGAATCAACCCTAGGTGCCTGTCAACAGTGGATTTAATAAGGAAAATGTGGTACATAGACAACATGGAATACTATGCAGCCATAAAAAAATGAAGTCGTGTATTTTGCAGCACCATGGATGCAGCTGGAGGCCATTATCCTAAGCTAATTAAAGCAGAAATGGAAAACCAAATGCGACATGTTCTCACTTAAAAATGGGAGCTAGACCCTGGGTACACATGGACATAAAGATGGAAAAAATAGACACTGGAAACTCCAAAAGGAGGGAGGGAGGGAAAGGAGCAAAGGCTAAAAAACTCCCTGTTAGGTACTAAGTTCACTATGTGGGTGATGGGATCAATAGAAGCCCAAACCTCAGCATCATGCAATGTACTCTTGTAACAAACCTGCACAGTGTATCCCCTGAATCTGAAACATACATTTTTTAAAAGAAAAAATAAATAAAATTAAAATTGTGTTTTTCTGGCCAGGCACGTTGCTCACGCCTGTAATCCCAGCACTTTGGGAGGCTGAGGCGGGCAGATCACTTGAGGTCAGGAGTTCGAGACCTGGCCAACATGGTGAAACCCCATCTCTACTAAAAATACAAGAATTAGTTGGGCATGGTGGCATGTGCCTGTAATCTCTGCTACTCGGGAAGCTGAGGCAGGAGAATGACTTGGACCTGGGAGACGGAGGTTGTAGTGAGCCAAGATCATGCCACTGCAGCCTGGGTGACAGAGCAAGACTCAGTCTTAAAAAAAAAAAGTGTATTTCTTTTTCTGCATCTTCACTAACTGTCTTCATGATTCCTTCCGTCTTCTCACTGTAAATATCATTATTATATCAAGAACTTTTAAGTTTGTATCTCTAGCTGAAAACTCTTCCCTGAAATTTAGGCTCCTCTATTCAATTACCAATTAGATATCTCTACTTGAATGTCTAAGAGCATTTCAAAATAAGCATGTCTTAAACTGAACTCCTTATCTCCCTTCCCTGCCACCACTACCCTTACTTAAAAACAAAACAAAACAAAAAAACAAAAATCTGTGTCTTCTGAAGCTTCCCCTTCTAAGGAAATGGCAGTTTCTTTTTCCAAGTCCTCAGTCCAAAATTTATAAAGTTATTTTGTACTCCTCTCTGTTTCTCACATTTCATTCATATCTTCATACTTCAGATCATCAGTAAATCTTACGGTATCTACTTTCAAAGAATTCCCTATCCTAATCACTGTTACAACTTCTATTGCCACCATCTTGGTCCAAGCCACCAACATCTGTCACCTGGAGTATTGCAGTACCCTCCAAATAGGCATCCCTACCTCCATTTCCGCATTCTCATTCGGCTCCAGTCTATTAAGAATTTTCACCAGTGTGATCCTGTTAAAATACAGGGAAATTCTTTTCGTTCTTTGTTCAGAATTATCCTTTCCAATTTCTCAAAAGAGAAGCCAAAGTTCTTTACAATGTCCAACAAGGCTTTACCTGATTTGACCACCCCCCACCATTACTCTTATCCTATATCCTTTTCTATTAACTCAGCTTTAGCCATAGTTGCTGTTCCTTAAACTTGCCAAGCACACTTCCTCCTCAGTCTTTGCCCTTGCTCTTTATTCTGTCTAGAATCTGCTTCTCCCAGATATTTGCATGTTTAACTCTACACTTTAGTTCTTTTCTCATATATCATCTTCTCAGCTATCTTAACTAACATTGCAAACTCCTCACTCCATATCTCCCTTACTTTATTATTCTCTTGAGCACCTATAGCCATCTAATATGGCTGAGTTGTCTTAAAATGTGAGCCTCATTAAGAAATATATTCTTGACTCTTGTATTCACTCCTGTACTATAAAACCTACTCCTGTGCCAGTGCCTAGTATATTATTTGGCTCATGGTAGGAACTAAAAAAAAATATTTATTGAATGTTGAAAAAAATAAATGAATCAAGAAACAAGGTTAGCAAATACATGTATTTCTGGTTAAATGTATGATTTACTAGTTCAACCACTGTGGAAGTCAGTGTGGCGATTCCTCAGGGATCTAGAACTAGAAATACCATTTGACCCAGCCATCCCATTATTGGGTATATACCCAAAGAATTATAAATCATGCTGCTATAAACACACATGCACATGTATGTTTATAGCGGCACTATTCACAATAGCAAAGACTTGGAACCAACACAAATGTCCAACAACAATAGACTGGATTAAGAAAATGTGGCACATATACACCATGGAATACTATGCAGCCATAAAAAATGATGAGTTCATGTCCTTTGTAGGGACATAGATGAAACTGGAAACCATCATTCTCAGCAAACTATCACAAGGACAAAAAACCAAACACCGCATGTTCTCACTCATAGGTGGGAACTGAACAATGAGAACACATGGACACAGGAAGGGGAACATCACACTCCAGGGACTGTTGTGGCGTGGGGGGAGGGGGGAGGGATAGCATTAGGAGATATACCTAATGTTAAATGACAAGTTAATGGGTACAGCACACCAACATGACACATGCATACATATGCAACAAACCTGCACATTGTGCACTTGTACCACAAAACTTAAAGTATAATAATAATAAAATTTAAAAATAAATAAATAAATAAAAAAGAAATACTCTCAGAAGAAAAAATGTATGATTTACTCCCTGTCATGTTTGCTTCTCTACCTAGTGAACAGGCTAGAAAGAACAATGCTTCATTATAAGGATATTCTTCTTTAAAGGTGAGATGGTATTCAGACCTGAATAGCAGATACCTCTTGTAGCTATCTCACCATTCCCTAAAGAGTTATTTTAAGATAACAATTCATTTAACATATTCCTTCTCTATAAGAACTAAATAGGCTGGGCACGGTGGCTCACGCCTGTAATCCCAGCACTTTGGGCGGCCGAGACGGGCGGATCACGAGGTCAGGAGATCGAGGCCATCCTGGCTAACATGGTGAAACTCCATCTGTACTAAAAATACAAAAAATTAGCCGGGCTTGTTGGCAGATGCCCGTAGTCCCAGCTACTCAGGAGGCTGAGGCAGGAGAATGCGTGAACCTGGGAGGCGGAGCTTTCTGTGAGCCAAGATTGCACCACCGCACTCCAGCCTGGGTGACAGAGTGAGACTCCGTGTCAAAAAATAAAAAAATAAAATAAATAAAAAAACTGTATAAATGAAATTGTATATTAACTAACTTATCTCAAGCAAATAAAACATTGATATCCTTCAATAAAGTAAAAAAGTAAGACTGGTTTTGGAGCTAACTACATGTCCCCGTCTTTTTTTGTTCTTTGAGATGGAGTTTCGCTCTGTCGCCAGGCTGGAGTGCGGTGGCGCAATTGATCTCGGCTCACTTCAACCTCCGCCTTCCATGTTCAAGCAATTCTCCTGCCTCAGCTTCCCCAGTAGCTGGAATTACAGGTGCCCACCATCACGCCTGGCTAATTTTTTGTATTTTTAGTAGAGATGGAGTTTCGCCATGTTGGGCAGGCTGGTTTCGAACTCCTGACCTCAGGTGATCCACCCGCCTCGGCCTACCAAAGTACTGGGATTACAGGCATGAGCCACCATGCCTGGCCAACTACATGCACATTTTTTATACCCTACATACAGGTCTAGGTGTGAGGTGACAGGTCTAGCTGTGAGGTGATATGGACATGTAGGAAGGTAAGGTGGAGCGGTAGAGACAAAGGACAAATACAAGAACTGTTAGAAATAGAGAAGTCCAGGGCTGGAGATGTGTTGTTCTGGAGGGATCTCTGTAGGGATGAAAATTGGACTGTGAGGGTGAATGAGATTGTTAAGGTAATGAAAAAGAAAAGCAAGAATTCTGAGGATTGAGCCTTGAATTACACGTTTCTTGAGAAGGTGGGAGAAAGAGAAAATGGCAATAAAAAAAATAAGAGGCATGAGACAGGGGTGTGAGGGAATCATGAGAACCTGGTTTCCTAAAAACGTTTCAACCAAGAGGAGCCAGTCTAAATCATTGAATAATATGGCAAGTTCAAGGGTAATCAGGACCTTGGTGGGGAAGAGAGAACATTTATGTTTTCTCAGTAGCCCTGAGCCCTATTATGATTCCCCAACACATTTTTACACCATTGTTTCAAATTTTTTATGCTTTGCTTCTTTCTCCTTTTATCTGTACCTTCAATTTTAGCAAGAACCATGAATCTATCTAGTGAGAGTTTTCCTAACTATGTATAATCACAAAATCTGCTCTGAATTAGGAAGTCTCTTAACCATATAGAATTAAATGTCCAAATATTTATATTTCAAAACAGATTCAGCAGAAATAGACCTCAAAGAAATAGACTTAGCAGGCTTGCAGGAAGGAACAAGCAAAACTGTAACTAAAAAGGGCACATTTTTATTTTATTTTAGTTGGAGCAGTTGGGATCAGTGCCAAACCAGGCCATAGTGAAGCCTGAGGAACAGGAAAAACCAGTAATACATTTTGATATTTTGTTCACCATGTATTTTTTTGTATAAATTTTGATTTTAAATGTTGCACTTAAAATGTTATTTACCTTGATTAGTGAATGTTTTGATGCTTCTTAAATTTTGATCTCAAGATGGGTGGAGCACTGGCTGGGAATGTGCAAATTTGATGGCAGAGGAGAAAATGACAAACTTACACTCAAAACCTGGCTGGAAACACCCCCCGACCTGACTAAATGAAGCTATTTTATCATCTTCATGGCTGTAGATATCAATGTTTATTATCATATAATCCTGTTCATTCAGCCCAGAAGTGACTGGACCAAGACTGGTTATCAAAGACAAACATTTAACAGGGTAACTCCAGTCTATCAGGTAATCCAGGGCAAAATCTTCGTCCAGTGAATTTCATCAGAGAGATCTCACTCTCCAATATCTGAATTAAGAATGCACAGTGGGCTGGGCACGGTGGCTCACGCTTGTAATCCCAGCACTTTGGGAGGCCGAGGTGGGCGGATCACGAGGTCAGCAGATCGAGACCATCCTGGCCAACATGGTGAAACCCCGTCTCTACTAAAAATACAAAAATTAGCCAGGCATGGTGGTGCGTGCCTGTAGTCCCAGCTACTCGGAAGGCTGAGGCAGGAGAATCGCTTGAACCCCCAGGAGGCGGAGGTTGCAGTGAGCCGAGATCGTGCCACTGCACTCCAGCCTGGCAACAGAGCAAGACTCTGTCTCAAAAAAAGAAAAGAAAAAAAAAGAATGCACAGGGGCCAGGCGCGGTGGCTCATGCCTGTAAATCCAGCATTTTAAGAAGCTGAGGTGTGTGGATCACCTCAGGTCAGAAGTTCAAGACCAGCCTGGCCAACATGGTGAAACCCGTCTCTACTAAAAATACAAAAATTAAGATCAAGAGAGTCAGTGAGTGGAGAGTTTAAGAAGAAAGACACCTTCACATCTGTGACAGAAAGTATGAAGCCAGGCATTTGAGAGCAAGAGACAAGGGTATGAAAGAATTTACATTGGATAAAATCAGAATCCTTTGCTGACAGTCGACTTGAAAGGGAAAACTGGGAAGCCCTTGAGCACATTTCAGGATATGCTGGAAAAAGATAAGAAATGAATAACATGATTGATTTGTTGACTTACTTATTTTCTATGGGTGGTTTTTCATTGTAAGGAATTAAATTTATCATGTAGGCTTTCTGATTTTTAATGTCATATCACAAAATCTTCTGTAATTCATTTGTTTCATATTCCAAGCTTCAAGCATTTTGTCCTGCTAGACAACTCCAAAATAGGCAGAAGTTTCCTTTATTTTCTTTTTCCTCTTTCCTGTAGTCCAACATGAGCTACTCCATTTAAACAAATCCTGAGCCAAGTTCTGCTGTCAGTGACTTCCACGCCAAGTCCTAGCTGGACACTCACGCTCAGTTCCAGTTGCACTGATGCTGATATCCACGGCAGTTGTGCGTAAGAATAAGAGGTCAGGAAGTGACCCCAAAATTGCGTGTAACAGTAACTGACGGCTAATATTTGGCCCGAACTGAGTACAGCTACTTTAAGCAGAGTAATTTGTTGGTAATATCCTTCACCAACTTGACTGCTAACATCAAGACAACTCAAGTCAAGAACAATTACGTTAATCATGGGACAAATACAAATGTGAAAACAAAATATAAATAAACTTAACTGTTCAGATCTCAAGGGTTAGCAGTCAGCGTTATGAAACACATGAAAATAAAGTTAATCCTGTAATCGCAGGACTTTGGGAGGCCGAGGCGGGTGGATCACGAGGTCAGGAGATAGAGACCATCCTGGCTAACACGGTGAAACCCCGTCTCTACTAAAAATACAAAAAATTAGTCGGGCGTGGTGGTGGGAGCCTGTAGTCCCAGCTGCTCAGGAGGCTGAGGCAGGAGAATGGCATGAACCCGGGAGGCGGAGCTTGCAGTGAGCCGAGATAGGGCCACTGCAGTCCAGCCTGGGCGACAGAACGAGACTCCGTCTCAAAAAAAAAAACAAGAAAATAAAGCTAATAAGATACAAACGTGAATATGTGTTAAGACAGAAAAGGATTTTCAAGGAAAATAGAAAGCATGGGAGAGGCTTTGGAGATGATGGTTCAAAGCTGTAGATAAATTCAGATGCCCCGTATATTATCAAGGTTGCTAACAATGTAAATAATGCATTAATAACTTACATTCGCATCAATAGGAGACCAGTAACATTGAAGGCCAGGAAAGAACATTTATTTTTTTCATGATGTTACTTCATCTATGGAAATGATCTAAGGGGCCCACCCTTTAAAAATAAAAGGTACAAATATTACATTTCTAAAATACTACCTGTCAAGGAAATCTTTTATGTCATATTACCTGTCAAATAGAATAATTCATAAGAAAGCAGTGCAAAATCTCAACAAATTAGATATGAGAGTCTGCCGAGAAGAGAGACTAAAGTCTAAATTCATTACCATCTGGAGAACCATACTTATGTCTTAAGGACACCATCTCATTAACTTTATGTTTTGTTCAATAATGACAAGTACATCCGAAGTGATACACTGTTCCATTTGTTATAGCAAAGCCAACAGAATAGTCTATTATATTTTTTAACATTAGCTTTGTTATTTTTAGACTAAACAAGCACTCATATCACAAAAAGAAATCACTTTTGTAAAACAGTGGGTCAGTTGTCCATGTCTTGTGTTTCATCAATAAAGATAAAAATGATATGGTAGATGTTTTATACTGAATTAAGCCTATTACTAGATCTTTTGAAAATAGAAACTATTAAAACCATTTAGATTATATTAATAGTATAATGCAGACTTTTGAATGATACAATAGTACACTTAGATATCTGATATGCTCACAATATTTAATTGAGAAATTTAACTTTAAAAACAAATATGTATTTTGTTTTCTACTAATGTTTTTCTAGTCCTGACTTTTACTTTTATTTTTCTTTTCAATATGTAAAATATAACAACATGGGTCTAATATAATTACATGAACTTGAAGAAATCACGTCTTTAGTTTTTTTAGTTTTATTTATTATGACTTATACAAACATTCTGTAAAGATAAATTTTATAGAGAATGGAATAGCTATTATCAAATATGTGAGGAATTATCTTGGGTAAAAATTACCAGGCTTATTCAAATTTGGCTCAGAGGAAAAAAATCAAACCAAAAAGAGAAATTTAGTCCTGAGTGCAAAAAAAAAAAAGCTTTTCCAACCAGAAGTTTCCTCAGGTACTGACATTCTAGGACTATGACAAGGCCATGTGGTAATTAGTCAAAATGTTGAAGAGAATTCCAGAATATTTGGATTTTTTTTTTTTTTTTTTTTTTTTTTGAGACAGAGTCTCACTCCACTGCAGTACAGTGGCATGATCTTGGCTCACTGCAACCTCTGCTTCCCAGGTTCAAGTAATTCTCCTGCCTCTGCCTCCTGAGTAGCTGGGATTACAGGCACCCAACACCATACCCAGCTAATTTTTGTATTTTTAGTGGAGATGGGGTTTTACCATGTTGTTCAGGCTGGTCTTGAACTCCTGACCTCAAGTGATCCAACCACCTTGGTCTCCCACAGTGCTGGGATTACAGGTGTGAGCCACTGCATCTGGCCTGATTTTCTAATTTTTTTTTTTTCAAACACTAGAAATCCTTGATTTTTAAAACTCTGAATTCATTAAATTAAAATATCCCATACTTAGCAAATATTGATGTGCTTTTTAACAAGAGACAGGTCAATGTGTTCAGAGAGGTAAATCACCACTCAAACCTTGATTATCATTATTTGATTCTGAATTTGATATCTATAAAATCTGCATAAATTGTTTACACAGAGGGGAAATTACATAAAATTATATTTGAAAATATAAAAAATTCTTCAGCAATTTCAATAAATGAATGATAGAAAACATTTTTAGATATGAAGTAAAAATTACATAATATGTTGGTAAATAAGAAGAAATTGAAGTGTGAAATGGTTGGAGCCTAACTTCTTGTTGATGTTTAATTTTATGGTCCTAAAACATATATTTAGAGAAATTGAACTCCATCCACATTTAAGCTTTCTACTGGTATATACGTATTTGTTTGCATATAAGGCAGAATTCTTTAACTATGTCTTCATAAAAAATTTTTCATAGTGTCAAAAAATGACAGTTCGGTGTTGTGCTGCCTGAATGGTCGTATCTGCACACCTGACTCATCTAAGTGGATGAATTCTTTTTTTCTATACATATTTTTTTTCTAAAATATAGCTCAATGTTATCATTCTAACACAGCCCAAGCTCTGCATATGGACTATGGTGCTAAACTGGAATGGCTTGGTATAAGCTGCTCACTTTGCAAGGTAGAAAATGAAAATCATGAAGGCTGGGGAAATTTTCCAAACACAGTTTTAAAACATGTGGCCCTTCAGAATTATAAATCAAATGTTCTTATAGTTGGAGAAAAACTGTCTCTGTGTAAACAAGGACACAATGCATGGGAAGGAAATCTGAATTAATACCTTGCAGCTTAGAGAGGTATCCTAACAAAGAATACAGCCCATGGTTCTCCAAGGAGACCTTCCAAAGACTTCTCCTACTGGTGGTTGTCATCTGAGAGAATTATTCTTGGAAAGGTCATCTTAAATGTTTCTCCAAATGGCTGGGAATGATGAGGGGAACCAAGCACATCACATAACTGAACCCTCTGTGCTCCACATTGGATTTTCCTAATGTAAGGTTGTATCTAGAAATTTGAATTTATTTATGTTTGCTTTCTGGTTATTGAACTTGTTGCTTGAATGTTGGCAAATAAGTTGTTTTGCAGAAACTGTCTTTCAAGCAAAAATCCCAGATCTTAAGTTCTGAAAGTGGGATATGGGTAGAAATGAGAGAACTGGCACAGAAAGCAGTCACTGGGAGTGTAAGTTTGAAAATAGTCATCATAAATGCAAAGGAAAATATCAGAAGGAAAAGAGACAGGATAAGGACTCCTTCTTCTGGTTGTATCCCTCACCATTCCAGTGTGGAAAAGCACATTTAATAATGCCTTTTGGCAGTAAGTTCAAGGAGAGAAAGACTTTGGAAAGAGAATTGGCAGGACATAAGCCATCCCAGGAAAAGGAAAAAAAAAAAAGGAGAAAAATAGAATAGAATGTTAAGAGATATGTGTAGTAAGAAGATGGCTGTGGTGCACAGAGTCCTGACCTTGGAGTTCCTTTCTGGCTTCTTTTTGATGACGTGGAGTAGTTTGGCCAAGATTTGGAAAAGGTTTTGGGTGCAGTAGGTCATTTCTCAAGGGGCTACTCTTTCTGCACTACTTAGGTTTATATTGCCTGGAATATCACTGCAGTGACACAAATTTGGGCTTGGTGGGAACATTCAGTTCTTCTTAGTTTCTTCCTCTCTTCCTAGTTGTAGGATGTGTCTAGGATCATAGGTGGCTGTAGTGTGACGGAGAGTGCATTGGGCCTCTAATAACGAAAGGTGATTTCAAAGCTAAGTGCTCAAACCCATCAGCTCTGATGTTATTTCAGACGCAGCATAGTGAGTGAATAGGATGAAAAGATTCAAAAGAACAATGCCAGTGTTCAAGTGGCTATATTACATTGACTCTGTGTTAGCAGAGACAGGTTACCTAATCTATTGCCTCAGGCTCTGAATCTATAAAAGGGAGAGAAAAAAGTACTTTAGAAATGTATTAAGTTAATACATTCAATATACCTAATACAGTTCTTGGATTTTAACACGCTTCAAATGAGTGCTAGCTAGTATTTTTATTGTGCCAAGGTAGAATGATAGTCTTACTTCCTCTCTCTGAACTATTGCATACACCTGGTTCCATGACTTTCACTAACGTTCCATCATGCACCCTGGACACTAGAGGGTCTTCCTTTAACAGCACTCTGAGTTCTAGATGATCTGGAGTGTGGGAAATTGATGCATCTCAAAATCAAAGTGCCTTCTTGGGGGTTACCACTTCTGTTTCTTCCAAAGATCTCAACGGGAAAACATTTTTACTTTCCCAAATATCTTTTTAAAGTCAATGTTTGATGTTCATGCAGTCATCAAGTTAATACATCCATAATTATTTTATCTAAATAACAATATATTTCCCCCTATTCGGGGCTTCCCATTACCCAAGTTCATGGATAAGACCTACCAGAAATAGTTAAGTAAACAAAGAAAGGAACCATAATAGCATATCTCTATTATGCTTTTGATAAAATTCCATTGAGTAAAGTTAAATTCATCACTCTGTGAGGGTGTATGTTTGTAATATTTATTATAGTCTTTTTAAGAAAGTCTCTGTGATTCATTTTGGAATCTTTTCTTAGGCATTTTTTTCTGACAGGGCCAGTCTTCTTACAGCCTGCCTTGGAAAGGAAGTTTTCTATGCAGCATTTTCTATAAATTCTCTTCAAAATTTTCCTACCAAGAAATTTCCCTAAGACAATGTTCCTGTGAATAAAACCATACTCTGCCTGCCAAGAATCATCATTTTGGAAAAAGAAACAACATCTTAGCAACAATCTTCTAAGTCTTAGAATCTGAGGGAACATTCCAGGATATAGTCAGTATAACATATTTAAGTGGCTTCTTTAGAGTTATGGCACATGATTAACATATTAAATAATCTTGTTTTCAGAATCACAAAGTCATTTTGGGGATAACGTTTTTAAAGTGTTCAAATACTGTCTAAATCTGTGTGTGTGTGCACATGCATGCCTGTATTGATATTTGGAATACATCCAAGTATATTGACTATTTTAAGTCAGGCTTGGTCTCTTGAGTCAGACAGACCTGAATTCCAGTGCTAACCTGGCTCTCCTCAACTTCAGTCTGTTCTTGATTAAGCTACTAAACCTCTGTAAGTCTGAGGCTTTCATCTGCAAAATAGTACCCCTGAACAGGTTACTTAATATATGGCTGATATATATGATAAGATATGTAAAGTCCTCTATGTAATGCCTTTTCCCCATAATAAGTACTCAAATGTAAGCTAGATATTTATTTTAAAATAATTTACTTGAAGCACAATCAGACAAGTACTGTCTTCTGGGCAATTTTAGCAAAGCATGTCATTCAGATGAGAAAAAAAACTATTTTGCCCTTTAAACTTATTGAGGTCTTAACTGAGAATAGACTAGTTTTTATAAAATATAAGCATCTTTTCAATTGTGTAGCTTTACTTTGAATATTAAATTATACACTTAACAGTGTTTGTTGAGAACCAAAAAGTTTTTTTTTTATAAAAAATTCACTTCAAAATTTCCACCTTTAAAATATTATACACAGTTCTTCATTGAAAGGAATGGTGCTTTATTCAAGAGTCATTATATCAGGGATGACATTGTTGAATTAGCTTTAAAAGTAAGGCCAAATGAATGTGGGAAGAAGGTAATGAGAGAGAGAAGATCATTAGCTCAGGAGAAAGAGCAGTTAGTGTTGTCATGTCTGGGCTGAGACAAAGTTAGTCAGATTGTCCTGCCAAGGAAATGTCGTGGGGAGGAATTATATTGTCCGGGAAAGAGTCCTAAGAGGAATGTTCCTCTAAAGTCCATGCTAATATCTGCTATTTTGGGTATTAAGACTGTACTCCACTAAAAAGAAACTGCTACATATGTGCCATTTTACCAATAAAAGCCATCAAGTTCTCCTACTAGTGACATGCTCTGGTTTGAACATAACTAGACTAAAAATGTCAAGGGAAATGAGTGTTGGGCCTCAATTATTTCTAATTTCCATGCAATTAGTCTCTCCCCAAACCAGAATTTGGGATCTGTACTGGACTGTCCTGGAATTTTTCCTAAAGTATTCTCTACCAGCCGCCCAAGAAGCTCTGGATAAGCTCTTGGAAAGTTACAGACTTAGACTCCTAGAGATGGGATTGGTCCTGGATTTGGCTGCTATTTAGAGAACTCAGTCCAGTTGAGTTTCAAATCTCTTGGGTGTGACAGTGACTGCAGTTCATCAGTAGAATGTAGACATTTGAGTCTCTGGAGCTGAAGTTGATGGAGATTCATTCTGGATTGCCTAAAGAGTGATTTCCCAAATCCCCGAGAGGTTGCGGCTGTTTTACTGCAAACCCACACTTTACAAGTGAAGAAAGAAATTACAGAATCCAAACAGCTGACCCAAGGCATTCAGATTTGCAACAGACACCATAGTGAACCGAGGTTAAGAATTACCTTTTGGAAAATGCTAAGAATCTTATCCAGAGGTAGTTGGAAAGAAATTGTGATCAAAGCTCATTATGAAATGGAACTGCATGGATAGGACAGGGCAAGTCATAAGTTTCTCAAAACTGTAAGGCAAAGGATTAAAGTTTGGGAAGCATGATAGATTAATTGCATTTATGGTCCCAAATGATGAGTATCCATACCCTTCATGATGTGGTCTTGCGAACCACTCCAATAAAGAGATTGAGTCTGTTTCCTCTCCTCTTGAACCTTGAAAGTCATTTTAGTCAATAGGTTATGTCAGAAGTCAATGTATGCCAATTCCTAGCCTAGGCTTCAAGAGACCTTTTGAGCTTCCACTTGCCTGTTGGAACTTTGCCTTAATCAGAATACAAGCCTGGGATAATATCCAGAAAAGCATTAACATAGCAAGCCTGAGACTGCTATCCTTGGAAACACCTACGTGCAAGATGGGCCCTCAGCTGGCATCTGGAAACTTGGATTTTGGGAATGTTCCCACCACTCTAATTGGTAAGAGTGTCTCACTAGACCTAAACTGTGCAAACCGCATGGTTTATGCTGAATACTTGCTGCCATTCTGAGATTCTGGAGTTTTGGTATGAGCCAGGCAGAGGGTGCTTATGTAACCAGCCCCTAATACAAACTCTGGACACAGAATCTCCAATGAACTTCCCTGGTAGACAACATTTCAAATGTGTGGTTACAATTCATTGCCAGGAGAATTAAACATATCCTGTGTAACTCCACTGAGAGAGATCTCTTGGGAGCTTATTCCTGGTTTTCTCAGGACTTTGCCCCACATGCCTTTTGATTTTGCCAATTTTGTTTTGTATCCTTTTCCTATAATAAATCATAGCCATGAGTATGAGTATATGAGAAGTCCTATGATTCCTGCTAGAATCAATGACTCTGAGGAAGAGTCTTGGGGACTCCTGACACAGATGATCTATTGAGGAATGAGAGACATATGAAACAGAAAATTTTCTTGCCTGAGACCATCCTGGATCAGCTAACAGCCACCTGACTGCCAGATATGCATGTGAATGGGTCTCAGATGAACTTCCAGAGATGAGAACAAATCTGTATTTGTTTGTTACTTAGTGGTAATGAGTGTAGTGTTGGCCAGCCAAGCCCAGCCAAGATCAGCAGACCCAGCCAAGTGTGGTGGCTCACACCTGTAATCCCAGCACTTTGGGAGGCTGAGGCTGGTGGACTGCCTGAGGTCAGGAGTTTGAGGCCAACCTGGCCAATATGGTGTAACCCCGTCTCTACTAAAAATGCAAAAATTAGCTGGGTGTGGTGGTGGGCAACTGTAATCCCAGCTACTCAGGAGGCTTTGGCAAGAGAATCGCTTGAACCCAGGAAGTGGAAGTTGCAGTGAGCTGAGATTGCACCATTGCACTCCAGCTGGGTGACAGAGAGAGACTCCACCTTAAAAAAAAAAAAAAAAAAAAAAAAAATCAGCACACCCTGTAAACTTGCAAGCTCAGCCAGCCTGTAAACTCATGAGAAATAATACATGATTGTTGCTTTAAGACAGTACCTTTTAGAGTAATTTGTTACTCAGCAATAGCTAACTGATGTAAGAAGTAAAAGATAACTGAGTCTTCAGAACAGAAATGAAAACTTGATTGGTAGAGGAAATACTTGAAGAGTTCTTGATTTTATAAAAATCCAAATCCTTTGCACAGTATTCAGCAGGTTTACTGAACAAGATGTTTAAAGACAAAGAAATAGAATTAGTTTTCAATATTATAAATATATGCCCATAATTTGGTGTGGCATATATGAATTCGCTTTCTGTTAGGGCAAAGGTATGAATAAGACCTTCCTCTGGCCCAACTTTAAAATTTTAAATTGCTTCCGGCTTTAATCAAGAAATCTGAATCTAACAGCAGTTAACTCTAAAGACTGGGCAGTGTTTCTTGGATGACTTTAATAAACACTAATATTTAAACATTATCTTTGGCGCTGTTTTGTTGAGGCATTCTCAGATTTTAAAATCCCAGACAATAGTGACAACCAACTGTTAACCCTTCAGTGATTTCTAACATCACTGTGAAGATGGAATGTTTGTGTCCTTATAAAGTCAACCTGTATACATTTAGACTAACTAAAAAGAATAGTACTACCCTCTCATTCATTATTTTGAATTGAAGTAAAAATGCGTATTATATATCATTTATAATTACTTTAAAATTGAAAGAAATTGCTAATAACTATCAATAATGAGCACTCATGAAATAAAATATACTATAGAACTATAAAACAGAGCCTGATAAATACCACTGTTGCAAATCAAAATGAGGAAAACAATTTCAATTTTTTATGGAAGATACATTCGCCGTATGGTATTAAAATCTGGGAAAAGCAATTAAGTTCACAGAGTCTCATAAATTTTGTAAGAAGCCCTCTTGACATTAAATTAATTAAGGAAAATAAATAGTAAACTTCCTGGATTCATCCAAATGCACTTTCTCATAATTGAATTATTTCATGTAGATTCATTATACATGACTTCATTAATCTCAATGTTGATTTTGACCAAGCACATTAAACATATATGTATTTCTCCCAACAGATATATAAGAGAGGAATTGTAAAACATTTCAAAAAACAGATCAGTTTTTTAGGGAGAATATTTCAAATTAATAGAGCAGGAATTTAAATTATGGTGGCCTCCAAATATAAGCAATTTTCTATATTTTAGTAAATGATTTTTTTCCTCGATCTATATCACATGAAATATGGCTTTTTGGATAGTCTGCTTTCTTGTTTTCTAATAAATTATTTTATTTATCAGACAACTCCCATATGCACACCTAGCAATCAAACTGGATACTTACTTTGGCATCAAATATGTGGCTGGTTAGCTCAGCTAGTTAGTGATACATGCTATTATCAGTGACAATGATTAGAACTTCTTCCTTCAAAATTAAGTAACCATAAAGACTCTCTTTGCAAAGGCAGCTGAGGAACCAACACAGCAAAAGTAGAGACACGCATAGTCTGTCCTCTTTTTGTCAAGTCACAATCACAATCAGTTAGGTACCATTACATTGGTGATGATGGGTAGTATTGGGTAAAACGAAGAAAGACTTCAAACTGAGGCCAGGCACAGTGGCTCACACCTGTAATTACAGGACTTTGGGATGCCAAGGAGGGTGGATTTCTTGAGCCTAGGAGTTCAAGACCAGCCTGGGCAACATGGTGAAACCCCATCTCTACAAAAAATACAAAAATTAGCTGAGTGTGATGATGTGTGCCTGTAGTCCCAGGTACTCAGGAGGCTGAGGTGAGAGGATTGCTTGAGTCCAGGAGGGCTGGACTGCAATGAGCCATGACTGCACCACTGCACTCCAGCTGGGCAATAGAGAGACCCTGTCTCAATTAAAAAACAAACAACAAAAAACTGAACTTCAAGCTACTGTTACCACAAGTTCTCTGTTCCGTCAATTCATGCAGATTAAGCACCCATATATGCAAGAAATGAATGTAAATTACTGGGATAAGAATGATTAGAATTTAATAAATGTTTACATTGGTACACAGCGTTGCTTGTTATTTAAATCAGTCCTTCCTTCTTGATCTCAGACTGATACTTCTTTCCATTACAGGCCAATAATATATAAGGATTACAGGAAAAAAACCACATAATTTATGTTGTTTTGGAGAATCTTAAAAAGAAGAGATTTAATTTTTTACAGAAATAATGTGCATATACAAAATAAGAAAATTATGCAAATTTAGGGAAAGAAGGGGAGCTCTTTTATAAAACATGGAAAATGAGATCTGGAATGTATTTAAGATATAATAACACCATTGCATATTAATTTGAGTTCATTCTCCAGGAAATAAAAATCTGTAACTACCATCAAGTGAACCTGTAACCACAATATGTTGTATCACATACATGTCTGTGTGTTAGCCCCAAATAAATACATAATTACAATGGGTTAAAGAGAAAATACAGGAATGGTAGCAATTTGAGAACCACTCTTGGCTTATTCTTTCCTGAATCCCCACAGAAGTGACTCAATTATAAATGGAAGACAAATCACTGTTTCCCTGAGAATTATGAAGTTTTTGTTTCATTAATTAAGTCTCAAGTTAGGTGCTAAGAAGGATGTCTAGTCTAAAAGTTTGAACCAACCTATGACGAATGTATGGTTAATTTTATATGTCAACTTGGAGGGTGGTTTGGATGAGACTAACATTAAAATTGGTGAATGGTGAATTTTGAGGAAGTGGATTCCTCTCCATAATGCTGGTGGGTCTTGTCCAATCAGTTGAACAAAAAGATTGGCTACCCTGAGCAAGAGGGAAATTCTCCAGTAGATTACATTCAGATTTCATCCACATCATGGTCTCACCTAGGTCTTTGCCTGCTGAGTTTTTGGATTAGAACGCACTATTGGCTCACCTGGGTCTCCGTCGGACAATCTTTCAATTGGAAATGCACCACTGGCTCTCTTGCGTCTCCAGACTGCTTGCCCACACCACAGGTTTGGATTTGCCAACCTCCACAATCACATGAGCCAGTGCCTTATAATTAATTTTCTTCTATAAAGAAATAGAACCCATAGGATGTGTGTATGCATTTTAAGGTGTGTGTATATGTGTACAGATAGATAGAGATAGATCTACAGTAGACCCCACTTATTTTCAGTTTTACTTTCCATGGTTTCAGGTACCTGCAATCAACTGTAGTCCGAAAATATTACGTAGAAAATTTCACAAATAATCTATAAGTTTTCAATTGCACCTCATTCCAAGTACCATAATGAAATCTTGTGTTGTCTCACTCCGTCCCACTTGGAATGTGTGAATTATCTCTATGTCCAGCAGATCCACGCTGTGTATTCTACCCACTGGTGAGTCACATAGTAGCCATCTCCATTATCAGATTGAATGCTGTGGTATCCCAATGCTTGTGTTTGAGAAACTGTTATTTTACTTCATAATGGTCCCAAGGTGCAACAGTTGTGATGTTGGCAATTCGAATAAGCCAAAGAGAAGCCATAAAAAGTGTTAATTTAAGTGAAAATGTAAAAGTTCTCAACTTTATAAGTAAAGGAAAAAAATCACATGCTGGGGTTGCTGAGATCTACAGTCAGAATCAACCTTCTATCTGTGGAGATGTAAAGAAAGACAAAGAAATTCATCCACGTGAGATATAGGGTTTGGTACTATTTGCTTTTTCAGGCATCTACTGGGGGTCTTGGAATGTTTCCCCTGCAGATAAGGAAGGACTACTGTGTGTGTGTGTGTGTGTGTGTGTGTGTGTGTATACACACACATACATACACAGCATAAACACACATATTCTATTGGCTCTGTCTTTCCTGGAGAACCCTGACTAATACAGAATTTGGTACTGAGAGTGGTTCTAGAGGAAGAAAATCTCAAGAATGTGTTAGAATGCTGACTAATACAGTACATATACATGGAATTTTGAAAGCTCTGGTCAGAGCTTTGCGCAACTTTGTCCAAAAGATGGTCCTCTAGATATGAAAGTTCTGTAATGAGTTCCATGTATGTTGCAGAGTCCCAGGTTTAAGGCAAAAACATTACTAGGAATAGTTAAGCTGATACTGCTCTGTGTAACAGTAAACTTCATATTAGAAGTCTTGGAGAGTTGGGTTGAGTTATTATAAGCCTTCAGTCAACAAGGGGTGGCTTTCTTCCTAGGGAAGCACGAGGCCACTCTACCATCTTTATTGCAAAGTAACAAGATAGGGAGGGCATGGCATGACAGTTCAGCTGTTACTCTCAAATGCTTCTGAAATGGGTTTGGAAAACAATCCGAGCCAAGGATATATGATCTCTACTTTGTTTCTCATCTTAAATTAGCCTAGCTCTTCTGTCCATTCTTGCTTACAAAGAATAGGTCAAATGGTCCACATAGTAAAAGTTCAGCAATATTAAAATGCTCACAATTTGAAGTTGAACCATTTTCCACTATTACATTCATGGAAAAAAAGTATTAATGAAGTCTTCTTTTCTCTTGAAAAACTTAAAGACATGATTCTGGGCAGATAATAGCATTGACAGAGGAACTATTCATCCATAGTTCCTGGATCTCCATGCATTTCCATCTAAAATCAGATAGAACAACTAGATTCCAAATTTAAAATCCTATGCACAAATTTTTCAATAAAAATTTCAAGACAACCCTAAAACACAAGCAAGTAAAAACAAACCTTTAATGGGAACAAGACTTCATGGCTTCAGCATTTGTGTAGGAAGAAGTAGAGGGTGGGGGAAAACAGTATCTTCCTTACCTGGGAAGAGAAACATTTGAAAACAGCCTGCAGATATTTATAGGCAGGGAGGGAGGGCCAATTTTCTAACAGTGGCTGAAACTGGGAAGGGTTTTTGTCAAGTGTAATAGCCATGAGTGCAAGGGACACACCATAAAAAGATGAAGGAGCTGAAGCCATCTGGCCTCTAAGAATTGCAGAAATGCACCAACCCAGGGTTCCCTTCCAGACAGAGCCCTCTTTGAAGAGAAACTAGTGGAAGTGGAATAAAAATTGAGCAGCATACTGATAACATGGAAGGCGTTAAAAGGTCCAGATAAAATTGAAAAGGGGACAGAAACAAAGTTCACAAAAAACAAGCTGCTGTTTTATTTTTGAGCATTATAAGAAAACACCAAATGAGAGACCTCGTGAAATTAGAAAAATTATCTTAAACACTACCTCCTTTTAAAAGTTCAGAAAAATCAATTTCACAATGACAAACAGAAAGCTCTCAAAATCAAATCCCATATGAAGATATTTTGAGGAAAAAGAAAGCACAGTAACATCTTTATGTGCAATAAAAGCATACTTGACAGACACACCCAAAAATGGATCAAAACCATAACTTACTTATTCAAAATGGGCTAGGAAACTGTAAGAAAATGGGCAACATAAATTAGTCACAAAACTTCAGAAATTAGCTGACAAAGCTCAGGCAAATACCAGAAATAAAAAGTTATTTCAGAATTGAGGACAAAGTTTGAAGAGACACAAAAACCAAAAAAGTAACTTAATGACTTAAGAGAGAGATAAGGAAAAAAAAAAAAAATAGTAGTCAAAAATAAATGGAGAAATAGTGAAAAGGATTTGAAAGAAAGTGACAAATATGAACACAGACAAAGGAGATTAAAATGTAAAAATGTTGGTCTCTAAGGAGCTGAATAAGGAAACAAAGCAAACACTAATAGATCTAAATTTAGATAGAGATAGATGATAGATAGATATAGATAGATATTATATTTACAGATATAGATATAAGGGAAATAGTAGCTTTTATTTTTTGTATTTTCATTTCCTACCTGTTAGTTAGCAACATTAATTTTGTATTGGTGTCATCTCCCGCATATTCGTTAAGTTCTCTTTTTGGTGATCTGTTTGTGCATATAGCTATCAACAACCATAAAAAGCACAGATACTGGCAACTTTATGCTTTCCTTACCAATCCTTATGACTTATAAGTTTTCCAGGTATATTCACTGGCTAAGTCATTTATTACAGTACTAGGTAGATAAAATGGTAGTGAATTTCCTTGTGTTGGTCCAAATTTAAAGGGAACACTTTTAATGTTTCACGATTAATGTTTGTAACATTTTATAGATAATCTTTAAACGGTGAAAGAGATTTTCTTCTACTCCCAGCTTATGATGTACTTATGTAATTTTATCATAAATGGATGTCAAATTTATTAAATACTATTTTCTATGTCTATGGAGACAATAACATACCTTTCCCTACCTGTTAATATGGTTTTATATATATGCTTTCATTCTCTAATCGTAAACCAATCTTGCACGGCTAGGTTAAACTCAACACTGTGATATATTTGCTTATTTACTTTGTCAGCCTGGTTTGCCAATATTCTATTCAGGATTTTTGCCGTAACAGTCACGGGTAAATTGGCCTATAATTTAATTTCTCACATTTATGCTTTTCTGGTTTTGTTACTGAGATCATGCCAGCTCCATAAAGTGAGTTGGAGAGATGTTCTTATTGTTCAGACCTCTTGGAAATTGCATATAAAGTATATATGTGACTGGGCACGGTGGCTCACACCTGTAAGCCCAGCACTTTGGGAGGCCAAGGCGGGCAGATCATGAGGTCAGGAGATCAAGACCTTCCTGGTTAACACGGTGAAACTCTGCCTCTACTACAAATACAAAAAAATTAGCCAGGCATGGTGTTACGTGCCTGTAGTCCCAGCTACTCGAGAGGCTGAGGCAGAAGAATCACTTAAACCCGGGAGGCGGAGGTTGCAGTGAGCCGAGATTGCGCCACTGCACTCCAGCCTGGGCGACAGAGCAAGATTCCATCTCCAAAAACAACAACAAAAAATGTATATATGTTTTGGAGAATTAGCCTAAAAATAGTCTGGGCAAATTATTTATTGGTAAGAAAGTTTAAAAATACAAATTCAACTTTTCAAATTGGTTTAGGAACATTTGTATCTTCTATTTCCTCCTGACTATAAAGACACATACACACATATTTTATATATATGAGATACATATGTATGTACATATGTATATTTATATATATATTTTATTTTATCTTTTCAAATTTAGTGGCATTACACTATTCATAGTATCATTTTATTATTTTTTGAATCTCTACTGAGTCTACAGTTATGTAGACTGCTTTGCTTTTTATATTGATTTCTTTTTAAAAAATCTCTTTTGATCAAATTTTCATACTAATTTTACTAGTAGTACTTTTCCAGAAACAACTTTTGGTTTTTGGACCCCTGTAATTTATCATTTTTGTGCATTAATTTTCACTCTTTTTTATTTTTGCTCTTATCTCACATGTCTGTCTCTGGGTTTAGTCTTTTGTTCTTTGTCTAATTCAGTGGTTCTCAACTGGAGGTAGCATCACCTACTTGGTAGAATTTAAAAATGTGTGCAGGTATTTTATCTTTTCACAATAACCCTGGAGTGCAATATGCATTAGGCGGGTGAAGCCTAGGGTGGTATTTATCCTGTAATGCGTAGGACATTCCTGCTCAACAAAGAATTGTTTTTCCCCAAAGACCAATAACACACCTGTTGAGAAACTCAGAGTAATTTTGTAACTGAATGTTTGGTTTACTCATTTATTTTTCTAAGCATCTAAGGCTACACATTACCTTGTATGAACAGTTCTCACTTTGTTTCACTTGTTTCATTTGTTTCACTTGTTTCATTCGTTTCACTATTTAGCACATGTGTAACGTTTTTATTATTATTGAGTTTTAAGCATTTTCTATTTTATCCTATAATTTTTTTCTTGACACAAGAGTTGGTTTTTAAACTTTAACCATACAAGCTAATTATTAATATTTTTCTTATCAATATCTAACTTAACAGCATTATAGTTAAAAAATGTGGGTGTGTAAAAAATCAAATCCTTAAAATTTGTTGAAAACGTCTTCATGTTCTCATATAAGGTCAATTTTTACAAATGTATTTTAGAAAATAAACATATATGATTTAACCATTGGGTACGGTGTTCAATGTATATGTTGACTAGCTCAAGGTTCTTAACTGTTCAAATCTTCCACATCCCTATTGACTTTTTTGTTAAAAAAAAAAGAACTCTCAAAATAAGAGTGGATTTGTCAAATTATTTTTGCAGTGTTATATTATTAGTTACATGCAGAGGCAGAAGAATCACTTGAACCCGGGAGGCGGAGGTTGCAGTGAGCTGAGATTATGCCTCTGCACTCCAGTCTGGGCGACAGAGCAAGAATCCATCTCAAAAAAAAAAAAAAAAAGAAAGAAAGAAAAACCACCAAGTAAATGCTTCCAAGACAGCTATTGTCTTCAGCACTTACCTCTGATTCAATTTTTTAAAAAATTGTTGGCTCTCAAGAAAACTCTTACTTTCTTGTCAGTCCACCATAAAATTTTTAAAATGTTTGTCATATCTCATATTTTATCAATGTTTTAGGTCATTTGAAGACTTTTTCAGGATATTTGGTCTACTATGTTTCTGTTAAAAGAACTCTTGCACTCCTGTGAACCCACTATAATTGACTTTTCTCACATTACAACTCCAGAACTGTTCTGGAAGAGTTCATCACTGATCCCCAAGTTTTAAGTCTTCATCCTACTTGACTAATCCGACACATTTTCTTTCACTTATTATTATGTTCTCCTTGAACTACGTTTGTCACTTTGTCTCTGGGATACTTTTTAAAATATTCTTCTCTTATCTCAATGATCCATTATTTTTAGTGTTCTTTGCAGGACTCTTAATCTTTCAAGCACTAAGACCTTTTTGTTGTTGTTCCTGTCCTGATATCCTGGAGGACTTTATCCAGCCTAATGACTGTAAATTCATTCTTTACATAATTGAGTCCTTTTTTAAATCTCTAGGCTTGGCCTCATCCTCAAACTCCCAACTCATATGTTTATTTGTCTATTTAATATCTCTGCTTGAATGCCTACTAGCCATTTCATAAAAACCAAAGTCCTTATCTTCCCTTTCAAATCTGTTTCTCCCACAGTCTTCCACATTTGTGTGAATGGCAGTTACATTTTCCAGTTGCTTGGGACTAATACATTGGAGTCATTCTTGACTCCTCTACTTTTCTCACTTTCTACATCTAATCTATCAACAAGCCCTTTTGACTCTATCCAGAATTCAAATTCCTTCTCATCACCTCCACTGCTACTAATCTGGTCTAAGTCACCATCATTCCTTACCTGCAACTTTGGAATAGTGTTTTAATGGGTTTCATCTTCGTGGAATCAATTCACTGCACTTGATCTGAAATAATACTGTCTTCCCTCAGCATTCAGAACTCTCCTCCCATACCAAAATCCAAAGATGCTGAAGTCCCTTATACAAAATCGTAGTATTTGTTATGAGACATCCCCTCATACTTTAAATCATCTTTAGATTACTTATAATATTTAATACAATGTAAATGCTATTCAAATAGTTGTTAAGTTTTATTGGTTTTATTTCTATAATTTTGTACTAGTATGTTGTTATTTTTATTGGATTTTTTCATATATTTTTATCTGCAGTTAGCTAAATCCATGGATACGAACCTAGTAGATGCAAAGGACCAACAGTACCTTAAAAAGCAAATGTCAGATCAAGTCAATAATCTCCTCAAAACCATTCATTAGGTTCTGTTTTTCCTTTTTATTTTATGCAGAGTGAAGGCCAAGTCCTTACAAAAAACCACAAGCCCCTACCTAATCAGCTCCCTGATCATTTTCTGATTTGATATGCTACTATGGTCCTCCTCACTCACTCTTCTCTACCTACATTGGCATCTTCGGGTTCTTTAAAGATATCAAACATGCTCCAGTTTCATATTGCTGCTATCTGGGGTTAAAGAGTTTTTTGCAATATCACTTTATCAGAAAGGACTTTTTTTTTTTTTCCTTTTATTTTTGTGAGACGGAGTCTCGCTCTGTCGCACAGGCTGGAGTGCAGTGGTGCGATCTCGGCTCACTAAAAGCTCCGCCTCCCGGGTTCACGCCATTCTCCTGCCTCAGCCTCCCGAGTAGCTGGGACTACAGGCGCCCACCACCATGCCCGGCTAATTTTTTGTATTTTTAGTAGAGACGGGGTTTCACCGTGTTAGCCAGGATGGTCTCGATCTCTTGACCTCGTGATCCGCCCTCCTCGGCCTCCCAAAGTGCTGGGATTACAGGCGTGAGCGACCGCGCCCGGCCAGAAAGGCCTTTCTTAACTTCCTTAACAAAGGCCTTAATTCACAAGCCCTGTCTCATTGACCTTCATTTCATAGCACTTACCACCGACACTACTCTCGCATGTGGGTTCACGCACACATACACACGCACACACATACACAGACACACACACTTTATCTTTCTCTGATTAAATGTTTACTTCTATCCATCCCAAAGTTCCAGATGAAAGGCAGAAGATAAGCCTATGTTTTTTTTTTTTAATACAACTCAACCTTTGTGTGTTTTCTAAAAACTTGCTCCTTACATACCCCATACCTAAGAGGATTGTGATTGTATATTTCCCCTTCCAAGGCCTTGGTCATTTCTTAAGTCAAACTGTGTGTCCTCT
Organism: Homo sapiens; assembly: GCF_000001405.40. Classification (NCBI taxonomy): domain Eukaryota; kingdom Metazoa; phylum Chordata; class Mammalia; order Primates; family Hominidae; genus Homo; species Homo sapiens. The sequence continues at coordinate 26,770,190 of NC_000021.9, read as the reverse complement.
GAACCTGTCAAGACAACTAGGGTTTGCACAATAGCTGGGCAAAATAGGGAAAAGGGATAGATGAGAGAGAGACATTTTAAAGTTTTGGGTAGATTTATTTTTTTAAAGCCTTAAAATTCAGAGTATTTACGTACTGTCTAGTAAATGTTATTCTTTTTGTTAGAATTTTCTAAGTTTAAGTCACAAAATATGATTATTTTTAAGCCAAAACGGAGTTATAAACTCACTCTGGAGAGTATTTTATGCATCAAATGTGAAAATTGTCATGTGTAGAGAATGTAATATTTGGAACTAATAAATTTTAGTAAGTATGCTCTGTCACATGCAATTCGAATGAAAACCATTTTGTATGTGGACTGCATCAGGAAATCTTTTAAAACAAATGTAGAAGACGCCCCCTTGTGTTTGATCTGTCACGGTGAAACACATTTTTTAAAACTGTCTTTATTAACCTAAATTTTAGATATGCGATTATTCTATAAAAATTTAAAAATTGGCTAACATTTACTAGGCATCTGCAATGCATTATTAAATGTTTAAAATAGAATCTTTGTCTTTTCAGAAATTATTTTGAACCTGTGATTAGAATGACCCTTCTTTACTTTTCGCTCTGCATCACATTAACATTATGAAAAACAAATGAAAAACACATGAAAAACAAATACTCCACCGAACAATTATTTGAATTCAACCACTCTCCCCCTCTAAATGATAGATACAAATGTGGACAAAGAAACAAACACTTGTGAAATGATCACGGATTCCAAAGTGCTTTCACTTAGAGTTTTTCCATTGTTTCTCAGAATAATCCTGTGAAGTGCATAAGCTAAGTGTACATCTTTTTTTTTATTTTTATTTTTTTAGAGAGAGACAGGGTCTTGTTCTGTTACCTAGGCTGAAATGTAGTGGCTCGATCATGGCTCACTGTAACCTCAAACTTCTGGGCTCAGGTGATGTTCTTGCCTCAGCCTCCTACGTAGCTAAGACTAGAGGAGCATGCACCACACCCGGGAAATTTTTAATAGTTTTTATTTTTAAATAGAAATGGGGTCTAGCTATGTTGCCCAGGCTGGTCTTGAACTCCCAGCCTCAAGCAATATTCCAGTTTTGGCTTCCCAAAGCCTTGGGATTACAGGTGTGAGCCACTGCACCTAGCCCGTCCTTATCTTTGAAATGTTAGAATAAAACTGAAGCCCTGAACTTAAGTAACTGCTAGGAACTATACAGCAAGTCCATTAGAGAAGTTAGACCAGGGCCTGATCCCAGACCTTCACACCCTAAAGGCTGAGCTTGACCTAGGAGGCTTGAAAGAATATGTTTTCTGAATAAATTTTTGTGACCCATGATCTGACACATGATCTTTGTCTGTAGAACAGAATACTAAAAAATGGAACCAACCTAGAAAACTATAGATGTTGCATTATATATATATATGAAAAACATATATTTTATATGTAAAATGCAACATATATAATATACATAATGTAATATCTATAGTTTGCATAATATATACATATATGTACTATATATACATTATATAATAATTATATATTGCATATATAATGCATATATAAATTATATATTTATATAATTTATTTATATATAAAATACATTGCACATATATATAAAATGTATATCTATAGTTTTCTAGGTTGGTTCCAATTTCTAGTATTCTGTTCTACAGACAGAGATCACGTGTCAGATCATGGGTCACAAAAAATACATTTTATATATATAATATATTGCTATATATCATACACATACTATAATATACGTGTGTGTTTTTGTACCCTTTAACCAAAACTGTAGTTAGAAGGAATATGTTCTAGTATTCAATAGTGCAGTAGGGAAATTATAGTTAACAATAATTTATTGTATATTTCAAAATAATTGCAAGAGAAGAACTGCAATGTTCCCAACACAAAGAAAAGATAAATGTTTGAGGTGAATATCCCAAATACCCTGATTTGATCATTACACATTGTATACATGTATCAAAATATCACATCTACTTCCAGAATATGTACAACTATTACGTATCAAGAAAAAATTTAAAATAGCCAGGTGTGGTGGCTCTCGTCTGTAATCTCAGCACTTTGGGAGGCCGAGGCAGGCAGATCAAGAGGTCAGGAGATCGAGTCCATCCTGGCTAACATGGTGAAACCCCATTTCTACTAAAAATACAAAAAATTAGACGGATATGGTGGCACGCGCCTATAGTCCCAGCTACTCGGAAGGCCAAGGCAGGAGAATCTCTTGAATCTGGGAGCTGGAGGTTGCAATGAGTGGAGATCGCGCCACTGCACTCCAGCCTGGGTGACAGAGAGAGACTCTGTCTCAAAAAATTAAAAATATATATACATGTGTGCATGAGTGTGTGTGTGTGTGTGTGTGTGTGTGTGTGTGTGTGTGTGTTTTATCCTTCTTATCTACCATCTATTCACGGTCAGGTTTTTAGAATGGTAGTTCTGATATGATAAGGAGAAAATTTTAAACTGTTTAATGTTTAATATGACCAAATATTGGAAACATCTAAAATCTAAATATCAACAACTTCGGATATCTAAATATCATAATAGGTGCCAGGAAGATTTATTCAAAATTTGGATAGCCATGAAGACATATGGCTGCTTGCTACATTACTAAAATCTTCAATCTGGTTGCGTTCTAAGAATAAAATAAAGTTTGTAATTCACCAGAATGTTTCCAAAATTATCCTGAGTGCCAAAATGAATGCCCTTTCCATTTTATTACTCTGATGTCTTTTGTGATTCTTGATAATTTGTTATTACATTATTGCAATGATGGACTTCCTGTTATGGGTCTAGTCAGCTGATCATTCAGTCTCTGAGTTTAAAATCAAACCGGTTGGAGATGAGAAGAGAGTGGGTAAAAGAGTACATAAACGGAGAGGGAAGAATGAAGACGCTGCTGGTTTTGACGAGATAATATTGGCTACCTCATGAAATGTTACTTCACGGTCATTTGGAGAGATATATCTATGCTCTTTGTGATGACTGAGCACTGATTTCACCTCAACAGACTCTTTAGGGCAAGAAATATATTAACAATCTTATCTTAGACAACTTTAGCTTTGTAGGTTGTCTGTTGCTATGATGAGTCAGAAACACCTGCACTATGAGGGTTGCTCCCAACCTCCTTACTGTCTACAGAGAGCTCATTCCCCTAAGGGTGGGGAGCCATGGAGATCATCCATAGATTCTCTAAAGAATTCAGGCACCACTTTTGAATCTTACTGACTAAAATAACTACTGTGTGTTTCATTGTGAATCTGGTTGGGGCATGTTGCTTTTGTTTTGTGTTGGTGGTTTTGATAGGCTTAAAAAAAATCTAATCCGAGTGAATCTTTTGTCTCTCTTCTACTAAATAGCATAATAGGCAAAATATTTATTTGTTGACTTTTTTTTTAAATAATTAGGTGAGGTAAGGAGTCCCAGTAAGTTTGTAGTTATGAAGGCACGAAATCTGACCACATAGATAATCCACCCTTGCTTGGTCCCAGGAGGCCGATTCAGGTCACCTCACTGGCTGGGATGATTAGAAGGAAAGGGTGTATACAATGGCGTGGTGCATTGCAAACTACCCACTTCCACGGCTCCAGGATGGCGAGCAAGCACCACCGAGAGGATCTGATATTAACAGCACAGGATGTAAGTCTCCTGCTACTTCCTGGCCCAAAATGGAAAACATAGGCTGGTCTTCATGGGTTCTTGCTGAAGGGCCACTCGTTCCTATTATTTTTCCATTGCTGGCTTAGCCTGGTAAAGAGAACATGGTAGAGAGAAGAGAAGGTGAACTATAAATGTATGCATGTGAGGCTACGAGAATGTGTGTGTGTATGTGTGTGGGTATGTGTGTGTGTGTGTGTGTGTGTGTGTGTGTGTGTGTCAGAGAAAGAGAGAGAGATAGCGACCAGAAAAAGACCTTTGACAAAACGGTAATGTAAACATTATTTAAAACTTTTTTTTTTTCCCTGAGACGGAGTCTCGCTCTGCCACCCAGGCTGGAGTGCAGTGGTGCAATCTCGGCTCACTGCAACCTCCGCCTCCTTGGTTCAAGCAATTCTCCTGCCTCAGCCTCCTGAGTAGCTGAGATTTTTTAGTAGAGACTGGGTTTCACCATGTTAGCCAGCCTGGTTTTGAAATCCTGACCTCAAGTGATCCACCCGCCTCGGCCTCCCAAAGTGCTGGGATTACAGGCATGAGGCACCACACCCGGCCACCACTATTTACAAATTTCAAAATAAACTGTGTACAGTATCCTTAATCCAAAAATTTGAAATGTTCCAAAATTCAAACCTGTTAGGCACCGATATAAGATAGTGACACATTTGCTTTCTGATGGTTCAATTACACGAACTTTGTTTCACACATACAATTATTTAAAATATGGTATAAAATTGCCTTCAGGCTATGTGTTGAGAGTGTCTATGAAACATAAATGAATTTTGTGTTTAGACTTGAGTCCCGTCCCTAAGATACCTCATTATGTATACACAAATATTCAAAAATCTGAAAAAATCCAAAATCTAAAACACTTCTTGTCCTATGCATTCTGGAAAAGGGATACTCAACCTGTACGACTGAAGTGCCATCTGAAGCTGTCTATATAGTAAAGGAATAAATAGGTACGCCTGTGTATTTCATTTGTTTTTATTCTTGATACTGGATATTGTTTTTCACTCTTTGGCAGCTAATGTCAACACCTCTGGAAACCATGTTTAAAAAATGTACCTAAGAAGCAAGTTTTAGGCCGGGTGTGGTGGCTCATGCCTGTAATTCCAGCACTTTGGGAGGCTGAAGTGGGTGGATCATGAGGTCAGGAGTTTGAGACCAGCCTGGCCAACATGGTGAAACCCTGTCTCTACTAACGATACAAAAAATTAGCCAGGCATGGTGGCGCAGGCCTGTAATCCCAGCTACACGGGAGGCTGAGGCAGGAGAATCGCTTGAACCTGGGAGACAGAGGTTGCAGTGAGCCGAGATCAAGCCACAGCACTCTAGCCTGGGTGACAGGGTGAGACTCTGTCTCACACACACACACACACACACACACACGCACACAAAAAGCAAGTTTTAGTTTTACAAGACATTGGACACATCTACACACAGAGTGATGCGTCACGTATTAATGAGACTTCACTCTGTATATCACACCAAAAGCAATAGAATCTGTTTCTAGGATATTAACACAAACTGTGTGTGTGTTTGTGTTTGTGTGTATTTAAACAGATTTCCCCTTTAAAATGCCCACCGCTCTTCCCTTTAACTTAATTAATCTGGCAACGTGATAAGAAGACTAATAATAAGCAGAATCACAAATGATTTCTGGGAGGCTGGAAAAAGAATGATGGTAAAAACTTTTCAAGGAACTATTCAACTTAATGGTACCAGCAGTTAAAAAAAAAAAAAGTACAGGTATAATTATTAGACCGAAAATTTTCCAGTTGGTAAACATGGACCCTGAAGACTTAGTAGCAGGTTACTCAAGGTTAACTGGCCCATTTACCTGTAACCAGTGCCCCACAGGGCTCTGTCCTTTACCCTAGAGCCCCTGAAGCCATCCTGCTAGAAGACTCCTTTTCTAATCCCTCACCTTTACAAAATACCCTAAAGCAGGGCCCCTAAAGCAGGACTGGCTACAAAATTTGTGGGACCCGGTGCAAAATGAAAACAAGAAGTCCCTTATTTTAAAAATATTAAAAATTCCAAGATGACAGCAGAAAATTAAACCAAGTATGAGGCCGTGTGTGTGTGTGTGTGTGTGTGTGTGTGTGTGTGTGAGAGAGGCCCTGTACAACACAGAGCCTTGCCCCACAAAGGGTGTACACCCACGAAGCCTGTTTTACCTGGATGGTTTTACTGTTTTTCCATTGGATTATGTTCCATTTAGCTCTCAACTCTTTTTGGCCATTGGTCACAACCCATACCTCATTTTTGTTAGTATGCCTTGACTATTCTGCCTTATCTCTTTTAATAAGATTCAATTCAGTCTTTGAATTATACTTGCTAATGGGTAGCTCTAGATCAATGTCTACAGCAAATCTGTTTGGCCTCCCAAGATCCAAATTTAATTCTAATGGACCAACCCACCAACACATCTCTCTCTTACCCACTCAATAGAAAAAAGACCCCCCAAAATTTTCACTTATATGTGCTTTGTCATATCTCTCAATCAATTTCCAGTCACATGCAAATCATGAAGGAAGCAGAGAACTTAGAGTTTAAAAAAAAAAAACTGTGCAGATTGCTTTGGCTGTCTGAATTTGTCTGAATCTTATTTTAAGTGAAAAGATTTTCGTCAGTTCAATGATCTCAACTTCAAAAATATTTTGGGTTTATCAAGTAGATACCAGTCTGGAAGTTTCTTTTCATCAATTTGAACTAAAAATGGTATTTAATGAGCTCTAAATATATGCTGGAAATTTTTACATCATATCTTGTTTTCTCACAACAATACTGTGAGTTAAGATTTCAAATTGTCCATCAGCCTGGAAAAGTATAATACAGAGCTTGCAGACAGTTCCACTGTTGGCAACAAAACCAAGTTTGTTAGGGAGCTCCTACTGGAAAGTGTCAGGTGAATGACTGGCTCTCCTTCTAAGCCTCTCTCTTCCAGGCCATGGGAATGTGGCCACCACTGCCCTCATTGCTGCTACATTTGGTACTGCTTACATCGTTGTCAACACTTTCTGTTCCTGCTATCTTGACCTTGAAACTGCCTTTGCAAAATTATGACAGTAAGAGAAATCTGACATAGTTGACTCCTTCTGGCTTCTGACCTCCAAGCTGCTTTTGGTCATTCCTGGGCATGGGCCAAACTAACTGTGGGAGGAATTTATAGTTTAACCTTTGTGAACCCCAAATATCAGAGACAGTTCTCAGTCAATTTAGGAAGTTTATTTTGCCGAAGTTAAGGACACATGCCCGTGACATAGCCTCAGGATGTCCTGACGACATGTGCCCAAGGTGGTCTGGGCATAGCTTGGTTTTATACATTTTAGGGAGGCATGAGGCATCAATCAATATATGTAAGATGAACATTGATTCAGTCCAGAAAGTCAGGACAACTGGAAGCGAGGAGGGGGCTTCCAGGTCATAGGTAGATGAGAGACAAATGGTTGCTTTCTTTTGACTTTCTGATTAGCCTTTCCAAAGATGGCAATCAGATATGCATTTATCTCAGTGAGCAGAGGGATGACTCTGGATAGAATGGGGAGCCGGTTTGCCCTTGGCAGTTCCCAGCTTGACCTTTCCCTTTAGCTTAGTGATTCGAGGGTCCAAAGATTTACTCCCCTTTCACACCTTAAAGCAAGGATGATCCAGGTAAAACAGGCTACACTGCCGTTATAAAACTAATGAAAGGCAACAAGGTTAGGATTATGGGAGGGGGCTGAAATCTGTTAAAATGAAGGTCTGGTTTCTATAATCTCTTACTACTCAGGAGTCACGTAGCCAGAGGTCACAAGATCTGTGACTTCCCCAATTACTTCTATAGAAAATATCACTATTGTCAAACCTAAGATTTTTTTTTTTTTTTTTTTTGAGATGGAGTCTCACTCTATTGCCAGGCTGGAGTGCAGTGGCATGATCTCGGCTCACTGAAAGCTCCACTTCCCAGGCTCAAGCCATCCTCTCACCTCAGCCTCCTAAGTAGCTGGGACAACAGGCTCATGCCACTATGCCCAGCTAATTTTTGTATTTTCAGTAGAGACAGGGTTTCACCATGTTGGCAAGGATGGCCTTGATCTCTTGACCTCGTGATCCACCCGCCTCAGCCTCCCAAAGTGCTGGGATTACAGGCATGAGCCACCGTGACCAGCCAGTTGTTCTTTCCTTTGGGATGTTTTTCAGGCTGACTTCACTCTGACCCATAACTCATGACTCACCTGTCATATGGCCCCACCCAGAGGCCCACTTTGTGCACAAGGATCATTTTCCACATCCCCAACCAGTCAGCAGCATCCATTTCCTAGCCCCCTGCCCACCAAATTGTCCATAAAAACATTAAATTTCCAGCCTTCTTCAGGGAGACTGATTTGAGTGATAACTCCAGTTCTCCTGCCTTGGCCAGCCTTGTCTGTGCAGAGGACAAGAAGAACACCTTGGGTGATTACAACCTCCACCTCCCAGCTGAGGTGTCCTGAGATGGGCAACTTCACGTTCTGGCCTGAGTCTGCTCTGGAACTACAGTGCAAGTATAGATTCCTTTTTTACCCTAGGCTGGGTAAGAAGCAAGGGAACAAATTTCCATGATCCTTAAAAGCTGAGAACGTGTTATAATTTACCCTCTTCCCTTTCCTGCAACTCAAACTCCTTTGGCTTCTTAGCATCCATCTCTGTATTCTGAGGCCTCAGGGTACCAATGGCACTTTCATTTTCGGTAGAAAGGGTGAGTCCCTCTTCCTGCCTTGTCGCTCCGATCTCTACAGCTTCCCAGGGGAATGATTCACTCCATCTTCCTGCTATATCACCCTTATCTTCATCTATAAATTCCTGCATTCACACAGATAATCACCAGATCACCCCCATAGGGGCTCCAGATTTGGCTCCTCTCCTTTGGAGATCCCCTTGCCATACTGAAAAATGCCTATGGTTATATAGATATAAGCTGAAGGCCCAGAATATAACTTCATGGTTGTGTTGAAGGCCAAGGCCTTGTCCATCACTCTACAGTTTCTCACTTAACGGGCTAGAGGATGTAGCAGACAGACTTGAAGGTGAGTCTCAAGATTCCTGGTGCCCTGATGTTCACACCCTTGTATAATCTTTAACCAAAGAATGTGGGTGAGGTCTGGGACCTGCATCTAGTTAATAGAATATGGCCAAGGAGATCTGACGTCACTCTCTTATACACTTCTGTATGTAAGATGACTCCGTCTTGGTCGCTGTCTGGCTCTAGAGTCCCTCTGTTTAGTCAGGGTCTTCCAGAGAAACAGAACCAGTAGGATTTGTATACATACAGAAATAAATTTATTGTAAGAAATTGGCTCATGTGGTTATGGAGGTTGGTGAGTCAAAATCTACAGTGTGGACTAGGAGACTGGAGACACAGGAGAGCTGGTGGTGTGGTTGAGGTCTGAAAGCCATCTGCTGGAGAATCCTTTCTTACTTGGGAAGGTGGGGTTTTTGTTCTCATCTGATGGGATGAGGCACACCCACATTAAGGAAGGCAATGTACTTTACTCAAAGTCCACCAATTTAAATGTCAATCTCATCCCAAAACACCCTCCAAATTGACACGTAAAATCAACCACTACACTTTCCTATGTCACTTTGAAGAAGCAAGCTGCTGAGTCCTACAGCCACAAGGAAATTAAGTCTGCCAATCACCAAGTGAGTTTTGGGTGGGTCCTTCCCTAGCTGGGCCTTTGGACCAGAACCTAACCCCTGGCCAACACCTTGATTGCAGCAACGAGAAGGACGTGGCTAAACCATGCCTGGACTCCCTGTCCACAGAAATGATGAGATAAGTGGGTGTTGTTTAAAGCAGCTAAATTTGTGGTCAATTTTTATACAGCACAGAAAATAATACAGCATATAATTTATTAATTAGAAACTAATTGTCTTTAAAGAATCTCCCATCTCCATTCTAGAAATAATCTTGATATTCTGCTTATCAAAATTGTATGCCCATTGGTCTCAAATAACCTATGGTATGTCATAACTATTAGTATAACCAGTGCATTTCTTTTGTCAATTTTGCTGATCCTAAAGTATAATCATAGTGTTACAGTTCTCAATGTAACATTAATAAAACACATACACCAGTGTTTGATTGTGTGTTTTCTGACTTTTCTCATCTATATCATGAGACAACGATGAGGAAAAGACACCCAAGATGGCACAGAATTCAACCCGGTGATTGTGAAATGCCTTCTCATCCTTGTGTCTATCATCAGAGGGCTGGACCAGAGGAGCCCTGCGTATTCATTCTCTTTGACTTTGACTCCTGGGATAAGCACTTCGTTTCTACCTCATCCTGCACCCCAACAAATAAATTAATTCTGAAAATCAATCCCAGGCAAGTACAATAATACAATACTAGATAGTCTCTCCATGTCAAAAGGGTGGGGTTAGACCGAGTGGTGCTGTAGAAACTTGTAACACTATTTTACAAAAGCACACCACCACTCTTGGGAAATACTCTTCTATGAGCCACAGCTCAACAGAATTCCTTGAGATATTTTGAAGCCTTATGTCATTGTACTCTAAGCCAAACTTTCCAACTGATAAAATCAGATTATCCCACTGATAAGTATTGTGAATCTTCTTTAGTTGTTAATGATTCTAAAGCTCTGGGCATATAATTTACTGTCTTTCATAATCTTAGACAAATATGCAATCTAGGAGCTTGCTTATCCATTCATTCAACCCACGGGTTGGCTCTGTTGATTTTGAAATAGAATTTGCCTGTGAGTCTGCCTTTTTTCCTTACATTATGCACAAATTCAGGTGACAGGAGTAGATTTATCTCATACTGTCTATGCTTTTAACCATGCTGGTTAATTCATGTACCAAGTAACAAATAAAAATGGACTATGGGATTTTCAACTCTTTGAAAGCCATCACCGGGTAACCATCTCACTTTATCTTAACATTGTACACCTTTGTCCTTCAAGGTTAGGAATCAGCAAGCATGTGCCTGGAGCACTAGCAGCATCTGCTTTAGGGGATATTGTCATTGAATTAGACTCCATGTTTCCAATGAAGACGGGGCTAGAAGTGAGAGATGCCATGTGACAACACATAACCATCAGAGAAGGTAGATGTAGTTTCTGTGTTTGACACCGAGACCAAAGTGATCACCACATTTTAACCTTCAGAATTTGTGGCAATGATTACACGAATTATAAATTCTTAAAACTGAATTAGATAATAAGTAGCCTTAGGTCTCAATTTAGCTCAGTAACTGCGACTATAAAACCTCTAAATCTACTTAATGAAGGTAATATTTGAATCATAATGACAGAGAGGCCTAACCCCATACCTAATTTCCAGATTTATACTTCAGAACTCATCCGGAGACTAGTTATGGATTACAGTCTCCATACTTCATGAATAAAGAGAAGCTTGATACCCTCAAGGACCCTGTGACACAGCCACAAGTATGCACTATTGATCTTTCTTCTGGTCTTTCCCAAAGATACCTAGAACTATGTATCAGGGTGAATATACAGCAGTAAAGATAAATACCCATAACTTTGGTGATTCCTAGTATGTGGTTCTGAACTAAGGCCAATCTCCATAAATCCTCACCCTGCCATAGTCCAGTAGAGTTGCAGTTTATGAGCATTCTGACCAAGTCCATCTTACAGTGGGGCCAGGAGTTCACTGAATTTGCTCATTTCATTCCATAGGAAGAAGTACTTAGCTCCTGAATGCACAGAGGAAAATAAAATTCCTAGTCTCCAGTGGCTCCCTGAAACATGGAGTGGCAGTCATTATGGTGGGAGGGCTCACAGAATTCTATTCCACTCCACAAGATAAATAACGTAGAAGCAATACTACATTCTTAAAAGTCTTGAGAGATGAAGCTATACTAATTCCTCTACACTCTCACTTAACTTGCTTGGAAGGCATACACAGTTGAGAGTTGTGACTTGAAAGATGAAAGCAGATTTACTTTAAATGAAATTAAATAGTGACTTCAGCTGCAATATCCAGATTTTGTCCTTTTACTGTAATAAATCAACAGTATATAACTCTTCCTATGCAATTATTGTTTCTCTGTATCTGTCAGATATAACATCTAAGTCATCAGAGTGATTTCTTTTCATTTGTCCACAATGGCAATGCATCTTCCCTATTCTGGACAAGGTTACATCAGTTTTTGACTCTTACTATTTATTTCACAAGAATCTTATTGTCTCATATCCACAGGACATAGGCCAATAAGCTGTTTCACTCTATTGGATGAAAATGGGCCAAAAGTGCCTGATGATCAAGAAGTAACGAGTTTCATGGCTCTGGTAAGACAAATATACATGGAGAATAATCTCACACATAAAAAAAATTAGATGTGTGCTACTTTAGGAAAGTGTTAAAAAGTCCGAGGGTCTGGGGAATAGAAAAATATCCCAATACAATGGGAAATCAAATTTATTCTATCTTGTACTCCTTTCCACTAAGAAAGAGGAATAATGTTCTTTTTTGTATTTTGCAGGCAAATAATTTTGGGTAAGCCCTTTTGACCCATTTACCAAGCATCCTGTAAGAATGGCAGCTTTCACTGTGGGCCATACCAAGAAAAGACTTCTAGCTGGTTCAGGCTAAAGTGCAAACTGTTCTGCCATTTGGGCTTCATAACCTAGCAGATAAAACAGTGTTCAAGGTGTCTATGGCAGCTTAAGATTCTGTGTGGAGCTTGGGGCAAGCCGGGATGAGAGTCACAGTGTAAAACCCTAGGGATTTTGAAGAATCCATGCTCTTTTCTGCAAATACTCACACACAGCTCCTGGCTTACTACTGAGTCCTTGAAGAGCCTGAATGCCTCACCGTAGGATTTACATGACCATGTGACCTGTTCTCCCCATCATGACCTGGCTCTTATCTGGTCCTCTAAGTCACAAAATTGAGTGTGATATAGCAGCATTCCATCATGAAGGAGCAAAGTTATAAACAAGATCAGGACAAAACCAGCTCCAAACGCACAAGTAATTTTTATGAGCAGATTGTTCATACTTCTACAACTCCCACATCCACTACTAGAACATCTCTCCCTAATTCCTAACTTACAGCTGCATGGTGCATTCTCCGTGACCAGTTAACTGTTCTCCATGACCAGTTAACATTTCAGGAAGAAAAAAAATGGAATCTAGTTCATAAATAGTCCAACACTGAGAAAGATAGGGACTTCTGTGGAATCATAGCTATCATTGAGGAGAGAGGGCAGACAGAATAGGATTCCCAAGGGTTCCTATAGTTGTATACATTGAAGAAAAGATGGTCGAAATTATACATCTATACTGATTCAGGGACAGTAAGTAATGGTTTGACCGAATAGTTAGAAACTTGGAAGAAAATCAAGATTATATTTGTTGCAAAAATGTCTGAGATGTAAGGGGGTATGGACTTTTAAGAATCTGCCCAAGGGAGAGTAATGGTGTCTCATGTAAATGCTCCCCACAGCACACTGACTACAAAAGAACTCAGTGCAGTGTTGCACAAGATGACCTGTTCAGTGGATATAAATTAATCCCTTTCCCAAGCTGGCCAGTGCTTGTTTAATAAGTTATGAACAAAGTGTCAATGATGCCGAGCCAGAGGTTACACATGGACACAACGATACGTATTTCCTCTTTAAAAAGCAGATATGACTACCACCAGTTCTCATTGTCCAAGTGACCAGTAAGAGAGACCAAAGTTAATTTTTAAAACTGGCACCATAAGGAAAAGGCAGCAACCAGTTAACTAGTGGAAGCTTGATGACATTGGATCTCTTCCATCATGGAGGAGGCTTCAGTTTGTTCCCATATTAACAGACTCATTCTGGATGTGGATTTTCCTCCCCACCCTCTGTGCTACTTTCATCAAGACCATCTGTGAACTTAGTGAATGCCTCATTCATTATCACATAGCTGAGCTCACCTCACAATGCTTCTGGTCAACATTCTTTTTACAGCAAAAAGGACCCAGTCAATGAACTTATGTCTATGGAATTTTTGTACCCAGAAGCAACTGTCTGAAATGAGATTGAATGACATTGCAGTATTCAATACTAGCATGCATAAAGTTACTATAATAACAAAAATAATAAAGAATAAAATAACAAAAATAATTAAAAAGCGCTATAGAGATGCTGGACAAAAGTTCTCCCATCATCAAGCTCCAAAATAGAAAATTCAAAGTTTAAATTCCCTTGCAAATTAAAGCACAAAGATGTTAAGATCTAAAGAAGCTAAAATCCAAAATCGAAAAATCTTAGTCACACAAGTTAAATTTCAGTGTTCAAAATTTCAATTTAAAAATCAATAATTAGCTTCTCAAATTTCTTATCTTTCTCAGTTTCAGGCACAGCAGTTTTGTTGTTGTTGTTGTTGTTTTTTGTATCCTGTGAGGTGGTGAAATACCTTTCTCAGTGGAATGTGTGCAAACTTTTTAAGAGCTTCACAGTCTGGGTTAGTTCAATGCCAGACATATCCCATGAGCCTCATTTATTAAGGATTTAAAGATTTAATAAGAGACACAAGATTATCCCAGCATTAACCCCACACAAGCAACATTTAGAAAAGAAGCTATCCCTAGTTCCTCAGTTACTATCCTAGCCAAAATTATCTTCCTATTATCGAGTACTTAACGTTGCCAACAATAACAAATGCACAGAATGTCAGTGGAAAAGAGAAAAAGATATTGGCTTCAGGCTCAACGAGATGCCAGTTGGTCAATGCCAGTGGTCAAGAATCCAGAAGCTGAGAATTTACATTCAAGAAGAAAATAATTTTTCCAGCTTGAGATTAATTCATAGAACATTTACAAATTTGGTTTGATTTTTTTGTATATTGGCCATGTCTGGGGGGAGAAAAGCTCCTTGTGCATGCAATACTTCTCTAAGTCATATTTGATTCATTGCTTCTTTTGGTCCAAGATGAGAAATTTGCTATGGTGACCACCTGTGTTACCAGTTCCACACTTTCCCTTCAGCATATGTTTTCAGTTCTGGGCCTTGTGTCTGATTTTACCATCTCTTTATAAGAAATTGCTTAGGTCTAAGAAACTTGATTTCCAAGGAAGATTTTTTCCTCTTGTGCATACATTTGTTCAACCTCAAGTCCATATGATGTATCGCTAGAGCTCGTGGGCAAGCCATGTAACTCCAAGGCCAGCCCTTCCAGTGTCCACCTTGGACCTTAACACAAATCCAGAATTTGTATTTGTGGCAGGCAATGAACATACCACTGCCCCACCCCAGGCCAGGGCCCGACAATATAAAGCTAGTATATTGCTGTAACACCATAGCACAATTAAAATCATGTAACTTGCAATTGCAACTCAGAAATGCCAAATATTATTCTTTCTAATAATATCTAAAAAATTGTAGAGCCTTTCTAATCTACAAGTGCATGCCACAGCTGTGCCTGTGGAATGAGTTAAGCAGCCAGCAGCTGCATTTTGAAGCAAATCATACTTTCTAATAGCCCGTTTTCTTTTTTCCAGACCCTCAGAGGTGAAGTCCCCTGCAGCATGTTGCAAGCCCATGTTTGTTTGCCAGACCACTTGTCTCTTTGCTGAGTCCTAATCTTTGCATAACTCTCAGCCTCTACAGAAATAGCCATTTCATAATTTCATCTTTACACACACATACATATATGCATACATATAGACACACACAGCTTTGAAAAATGATAATAAACAACTTCTTCAATTCAAAGCATGGTGTCTACCTTCTAAACAGCTAAAGATAACAATGAGCAAAAGCATTTACATAGTAAAAGCAGAAAAATCACAAACATTAAAACCCAGGAAGTATAAAGCAAAATGGCAGAAGTAAAATCTACCATATAGTTGTAATAGCACATTTGGGTTGCAGAACATGTTGCCACTTAAAGGAGTAAAACTTGAGAATGAGATTTTTTAAATCTAATTAAATGTTTCTTAAAATCATATGCATTAAAAATTATACACACATAATTCAGAAATAAAGTAAGAAGCAAAATCTCTACAAGGAAACCACTAACAAAGGAATGCAATGCTAAAATTAATAACAGAAATAACATTTTAAGTAAGAAATCATTAAAGGGAGTAAGGTGAGTCATTTTTATATTGTTAAAAGGTTGAATCCATAATAAAACCATTATTGTAAAAAATCTTTTACGTACCAAGTAGTGAAATTTGACAATATGCCATGCAAACAGCAGTAATAGACAAAAAATTCTTTGCGTGCCTAGAATATTTGTGGGAAACCATTCTTCACTTATTCTAATTTGTATAATTCACAACAAATGGGAAAAAAACATATAGAAAATAATAGTTAAATTTTAAACTAAACTAATAATACAAAATCTTTATATCTTCTACTCAGACCAAGAAACTGAATATTGCCATAGCTTAGTGACTCTCTATTTGTCCCTCCAATAGGTTTTAACTGGCTGGGCCTGGAGGTGACATACATCACTTTTCTTCATGGCCCATTGGTCAGAATTAGTCACGTGGTTCCAGCCTAAGTGAAGGGATCTGTTGTGTGGCAGCACATGGATACGCGGTGCATATTAACATCCCTACCACACAAGCAACATTGCTACGTCTAGATCTATGCATAGAGTGTTTCTGAGTTCATTATTTGTTCTGTTGATCTATGTGCCTATCCTTGTTCTGACTGTACTGTATTTATTACTATAGCTTTAAAATAAGTCTACATATTTGGCAGAACACACGTCTTTCCAATTTGTTATTCTTCAGGATTATCTTACCTATTGGTAGATCTTGGAACTTACATTAAAATTTTTAAATCAGCTGGACAAGTTCCACTAAAAATCTTAAAATTTGGAATAAGCATGAATTGACTCCATAAATCATTTTGAGGAGAACCGACTTTTACAGTTCATGAATATAATATATCTCATTTATTTCTTTTAAAAGTTGTATAACTTTCTCCATAAAGGTTTCACACATATTTTTTCGAATTTTATTGACTATTTTTATTTTGTATATATTTGATATTAATAAATGAATAGAATATAAACTCATGTGGTACAAAAATCAAAATAATATACAAAAACATGCATTGAGAAGTCTCTCACCTATCCGGTCTACTTCTAAGCTCTTCCCTTTTTTTCCACCTTTAGAAACTACTTTTCTTATTTTCTTATTTTTTTCAATGTTTCTTTATGAAATTACAAGAAAATACAATATATTTATTTTTAATTTTTCCCTTTTGCACAAAAAATGGCTTGTTATATTCGCTATTCTGCATTTTGGTTTATTCACTTAACAATATACCTTGGATTTGATGTTATCAGGAAGCATTGCCATGTTTTTCTTTAGCTACATATTATTCAACAGTAATAAAAATTTCATTACTAATGCACACTTCCAGTATTTCACGTTATAAACAATTTCATAATGTTATATGTAGAGTATAGATATCTATAGGATAGATTTCCAGAAGCAGAAATGCTGAGTCAATCATAATTAATGATTTTTTGCATTGAAGATTTTTATATTAAGGTAGTTAAAGTTAATTTATTTGCTGCCTTGGATTTTAAAACAGTTTAAAAAGCCTTGTTCACTCTGAGGTTATAAACGAATTGCCTCATGAATTTTCAGAATTTTTATTTTTGTTTAAATATTTAAGTATTTGTTCAATTTGCAATTTATTTAGATATAAGTAATAGAGTGGGTAACTGTTAAATTTTGGAAAAAAAGGAATGTAAGCTGAAAGAAAGATAAAAGAAAGAAGCAGAAGCATAGTCACCAACTATACAACAGAAAAAATCAACAATGACAAAAGTATGTTCTTTTTACTATCCTACATATATTAAGAAGTTTGCACAAAAAGCAGCTGTAAAAGACAAATGATAATATAAAATAGAAATTTATGGATAAGGAAAATTGAAGCAGCATAATTTTAATATATGGAATAATGAACAAAAAAGCAATACTTAAGAAAAGATTCCTGGAAATTCAAAAAATATGATGGCAAGAATAAAAAAAGTCAATGAAAGGAATGAATAATAAAATCAGATAAATTTTCCTTAAGATAAAACATAAATAAAAAAAGATGCAAAATTGTAAAGAAAAGTTAACAATAATTAGATGACCAGTCCAGGGAGTCAAATGTCCAGTTCAAGATAGGGAGAAGACAGAAAAAAAATACACTAGAAAACAATATAAGTAAAAGCTTTGGAACTAAAAAAACATGAAACTTCAGACTTAAAGAGTCCATCAAAAAGCAAAGTACAATATAGAAAAGAGTAATCTCACTAAGGCATATTGTGAAATATCAGAACCCTGGAATAAGGTCATATAAAAAGGATGAAAAATTATGACATAGAACTTTCAACAGCAACGCTGAAATCAAGAAGTGAAGAGCATGATATCTTCACAACTCAGAGAAAAAATATTTCAAACTAAATTTGATATCCGATCAAACCATTAAGTATAAGTATGAATTAAAGCCATTTTTAGACAAAAATATTCTAAAACATTACTGTGTTTGCATCCTTTCTCTGTAATCTTTCTCGATGAGCCCCCAGAAGATCTGATCCAGCAAAACAAACAAGTAAAACCAAAAAAGAGAGCAACGTGGGGTCCAGGAAATAAATAATCCTACATAGAAAAGTAGGGAAGGGAATTTCCCAAATGATACATGTACTTATTCCATATCACTGGACATCGAAGTTATTCCCAGTTTTTGTCAAATACTAAGAATTCTAGGCTGGGGACCGTGGTTCACGCCTATAATCCCAGCACTTTGGGAGGCAAAGGGGGGAGGATTGCTTGAGCCCAGAAATTTGAGACCAGCCTGGGCAACATAGTGAGCCTTCGTCGCTAAAATAAATAAAAATAAAAAAAAGAATTCTACTATAACACATTTTGCATATAATTTTATATAGATTCCTAGAAGCAGAATTATTTAGACAAAACAGAAATAGTATTAACAGTCTTTGTATTGTTTAATGGCTTCTCATAGTTTCCACTTCTGAGTGGCTAAGGGTTTGTCCACTTCCTCTTAATATTCTGCATGTTCCTGAAATTGATTGCTTAGTAGAAGATAAGCTTTCTAGACAGTGTGGTATAATTTTTCTCTCAGGAAGGTCACAAGACTGTCTTTTTTTAAAATTTTTTATTTTAGGTACAGGGGTACATGTGCAGGTTCGTTATCTCGGTAAACTTGTGTCATGGGGTTTATTGTACAGATTATTTCATCACCCAAGTATTAAGCCTATTACCCAATAGTAATTTTTTTCTGATTCCCTCCCTCCTCCCACCTTCTACCCTCAAGTAGACTCCAGTGTCTGTTATTTCCTTCTCTGTGCCTATGTGTTCTCATTAATTAGCTCCCACTTATAAGTGAGAACATGTGGCATTTGATTTTCCGTTCTTGTGTCACTTTGCTACAAATAACGGCCTCCAGCTCCATCCATGTTCCCGCAAAATACATGATTTTATTTTTTTTATGGCTGCATAGCATTCCATGGTGTATATGTACCACATTTTCTTTCCCCAATCTGCCGTTGATGGGCATTTAGGTTGATTCCATGTCCCTGCTGTCGTGAATAGCGTTAAAATGAACTACACGTGAGTGTGTCTTTATGGTAGAATGATTTATGTTCCTTTGGGTATATACCCAGTAATTGGATTAAAGAAGCTTTATTTCTAAGCAAGAACCTTGTGCAAGCCCTTCGGGCTTTGTGCAAGCTCAAGAGCAAGGAGAACTCTCAGTTCCTCCACCATATTTCAGTTCATTCGCTCCTTTCATATGTTTGCAGTATCATTGGGAATGCACCCAAATTGTCACCAAAAAACATGAAATGAATTAAGTTCAGATGTGGCTCCAGATTTAGTGGCACATATTTAAATTTAATAATTCGGGGCTAAAATGGTACATTAATTCTTCTAAATAAAATTAAATATGACCCAAAACCCCACTGACTACAATTTATAAGAGATCTAAGCATCTAGCATCAAAGCCTGTGACAATTATCAGGACAATTTTCTCTTATGCCTATTTTATTGTCATGTATAGTAGGGCTTGATTGATTGGTTCTGAAAATAAACTCTCTCTCTAGCTTTCTATTTTAAAAAATCGCACCACCTGGCAACTAGCTACTCTGTTGAGAAGGGCTCAAAACACATCTGTGAGTCAGGAATTGTCACAGCGAATAAGCCTTCAAAGATGGTATAAAGAGAAGGCAGAATACAGATGTCAAGCTGAGAACAGCACCGGCCTCAATTTTTGGTTGCATCCACCTGAGGTCTTCTCCATCATCTCAGGTCTTTTGCTTTATATTGGGTTTTCTACAAGTGTTAATCCTAATGGCAATGTCAACGCAGGGAAGCTCCACATTGAAATGCCCTGAATCCTACAAAGACAGTTCTGACCAATTATTCATGTATTCTTCCTTTCACATTTTGGATACTTCAGGAAAATGTCAAATGAATTGATATAGATGACAAATTATAAAAGAATGCCTGTATTAGACCAACCCTAACAAATGAAGCAAATCATTGTGAAGTGGTTAAAAGGGGGAAAAAAACCGACTATATTTATAAATTCATCCTAGCCTAATCCTTTTTTGTTTTGTATGAAGCTAATTTTTTTTGTCAGAAATGAAGTATACAAAATATACTGAAATATTAAAAATATGGAGAAGAACATCTAAAGCTAGCTATGTTTAATCTATCTTAGAGACAAAGTTCAGTTAAATTACCAAACTGAAATTTTCTATGCCCTACTCATAAGTCCACAGAAATAATAGCAAGGTGTATGTCAAAGTTTTGTGTAGAGTTGAGCATAACATCACAAGCCTTTTGACCGTTGTAACTGCCTTTAGATTTCACGAAATTTCACGTATTATTGAAAGGAGGAAAGAGACCATCATCATGTTTTTATATCTCTTACAAACAAGACTTCTTAGCATCTGGAAATGTCTGTGAGGGGGATTGGAGTGGCCTGCTCTCTATTGCCCAGGTTAGATGGCTGCTGATTTCTCTCTTTGATGAGAGGGACCTATGGAGTTGAACTTTTAGAAGACAGAAAAATTTTTTAGGTTTATACAGTTCTCATTTTTAATGTTCATTTAAAAGAAAACAAATTGGCTGGGAGCAGTGGCTCACGCCTGTAATCCCAACATTTTGGGAGGCCAAGGCGGGTTGATCACTTGAGGTCGCAAGTTCAAGACTAGCCTGGCCAACATGGCAAAACCCCGTTTCTACTAAAAATACAAAAAATTAGCTGGGCATGGTGGCGGGTGCCTGTAATCCCAGCTACTTGGGAGGTTGAGACAGGAGAATTGCTTGAACTGGGGAGGCGGAAGTTGCAGTGAGCCAAACTCGAGCCAACACACTCCAGCCTGGGTGACAAGAGTGAGGCTCTGTCTCGAAAAAAAATATATGTATATATATCATAAGTTTGTTCTTTTCCACGGTAAAACACAAGGATTTAAAGGGAATTACTGGAAAAAAGAAGCACAATAAAAACAACAACATAGAAAAGGAGGAAAACAAAATAAAAAGGAGAAAAGCAAATATACTACACCTTAAGTTAGCATCGATACAGGCCATAACTATACATCCTAGAATCCAAAGTGAAGGGGAAAATGTGACACCTCATTCTCGCTTTACCTGAGAGAAGAAATACATCAGTTCCTCAAACCATACAAAGGCTCTGGTGTTCCAAATGTTTAGATACATTTTCTTCTGGGACATGAGGTTGGAACTATAGAGTGATGCAATGCAAGATGTTCATAAAAGTGGTGTTAATAACAAATCCAGTTCCTCAATTTGCTTGGCTTTGATAAAAACCCCAAGCTGCACATTAGAATACAGTCCAGTGAAGGTAAATTTATTGCATGCTGAGGTGCTGCGATTGACTTTTGCAGCCATCATATGATATTTTAATCCAAAGATTACATTTAAATTACATAGAAGAGTGGCCATAGAGCGTGTCTCCTAAACTACCCTCTGGAAATGTCTTTTCTTTTTAACCAGAACTTTGACAGAAGCTTTATGCCAGACTAAGCAGCAGGATGATTTTATCCAAGGCTGGAAAAAATAAGTATATTCTACTGCTAATTAGAGATAGCAGCACAAATTCCTTACCTTTGGAGACCAAGCGTGCACTGTCTGAAATGCCAAAACAGGTGAACTGCAGGAGTGCCTGGGGGCACAACCAGCCTCTGAGAAAGTAAGTCATGTCTCTTCCAGCTCCTGTACTTAACACTTGTATGAAGACTCAAAGTTCCTCACCATGGACAGTGATAAACACGGCTTTATTCTGAAAAAGGTTCGTTGCAGCTGTTGCCAGATGCACACCAGGACAGTGGAAACACCTGTCATGCAACAAACAAGAGCCGAGTTCTAAGAACATCATCCTCCTCGTGTGCCTTCCAGGTGGATTTACTATGAAAGAAATTTTTATGAAACTGACCAAATAAATTTGCTAGAAAGAGTGATTTGATATCGGCTACTTAAATGAGTACCGTTCAGTATGCATATAAAAGGTCTTTCCAAGACAAATTTTCAAAAATGTTTGGAAATGAAAAGATAGCAAAATCATTGTTTCTTCCGGCTGTTCCTTTTTTATAATGGACACAGCAAACAGGAAAATTCTTTTCCTTATCTCTGTTTTAAGAGAATCAAACATCAAATTAATCTACAACTCGTGTCAAGAAATTAAGATATATAAGGTAAAATAAAAAAGGAGAGACAAAGTCCATCCTTGCTTTCGACTGCGGAATTTTACAAAATGTACAGATACACTAATTACACTTTTTACCTCTTTTTTATTTATTTATTTATTTTTTTTACCAGAGCTCCAATACTTAAAATGTCTTAAAAAGTAAAGTCTTTAAGGAGTCAGAAGAAAGTGTGCTGTATTAGCGCAGGCTGCCATAACACAATACCAATAGACTGGGTGGCTTGAACAACAGAAATTTATTTCTCATTGGTTCAGGAAGCTGGAAGTCTGAAATCAAGGTCCAGAAGGGTGGTTTCTAATAAGGGTTTTGCTTGCAGATGGCCACATTCTTGCTGGGTCCTGACAGGAGTTGTGGGGAACTCTCTGGTATCTTTTTTTACGAGGGCACTAATCCCATCATGAGGGCTCTGTTCTCCTGACCTCATCAAACTCTTCTGACCTTCCCAAAGCCCCATCTCCAAATACCGTAACAACAGGGATTAGGGCTCCTAAGATAAATTCTGGAGGACACAAACATCTAGTGCATACCAAACTGAGATTCTGGAAAGAAGTAACACTGGAGTAAAAACCAAGTAATGGCAAGCAGAGAAATGGAAGCAGAGGTGACTAGATAGGGAGGAGTATTTAAGAATGCTTCTGGCCGGGTGCAGTAGCTCATGTCTGTAATCCCAGCACTTTGGGAGGCCAAGGTGGGAGGGTCCCTTGAGTCCAGGAGTTCAAGACCAGCCTGGGAAACACAACAAGACCCTATCTCTATAAAAAATAAAAAATTAGCTGGGTGTGGTGGCACATGCTTGTAGTCCCAGCTACTCTGGAGGCTGAGGTGGGAGGATCACTTGAATCTGGGAGTTCCAGGTTGTAGTGAGCTGTGATGGGTGCCACTCCAGATCCCATCTTGAAAAAAAAAAAAAATTAACAGGAGGATCAATGAATTGGGGGGTAGCTGGGTCCATTAAGACCATTCTCAGAGGAGAATAAAATGTACTTCTGGGTCCTAAAGAGCCTTTACGCCTGTGCCCCAGGATGTCCTCCTATTCTACCTACCTGGTTTGCACGACGTGAATTGCAGGGCTGGTTCTATCTTTTGCTGCATATTCTCAGTGCTTGTTCATATTTGTAATGTGAATTTGCTGTTAGTCACACATTGTTCCAGAAACATCCTTAAGTATTTTTGAACCTGTCTTTGTTTAGTGTCCCCAGGTAGCATGAAGCCTCTTGAGGACAGGAACTGTGTTGCTTATTTTTTATGTACACATGTTAAGGACCGCATTAGCAGCCTACTGAATCTTATAATGCAGAGTTTTTCAATTATTTACCAAAATTGTTGCTCTTCCCTCGTATTCTTTCTCATAGGAAACAACATTTTTCCAGCTTCATCCTCTAAAAATTAATCTTTCTTTCCTTCTCTACAAGTTCTTTTGTAGTTTTCAACATTTTCTTTGCAAAAGTTATAAGTATTTTGCATTTAGAGTTTTTACATAGCACTTGAGATATTCTTAAATTATGTTTTAAAGAAGATTTTCAGATTTTTTAACCTAAAGTTTTTTTTTTTTTTAATTCTGGGAAGTCATAAATGCAGTGGCAAGCATTTTATCCTGTCTTCTTTAAAGATATATCAGTGTTGAGTTATGAAAAATTAAGATTTTGTCTTTGATTCTGCTGGTAATTTTACTCCAGTGCTATAACCAAATGCCATCAGAAAGTGTCAGTCTTATCTAGAACTAGAAATAACATTTGACCCAGCCATCCCATTACTGGGTATACACCCAAAGGATTATAAATCATGCTGCTTTAAAGACACATGCACATATATGTTTATTACGGCACTATTCACAATAGCAAAGACTTGGAACCAACCCAAATGTCCATCAGTGAGGGACTGGATTAATAAAATGTGGCACATATACACCATGGAATACTATGCAACCATAAAAAAAGGATGAGTTCATGTCCTTTGTAGGGACATGGTTGAAGCTGGAAACCATCATTCTGAGCAAATTATCGCAAGGACAGAAAACCAAACACCACATGTTCTCACTTATAGGTGGCAATTGGACAATGAGAACACTTGGACACAGGATGGGGAATATCACACACTGGGACCTGTCATGGGGTGAGGGATGGGGGGAGGGATAGCATTAGGAGATAACCTAGTGTAAATGACGAGTTAACAGGGGCAGCACACCAACATGGCACATGTATACAAATGTAACAAACCTGCAAGTTGTGCACATGTACCCTAGAACTTAAAGTATAATAATAAAAAAAAAGAAGGTGTCAATCTCTGACATACTATTCTCTTGTGAAGGTGATCATTATGTGTCAAAAAAGATACCCTTTTCATAATCATTAATGTGTATATGTATAATATATATTTCCTGTGTCCTCTGTAAAGTATGATTGCTTTGAAAGAACCCAAAAGTTTTTTTCTATTTAACAATAAAACTATGTCACAAAAAATTATAATA